>NC_000010.11:118495451-119120534 GCF_000001405.40 Homo sapiens
TACATGTATGTGATTACAGAGTTGTGATTAGGTTGTGTAAGTCTGCACTGCCCATCTTGGGAGGAGACGTTCTTGCTGACTTTAAAGAAGCAAGCAGCCCTGTTGGGAAGGCCCATGGGACAAGTAGCTGAGGGCGGCCAACAGCCAGCAAGAACTGAGGTTCTCTGTCCAGCAGCCTGCAAGGAACCAGTTCCTTCTAACAAGCACACAAGCTGGGAAGGAGACCCTTCCCCAGCCAAACCTCAGAAGAGACCAGTCACAGATGACACTTTGACTGCAGCTTTGTGAGACCCTACAGCACATGGCATGGTTAAGCCTGGCCCACAAGACTCCTGACTCATGGAAATTGTGAGATAACAAATGTGTGTTATTTTTAGCTACTAAGTTTCTGGTCATATTGTCATGCAGCAATAATACTGTTAGTCCACATAAGTCAGAATCAGGAAGGTACAGAAAGTAGGAGGGAGCAGGAACTTAAGGTGGAAAAAGAGAATCACAGAGTAGAAGGTGAAGACAGCAGTTGACAGACAGAAAGAAAGACCCCTGTAAGAAGCCAAGCTCCATCTGCGGTGGAGGCTTGAGCCAGCATCAAGCACTGCTTCTCGGGTTCCCAGGATTCAGAGCTGTGCTGCCAGTACAGTAACCACTGGCCATGTAAAGTTACTACATTTAAAGGTAAATTAATTAAAATTAAATAAAGCTAAAAGCTCAGCTCCTCAGACATACTATCTACATTCCAAGTGCTCAGTAACCACTATAGCTAGTGGCTACCAAATTGGTGTAAAAGAGAAAATTTCCATCATTCCAGAAAATTCTATCAGCCAGGGCGGCTCTAGATGCTTCTGAGACCACTTGGGTCAGTTCTGTTTCCTGAGGGACTCAGCTCTGCCACCATTACTCCCTTCCCAGGCCTGCCACCCCATCTCTTTCTTGTTTGCTGAGCATATGGACCTGAGGTTATTCCAATATTTTGATATCTATTCTTCTACCCAGATGACCCCCACCACACTTCCTCAATGACAAAAATTCTCATTCCATCTTGTCCAACGCACCAGCACTCATGAGCCTTCTTTTCTTGTCACCCTGGCTGCTCTCACATCTTCCCACCTGCCTTCCATCCCTTGGGTAAGTCAGGAGACATCCTCAATGGCAACTGATTTTTTTTTTTGTTCTAGCCTCTTGGGAATGTACTTGGGGTGAAACTATTGCACTGTCCTACAGGCAAGCATTTCCTTGTTCATGTGAGTCCCAGAGCGCTGGCTGAGTTACAGGGTTTTCTTTCCCTGTTGACCTTCGCCCTACCAAGCATGGTTAGCTCATTAACAATTTTGCTATTACTGTACCTTTAAATCAGTCACCAGAAAACGTATTCCCTTGCCATTGTAGGTGTCTGGTGTAAAACTTTATCTCTCCCTCAGCTCAGGTAACAGGATATTAAAATATTTTTATCAAGCATGCTGAAAAGTTCAACTGTCAAAAATAGTATTTTGCATCAAGTTCAAAATGAAATAGACAGTCCCAGAAGGATAATTTTGAAGAATCTGCTTTTGTCAAACCTGGGGGGAGAGTGGAGGACAGCAATGAATAAAAGAAAGGGAGCGAAGGGGGTGGGGCAGTGAGCAGGGAAAGGTCTGCATTTGATCGGGCTGGATTTTCACATCCAGCGAGTATGTAATTCACACATAGTAACTCACAGAAAGCAAAATCGCAGGTGAAGGATCGAGTGGCACATAAGCCAAGGGGATTTACTGTCTAATTGTACACCACGACAGGTTCCATTTCCAACTTAGCTCCAGTCAGGAAAGAAATAAGATGTAAGAAATGAGAAATAAGGGGTGGTGAAGAGGAGAAAAAAGTGGAGGGGAAGACTGCATATGGAGCAATGGGAAATTAAACTTCTGTTCAGCCCTGGGCTGCACGTGTGTTCAATTGTTTGTGTTATCTCCAGATGGTGAAGGCTGAGAACCTGTGGGCAGGAGCCGAGTCTTGTGCACTTCTGTCTCCCAGTGCCGGGCTTGTGCCAGGAGTCGATAAATGCATTGTGTCAACTAAGATATTAAAGAATAGCGTTGAGGTAAGCCCCAGGACACTCCCAGATTTTCCCTTTTGTTTCTCCTAAGGAAAATTTCTGGATCGTAACTCCCATCCGAAACACGATTCCCCTCTTTGCTGGCAACACACCCTAAAAATTAAAGAGCATGGGTTTTGGAGCCAGTCTTTGGTTCAAGCCTGGCGATGCAGTTTACCAGCTATGGCCCTTGGGCAAGTGACCTCATGGTTCTTGAACTCATTTTCTCATCAGTAAAACACAGATATAATAATTCCTACCTCATCAGTTTTACGGAAGTTAAATAATTTAAGATAGCACATAACGTACACTGAGTCAATAAATATTAGCTGTCACAGTCCTTGTTAATGTCAAGATCTTTGTCACTATTACTGTTCCTATTACTCAAAATCCAATATAAGTGGCATCAGCTCTGATATGGTTTGGCTGTGCCCCCACTCAAATCTCAACTTGAATTGTATCTCCCAGAATTCCCACGTGTTGTGGGAGTGATCCAGGAGGAGGTAATTGAATCATGGGGGCCGGTGTTCTCCATGCTATTCTCGTGTTAGTGAATAAGTCTCACGAGATCTGATGGGTTTATCAGGGGTTTCAGCTTTTGCTTCTTTCTCATTTGTCTCTTGCTGCTGCCATGTAAGAAGTGCCTTTCACCTCCCGCCATGATTCTGAGGCCTCCCCAGCTATGTGGAACTGTAAGTCCAATTAAACCTCTTTTCGTTCCCAGTTTGGGGTATGTCTTTATCAGCAGCGTGAAAACAAACTAATACATGCTCTAATAAATAAGTCCCGTCCCTGCTGGACCACACTTAAAGTTCCCTCTTTTGACCATAGCATTTTTGTCTCAGTCAAACCTTTTGTCCCTGGGTTTAACCTTTATAACACATACCACACTTTGAAATTTGATACATATATATTCATTTACTGGTTTATTGTCTGTTTTGTCTCTTCAGTAGAAGAGTCCTACCTATCTTGTTCCTTTCTTGAGTAATTCAAATTATATTAAATTTTTTTTAAAAAGAGCCTGTATTGCCTCAGGTGACTGGGAAATCCAAAGTGCTGGATTCAGAGTTCAGATGAAGCTGTCATGACTCTTGTACTCTTTGTCTCTCAGCTCTGCTTGCTTTTTCTTTGCTCCAATGTCACATACTTTTTCCCTCTATGGAGACAATGTGATCCCCTACATTTCCAGAGAAAGAAGTAAATGATGTCGCTCAAATCTCTGGTGAAAAGTTCGAGGGCTGACTCTGATTGAACCATTTGAAGTCATATGCTCATGCCTGAACCAATCGCAAGAGTCTATGCATGCAGGAGGAATTCTAATTGGCTAGTCAGGGACACAGTCCTCCCTTACCACAGGAGGGTGGAGTCAGCCTTGACCAAATCAAGTAGAAGGAACAGGAATATTATGGAATAATGAGTGAGGGATAGTTTCCCAAATACTGAGCAGACAAAATAATAATAATAAACACCACCCCACTGTATACACGATGCCTAGCATGGAGCAATCACAGCATAAGTGCTCAATGAATGTTTTTTAAATGAATAAGTAATTTATGTGTTTATTTCTTGCCTCCCTGATGCCTAAAGAAACAAGGGCATGAAAATCAGGCAGGATCCATCCCAGGATTCAAGGCTTGCTCCAGCCCCTAACAGCAGGATGATTTGGGGTGAGTTAACGTTCTCCCCTCTGAACACCTGTTCTTCCCTAGAAACCAAGATAGAAAATACTTTCTCTATCAACCTCTCTCAGGATTTTTATGAGGATTAAATCATATAGCATATATAAAAGACCTCTTAAAATAGTACACAAGTGGGTGTTGCAAATAATAATGAGGCTGGCAGGCAGCTGTGGCTTAGAGTCACAATATCCTCTACGTGTAGGAAGTGCCTTCAATACTTAGCACATCACATGGAATGTGGTGGCTGTAGGACCACTCGTGCCTCTTATTTCTTTTCATGTCTGTGTAGTGCTTACTTGGATGCTTTGGCTAAAGAAAGAGAGAATAAGAAGTTGTGAGTTCATCTGTGTGTGTGTGTGTGTGTGTGTGTCTGTTGTGTGTATGTGTCTGTTGTGTGTGTGTGTGTGTGTGTGTTTTAAACCAAGATTTAACTAAACCTCAGGAGTTTTCAATCTGTTTTCCTAATAAAGTTTACTCAGAAACATTGGACCGGCAGTGACTGTTGAGAGACCCCAGGGCTATTTGTGTAAATTGAAAAGACTCCTGAGCTCACTCCTGTTTTTATTATGGGAATCACACTAAATGTGATAATTTTTGTGAAGCGTGTTTGCTGTCAACTTCTAATTGTGCTTGTTCATAAGCAGCTGAATAGGAAAAAACCATCTCAATCTATCTGTGATTACAGTCACCAAATATAGAATCTTCCCATCAGACCTGAAATAGAAAACCTCACCTTTAATAACTTTGTGTCGCACAAACGCTGGGCTCAGACTCTCAGAGGGAACGTGGCATCACATCGAATGTTCTCTCCTCCACAGTTAACTCTTATACTTCAAAGTTGTGTGTGATTTAAGGTTTGATTTGGGGCTGCATTCTCTGCAGCCCCAAATGTGAAGTGATTTCCCCATACTAGATACTAAGAGGCGTACTACAAGGCTTACTGACCTCTGCTTAGTGGCTATTATTATGAACTCAGAATTAAGCTGATTGCTAGTAAAACACATGTACTTGGTTATATTTTGTTTATAATATTTCTCACAGTAAAAGTATCCTCTCAGCACACTTCTAAGCTCCTTAAGGACATTCTCTTAGTTTAGAACTAGAAAAAAATACTGAAAAACACAGAAGCTGTTTAGTCCAAGCTTGATCTAAAAGAAGCACAGATAGGCTGGGCGTGGGGGCTCATGCCTGTAATCCCAACACTTTGGGAGGCCGAGGTGGGAGGATCACTTGAGGTCAGGAGTTCGAGACCAGCCTGTCCAACATGGTGAAACTCCGTCTCTACTAAAAATATAAAAAGTAGCTGGACATGGTGGTGGGTACCTGTAATCCCAGCTACTTGGGAGGCTGAGGCACGAGAATCCCTTAAACCCAGAAGGCGGAGGTTGCAGTGAGCCAAGATTGCGCCACAGCACTCCAGCCTGGGCATCGGAGTGAGACCCTGTCTCAAAATAAATAAATAAATAAATAAATAAATAAATAAATAAATAACAATAAAAGAAGCATAGATAAATTAAGTCTATTCATTGTAGTCTAAGGCACAGTGCTAAGCACATAGTAGATGCTTAAAAAACCCTTGCTGGCGTGACTTGAGTGGATTTATAGCCTGTGATTACCTTTTAGCATCATTGGCAGTTTGCCATAAAAAACACAATATCTGTTGACATCTCTTATCATGACATAAAAACAGATGGCTGCCCTGCACAAAATGCATAAGGCCCGAATGGCCCATCAACCAGTCTAGACCAGGCTATCTCAACATTCCACCTGGGCCTGGATTTAACCAGGAGTTGTGCAGAGGATGGAGAATACAGGGAGGCTTCTAAATCTAAACCCTGAGATCTTGAAAATTCCTTGAAAAGGATCCTCTACAAGGAGTTCTTCCAGTCCCTTGCACCCAACACTCCTATTTATCCATGCTTTTGCTTTGCTATTCCCCCTCTCAGAAATGCCCTATTCCTCTTTTCCTCTCACCCTCACCTGGCCTTCCTGCCTCATCTGCTCTGCACATCCAGACCTTGGGTCACAGCCCTCCTGGAAGTGTGGTCACAGCCCTCCTGGAAGTGTAGTCACAGCCACAGCGTCTGTGCCAGCAACCATCCCAGCTCCTGGCTGCTGGGCCCAGGTGAGGCACTTTTGACTCATCATCTCCTATGATTATTCATAAAACCCCACAAATACATATGATTTTGCTCCTTTACAGATGGGAAAACCTAAGGCAGAGATTAGATAAGTAAACCGCCCAAGGTCACATGGTTAGTAGGTAGCCAAACAAGTGTCAACCCCACTCGGTCTGATACCAAAGCCTGTGATCATCTCTCTCTCACGATGCAGCTTCGCTTGGGTCGACCACCTTAAAAGACTCTTGTGTCATGGGGTCTTAGTTTACCTGAGTTTGGGAATTAAGGTTCATATGCAACTTCATAGGGTATTTGCCCTGTGCTGATGACCCTATATTTGGTCCTTCTGGGAATGGCTGTGATGCCATTGCCTTAGGGGAGGAAGGCCCAAACCTAAATTCAAAGCCCACAGAAATGAGTCTGTTGGCTGGGAGCATGAAGCAATGTGTTAAGAACATGAGTCACTGAGATTTCACCACCTTTGTGCTCTGCGGATTCCCTTGTCTTGACAAGCTATCATTTTGAGTGTTTAGGGCCACTGTGTAGCAGGAGTTCTATTTTGCAGCCTAAGCTGGACTCTGAAGAATTCAGACTTGCCCAGGCATTAGGGAAAAAATGTGCCAAGAATCGATTTGCACAAGGGAACAGGAGCCTGTTGGGAAAAGCCTCACCCTAAGGCAGAGAGAGTCCAGGCACATGAGCTCAGGTTGCAGGGAAGAAGAAAACCTCAGTAGAGCCCTGTCTGACAAGTGTCTTTTGCTTTCTCCCCACTCTCAGCCACTAGGCACTCCTGCCGAGTTCAAAGGAGAGGGCGCTTCAGTCAGACAGCAAATGAAAGCAAGGTGAGCTCGTTCACTAAAATGTCCTTGAACGGTTGAGGGCCCACGATGGTGCCCTGCTGTTCCGCTCCCCTCACCCTGGGTGGCATTGCTACTTCACTGTCATGGAACAGGACAGCCCACTTGGTGAGCACAGAACCATGAGTCTCTGATCCAGTGCCAAGCAGAATGTGCCAGCGGAATATGCCTGTATCTGCAAATGTGTCCTAACTGAAAAGCAAATCAAACCTCCACCACCCATTCTCATACATCTTTGTGTTAAATATGTTATAGTTTTCTCAAGTCAGATTTTTGCAAAATTCTTGCTGCTTTTCATATGTGGATCTTGTCGATCATTTGTCCCTTTTAGAGAGCAGTCAGCCTCACATGAGGAGTACTTGTCATTCAGCAAGGAATTAGGAGATGCCTGGTGTTTGAAGGGTCACTTGGCCTGTGGCTCCTTGAGGCCAACGCCTAGCCCAGTGCTCCTCCAAACCCTGTCCTTCAAGTGGCTGCGACAGTTGCCCATTTCCAAGAGGCCTTTCCCCTTATGAAAGGATCCAGCATCCTCACTCAGATTAAATACGATTTCTATTGGTTGTGTTTCCTAAATAAATTGCTGGTAAATTACATCATCAAATGCAATTGGCTTTAATGTCATCTTAAAACTTTAAAGATTTTGTAATGTCATTGGCTTTTCATCTTTTCTGAGCCTTTCTAGTTACATAATGATATGCAATTGCTAGAGGTTTATGCCTTGAAAAAAATACAAAAATGCCACACTGGTTCATGCCTTTTGGCCTTTGCTCAGGTCTTGCCCTCTGCCTGGAATGCTATTAAGAGCTGGCATTTGCTGAGTACACACTACGTGCCAAGCATTATAACAAATGTGTCCCAACATCCTTATGAAATAGACATGGTTATTGGTCTGATTTTGTAGTTTGGGGAAATTGAGGCACAAAGTAATAAATGACTGGCCCAAGTTCATATAAGTGGTAAGCAGTTAGAATTAAAACTCAAAGTCCATCTGCCTGGCACCAAAACAGAGCTCTTGACCATTCTGACAAACTGCTGCCTGACAGAATGTTTTTCAAGCCCACCTCCTTATGTAAACATTGAATGTCTATTCAGCCTTCAGGATGCCGATCCAGTATCTGCTCCTTTATGAAGCCCTTCTTGACTCCCATAACAGAGCTAACCCCTCCCTCTGGGCCACTTTGGCACCGTGTACACACTGTCTTGTTTTGCTTTGTCATCAGAATTATTTGTTATCATGTCACATGGGTCTATCAATTCCTTGAGGATAGGAAGCATGTCCCATGCCTCTTTGTATCCTTCAGATGTCTGGCACATAATAAGATGTTCAGTACATGCTGATTGACCACCTATCTGAAAACAAACTTAGGCCAGGCATGGTGGCTTCACCTGTAATCCCAGCACTTTGAGGGACCAAAGCCAGAGGATCACTTGAGCCCAGGAATTTGAGACCAGCCTGGGCAACATGGCAAGACCCCATCTCTACAGAAAATAAAAAAATTAGTTGGGTGTGGTGGCATGTGCCTGTAGTCCCAGCTACTTGGGAGGCTGAGGTGGGAGGATTGCTTGAGCCCAGGAGGTTGAGGCTGCAACAAGCTGTGACTGCACCACTGAACTCCAACTTGGGTGACACAGTGAGTACCCATCAAAAGAAAGAAAGAAAGAGAGAGAGAGAAAGAAAGAAAGAAAGAAAGAAAGAAAGAAAGAAGGAAAGAAAAGACAAGAAAGAAAGAGGAAGGGAGGAAGGGAGGAAGAAGAGAGAGAGAAAAGATAGCTTCATGGCCTTTTGGCTAAGATCAAGTGAGAGAAAGAGAGGGAGAGAGAAAGAGAAAGACAGAAAGAAAGAAGGAAAGAAAAAGAAAAGGAAGAAAGAAAAGTAAACAGAGGAAGGAAGGAAAGAAGGAGGGAAGGAAGGAAGGGAGGGGAGAGAAAAAGAGACAGAGAAAAAGATGGCTTCGTGGCCTTTTGGCTAAGATCAAGAGAGAGAGAGACAGAGAAAGAAAAGAAAAGAAAGAAGAAAGAAAGAGAAAGAAAGAAGAAAGAAAGAGAAAGAAACAAAGAAAGAAAGAGAGGAAGGAAGGAAAGAAGGAGGGAAGGAAGGAAGGGGAAGGGAAGGAAGGAAAGGGAAGGGAAGGGAGAGAAAGAGAAAAAGAGACAGAGAAAAAGATGGCTTCATGGCCTTTTGGCTAAGATCAAGTGAGAGAGAGAGACAGAGAAAGAAAAGAAAAGAAAGAAAGAAGAAAGAAAAGAAAGAAAGCAAGCAAGAAAGAAAGCAAGAAAGAAAGAAAGAAAGAGAAAGAGGAAGCAGGGAAAGGGGGAAGGAAGGAAGGAAGGGAAGGGAGGGGAGGGGAGGAGAAGAAAGAAAAGAAACTTAGACTGTTATTTGGCGGAACATGGGGCTCCTGTATTTCCTCACCCCTTTGAGACTGTGCAACATTGACACGTGCAAAAAAAGCCTTTGAACAATGATCCTCAGGGCTTTAACTCACCTCTAAGAGTTTTTTCCTAGGCTTTTCCTAGGCTGCTTCTCCTTAGAGCTACCATTTAGAAAGGGAGGCTGACTCATCAGTTCGGTGTCCATGCCACACCCATTGTCTGCCTTACAGCCTCTTGTTTCACCATCACCCATTGTTCTGTTTCCTTCTCAGTGCTCTCCAAAAGCAGCTTACATCAAAAAATCTGATCATGCCACAAAAACAACAGACTGTAATTGCTGTTTTCCACTGAAGCTTAATGATTCTCTCCTTACAACGAACCCATAATTACTTTTCAGAGTTCAGTGAAATTCGTTCAATAATAATGAAGGATGCATTCTTTCCCTAGCGTATCTAATTTAAATGGTTTTTTTCTAAATGGTAGCTATGACATGGTGACAAGATAGTACATAAGCTCAGATTTCTGTTGTTGTTAAGTACAAATATTTTGATAAGTGCAGCTAATATGAGATATATCCTCGTAGCTGGATATGATACACATTGAAATATGACATTGGTACCATCTGTTCTTCATCATAAATATAAATGAAGTGATAATGAGCAAAATGTGTTAAGGACCATCAGGATGATTGCACTCCGATGGTTTAATTTGGATCTTCATTAATCTAAAAATAAAACAATCTATACATGACAAATGAACACGTTTTTACCGACGCTGTGCAAGTAACTTTTAGGCTATAAACTATGTTCGTGCCACTTAAAATGAGAAGTGAATAATACAAAGAAGATTTGTTTTTTAAGCTCCCATTGAGTTCTCTGTTCAAATCACTTACACACTCTTCTCGTGGGTCTGTTTCAAATCCCAGTATGGAAACCTAGCCTGATGTTGTAGGTGGTGAAATAGAGGCAAAAAAGACCAGTTCAGGCACTTTCTCACTGTGTGACCTTGGCGAAGTTACTTCACCCCTCTGAGGCTCCATCTCCTTATCTCTCAAGGTTGCAAGGAGAACTTTCAGCCAGCCCCAGGCTCATACCTGCACAATGCTTGGCATTGCATAGTGCTCAATAAATAGACCACGAGCTAACATTTAGTGGGCACTTGCTGAGATGGATTACTTAATATGTAAATAAATATATAATATTTAAATATATATTATATATAATATTAAATATATATTATAGATATCTATATCTGTGGATATAGATATCTATATATAGATGGATTATTTAATATGTAAATAAATATATAATATATAAATATATAATATATTATAGATGGATTATTTAATATGTAAATAAATATATAATATATTATATTTTTTAATATATTTAACATTTATTTAATATGTAAATAAATATATAATATAATATATTATATATTTATTTACATGTTATATTTATATATTATTATATATAATATATAAATTATATAAATTATAATATATATAATTTATATATTATATATAATATATAATATATAAATTATATTATATATTATATATATTATTGTATATTATAATATATAATATATATTATATTATATAATATATAATATATACTATTATAGATATCTATATCTATATATTATTTAGATAATATACAGATTATACATTTACAGATTAGATAGTAGATATAGATAGATTATATATAAAAAAATCTAATATATAAATAAATTAAATATATTATTTAATATATAAATTATTTATAAATATATAATATATAAATAAATATATTAATATATGTTAATCTGACTAATATATTAATATGGATATAATTATGTATACTTATATGGATCATATAATGTATTCATTACCATTTCTCTCCATTTTACACGTGAAGAAACTGAAGCATACAGAGATAAGCAACCCGCCAGGCTTCAAGTGCCAGAACTGGGATCCAACCCAAGCAATCTCATTCCTCAACTTTATAGTGATTACAATTATTGATGTTGTTATGTATTCTCAATTACTAAGGGGAAAGAAGAACACATTATTTCCTAGTCAAAGTCTCCACAGCCGAAACAAGTGTAAAGTTGTTGCGGTTAAGCAGGGCCCTGATTATAGTAAGATCTTTTCTGTATTACACAGATTTCACCCAGATCACCAGCATTTGTCAGTAAATTCTCTTTTCCCAAGCCTACAAGCTCACCTCTAGGGCATGCTTTATTTCCCTCTAGCTGAACACTGCCTGCTAGGCCACTCTTGGAGGAAAGAGACAGAAATGTTCATGAGACCACTCAGGGTTTGCTGGACCAGGTGCCTCAAAGTCCAAGTAGCACTGACAGCAACTTTCCCCAGCATCACACTCATCCCCGCAGCCCTGGCCTCTCTGGCCACAGTCCAGGTACCCCTCCTCAGTCTTTCTGCTACTCTCTGCAGTATTTGAGCCCCAAGAGGGTCAAACAGGCCTCACACCTATTCGCGTAATCCTTCTCTGCCCCGGTAATCAGGGCTTCCACTTGTGGAGAGCCTACTGTGTGCCAGATGCCATTTCAGGCAATTAACACATCTTATGTCATTTAATTCTCATGGCAACCCTGAAATCATCCTCTCCACTTTACAAAGGGGAAGCTGAGCCTTGGGGAGTTTAAATAACCTCCTCATTTTGCATCTCATGCCCGTCTCCTCCCTCTGACCTAAGAGCTTAAAGATAGCTACTGGGGGTGGGGGGGGGGTTCCATGACATCCCTTTTCTCTCCCCAAATCACAGTCTGTTTGGATGCCTGTTTCTGGGCTCACAGCGCAGAGGCTGGTCAATGCTCCTGTCACCCTGTGTTAGAATCACAGATACCATTTCCTGGCTTTCCCACTGGAATTGAAGCTCCAGTGTACATGCAAAAGCTAACAGGGCATCCATGAATTAATAAACAAGTGAACAAATGCACACAGAGGTCACATAGAAGTCATACGTGTGGTGGTAAAGCACAAACTTGCAAGCAGACTGCCTGGTGCCTATCTGGCTCTCTATGCCAACTGTGTGACTCTAGACTAGTAGCCTAATCCCTCTGGGCCTCATTTTTCATCATATACAAAGTGGAGACAATGGCAACTGCCCCATTAGGTTGTAAAGAGCATTAAACAAGTTAACATATATCAACTTTTAAAAAGTGTCTGGCATGTAACAAGACATCAATAAAGAGTAACGACTCTTACTATACCTTGTCATTATCCTCATCATCAGAGCTTTACCAGGCAAAGCCAACCTTGAAGTCCACGTAGTTGCCTTGCTTTGGGGAAAAAGAATTATCAAAATTATGATCCTGGAAGAAAAATTAAATAACTCAATTAAAGCACTGTGAAAATAGAACTTGAAAAAAATGTAGACCTGCCCTTGACGGTGCTCAGGAAAAGAAATAGAAGAGCCCATCACTGCTTCTTAGGTGGGCTGCCCAGCATGGTTCTTGGGGTGACCAAGGAGTGACAAGCCACAGGGCTACAGAACAGGTACAAGCCTGAGTGGGGCCTGCTCCTCTTACCCTCTCCTTTTCACCTCAGAATCCTCCTTCTTGCCTAAGGCCAGAGAGTCCAGTGGGTGATGAGGAGAGAGCCTGGGCTGAACCACATGGGCCACATTGCTGTGCCCCCAGACATCATTAGCCATTCCATAAAGACATCATTAGTCATAGCAGATAGGCCAAACCCACCACTACTGTTGGAAACCAACTCCACAGACATATTTTCAAGAGTCTTCAGCAATGTCATTCTCATACCTAAGAAACAGTGACTCCTCTCTAGGTCAAGCCAGTGGCCTGCTCCAGGGCACTCACTGTGGATCCCTCCTCTGGGCCCAGCCCCTGCCTAGGAGGCCCTTTCTTCTCCATTCCACCTTCAAAGGCCTTTTCCATTCCCTACAGCTCAGGTCCAGTCACTGGTGTTTCTCCCACTCTCTGGCTTCTCTGAAATGCCCAGCAAGCACCTGGCCAGCACAGTTCTGGAACTCTTCACACCTGTGACCTGCATCTCCTTGTAGAGCACGAGTTGTTCCGGCCCAATGCCTATCAGTTATTTTTCCAACACTGGGCTGCAAATGTGGCAGGCCCTTAAAAAAATATGTGTAGACTAAAAGATAAGATTCAGTGGGTAATGAAATAACCCAGTGATGCCCAAAGAAGGTTTGGGGCTAAAATCAAGTTCATGTAATGCTGAGCGTTCAGAAAATCGTTTTTCGTGTTTCTAGTGGAAATAGCTTATGGAATGCTTTTATCACTTAAATTTTGTTGGGTTTATTTTTTTCACAGAGTATTTTACCTCTGTTCGCCATGTGTGAAGGAATAACTGTAACTCTGTGGTCTATGGGAGAGCTAGCTCCAAGCTAAAGTCCAAAATGATGAAGTCAAGCACAAGAAGATATTTTGAGCTCTAACGAGTTTTGGGGGGGAAAGCTCACATAATTCACCAGTGTTCCACATGGCTGTTTTTTCCTACTCAGAGCCCTTCTTACTTAGATGAAAAATACAGATAATACACTGACACATGCCCCAGCTGACTAGATTCAAAGATGTTATCCTGTTCCATAATGGGAAAAAAAAATCAAGTAAACATAGAGAGTGTAATAGATTACCCAGTTTTAACCATTGTTTTTTAAAGTTTCTTTTTTGGAGGTGGGCAGGATTCTACATAAGATTTTATATTCATTAAAAAGTGATCTGAAAATACTGTGATCAAATTTTTTAAAAAGAGAATATTGGTTTAATGATCTCTTTCAAGTTTAGTTATTCAGCTGCAACTTGACTTCCAAGTGCACTTAACTCATTATCACTCTTGTAGGGTAACACTTCTTTATAAATGCTCAAAACACTCAGATCCTGAAAAGGGTGGCTTAATGAGGGTGGAGTGTGGTAACTGTAGTCAAATCCGCCTATTTAGTATAAGCGATTTACATTTTGATAATCAATGGAATTAAGTGATCTTGAAAGAATAACAATTTTGCTTAGTTGTCTCTATAATTCCAGATACGGACTTCATTCTTACCATTGCTCCCTTGTATAGAGTTTTAGATATTTTGATGTATAGCTATTAGAAGTTGTTAAAGATAAACAAATGAAACGCTTGTTGTTCCCACTTCACGTTGTAATTATTCCTCCTGCCTTATGAATAAGTGCAAAGAGAATATCAAAAGTCAGAGGAGATTCTACTGCTCACAAACACTACCAACTTCCTGTTAACACGAGTCAGAAAGTTGGATTGAGTGACTCTTCTGATGCAAAGCTGATTATTTATTTGAAAAAGGTAACATTCTTGTTTTCTGCAATTAACTATTTTATTGAAGAGCAACAGGCATGGAAGAATCACACACCTATGGTGATTTTTTTCAAAGAAAACAATTAGTACCCATATCAAAAAAGCTAATTCACATTAATTAAAGAACACCCACATCAGTTAAATATAATAACCTCCCCTTTCACTTAACTTGCTGTATACAATGTGTTGCTTAAAAGTACTGGGCTTCAAGATAATAAAGAATGACAGTTGAAGGGTCTGGAACTTAGAGAAAAACTTTAGGGTCTGTAACCATTTTAATTGCACATAATTATGGATAAGGAAGTGGAACAATTTAATTTCTGGGCCTTCATGCTATTAGAAGGCTAACAGAACAGTATCAAAATTAGTTATTCAAGTAAAATTGCAAGAAGCTGTTTTTCATTTCAAAGTATAAATGGAAACTAAGTGGAATGATGACTAACTTTTGTTCCATCTTTTCACTTATATGACACAATGGTGATTCAAGATCTGGTGGAAATTATTTATGGAGATTTGGAACAAGTAAAGTAAAATACATTTTTAAATATTCGTTTTATTTTTTTATTTTAGAAAATATAGAAAATTATGATGAAGAAAATAAAAATCCATCCTAATGTGTGCAGAATGTCTCTAGAAGGGAACACAAGAAACTTGTAATGGTTGCATGAGGGGAAGGATCTGGTTGTGTGGAGGGTAGGCATTGGAAGGAGTCTTAGCTTTGACTAAATACTTTTTATTATGTTAGACTTTTTTTTAATTAAATTAAATTAAGTCTTTAGGAAATTACCCATAATCTCACCAATCAAAGATTAGACTGTTAACATTGAGGTATACTTCCAACACTTTCCTATGGACTAACATTCTATTTCTCTCTTATAAAATTGGGCTCACTATATATTTTATAGCCTATTACATGCTGAGCTTTCCCTGTGTTATTAAACATTCTTCTTAAGCTTGATTATTAACAGGCTAATAGTGTTCATTTGTGGATGAATCAATTATTTAATTAAATCCTCTCTTGTTGGGCATTTAGATTATCTTTCATTTTCCAATGATGTAAATAGCTCTGCAGTGAACATCCTTGTTCTTCACCCTTTCTACGCTCTCCTGAGTATAGTTGACCCTTGAACGATGCAGGAGTTAGGGGTGCTGACCCCTGCACAGTTGAAAATCTATGTATAACTTTCGACTCCCCCAAAACTTAACTACCAATAGCCTACTGTTGACCGGAAGATTTACCAATAACGTAAACAGTCAATAAATACATATTTTATATGTTACATATATAAATACATGCATACATATACTGTATTCTTACAATAAAGTAAGCTAGAGAAAAACAAAATGTTATTAAGAAAATTATAAGGAAGAGAAAATATATTTTTACTATGTATTAAGTGGAAGTGGATCATTATCAAGGTCATCACCCTCATTTTCCTCATGTTGAGTTGCCTGAGGAGGAGGAAAGGGAGGGGTTGGTCTTACTGTCTCAGGAGTGGCAGGGGCAAAAGAAAATCCACATATAAATAGACCCACACGGTTCAAACCCATGTTGTTCAAGGATCAACTGCATTTTCATAAGAAACATTTTATAGAAGTTGAATTACCAAGTCCAACAGATAAACATTCTAGAGCTTTTGATACGTATTGCCAAAATGCCCTCTAGGAAGAGATTATCAGTTTCTACTCTTATAGCAATATATAGGAATGCCCTTTTCAGGGCACCCTTCCCACACCGGGGAGAGACATTAGGGGAAGGCATGTGTGCAAATTGGGTCTAATGAAATTTTCAAATAAAAATAGAGATTTCTGCAAATATTTTATTCCAAATTTTGGGTGTTGTAGAGATGCTGCCATAGTTAATTCTACAAAATACATTTCTCCCTTTAGGGCTTCCAGTGAAGTGGAGTGGTTTCTAAACTTCCCTAACAGAAGGCCAGGACTTCTCAAATGCCAAGAATTGGTTCTGTGCCTTGAAAGCTGACAATATTTTGTAAACCACAAAGTGTTGCAAAGCAGGAAGTCTTGTCAATTCATCACCCAAATCTCTTTGACACAGATTTGGGGGATGAGTTTATGATTTTATGAGAGAGCTTATGATTGAGGGTTGTACGCAACCTCCAGTGATTCAACTTCCCCAGGGTCATCCTGTTCAATATGAGGTCTCACCTCCCTGAACTGGTGTCACTAGCTCCAACCTCCCGTTTTGGGAGGTGCAACAAACCAGCATAGGACATTGGATGTAGTCCCCTTCAGACATTTACCAGAAATAATCCTAACCTGCTTTTAGCTTAGAACTAAAACATATGCCTTTATGACAACACAGGCACTTATACAGAATTTAGAAATTATAGACAAGCACAAAGAAAATAGATATCGCCTTTAATTCCACCACACAGAGATAATCTCTGTTAATATTTCAGTATGTTGTTGGTAATCAATATCCCATCTTTTGTGCATATGCAGATTCTTATTTTGTAAACATGAGACACTATTATGCTTTCTGTGTTGTAACCTCCTTTTTCACTTAATATATCATGAACTATTTTCCAGGTTATTAAATATGTGACAAAAATGTCTTTGATTCCTTTATAATATTCTGTCACATACTATAAAGTTCCTCTGTGATTTTGCAATAAATTAACTTGTTTTGTCACTATACAGACGTAGCTTTTTTAAAAAAAAATCAACTCCTAATATTTATTTTTAAATTTGTTTGTGAAGGTAGAAACTCTCCTACCCATCAGTATAACATATAGCAAATGCCCCAGGCATGTGCAATGGCTCATGAGCTAAACCCAGAGTCCTTTGAAAAGACTAGATAAGAGTAAGACTCCTGTAATCCCAGCACTTTGGGAGGCCGAGGCGGGCGGATCACGAGGTCAGGAGATCGAGACCATCCTGGCTAACACAGTGAAACTCCGTTTCTACTAAAAATACAAAAAAAAAAATTAGCCGGGCGTGGTGGTGGATGCCTGTAGTCCCAGCTACTCGGGAGGCTGAGGCAGGAGAATGGCGTGAATCCCAGGAGGCAGAGCTTGCAGTGAGCGTGACTCCGTCTCAAAAAAAAAAAGAGTGAGACAAAAAAATTTCAATCAATTGCAGAAGAGAAAACTCTAAAATGCGTGCAAAAATTAAAACTAGAATAATTTTTCACTTAAATTACTTCACAAACCCTTTCAAATTCATGCTCCAGTTTAAAGAAATTAACTCTGGAAATGATAGGTAATGCTTTAAGTGTTTGTTGAATGCAAGAAAAATATAGAATCTAATCAACAAGCCCACACTCACAGAAAAGGCCTTGGCCTTATATCAAAATATTGGTAAATTAAGCACAAATCTGTGTTTTAAATTAAAATAAGATCTTTTGGGTGTAGTCCTCATGTGTCCTATTTTAGAATTCCCTGCTTTAACCAATTTTTTCAATTAACTGACTGATAACTATTTTTCACTGCATTGGATAAGAGGATTTACAATCAATGCATAACCTTGTGGAAAAAAAATCTTTATGAACAGAATGGATGATGTCATTAATTTGTTGCCGAAACAATGGAAAGCCATGTTGGCTCAAATGCATCATGAAAACAAATTGAAAGTTAATAGTTTAACTCATTCACGGGATATATAGTCATTTTCTACTGACCTTTCTATATATGGTATAAATGGTCATGTTCCTCCTTATTCAAAATCCTTTTCCTCGGAAAGCTCTGTTTTACAGGCATGTTGCATTATCTATAGATAGTTAGGAGAGCTATTTCTCATTTTTGGAGACATATCTTCTGTGTCATTACCCCAGGACATCATCCCTCTGTGCAGATAGTGGCTGAACTGAAAGACATTTAACATAAGCACGACTAAGGAAATGTCAGTCCCACAAGTGAGGATGGTATACTTTCTCATGTTATAATCAAACCATCATGAAAATAAAAGGTAAGAGTACTTCCCATCTGCCATTCTCTCTAAATGATATGGCAGCCCCAGCTCATTAAAGATGCCATGTTTTCTTTGGGAGGCCGAGGCGGGCAGATCATGAGGTCAGGAGATTGAGACCATCCTGGCTAACACGGTGAAACCCGTCTCTACTAAAAATACAAAAAAATTAGCCAGGCATGGTGGCGGATGCCTGTAGTCCCAGCTACTCGGGAGGCTGAGGCAGGAGAATGGCGTAAACCCAGGAGGCGGAGCTTGCCGTGAGCCGAGATAGCGCCACTGCACTCAGGCCTGGGCAACGGAGTGAGACTCCATCTCAAAAAACAAACAAACAAACAAACAAACAACCATGTTTTGCCAGTAGAAGCTTACATGGAACTTGCTACATATAGATGGAACCAACGATTTGGAATATTACCAAGTGATTCTATGATTTTCATTATTATAGTTTTTCATACCATAACAACAGAGTGTGCATCCTTGGAAGTTGTTTAATAATATTGGTTATTGTTCCATCTTGAGCCTTAAACACAAATCACTGTTACCAATTGTTAATATTATTAGAATAAAAATTTTCCTATTATTATCAAGTTTGCTTTTTCTCTTTGGATTCTGTTTTTCTTGGTGGGTCATTTAATTATTTCCTATCTCCACCGTCAAACATCTGTTCTGATTCCCATTCCACCAACATCTCCTTTCGTTCTTCTTCTTTCAGCTTCAATTAGAAGTTTGCTAATGCTAGGATCTCTGCTCAGATCTTGGACCTTTGCAATTAATTTTAATCAGGCTTGTTAACACTTTTTTAATATGTAAGAAATAAGCAAATATGTAACTAAAAAGCCATTTATGTCTTTTATGAAGGTAACAAATATGCAATTAAAAACTCCTTCTCTCTGTGACTTTGCAATAAATTAACTTGTTTTGTCAGTATTGTGCCTGTATAATGTCATTTACTCTGGAGTTTTGACAGTCGGATTTTTTTTATCCTTGGCAAAATTAGCAAGTAATATTAAGATCTAAGA
The DNA here is from genome assembly GCF_000001405.40 of Homo sapiens. Classification (NCBI taxonomy): domain Eukaryota; kingdom Metazoa; phylum Chordata; class Mammalia; order Primates; family Hominidae; genus Homo; species Homo sapiens. Next base: position 118,514,800 of record NC_000010.11, read on the forward strand.
AATGACAATTAGTTTGTGAATTAGGTGGTATATACAATGTGTTAATTATTGAGGGACCAGGCTGCATGCAATTAAAATTTAGCATCCAGATAATGATAATGTAGTAGGCTTCTGAGTATCTAATGAAATTGAAAATGTTCATTACCAATAAATTAATTCTCAGTTGCTTAACCAGTCTACACAGATGTCTGTGTCTATACAGAAGAATAGTTCATAATAATCACTATTGTTCACAAGTAGGATAATAACGTGAAATCTTGAAATTCTATCAGGACTATGATTTCATTGTTAGAGTTCCTTGCACACTGACAGGGAACCTTCCCAAAGACTCAGGAATATGATAGCTATAAAGATCTTTGCTTCTCTTAAAAAATTCTTTCAAGTCATCTGAAGATCAAATAATAAGATGAAAAGAATAAAGGACATTGAGAGGAAAGATGGGTTGGGATATCCTACATTTGCTCTAATGAACCCTTAATATTTTAATGGTGATTTGGAAAATGTTGTCTTAACTTTACCTAAAGGTATTCTTCGTAATTTGGAAACTCAGTTCCATGTGAATTTCCTACTGTAATAGGTGCCCTTACTGTTCTAGGTGCTAGAGAATCAGTAACAAGTTGCAACTCAAGAAGACCCAGTCTTGTAGGGGGTCAAACACAAAACCAAACCATTATATTACAGCATGATAACTGCTATGGTATAGAAAAAAAGGGTGACTTACATCCTACAAAGTCCTTTCCACTGATGAACACAGGGTGGATTGTAGGAGGCAAGAGTGGGAATGGGGAGACCAGCCTGGGCATGCCATGGTCCCTGTGAACAATGATGCTGGTCTACATGGTGGTGGTAATGCTGGAGAGAGGAAAAGTGTAGGATTGTAAATAGGTTTGGAGATAAAATTGTTGCCAGGATTTGGCTTGAGGAAATCGAAAGTGTATTGTTGCCTGATTTGGGGAAGGCTTGAGGAATAAGTGGTTTGCAGGGAAACTTCTCGAGTCCTATTTGGGGCTTGTTAAGATTACAACATCCAAAGGACATGTGTGTGTACATCTGTGAAGGCACTGGAATTCAGAGGTGAGGTTTCGTTGAGATAGAATTTGGGCAATCATCAGCATATAGATGGTTCTAAGGCCCTGGAGTGGATGAGCATACTTAGGGAGAAAGTGTAGGGAGAAAAGAGAAATCCCAATAACTTCAACATTCAGGGGACAAAGTGAAAGAAGAGAAGTTGGCAGAGGAGACTAAGAAAGGGCAACCAAAGAAGGTCCCAAGACAACCAGGAAAGCATAGCATCATGGAAACCAAAAGAGGAGAGGTTTACAAAGGAAAGGTAATCCCATGCCTGTGCTAAGGTTATTCATTGAGACATTGTTTTAACAGTAACAGATCGGAACACCCTAAAGGCCCATAATGAGAGACCGAAAAAAATAACTTAAGGCAGTGGTCCAAACATTTTTGGCACCAGGGACCGGTTTCATGGGAGACAATTTTTCCATGGACCGGGTTGGGAGGATGGTTTTGGGATAACTCAAGCACATTACATTTATTGTGTGCTTTATTTATATTATTATTACATACTCACCATGATGTAGAATCAGTGGGAGCCCTGGGCTTATTTTCCTGCAACTAGATGGTCCCATCTGGGGGTGATGGGAGACAGTGAAAGATCATCAGGCGTTAGATTGTCATAAGGAATGTGCAACCTAGATCCCGATCCTTTGCATGTACCATTCACAACAGGGTTCATGTTCCTATGAGAATCTAATGCTGCCACTGATCTGACAGGAGGTAGAGCTCATGTGATAATATGAGCAATGGGAAGCAGCTATAAATACACATGAAGCTTCACTCAATCACCTGTTGGTCGCCTACTGCTGTGTGGCCTGGCTCTTTACGGGCCACAAACAGGTACCTTCATATGGATGGTCCTTAAGTCAAAGGTCGCCAAGCCCCGGTACCCATCTGTGGCCTGGGGGTTAGGAACCTCTGACTTAAGGCCCACCCATACAAAAGAATACGCTGAAGTTGTAGAAAAGGAAAGGGTGGAATAATTTTCAAAATAGTACTGTTACAAAATTCACTCTTACATGAAGAAAAAGGAAGTTCTTTAGTATGTTATTTGTGCAAAAAAAGAGAAGTATATATAGAATTGCTGGTATAAGTATTGAATATTTCCAAAGACACAAACTAAGATGTTTGCCTGTAGGGAAGGCAACTGAATGGCTCAGGAACAGAGGTAGAAGGCATAAGAGTGCTTTTTATCTTAGTGGCGCAATCTTTAGGACTTTAAAATTTATATTTTATGATGTATACCTTGACTAATCAACATCAAGAAATAATATTGTATTCTGAGTATGATGGGGAGACTTTTGGAAGATCCCAGTTGGGAGGAACTTTGTCCTTGAGCAGAACAATAGAAATAATATTTCTTGAGGTTTAGGATATTGTTTTTGATATGTAGATGTTTATGATATGTAGAAATAATATATCTTGATGTTTATAGTATTGTTTTTCATTGTCTTTCATTTCCAAGAGTTACAATATTTACATTGCTCTAAAATCACATTTACCATGGTCATTTGACTAATTCTGTGTTTTAATTGGTTCCTATGCTCACTACTGGTCCTTTTTAAATTTTCACCCCTCATTTCCTAATTTATAAAATCTTTGCTTTATTTACCTCTCATCTGTCTGCTGTATATATTCAGGTAATTTTATCACAAAGCGTACATATATGCCTATTTTCTGGGTCCTCAAATATGTGAAAATTTCTTTCTGTTGCTTTCATACAAAAATAACACTTTGGTAGGCATCTTAGTTTAGGTTCTGCCCAAAATGGAGCCTGAGACAAGGACTTGAGTGCAGGCAGTTTATGTTGGAGCTGCTCCTGGGAAACAGCAGTGAGGGAACAGAGATAGGGAAGATGGAAAAATCAATAATGAGTGTATAATTGAGCTGATTAACACTGTGGGCAACTGGAGATCATTGCTCCTGGGGACCTCTGAGGACCCTGTAGAAAGTGCCTCAAAATTGTTCCACAAAAGGTGGGAGCCCAGGGCATTCATCTACCAACTCTTCCCTCCAATTGGTCAAGAATTGAACAAGGAACATTATTAGCTCCCTTTGACTTCTTGCTTCTACAGCTTTGGAGGCTTGAAGTGAGAAGCTGACAGCATATCTGGAAACTGCTACCATGGGCAGTTAAAATGACAAGTGGTCTAAGAGATGTGGTGTAGGACACAAAAAGCATCTGCTACAGCTGACCGTAACATTCTTGCACTGTACCCCTTTTTACTCTCAAACCACCTTCATGAATGTTGTTCCACATCTTATGGAATCTAACATTGCAGAAAAGTCTAGAGCTAGCCATATATCCCTTTCTATTCTTGGTAACCAGGATGCTTTTAAGATTCAAGACATAGTTATTTCTCCAGGTCTTGGCAATTTTTCACTAATTTTACCTATACATGGTGCACCTTTCAATCCATGAATTCAGATCTTTCTTTGGTTCAGGAAAGTTTTCTTCTATCATATCTTTGAATATTTTTCTCTTCTTCAGTAAATCCACTTAGATACCTATATCTATGGAATCTCACCACTGCATCAATTACTATCTCTCTAACCAATTTCCCCACTTTGACCTTTTCCTCTGCATCTGGAAGATTTTTCTCAAACCTGTTTCCCACATCTTATAAAAAGTTTCAACAGTGTCTACTCTGCTACTAAATGATTATATTATTTTAATTTCTATATTGGCATTATCTGTTTCCATAAATTTTTTTCTTACCTACACCAACATCTCTTTTATTTAGGTCTAATAATATCATTATCATCTCTTATTTCATGTAAATACTTTTCTTTTCATATTTTTCTTAGGATTTGGAATACATTATTTCCTCAAACATATGTTCTCCATTATTTGGCTTCCAAATAGATCATCATTTATGGCATGGAAGCTTTTCATGATTCCCTTGTGTTCGTTTCCTATTTTGAGAGCAGATCTCCCCTGGAGTTCATCTCAAATAAGTAGGGATGGGAACAAAATATATTCCTTGGATATCTTCCTTGGTTCCCCGAGCACTGTTAGAATTGTCTTTTTATTTAAGGTAGAAAGCTGGATGATGTCAGTTGCTAGTACCATTTCAGCATTCATCAGCCTGTGGGGATGGCAAGGGGCTAAAGGGGCAGGCAGGGGGCTAAGGACTGGAGCCATCCCAGCTGGGGGGAACTTTGTGCTTGAGCAGATGTTCTCTTTGTCTCTGAGCGGTCCCTTGTAACTGTTCATGGGAGCCAGCTTTCTGTATCAGTTTTCTCTAGAGAAGTGCACTTCCTGGAACATCTGCCCACTGCAGAAATGCAGTGTCTCTGGAGAAATGCACTTCCTGGAACATCTGGCCACTAAGTCAGGAGCAGATCCCTTCCCATTTACAGGAAGGTGACTTCCCTCATCCTAATCCCATGTTTACTACCTCTGAGGCAAGGCCAGTTACATGGGTGTATACCCTGTGCCATTACTGAGAAGGGCCCTGACTTGGTCCTGCTGCTACCATCTTGATTTATGAATTAGGGCCCTGCATTTTCATTTTTCACTGGATCCCACAAATTATGCAACTGGTCCTGGTCAGATGTTATTCCCTGAGGTTTGAGGCACAACAGTGACCAAACAGTGCCACACCTAGCCTCAGGCCCTCCAATCCTGGTCATGCCCTACGAACTCCATTAAATGGACAGTAGAGAAGAAAAAGGATCAGTAAAACAAATGCTGTCAAGAAGGGTGAGAAGCTGGGTGCTTTGGCTGTATAAAGCCACAAAGAGACAGCCTGGCAGAAGCACAGCCACTGACAGCAGAAACAGAATGCCACTTGGTATCTGAACTCTCCAGACCACACACTGGTCTGTTCTTACACTCACCTAACCAAATAGTCTCCAAAACTCTACCACTGAACTGTCAACAAGCTGTCTGGGGGAGGCTCGTTACAGTCTTGACCTAGATTTGAGTCCTATCCCTGTAAAGTGCTCTATTCCATTTTCTATTACCTTCCTTGGGTATCATCCTACCCCAAGCTCTACAAACTAAAGCTGAAGGAGAGAGGTGGCAAACTTCGCCTATCAGATCTATGAAGCAATGGCCTGTGTTCTCATCAGCCATCCTTGAGACAGCTCACGTCTGCTCTGAAAAATCAGAATCCACCTTTTCAATAACAGCATGGTGAACAGAGGTCATGTTAGCCTGCTGACCTAATAAGCTGATTTATATTTATTTGCTAACACGAATCATTTGGTCTGATAAAAATAACTTCTAACAAACTAGCTGCTGTGATGGAAAGATGGCCTCCCTCTTTGAAAATAAATGTCAAGTCTTTATGTATCATTTATTTTTGGTAAATGCCGGGTCTCTGGCTTGGCATTTAAATAGCAGAGGGAGACTTTAATCAGACCACTGAAGGGCTCCAGGACTGGCTGGAGAGAACAATTGACTTTCTGTTGACTAAGAAGAAGTTCAAAGTGTAATGCTGACTACCGTATATTCCCTGTGGAGGTGCCTGGGGAAAGAGGAGGGAGGAATGATTATCCACCCTTTTGGATTTGTTTGTGCATTTCAGCCAAAAGAAATGACCTTCTTGCATACCTCCTTTTGTAGAAAAAGGAGCCTTTGAGGTCATCTAACTCACTCCCTTTGTGTACTCAGAGCCCCCATCTCCAAACGTCACCAGCAAGCACCAAGGCCAAATACACCAGCATAAACCAAAGTGCCGGACATGGGAATCAGAGACACAGAAGGTAATGTCTGCCCAGATTGATTCAGAGGGAGTTTCTAATTCATTTGTAAGGCTTCTTCACACTATGCCGTTAAAAAACAACAATACAAAAAACCCAGCACCCTCTAATTGTTTTTAACCATGCTAACTAATCAACGCTTTTCTTGTGTTTTTTGTTTTATTTTGTTTTAAGCATTCTCTGTTCCAATAGACAGAGGTTGTGCTCATGTTGCCAGGTTCAAAATTCAGCACATGATTAAATTGTTTGCACACCGGTATCCAGCGGCCAATACCACTGACTGTGGAATATGCTGTGTGCTGCCTCTCTACCTGGACCATGGAAGCTGGCAGCCTCCCAATGCTGTTTAAAAACAATGGGAAGAACATGTCCCTTAACTAAGACAGAAAGCCACCACTGCCATTAAAAAAGAACAAAGCAAAACCCTCTAAGTGCCATCTCTCCCCATTCCTGGCTCCAGGACGGAGCTCGCTGAGGGACAGGCCAAATGCCTCCATTACCCATATCCTCCCATGCAGTGGATCCCCCAGACCAGGACTCACCCCTACAACTTCCTTCCAGAGAGTAGGGGTGGCTTCCTAGGCAAGCAGGTGTCACTTGCTGACCTGCAAACTCCAAATTACAACCTGCCAGATGCACATTATACAAATCCCACACCAGGTGCTCTTGGAAGCTCTGGGAGCACCTGCCATCTTCAGGGGAGCATGGAGGTGTTTGCTTCAACCTGTGGCAGGACCAAGGGGCCCCACTCTGACCTGGATCAAATTGCAGTCATTCCATGATGCTAACACCAAATGGAAACTAGACAAGGGCCATTTGGGGGGAAGGGAGGATGGATTTTTATTTTCAACTTGACGTTTTTAGAAACTCAAAAGGCATAGGGAAGCAGGGAGTTTGGCAAGGAGAAAGGTGCTGTTTTCTCCCTTCTGTTAGCATCTTTCTCCCCTGGAGAAAGGATATGAACATCAATGTGGCCCCGAGGAAGTAACCACACATTGAGACTAAAATTCTCGGTAATTCTGGCCACATCCTACAGGCTGTTATATTCTCTATGGGGTTCCAGATAGACACAGGATGTAAAGTACACACGTTAACCAAGAAAGAATAAATCCATCAAAGGAAAGAGAGCTGTAAGGGCTACAATGTGCCACACACTGGACTTAACATGATTTCACTTGGTCCTTCTTAATTTACAGAGGACACCAAACCCTAGAACACATAATTCATTCTCCCAGATACCTGGCAAGCAGCTATGTCAAGACTAGAACCCAAACCGCACCACTCCAGGGCTCACACTCCCTTTGCTTTACCAATATCTGCCCTGAGAATGGTGAGGCCCCATCTGGTGACTTGACACCAAGCACTTCATGGCCCTGTGACCTGAACAGTCACATAGGACTCCACACTTAGAAGGGCCCTGGAATTGTCTAATGCTGCTGTCACTGTCTTGAAATTCCTAATAATTTTTTATTAAGGGCCCCTGCATTTTCATTTTGCACTGGACCAGCAAAACTGGTTTTCCTTGCAAGTGTGATCTAGACTCACCTCCCACACTTTCCCGATGCACCATACCTCCGGCACATTAGCTGCCTCTCTGAGACCCACATCTGTGTCTTCCCTTACATCATTATTGATACCCTACTGGGAAAAAAGTAGAGAGCAAGTGACTATCACCTACTATTCACCTGTGGGTGTCATGCTGTTTGCATTGGATCATCAAGAAAACCTATTTTACAGATAAGGAAACTGAGACTCTGAGAAGTTAACTTGCCCACAGCTGATGAGGGCTGAACTGACATTTGGACCCAGATTTCTGGGGGTTGTTAGTTTGTTTGTTGAGACAGAGTCTCGCTTTGTCCCCAAGGCTGGAGTGCAGTGGCATGATTTTGCTCACTGTAACCTCGCCCTCCCGAGTTCAAGAGATTCTCCTACCTCAGCCTCCTGAGTAAATGGGACTACAGGTGCAAACCAACATACTTGGCTAATTTTTATATTTTTTTAGTAGAGATGGGATTTCACCATATTGGCCAGGGTGGTATCAAACTCCTGACCTCAAGTGATCTCCCTGCCTTGGCTTCCCGAAGTGCTGAGAATACAGGCATGAGCCACCACGTCCGGACTTGGACAGATTTCTCCCTCTTTTTCCATTATATTACACTTCCTCTTTCATCCCTTCTGTCAATCCAACTTCTATGCCAGAGACTGGCAAACATTTTGTAAACGGCCAGATAGTAAATATTTTTAAGCTTTGTGGGCTTTACAGTCTCTGTTGGCAACAACTCAACTTTGCCACCACAGCATGAAAGCAGCAGTAGACAATACATGAAAAAGTGGTTAGGCTGCATTCCAATGAAGCTTCATTTACAAAATAGATGGTGGACCAGATCTGGCCATGGGCTATAGTTTGCCAAACCCTGTTCTATACCAACTGCTGCTTGAAAGCCCTTCATGATGACTCCAGCTCAACACAGTCATTTCTTTATCCAAATTCCATACTTTATGAGTCATAAATCAGGCAGGAAACAGAATCACACTCAAGTGGTTCAACTAAAGAAATGTTAATGAAGAAACTACTATACAGAGGTATAGGCAGGTTAACAGAACCAGCAAGGATGTTGAAACACCCAGAGACCAGCAAAAGTGGGACACTGTTACCACTCCTCAGCTACAGTGGCAAGAAGAGGAAGTCGTGTTAGCAAAGCCCAGTGTGAGCTGGTACCCAGAGAAGGGGCCTCTCAGAGGAGCTGTAGTCATATGCAGAGCTGCCACTTTGAGAGACATGGCACCAAAGCAGAAGGGGTAGAGGAGAAGCACTCCAACCCCTCTGTCTTCCCACCCTCTGATTACCAATCAGAATATCCCATTGGCCAAACCCTAATGGAAGCCAGCCAAGAGGGGTAACTTGGTGATGCCAAATGGAAAGGTCATCCCCTCAGGGCATAGAGCAAGCAGTGAGGGCTGGAGAATGAATCTGAGTAGAGGCAAATGGAGAATGAACCATACTGTTACTTATCTTTTGTTCCTCACATTCCAGTGCTCAGCTGAACACTGCATTAGATACCATGTGTAGTTTTCATGTGTAGCTCCTGAATCTCCAACTGGCATGTAAGATCTAGCCACAGTTGTTAACAGAGTCCTGGGAAGACAGTAGTTATTTTTAATGCAAGCACCTACTGCTCAAGGACCTGAGACACATGAATGCCTAGAACCCTTCTCAGCATAACCATGGGGTCAATCCATACTCCTCCAATTTATCCAGTTTAATTTGAGCACCTTCAGAGAAACCCAACCTTCCCGTCCTGGTGCTGATCCTATTAGATCCTAGTAGAGGATTTCTTTGAGAAAGAATCACCCAGAGCAGGCTTGCTGTGACTCACGTGGCCTTGGAAGTAAACAAGTTCTGACATAACTTTACCCTCCATTTCCATGTTCATGATACCTCAGAAAATTCCTAGTGAGCTTGGGTCATCATGAAACATCTATAAGTCCTTTCTCTACTTTTCAAGAAAAATGTGGCTCTCAAGAAACATCCTGAGATGATTATTCTTTACAACTATCCACTGTTAGAAATAATGAATAAGGCCAGGCACAGTGGCTCACACCTGTAATCCCAGCACCTCAGGAGGCTGAGGTGGGTGGATTGCCTGAGCTCAGGAGTTCGACACCAGCCTGGGCAACACGATGAAACCCCATCTCTACTAAAATACAAAAAAATTAGCCAGGTGCAGTGGTGTGTGCCTATAATCCCAGCTACTAAGGAGGCTGAGACAGGAGAATTGCTTGAACCCAAGAGGCAGAGGTTGCAGTGAGCCGAGATTGCACCATTGCACTCCAGCCTGGGTGACAGAGTGAGATTCCGTCTCAAAAAAAGAAATAATGAATAAAAGGAACATTGAATGTATCCAGTAAATTTAATAATGTTATTGCTATAAATAATGTTTTGATTAGAGAATGCATTTAGTGGAAACAGAAAATGCAATCAAGATAGCTAATGGCCCCACAATCTCCTCGTCCTTTTAATAATAAAACTGCTGTCAATGCACACACATACACAGAGTCACACAGCTAGAGACTACATTTTCCAGCTTCCCTTGCAGCAAGGCAAGGTGCTGTGACGAAGGTCTGGCCAATGGCCTGTGAGCAGTAGTGACTTCAGAAACCCCTGGGTCATGCCCCTTACAAAGGAGACTACTCAGCCTCCCGTCTTCTTTCCCCCTTCCTAGGGGCTGGCGTGCAAACATGGTTCTTTTTGAACCACCCACCCTCAAACATGTCATGGAGAGCAACAATCCTGGAAATGGTAGACCCACAACCAAAACAACCCTGGAGCTCTGGGTGACATCACGGAGCAGAGCAGCCTGTATGCTCTGTACTTCTCACCTCTGAACTGTTACATGAAAGACAGAATGAACTATCTGGTTTGAGCTACTGAATTTTAGGGTGCCTTTGTTACAGAAGCTTAGCCTGTATCCTAATACATGGATTAACCTCTTAAGAGGTAGCTTTAACTCTAGGTAGCTCCAACTCTAGGTAGCTCCTAGAGTTGTCCCTGCAGAATCAACATACACAAAAAGTCAGTCTTTCTTATAAGCAGATTTTACATCCTGAGAATACTGTGTATTTTTTATCCACATTTGGTTGAAAAAGAAATCCATGTATAAGTGGACCCATGCAGTTCAAACTCATGTTGTTCAAGGGTCTACTGTATTTCTTTCTTTTTTTTCTTATTTAGCAAGAAGTCTAGTAGACATCTGCTGTTGAACCTGGTGTTGGTTCAACAGGTTCCAGAATTTGAGGACTGAAGCCTCTGTGATTCTCCTGAACTTTGCATCATGACCTCAAAATGGCTACTGTACCTTCAGTTATCATGCATGATATGATGTGGATCTGTGTCGCCACCCAAATTTCATGTGAAATTGTAATCCCCAAAGTTGAAGGTGGGCCCTGGTGGGAGGTGATCGGATCATGCGTGTAGATTTTCCCCTTGGTGCTGTTCTCATGATAGTGAGTGGGTTCTTATGAGATCTGGCTTTTTAAAAGTGTGTAGCACCTCCTTCCTCTCTCTCTTCCTCCTGCTCCGGCTATGTGAAGTGCTGCCCCTGACTTTGTCTTCCACCATGATTGTAAGTTTCCTGAGGCCTCCTTAGAAGCCAAGCTGATGCCGGCATCAGGTTTCCTGTCATGCCTGCAGAATCGTGAACCAATTAAACCTCTTTTTCTTTATAAATTACCCAGTCTAAGGCATTTATTTATGTCAGTGTGAGAACTGACTAATACAATGCCTCTATTTCTGAAGGGAAGAAGGAGAGGGAAAGGAAGGTGGAAATAAAAGACTTCCCAGAAATCCTCAGTGCAGTCCACTTCAATTTGATTGGCCAGACCATGTGCTATGGTTTGAATATGTCCCCCAAAAGTTCATGTATTGGGAACTTAATCCCTAATGCAACAATGTTGGGAGGTAGGGCTTAATAAGAGGGGTCTGCCCTCATCAGTGGACTAATGTCTTTAGTAAGGGAGCAGGCAAGTTAAAGTGAGAGGGAGTTGTTATAAAAGCAAACTCTGCCACCTTGTATGTGCTCACTCTCTCCTCCTCCTCCTCCTCCTCCTCCTTCCTCTCTCTCTCTCTCTCTCTCATGCTTGCTTCTACCTTCCACCATCCCACCATGGGATGACCCTTGCCTGATGCTGGTGCCATGCTCTTGGACTTTACAGACTATAAAACCATTAGCAAATAAACTTCTGGTCTTTATAAATTACCCAGTCTGTGGTATTCTATTGTAACAGCAACAGAAAACAGAGTAAGACACCATGTCAAATGGCTATTCCTAGCTGAGAGCTAGGGAAGTGAATTTTTCATTCCTCTGCCTTTCTAGTAGAAGACAGCAAGGAGAAAGGGGCTGAAATGGGTTTTGAGTGAGCCATAATTATTAATATGATTTTTGTAGTAGTTCTGAAAACTTCTGGGGATGTCCCATGGGAATTTCTGACTTTTCTCAACCATGCTGCCCCTTCCATTGAAGGCTTTGGATCTTAGGCATCGTCCTAAGTATTCCAAATGGAAGGTGGTAATCAGAGGGTTCCCCTGAGCCTGCCCCTCCCTAACTTGCTTTCTAAAAACAGCTTTCCTTTGGGCTCTGATGTAAGTCATACTTGTTGATGAAAGAGGCTATGTCATTAATTAAGGAAGCCAGTGGAGAAATGGCTGGTGTTTGGTGTCCATGAGGGTGTAGGATGTTGCCATATTAGCAAGATTCATTCTCAGGCCCAAGGGAGCTTTGTGGGATATGGGGGTTTCCACAGGACTGGAGAGATGGAAGCTTAATATGAGCTGGGCACTGTGCTGAACACTTTACAGGTATTATTGTAGTTGATGTTTCCTAAAACCCTGCAAAGTAGACAAAAGTACTGTTCAGATTTTTCAGATTAGAAAAATGAGGCTTAGAGAGGCTCATAGGAATGGAGAGATATTTGGGGAATTTTGCTATCAACTGGACAAGATATCTCTATTTTGCTTGGAATTACCTGGTAAAGATTCGGATGAGTTTTTAATGCTTTGTGGGTGCCAAGCTAATGTGTTTTCTGGACGTGATCCTGTGCTGAGCATGGCCACCAGGCAGTTCCTTCCACGGGCTACATGTATTATCTCATTTCAGGAGGAGACATGGCGGATGACCTGTGAAGCAGGCTGGGGTCAGTGTCAGGGCTGCCTGAAGTCTGACTTCTGAGTGTGTGGGACTATGGCCCCCTTTGGAGTGGAGCAAGGAGCCCCCTTTCCCAGCTAAATTTTTACAAGATTCTCTGTGTACACGGTCTTATTGCTTACTCAAAAGCATTGTCAGAGGCGTATTCAGTTTCAATACAATACAAATTTGTGTAGCAAAATATTTACTCAGCCTTTGACTCTGTGAGTGTAAACTTTGATAACGATGAAAAGATCTGGAGCTGAAAATCAGAGCCACAGAAGGAAAACACAGGGCCTTGAATGAGCTGCTGCATCAATAAAGCATCCTAGTCAACCAGGATGGCAGCTCTGTCCCTTCATGCGGTGAGGCCCTGCGGGCCACTGCAGCACCCTCTGAGGCACAGTCAGACCGATGCGCCTCAGGTCCTGTCAGGTTGGCAGTCACCCTCCTGAGTGCCCAAGTCCTTTCTCCCACCCAAAAAATAGTCTGACCCTCTCACACCGCCACGAAAAAAATGAATACAATGAGCCAAGTGTAAAGAAAGTCAGGAAGTTCCTACCCACCTGGATTCTGCACTGCAGCCCTGGCATCCCCTCTGAGTGGGCCTACAAGTGATGGACAGCAAGAGATGATTGACCTTTCTGGAACTCTGACTGCAAAATCTCCAGGAAATTGGGATTACATCACTTCCCTGGGTCTTGAATGGCATTTTCTTCTCCTCCTTATTCCCAGTCTTCCTTGTGGTTTACTCCTAAATAAAAATTTCCCTCAAATTTCCAACTTTTATGTCCGGCCACCATCTCATAAACATGTGGCTTCTACATTCATTCCAGTCCTACCAGATTGCTGCCAGAGAATGTTACAGTCGCAGATGCAACACATCATGGTCCTTTGTCGTGGGAGTGAACACTTATTTTTGTTCGGCTAGTGGGTTTTTAGAGACAGGGTCTTGCTCTGTTTTCCAGGCTGGGGTACAGTGATGTGATCATAGCTCACTAGACCCTCGAATTCCTGGGCTCAAGCAACCCTCCTGCCTCAGCTTCCCAAGAAGCTGGAACTACAGGCATATGCCAACATGCCCAGCTAAGTTTTTTAAACTTGGTAATATGTAATATGCACGTGTAATTTTTATTTTGTAGAGCCAGGATCTCACTATGTTGCCCGGGCTGATCTCAAACTCCTGGCCTCAAGCTATTCTCGCACCTTGGCCTTCCAAAGTGCTGGCCCCCACCCCGGCCAGACACCTATCTTAATAGCCTGCTAGGCATCCTGTCTTCTAGTAATGACTCACTGATTGTCCTCAAAGTTCCAACACTCCCTCGTGTCAGTGCACATGGTCTAGGTGGGGTGACCCCTTTCTCTACTCTAGGAATCTGGCTGATGAGAGCGCTTTTCACCCTGGCTATGGAGACGGACTTAGGAACGGGCATATAATCCAAGCCAGGCCAAGAGTACTGACTCAATTCCAAGATGTCTGTGCCCCCATAGAAAAGAGGCATGTAGCCCATGCCTTATGGATTTCATTCTAAAGGCCAAGGGAGGAAGGGACAATCATAGAGCATTTAAACCAGAAAGTGACATGATTTGATCGAGGCTGTGAAGAGATCTATCTGGCTGCTGTGTGAAGAAGCTAGGTGATGGGGGTTTGGGCCAGTGAAATGGAAAGAAGTGGATGGTTTCAAGATATATTTCATAGTTCAAACCAATAGTCTCTCTGCTCTCTGCAAGCCAGATTCATATGGGAAAATGTTCTACCAGTACCGTGGCACACTTTTTCCCTGATGAAAACTACAGGAGCTTCCTCATCCAGGAAGTAGCAGCAAGTGCAAGTGCATTGAACCAAATAGGACTTTGCAAGAAAGATCACAATTGAGGCACTGCCATCTGTCCCCATGTAGCGAAGAACGCTGTTTGCAGTCTTCATTCCCAAGCTCTTTCTTCTTGGGTTTCATTCAGAAGATGGGAAGGCCATGGCTGGGGAGAGTGCTTTTAAAGATCCCCCAAAATTTGATTATTGCACATACCTGGACAAGTAGGGGAAATAACCACAGGGAAATACCTTGGGTTGTCTTGCTTCAGCCAGCTATTCTAAAACAATAAAATGTTAAGCAATTCTAATGAACCTTGGGAGAAAAATGAGTCTTAACTAGGTGTCATGATTTGAATTGTGTCCCTTATCAAAAAATATATTGGAGTCCTAACCCCTGGTAGCTTTGGATGTGAACTTATTTGGAAATGGAGTCTTTGCAGATGTAATTAACATGTAAGTTAAGATGAGGTCATACTGGAGAAGAGGGGACCGTTCTTCCAATACGACTTGTATAGTGTCCTGACAATAAGAGACACGGGGATAACACCACCATGTAATGATGGAGGTGGAGACTGGAGTGATGCAACTGCAAGCCAAGAAGCACCAAGGATTTCCAGCAACCACAGAGGCCGAGGGATGCATGGCCCTGCCAACATCTTGATTTTTGACTTCCGGCCTCCAGAACGGTGACAGAGTAAATTTCTACTGTCTTGAGCCACCTGGCTTGTGCTTTGTTATGGCAGCCCTGGGAAATCAGTATACACTGGAGTTTTAAAAATTGAAACAACTGGCTATGTGAGGTGGCTCACGCCTGTAATCCCAGCACTTTGGGAGGCCAAGGTGAGCAGATCACCTGAGGTCAGGAGTTCGAGACCAGCCTGGCCAACATGGCGAAACCACATCTCTACTAAAAATACAAAAATTAGCTGGGTGTGGTGGCACACACCTGTAATCCCAGCTACTTGGGAGGCTGAGGTAGGAGAATTGCTTGAACCCAGGAGGCAGAGATTGCAGTGAGCCGAGATCGTGCCACTGTACTCCAGCCTGGGTGACAGAATGAGACTCTGTCTCAAAAAAAAAAAAAAAAAAAATTGAAACAACTTTTGAGTTTTTGCCACAACTCTAAATTTGGGTTTCAGGATGTATATGTAAGGTGTTTAAAACCACATCTTTCAGTACTTTCCAGTCATTTCATATGTAACTTTTATTTCTTGCAAAAGTCTTCAGGGTTATCTGGGCAGTCATATTTTGAGCATTTTGGTGCTCTGCTGCGTTAAAAAAACTAGTATAAGTTGTTAAAAAATTAGAAAGCACATTCACAAACATATATAAACACACAAAAAACAACATATGTATAGTTTCATAGTATAGTTGTAAAATGGTATCATACAGCTCTTTATTCAAATACTAGTTATTTGTGAGTAACTCCTTTTTTCATGCCTCTCTGGGTCTTTAGCCAAGTAGATACTCAAATATTAGTTGAACAAATGAAAATAGTATTAATGGTATATTAACAGAGGCAAATGATTTTTGTGGGGGGAAAACGGCATCCATCCAAGGATACCTTAATTAAAGACTCAAATCATAAATCGCAGAGCCAGGAAGGAAAATGAGGTTCTGTGTTCAGTTATTCCTCTCCCATTCTCTAGGTCATTTGAGGAGAGTGGTCTCCGTTCTAGCCTCAATGAGTATTAGGCTCTCTCGCTCACTCGCTCTCTCTCTCTCTCTCTCTCTCTCTCCCCACCTCTATTTTTTTTTAACCAAAAAGTAAGTGAATTTGCAGCTTTACATCTCACTTTATTTTTTTATTTTAGAACTAATTATTTCCTTTTTCTAGCTCCATTCTGTTCTTTAAAATCTCCAGAGAAAAAATTCACAACTGCTACCAAGAACTAGCAGTGAAGCTTGCATAGCAGTGTCTTTAACACAATAAAACTGGAAAGGCGAGTCATACATTGAGCCATAAAATAAACTCAACAAATCTCATTTCCAACTGTGGGTAGAGACTTGGTTTCAGTGTTACAGAACCCCACCTTCCATGTTCCCCTGGTTTTCAAACATGTTTGCAGCAACTTAAATATTCCTTCTTGCGTTGACTGGAGTTTCCACTCCATGCCCTAGGCAGCCTCCTGTTTGAAGAGTCCCACAGAGAAGGTGGGGATCAGGGCTAGGTCAACCCTCAAGTCTCCTTGCTCCCTTCCTTTTCCCCTTTCAGTGGCTGTGTGAAGCGCTTGCCACAGGCCGTGGTCTGAGTGGGGCAACAGGAACAGGAAGAAGCCATTCCTACCCCGTCTGGATGCCAGGGCCCTCGCAGAGACAAGTTCACATGTGTAAGCTCGGCCCTTCATCTCCTGCCTAGTTATTATTTTTAACAGGCACCATGTGCAATTCATTGATTTTTGTTTAACGTTTTTCTCTTCCTTCCTAGTCTTTTGCAAACTATTCTCACTGCAGCAGGCAATCAAGCACAGCTGGGGAGCATACCCCACTATGAGAATCCGGTTCCTCTGAAGCCTCCTCTTTTAGATAGGGGAAGAAGATGCCAGGGCAGGGAGGCAGGGGAAGTGGCTTGTGCGCTGGCCTCGGATGGAGGGGGTGACGTCACCCTAACTTATCAAAGGGAGCCAGGGCTATGATCCATTTATGGGAAACTGCTGTCTCTTCCAACTGAGTACATGCTAGCTCCTTTAATTTCATGATTAGTGTCATTTCATCATTGGGAAGACCAAGCTTTTTCCTGTTCAGTGACATAAAGCTAATATAAAACCAAGCGTGTGGTTCCTGGAAATATTCACAAAATTTTTTTTTCAAATTGACATAGTTCAGGAGTTGGGCAATAAATTTCCTTCCTAATGAGACACCACAAAGAAAGCAAACATCTGATGTTGTGCCCAAAGAGAGTCCGTTGTTGCAGATTTATGGGCAATCTGTGCAAATACTGTCCTTTCCTTTCGATGAGTTTTTAATTTTGGTTTGATAGTCTCCAGGTGTCTATATTTGCCCGTGATATTAGATGCATAAAACTGTAGTAATAGACATGTATTTTTCTTTTTTTTCCTTCTGGAAATGTACCTGTCCCCTGGGCATTCACAGCAGAGTCTTACACAGACTTGATTCATATGTCAGCTGTGTTTACATATCCATACATATATGACACCAAATAAAGACAGTCCTCTATCCACGCACACCAGCAGATAGTGTGAGAAAAAAAAAATCTCCTTTCTACAAGTTTTCCCCAAAGAAAGATGGCCTTCCAAACAAGGAGTGCAGAGGCTCTCTGTGGAGTCTGAGACATTCCCCGTTGTAATGTTCAGAGGCATGAGGGCAGGGATGGCTGATGGTTGGTACATCTTGGGTCTTTCAGCAATGAGGCACCTGGCATTCATTTTCTACTAATGTTCAGATAAAACCTTCTTTGCATGGGATCCTTCTGGGAGCCTGGCTGCACCAGGCCTGTTATGTCCAGGCCTGAACTATGTTGAGAAGCTATAGAGACCCCTTCAATGTCCTGTGCCATCATCATGAGCCTTTCAGTGGATTTGTGTGTTGGCATCTCTATGGAGCCACATTACCATGTCCTAAATCAAATGGCGGACCAAAGAGGAAACATCAAAGGTCTTGCTAATGGTCAGCCAGATACACAGTGCCTAGAAGGAGAAAAGTGTCCATTCTTTAAACTCCTGGCCCCTACTGAGATGCATATGGTGTGAAGGCAGCTGTGGTCTCTCTACCCTGGTTAGCTGTTCTTTCCTGCCCTGCTGGTACACAGGGGGCCTCCTCTTCTCACATTGGGGGTACCCACACAGTCATTCCTCTTCTGATCTACTGGGTATCTCCCAAAGAAACCAGAAGATGGGAAATGGGACAAACATGCAGTGCAGACAGAAACCATAGTCACCCAGCTCTCCTGCCAGGCCATCTCTCCAAGCTCCCTGGGTGTTGTCAAACTGTATGAAGGTCTCTGGTAAAGATCAAGTGATGGAAAGTACACAACACATGTAAGCTAATAAATGCAAGGCATTCTTCAGTCTGCAGAGCTCTTATCACATAGTAGGGTTGGTGGTGTAGTGACGGTGATTATGGTGATGATGGTGGTGGGATGGTGGTTAGAGGGGTGGCTGCAGTGATAGTATTTTTATATATTACTATTTCTTAACTTCAGTCCCATATCCCTCTGATAAAGTACCCTATTGCTTAATAGAAATTTTGGCTAATCCTTCTCTCAGATAAATATGAATGAAAGCAAGCTGAATGGCACAGGTACTTGGCTCAGAAATTGGCAATGACTTCTCTCAAGGAGGAGTGTCAGGCAACACAATAGCTCTACAAGAACAGAACTGGCCTGGTGTTTAGTATCATTGCCTCTCCTCCTGGACTAATTTTTTTTAATTGACTCAAAATTTTAGGTAAGTGAGCTGCCTATATAGGGAAAAGTCAAGACACTCTTTTTGTTCACCGATCCCATTCTTGTTGGGAAAATCCTGGGCTCTGGGCCTGACAGTCCTGAGTACAATTCCCATCTACGCCCCCACTCAGTGGCTGGGTAACATCAGGCAAGTGGCCTAATTTCTCTAGGTCTCAGCACCCCCCTCTGTAAAATGAGGGGACTGATACCCCCTTTGGGGTTGAGGATGATACGAAGACTAGGTGCAATGAATACACAGCACCTGGCATGGCAGCTGGTGCCTAGTATGTGCTCAAGGAATATAGACAATGTTATTATTACATAAAATATAAGCAGCCATAAAAAAGAATGAGTTCATGTCCTTTGCAGGGACACGGATGAAGCTGGAAGCCATCACTCTCAGCAAACTAACCAGGAACAGAAAAACAAACACTGCATGTTCTCACTCATAAGCAGGAGTTGAACAATGAGAACACATGGACACAGGGAGGGGAACAAAACACACCGGGGCCTGTTGCGGGGTTCGGGGGCAAGGGGAGGGATAGCATTAGGACAAATACCTAATGCATGCGGGGCTTAAAACCTAGACGATGGGTTGATAGGTGCAGCAAACCACCATGGCACATGCATACCTATGTAACAAACCTGCATGTTCCTGCACACGTATCCCAGAACTTAAATTTAAAAAAAGTTTAAGATTAAATATATATATATGTATATATAAGCCAGATCATGTTGATACCATCCTTAAAACCCTCCAGTGGATTCATATGGCTCTTAAAATAAAATCCAGACTCCATTCTCCAGGCACAAGGCCCATATGAGCTGGCCTCTGTCTCCTACGTCAGCCCCATTTGGTATCTTGTGACATCTCCTCACCAAGTTGTGGTTCCTCTTGACTTCCTTCACGGCTTCTAGTACATGAAACTTTTCTGTGCTTCAAAGTCTTGGTACCTAGTCTTTCCTTACTGGAACTTGACTTCACTCAATTTTTTCATTTGTTTGTTTGTTTTGAGAGTCTTGGTCTATTGCCCAGGCTGGAGTGTAATGGTGCAATGGTGCTCACTGCAACCTCCGCCTCTTGGGCTCAAGCGATTCTCGTGCCTCAGCCTACCAAATAGCTGGGATTACAGGCATGCACTACCACTCCCAGCTAATTTTTTGTACTTTTAGTAGAGATGGAGTTTCACCATGTTTCCCGGGCTAGTCTCGAACTCCTGAGCTCAGGTGATCCACCCACCTCGGCCCCCCAAAGTGCTAGGATTACAGGCGTGAGCCACCATGCCTGGCCCACTCACTCTATTTAAACACACACACACACACACACTCCTTTTTATTATGGAAAAGTTCAAACATACAAAAAAGGGAGAAAGGAGTAGCATGCACCCTATGTACCCATAACCTGGATTCAATTTATGAGCAATAAACCGGGGCCATCTCTATCCTCTTCTTCACCCTCCACCCAGACTTATTTTGAAGTAAATCTTAGCGTAACAATGAATCTGTAAATGTTTCTGCATGTAATTCTAAAAGATACAGATCTTTTTAAAAATTATATCATCATGCCCTAATTCTAAAATTATAAAAAATATTAAATGATACCATCTTATACCTAAAATATTAATAATTTCTTAATTTTATTAAGTTTCCAAGCAGTATTCCCATTTCCCCCAATTGTGTCATAAATCCTATCTTTTAATAGTTTATTTGCTTGAATCTAAATCAAAATAAGATTGCAATTGATTGATATTTCTTCTGTTTCTTTTTAATCTATAGGTTCCCACTCTTTCCATTTTTATGTTCTTTTATTTGTTGAAGAAACCAAGTCATTGATCCTGTAGAGTTTTCCAGTCTGTACCTGATTACATCCCCTTTGTGTCATTTGACATGTCCTTCTGTCTTCTGTGTATTCTGTAAATTAATCATTAGATAGTTTAATCAAATGTAGGTGGGAGTGTGTTCTATCAGGAGATATAGAATGTCTAGCTCTCTCTTTCTGTTATGCTAATAGCAACTAATGAGCTTGCTTACATCCATTTTGTCATCAGAAGTCACAAAATGATAGTATTCTAATTTTATTATTATTTTCAATTTATAATAAAATAATGAATAAAGAGGAACTATAAAGAAAAGATTTATTTTTGTCAACTGCTTGGTTACCATAAATATAGAATACTATAGGGTAAGAAAGGCAGAAAAAAAGTTTGGTTATCTTCTTTTATTTAATGTTGCAGCATTAAATCACCCAGCACCCTCCCAAGACAGTGCTAGGTGATTTAATGCTGCATCATTAAATAAAATAACATAATTAAATTACCTTAACATCCTCCATAGGTGATGAATGGTGGTTTCTTAACTTATGAGCTACTTGTAGGTTTAAACATATATGTTCCATTTGGAGCCAATGTAGTTACTATTCTTAAATTAAAATTTAAATTGCCTCATCTTTGATCAGACAAAAGGCTTCTGAATTCTTTTGGCGCACCTTCAGTAAGCTTTGACATGTCCTTGCTATCTAGCATAACAAAAAGCTTCAAGTTTTTCTCTTTGTTTCCTGGCACAGACTTGGAATCAACTATTTCTCCAAAGAACCCTGTGGTAGTGTTGATTTATTCTAAGCTTTCAATTTATTCTCCATTGTTCTTTAAATATATGTATAATATATGTGTATGTAGAAATATTTTCATTTCCTTTTTATGCATGCATAATACTCCACTATTTGAATGTTTCACAGTTCATTTGACCAGTCCTACTGATGGATACTTCCTGAGTTTTTAATATTATAAATATAGCTGCAATTAATAACTTTATACATGCAACTTTCATATTTTTACCACCAAATAATGCCATTATAAACATTCGAGTCTTTGTTAGAACCTATGTTTTCATTTCTCTTAAGTAAATACCTAGAAGTGGAATTGCTGAATCATATGGTAAGTTATTTGGTTGGATATAGTGTTCTCTAAATATCAATTATGTCAGAAAGATTGATAGTGTTGTTCATATTTTCTCTGCTTTTGCTGATTTTTTTTACTATTGTTGTATCAATTGCTGTTAAAAGGGTATTAAAATCTTCAACTATGATTGTGGAATTGTCTATCTCTCTAATTCTATCCTTTTTGCCTCATGCATTTTAAATGTCTGTTATTAGATATTTACAAGTTTGCTGTTGTTATGTCTTCCAATGAGTTGACCCGCTTTTACTATGAAATGTCATTTATCACTGGTAATTCTCCTTTAGTGTGGAAATCTATTTCATCTGATATCAATCAACAGACTCACTTTGATCTTATGTTTACTGTCTGCATGCTATATCTTTTCCATGTATTTACTCTCAAATTATCTGTGTCATATTTAAAGTGCATCTTTGTAGACATTATATAGTTGAATCTTGCTTTTTTATTCATTCTGACAAACTTTGTCTTTTAATTGGAGTGTTTATTCCATTAATATGTAATGTGATTATTAACATGTTTAGGTTTGTGCTATCATTGTATTTTTTTTTTTTTTTGTAAATGCTTTTTTAATGCTTTTTTAACTCCTCTGTTTCTTCTTTCTCTGTTAGGGAAGATTATTTGAAGATTTTATAGAATTCCATTTACATTTGTATTGGCTTTTTTAGGCACATTATTTCATATTGTTTTATTGACGATTACTCTAGAGATTATAACATAGATTCTTAACTTCTTATAGGCTACTTACAGTTAATGTTATTCCACTTCACATTAAATTATAGAAAACTTGTGGTCCAGTTAACTTCCCCTGTCTTTTATGCTATAGCTAATATATAATATACACACATGTGTGTAAATATAAACATACACATGTATATATAATCTACATGTTACAGACAGTGTTATAATTTTTGCTTTCAACAACCATATGTATTATAAAGAAATTAAAGCCTAGGGGGAAGAAAAATAGGTTTTAATATTTACTGAGATATTTATCATTTCCAATGCTTTCTACAACTTTCTGAAGATCTGAGGTAGCATTTATTGTAGTTGAAGTTTGCTAGTGATG
The DNA here is from genome assembly GCF_000001405.40 of Homo sapiens. Lineage (NCBI taxonomy): Eukaryota > Metazoa > Chordata > Mammalia > Primates > Hominidae > Homo > Homo sapiens. Next base: position 118,537,499 of record NC_000010.11, read on the forward strand.
AAGTAAGTTAGTTTTCTTATACATTAAAATGTCATTATTTCACCTCTACTCCAGAAATACATTTTTATTGGATATAGAATTCTAGTTTGACTTCTTAAAAAATTCATTCATTTGAAGATGCTCCATTTTATTCTTGCCTCCATCATGTATGATGAGAAGCTTGCTGTAACTGAATCACCTTTACTCTATACATAGTGTGTCATTTTTCTCATTTTCTGCTTTCTAGTTTAGCTCTTTGGTTTTCAACAGTTTGACTATAATGTGTGCATAGACATGGCCTCATTTGTACTTATCCAGCTTTGGATTCATTAAGCAAGTTGAATCTGCAAATCTATGTCTTTCAGCAAGTTTAGGAAATTTTGGATCATTTTTTTCAAATATATATTTTGCCCTATTCTCTTTTCTTCTTGAACTCCTAATACACGTATGTCATTCTGTTAGATACTATCTAACAAGTCTCTGAAGTTCTGTTCTTTTTTAAAAAATCTTTTTCTTTCTTTTTTTGGCCTGTACAATTTTTATTGATCTGTTTTCAAGTTTACTGACTCTTCTGTTTTTGCTGTTAAATCTGCAGAGTAAGTTTTTGTTGGACATATTGTATTCTTTTCAGTTCTAGAATTTTTAATCATTTCTATTTCTTTGCTGAGATTTCCTATATTTTATTCATTGAGAGCATATATACTTTTATGTCATTGATATATTTATAATAGCAGCATTAACATTTTTGTCTACTCATTGCAACAAATGGATCATCTTAGGTTGGTCTCGCTTGATTACCTTTTCTCCTGGGGATGAGTCCCATTTTCCTCCATTTTCCTGGTTCATTGTATGTCAGGTAATTTTGGATCATACTGTAGACCTTTTAAGTCTTTGTATCTTAGCCATTACTGTGATAGTGGAGAGTCTGGATTCCTTTACACTTGACCAGTGAGTAATGTTTCTTTTGTTTCAGCAGTTAATTGACTTGGTTGGATACAAACTTTAACTTTGTTTCATGGGCCGCAGCTCCAATCTCAGCGCAGATTTTTTTTTTTTTTTTTTTTTTTGAGATGGAGTCTCGCTCTGTAGCCCAGGCTGGAGTACAGTGGCGTGATCTCGGCTCACCGCAAGCTCCACCTGCCGGTTCACGCCATTCTCCTGCCTCAGCCTCCCGAGTAGCTGGGACTACAGGCGCCCGCCACCATGCCTGGCTAATTTTTTGTATTTTTAGTAGAGACGGGGTTTTACCGTGTTAGCCAGGATGGTCTCAATCTCCTGACCTCATGATCCACCTGCCTCAGCCTACCAAAGTGCTGGGATTACAGGCGTGAGCCACTGCGCCCGGCCTCAGCTCAGATTTTTTTTGTCTTCAGCTGGGAAGCTTTGAGTGGCCTCTGTGCTTGCATGTTTCAGGGGTCAGTCAAAGCTGCAGAAAGACAGAGCTTGAGGACACCCTTTTTAGCTCTTTCCTGCAAGATTCCCCTCTTCTCTCTCTAATGGCTAGACACCCTGCTCAGTGCTCTTATTCTCCAGACCAGAAAGACTACAGTTTTTCCACCAACACCCCCACTACTCCATGTGTACACAGCACTGCACATGCCTCCAGGCTACAAGCAAAAAAACAGGAAACTTACATCAATATAAGTCCCCTACTCTAAGCACGAACTCCACAATAGAATCTGCCTGCTTCTCTTTACACTCCAGAACCATCCAGTAGCTGCTTTGGGTTGTTGTTATCTACAGAGGGTTCAATCCAGTAGTAGTTTACAAATCAGCCATTACTGGGAGAGGGCTATTTCAGTGAAGTTTTAATTTGTATCTCTCTTATGAGCAGAGTTAAGCTTCTTTTTATATGCTTGTTTGAATTTTTTCCCTGTTAATTTTCTGTTTACATCTCTTGCCCATTTTTCTATTCCAGTTATGTTGGTCTTTTTCTTCTCTGTGTGTAGGTGGTGTTTCTACATTAGGAATACTAATTCCTTTTTTTCTGAGCATCTCTGGGTGTGCGAGTGTAGAAGCTTCTTCTTAGGGTTTGGTTCAGCATTGGATATTTTTTCTTTTTTTACTTTAAATGTATTATATTTTTATTATTTTATTCTTTTTGCTAGTAGGATTGTTTTTATTTTTTTTTTTAATCTTCAACTTTTAAGTTCAGGGGTACACGTGCAGGTCGTGCAGGTTAGTTATATAGGTAAACATGTGCCATGGTGGTTTGCCGCACAGATCATCCCATCACTTAGGTATAAAGCCTAGTGTCCATTAGCTATTCTCCCTGATGCTCTCCCTTGGCACCCTCCCCCACCCCGATGGGCCCCAGTGTGTATGTTTCTCCCCCCACCCCCCACCCACCACCTATGTGTTCATGTGTTTTCATCCTTCAGCTCCCACTTATAAGTGAGAACATGCATGTTTGGTTTTCTGTTCCTGTGTTAATTTACTAAGGAGAACAGCTTCCAGCTCCATCCATGTCCCTGTAAAGGGCACGGTCTCATTCCTTTTTATGGCTGCATGGTAAGGAATACTAATTCTTTGTGATATAAACTGCAAAAGAAAATGTTCCACATTGACATTTATCCATCTTTTTCTTATTACATTAGGATTTTATATTATAGTTAGGAAAGTTTTTCCTAATCCTAGATTATAGAATAATTCACCCAGGTTTTCTTCCAACCCTTGCATGGTTTCACTTTCTTATATTTAAATCTCTGATTTATTTGGAGTTTATACTTGCGTTGAGTATAGGGAATGGACCCAATGTTCTCTTTTTCATACGGATAACTTATTATCCCAACTTATTTAAAAATCCATCATTTCCCCCACTGAGCTGAGATGCAGCCATTTTTTTCATTCTTAATTTCTATATATGATTTGGTTTATTACTAGATTTTCTATTCTATCCTATATCTCTGTATCTCTGTTCATGCACCTAGGCTACACTGTTTTGATTATTGAAGTCATACTACACTTCAGTATCTGGTAGTTATTCTTCTCCCCCTGCTGTTCTTTTTTCACAAGTTTTAGGTGTTGGTTTTTGCTTTCATTTTTGTTTTTTTCTATTCTTGCTTATTTATTCTTTCAAATAAATTTTATAACCAACTTTGTAGCTCCACTAAAACAAAAACCTGATGGGGTGTTTATTGGAATAACACGAGGTGATCTTCACCGCACTTTATATAAGGTTGGCTTCTCATCTTCCTTGGGCTGTCTGTTTAAATCTCACCTCCTCAAATCAAGACTTACAGAACTTATAGGAAACACTGTCTCCAAAATTACTCAGCATTATAGTCTTCTCCAACTGCAATACGCTAACTATTCACATCATATATTGTGGGAGTAGAAATGTGATCAAGAGAGACAGCTCCACCTCTGATTAGCTGTGCAACCTTGGGCAACTGTTAAGCCTCAGACTCCTCATCTGTACAATGAGGAGGTTACACATGACTTGTAGATTTCAAACCCCATTCTTCAGAACCCTAGAGATGCTGCCATGGTTAATAAACTAAGTGTTAACTTGATTGGATTGAAGGATACAAAGTATTGTTCCTGGGTGTGTCTGTGAGGGAGTTGCCAAAGGAGATTAACATTTGAGTCAGTGGACTGGGAAAGGCAGACCCACCCTTAATCTGGGTAGGCACAATCTAATCAGCTGCCAGCATGGCCAGAATAAAAGCAGGCAGAAGAATGTGAAAACACTATACTGGTTAAGTCTTCTGGCTACATCTTTCTCCCGTGCTGAATGCTTTCTGCTGTCAAACATCAGAGTTCTTCATCTTTGGGACTCGGGCTGGCTTCCTTGCTCCTCAGCTTGCAGATGGCCTATTGTGGGACCTCACCTTGTGATCATGTGAGTCAATACTCCTTAATAAATTCCCCTTTCTATATACCTCTATCCTATTAGTTTTGTCCTTCTAGAGAACCCTGACTAATACAGATGCCTAGGAGCTGCCAAGGGCACCCCAACCCTGCACTATCCAGGGAATATCTGCTTTAGGAAATGTAGTTCCAAGACAGCTTTCATTTGAAAAATGGTTTTACTACCACAGTACATTCTGAAATGGCTACAGATTTTGTCCCTTTCACACTGACTCTGAATTGGCCATGTGTGTATATCCATACCACCCTACACATACCCAGTTTCGTCTGAATTGGCCATGTGACTCACTTGGACAATAGGACATTAAGAAACATGACACAGAGACTTTAAAAGTGCTTGCACATTGGGGCTTGTTCTCTAGGTGTTCATGAAAGCCAGTTGCTACATGAAGAAGCCTGGGCTAACCTGCTGGAAGAAGATGAAAGACCACAACAATCATGATCCACTCCAGTCATCCCAGCTGAACTCCTATACATGTAAAAGACTCCCCTGATGGCTAGCCAATCCTCCTACAGAAGCAGATAGGCAACTGATCGCAGACACATGAGTAAATCCAGCCCCCGATAAGAACAGCTCAACCAACCTGCACATTCATGAACAAAGTAAATGCTTTCTGTTTAAGTCACCAAGATTTGGAGTTTTTGTCTTTTCATTTTTGTTTTTTGTTTTGGTTTTGCAGTAATGGCTAACTAATACAGCCGCTAAATAATATATTTCACACCATTGGCTTAGACAATCTCTAATGGCCTTATCAGTTGATGTTCCTAAACAGCTGACTTCTATTTTTCTAAGGCAATACAGCTGCACTTTCCAGCGGTGTGGTCAGATCAGTGCATGGAGCATCTTCCCTCCCACTTGTCATTTCCTAGGGCATCCCTCCCTGGGTCAGGACCTAATGCTGCCAAGGTGCCTACTTGGGATGCCCTACACAGGCACAGGGCCAGCACCCCATCATCCCAGGGAAAATGTTCAATTACTGCCTTTCTCCTGAGATAGGACCCCTTGGTGTCCCTTAAGAGCCACTGGCCACCCTGCTAAGCAGAACAGGGTAATATGTGTGGTAGGCAGTTATTGGTTGTCATCCCATTATCCCCTCCTGTAGGCAACCTCCTTCCCCCATTCCATGCAGTCCCAATCAGTCATGGTGCCCTGCCACAGAGGTTAACGCATGTCCTGGCTGGCTAATGAGAGTGCCCCATTCCCCTGGCCATAGGCTTTAGTCCAGGAGTGAGCATATGACTGAGGCATAAGCACTAAGGAAAGAGTTTTACCCGGATGGAAAAGATTGTCTATTGCCTTCAAGGTCAAGTACTGCTGTACCTGTGTCGGGCTTCCTGATGGCCATCTTCTCTGGCCCCCCCGGTGAAGCCTCTTGCTGTCAGAGAAAAGGAAAACAACATAAAGAGAAAGGTAGAGCTAAGAGATGGAAATGAGAAAAAAGAATCCCAGTGATCACCCTTGAGCTCCTATATCCAGCTATGCCTGACGCCAATTCCATTTCTCAATTTCAAAGGACATAAAAGCCCATGAAGTTCCTATTTTGCTAAGCCCATTGGAACTGAACTTCTACCATGTGGAAGTGAAAGCTTCCTGACCAGCCACTGTGATCAGAAGCCTGATGTGGCAGGAGGAGCTTGGGACCTCTTGGGCCTGCTCTGCCTTGATCTCCCAAGGGCTGGGCCATGTCTCACTTTCTCCAAGCCCCTTCCCCTCCTTTGTACAGTGCCCTGCACAGAAGAGGGGACTAGCAAATGCTTGTTGGACTCAATAATGATGCATTGGCAGGGATCTGATCCGAGTGCTCGGTGCCTCGGTTTCCTCATCTGTAAGATGAGGATAATAGCACATGCCTTGCTTAGTTCACAAGACCAACATAAAGGCCCATTGGAGCAAAAGTAAATGAATGCACTTCATATTATATAATGTTCTGGACAAATACAAACTCTTAGTTATGAGAAAATGTTTGTTTTATGCTTTATAATACATAATCTCTATGAGCTCTTCCAGGTCTAACGTTAAAAATATTTTTAAATTTAAGTGTGTAATTAAATCACAAATGTTGCATATCTCTGCTTGTAATTTATTCATGTATTCTACGGGTATTTGTTAACCACAGATGCCACTGTTGATGCATTATCTATAGTGGAAATATAGGGCTGCATGTAGATGTCTCTCAGCTATACCAAAAACATACGTCTTCACCAACAGCAGCTGCCCTGTTCTGTGTGCAGAATGGGGAAGGGGACTGGCTGGTATCCAGCATCATGTAAGACACATGCTAGATGTGTTCCCATGATCTCTTATTTCATGCCCTCAACCCCATTTTATAGACAGGAACATTAAGATTGCCCAAAGCTCAACACCAGAAAGTGGCTAACCCCTCAGGTCACCACTTGCTTTTTGAGTCAGGATTCAGCCCCCAGTTTGACTCCGAAGCCCTCTCTCTTCCAACCTCACCAGGTAGCCTCCTTTGAGTAAAAAGCCAAACTCTGCCCACCAGGCATTTTCCTGCCCAAACTGGGTCATGTCTGGATTGAAGTGGGGGACAGGGGTCACCTCGGTTGCTAAAACGTAGCTTATGCACCTCCTTCTTGGGAGGTGAACAGAGCTGAGGCTCACCCGGGGGGCGGGAGGAGGCCAAGGCTCACACAGGTGTGATTTCTCCCAATGCCTTCTCCTCTTCCCTGGCGTCCCTCTGAGATGGACAGGGAATCCTGGGATTCTTCTAGAAACTTGAATTAGCCAGGATTGACCCCCTGCCCAAACAGGTAAAAATCACAGAGGGACACCTCTGCCTGACTCAAGAAAAGAGACTGTCATAGACGGCGGGCAAAACCTATAAGGCTTCTCTCCTTCAACCGAGAGCCAAACACACAAACCTGCCAGGTGGCGCTGACAGAAGCCTTGGTGCCATCTTCTGGCCATGTTGAGGATGGCGCTCTGGGAGGCTGAGCTGCCCTAGAAGAGGAGGTGGCTGGATCCACACACGCTCCAGGGGGTCACCTGCTCCATGCAAGATGCTGTGTGGACTCGGGATCAGCAGAGGACAAGACAAGGACCCTGCCTCACAGACCATCTGGAACATCAGGCATGTACCAAAAGAAGACACATGACTGGTGACTGCCACAGGCACGTGCTTTCTGGTTCATGAGGATGGAAGCAGGTAGTGTGTTCCAGAGGAGCCTGGAAAACCAGCATGGGAGACATGGGTTAGAGGGATATGGCATTCCAAGGGCTAGGAAACAGCAACAGCCAAGGTGGGAAGCTGGACTGTGCCTTCCTTTGTCCTAGAGCAACCAACAGACCTCCACAGCAGCATCGTAGGGCATGGTAGGGAAGTAGGGGCAAAAGCTTTGGAAATGTGGATTGAAACCACTTGAGAAGGGCCTTAAATGATGAGTCAGCAATGTGAGGCATCAGCCTCCCGGTGTACCCCAGAGGTTGCTCAGCAGTGACCCAGAAGTATGAACAGAAGGAGAAACGTGGCACACTTATTCAAAGATTTAGGAGGAAAATGGCAGCAAGTTTAAAGACATTTAAATTAAAACAAACACAGATGTATTATCCAGTAGGATGCAAAAATCCCTACAATTTTTAAAGACCAAACAATAGACTTCAAAGACATTTTCCACTTGCAGCAGCCCTTTTTGGGGTACCCAGGCACTGCACACTGTCTATAGCTGGGGGCATTAGTGACAACTACCTCACAGGCTTGCAGAGACTGAAATGAGATCGTCTGCAAAAAGCTTCATGCTTACCACAATGCCTGGAACATAGTGACAGTCAGTGTCATCTGTCAGTACTCTGGTCCTGTCCAGTACAACTCTTTGGCCTGTCTGGTTCCTGATTTGCTTCTGATTCCAATTCAGCCTTTGGCTTCTGGGTCTTCCCTGCATCTCTACTCTCCACCACATCTCCCAGCGCCCCTTCACCCCAACCTCACTCTCAGCCTCCTCCCTGACTTCTTTCTCTTGACCTCCCACCTTGTGTCCCCAGTCCTCCAAGTCCAGGCCCAACAGGACACGTTTTTCCAGAAAATCATTGCCCCTTCTGCCAAGTGATGTACCCATAGGGCTGGTCTTCATCCCCAAATGCCTGAGTGGACCCAGGAGTGATCCCCAGCACCCTCTCCCCACACTGATGGCTCAAAGACTCCCTCACACCTCTGCACCCCAGACCTTGGGTTTAGTAGTCTCTCCACAGCAGCCCAAATGTGTACAGCCCTTGTGGACTGCAGCCACCATGTCCAATCCATCCCTTCCCAGTCCTGGGGGAGCTCAAGCTCACCTTCTAGCATGAGCCGCCTCTGCAACCTCACATGGCTTCTCCAAAGGCATAGATCCCCAAACAAAGCCAAGATGGGTCAGGCAGTTACCTCCCATGTGCCTGGCAGGTGGCATTTTTTTACTATGAAACATCACAGCAAATGAAGCCTGGGAACCTGGGAAAGGTTGGGTACCTGCTCAGGCCAGAGGAAGGAAGATGCTACTCCTCCTTCAGATCATCAGTGACAATGTATCAGTGAGCTACTCAACAGATCCCCCTGCCCCACAAGCACCTGCAGAGCTGTTGTGTTTTCCATATACATTACATACAAACGGTACATGGGCAGTTCATTCCCATTGCTCCAACCCTGATTTTGTGCTCTAAACAATATTTTCAGCACCCTCAAAGACCCGGTTTGTCCCAAATTCCCATGATGGCACAGAGCTGCAGAAAGGACAGTGGCCTTAGAAAAGTGTTACAGGTTGGTGCAGAAGTATTTGCTATAAAATTGCAAAAGCTGCAGTTACTTTTTCACCAACCTAATATTTCAAGCATTAAGGGAACATGGAGAACAGCCAGGTTTGGCTCTATTTTTTTGTTAATTTTTACTTATATTTTACTTATATTTTCTTATATACTTATAAGTAAATATAAGACTTACTTATATTTACTTATATTACTTATATACTTAAATTATAATATACTTATGATTTTTACTTATATTTTACTTATATGTGCCCAAAAGAAATATTTGCATATTGTAAGATATTCAAAATATTACAGAAATATTTGCTCTAATAAGCAAAAGTCCTCTATAGCCTCATCTCTCAGAGTTAAATATCAATAGTGGTTCAGTACATACTCCTCCAGGCAGTTTTTGTTCATGTGCATATTTTAATTATTTTTTAAAAATAGAATCATACTATATGCGAAATCTTTTTATCAAACAACATATTTTGCACCTGTCAAAACAAAGATATCTACCTGTCTTGATCTAAGAGTTGTGCAGTATTTCATTGCATCCCCTATAATTTATTCACTCTGTCCTCTGTCAGCTGACATTTGATTTATTGTCTCATTTATCTTTTTTTTTTTTTTCCAAGACAGGGTCTCCCTCCGCCACCCAGACTGGAGTGCAGGAGTGTGATCTTGGCTCACTGAAGATCCCACCTCCTGGACTCAAGCAATCCTCCCACCTCAGCCTCCTGAGTAGCTGGGACTACAGGCATGCATCATGACACCCAGCCAATTTTGTTCATTTTTTCTAGAGATAAGGTCTTATTATGTTGCCCAGGCCGGTCTCAAGCTCCTAGGCTCAAGGGATCCTCCCACCTCAGCCTCCCAAAATGCAGGGATTGCAGGTATAAGCCACCGTGCCCAGCTTTATCCAACTCTATAAGTGAGAAAATTGAATCCCAGAGAGGTTAACTGCTTTGTGCAAACCTTCTCCCACCCAGTCAGTCTTTCTCCTCTCCATGCTGTCCCTTGCATTTCAATTTCTTATTCCAGTTCCCATGGGCAGGAGCAGGGCCTATCCTGGAGAAAAACTCTTTGTCCCAGGGATTCCAGAGAAGAACTAAGGAAGACTGGCAGTCACAGCAAACAGAGTGCCAGCCATGTCCTTTCATTAAAAAATGAGTTAGACATGTGCCTATTGAATTCGTAAGAACTTAGAGACAAAGAACATGAAAGAATCTAGAAGGGGGGAAAAACTGATGTCTTGTCCTTAAATCAATTTTTGATAATGAGTGTCATATATTTAAATGTTCTCACATAATCATCACATTAGCGTTAACTATACCATCAAAGACAGTCTGATTACATAATATGCTGCTTCATGCATCACCGCCATGAACTTGTTAATACATGTAATTATAAATGGAGAAGTAGATTGGGGGTGTATCCAGTAGAGGCCTCTGGAAGTCTGAGCATGTTTTCCTGCTGTTTCCCATCAACTTGAGTGAAACAAAGCTGAAAGGCTGTCCTGGCATCGTGGTGCCAGGACACACTGCTTCGCTGTTCCTCCCAGTCCTGCTTTCACTGCTTTTCGGAATCTCTGTGCATCATCTAAGGCTTCTTGGGCTGCAAGAGGCTGAGGCCCAACTCCAGCTGGGTTCAGCAGGAAAGGGGTCTGGAAGGATGTTAGGAAGTCACTGGTGTGGCACCCAGCGTCCAGGTGGGCCCAGACAAGCCAGAATCAAGCAAGGCACAAAAAAACAGTGTGGCAATTTTCACAGTCTTGAGGATGGCAATGTGGGTGGATGGGAAAATGGATCATTTAGCTTAGCTGGGTTTTGAGTCTCATCCGATCAGTGGGAATATTATATTTAATTGAGCTCCTTTCAACTCTAAAATCTGTATATTACTACAGAATAAATGGCACTCCTTTTTACACCAAAATGATAGTAGCATAATCCCTATCCGGCTTCAACTGGATATTCACTCCCTGCTGACTGTCCCACACATTTTACTGGGAGTCCCTAAGAGGATCCTCACAGTCATGCAGTGGCAGTCGCCATGTGGCATTTGTCCCCACTTCCCCTCCTGCAGCAGCTCCACTTACTCACATCTGGGTCCTTACAGCCTCATGAGGTGCCTGTTGTGGCCACTCCCATCATCAGAGCCCCAGGGGCCACCTGTATGACCTCAGTGCTCTCCAAGTCTTCTGGTCTAAAGGTGGCAGACCCCTTCTGGGTATTATTGTCTCCTTCCTTTGTCATCGGAGCCCCAAATCAGCTATGACTTTGCCCAGAGTCTAACAAGGTCCCTTATAGAACCAAATCTGTCCATTCCAACTCTCATTCCTTCAGCCACAGTAGCTCCTACTCTATCCAAGGGATCAGCTAAGTGGCAAATCCTATCAACCCTCTTCCTCCCCCATTTATCCCATGGTCTGCTCCCCCTACCGAAAGTCCTCCTTCTTACCCCAGTAAAAAAAAAAAAAAAAAAATTCTTAGACAAATCCATGGATACCAGCAGATCCCAAAGTTGGGAGAAGGATGCAGCCCTTATTAGTTGCATTTGAACTCCTGCCAAAAATGCCCACGACATGCAGTTCTTTGAAATGGACAGACGCTGACAGAAATAAAAGTGTAAAGAGAAGTAGGCAGAGTTTCCCAATTTCAAAATAATCATTTGCATAAGGCTGGATCCTGAAGACATCTATCTTTATAGGTACCAGCTGCTATAGACTGAATGTTCGTATACCCTCAAAATTCATATATTAAAGCCCAATGTCCAATGTGATCGTATTTGGAGGTAGGGCCTTTGGGAGGTGATTAGATCATGAGGGTAGAGCACTCATAAACAGGATTATTGCCCTAATAAAAGAGACCACAGAGAGCTTATTTCCCCTTTTACCATGTGAGAACACAATGAGAAAGTCATCTATGAATCCAGAAGCAGGCTCTCACCAGATGCTATTAATAAATCTGCCAGTGCCTTGATCTTGGACTTCCCAGCCTCTAGAACTGTGAGAAATAAATTTCTGTTTTATATAAGCCACCTGGTCTATGGTATTTTGTTATAGTTGCCCAAACTAAGACACCTGCTATCAGAACAAGCTGATGTCTTCAAAGGAGATACTCAGTGGATAAAAAACATGAGATCTCTGCCATTTAGTCTTGGAGATAACCACATGCCTATGGTAAGAGCACTGTGACATTACGTGAAGTACTTGAACCCTGGAGCAGAGAAACCTGGGTGTAAATCCCCCTCCTACTATTTCCAACCTGAAAGACCTTGAGCAAGCCCCCTTCACATCCTGGGTCTCAATTTCTTTATTGGATTTGTTTGATAATGTATGTGTGTCAAGCATTTGGTATGTGGGAAATATTAGTAAATGATAGCAATTATTATTATTATTACTGGCTGATAGTGGGATGCACAAGCTATTCTACTTTCTTTTTCTACCCATGTCTCTTCTAGTTAAACAGAAGTTTTAAAAAATTGTCTGGGCCGGGTAAGGTGGTTCACGCCTATAATCCCAGCACTTTGGGAGGCTGAAGGGGGTGGATCACCTAAAGCCAGGAGTTCAAGACCAGCCTGACCAACATGGAGAAACCCCATCTCTACTAAAAATACAAAACATTAGCCGGGCGTGGTTGTGCATGCCTGTAATCCCAGCTACTCAGGAGGCTGAGACAGGATAATTGCTTGAACCTGGGAGGTGAAGGTTGCTGTGAGCCAAGGTCACGCCATTGTACTGGGCAACAAGAGTGAAACTCCGTTCTCAAAAAAATTGTCTGGAACATGTTCAATATTTATTGTCAAATTGCCCTTTAAAGATCTATCCAAAATCTTATATTGTTTTAGCAAGAAATGATAGAAATTTCATCTATCAGATTTAAGACTGTTTTCCGTCTATTTGGAATTTCCATTAAGCCATATATTGAAGGTCTCTCTTCTCCACCCACTGACTGGGCCTACACAGGCAGCCAGTGGCCCTGGACTGCCTACAACACAGCTGTAATGCAGCAGCAGGCCCCTCCTGTTGTAGATTCAGCCCAGAGAAGCCCTCTGGCAGCTTGTTGGCCAGACATCCTTTGGTAGAAATGTGGCACTTCAATTTATCCTTTCAAATGGGAAATGGAAATGCAGTTATGCAAGTTTTTAGATTATTTTTTGACCAGGAAAAAAAGCAGGGAAGTTCCTCAAGGAGGCATTGCCAACCAATCTATCATCGGATATGGATGGCTCCCCTGAAATGACCTTCAAAGTCACTGCTAGACCTTTGACCTTGGTGTGACTATCACTCCACAAACTGGAAAAGCCACTGGTTTGGTTTCTACATGGTAGCCATACACATAGGAGCTGGGCTTGGTGCTGCTGCTATAATAAGAGGAGTGGGAGGAATGAGCCAGGAATCAGGAAGGAGAAGGAGTCTTCAGACCAAGAATTTGCTTCTCCCACCCCTTCTTTGCTCATCCCCCTGGGTAGACCAGCTACCTCTGTTTCTCTGCTGGGCTCTGCAGAGCTTCTGGTGTTTCCATCCATATTGGTGGAAAGCAGAGCTCCCTGTGGACATTGTACCCCATTTCTGGTGATCAGGTTGGAAGATGGACTTGAACATATGTTAAATCACCATTGGACAGTGGGCTAGGCAACTGGGCAGAGGCAGACAGGAAGGAATCGTGACTCTCAGGGTACTCCTTGTCTCTCCCTCTTTCTCTATCCTTACTCTTCTCAGAAATTCAAAGTGTTATAGTGAATTGAAGCTGAAATTAACCCAGATCTTCACTAAACTGGATTTTTAAAAACATCTTAGAAAAAAGGCGCAAACCTGGGGGGTCAGAGACGGGGTAGACGTTCATTTAAAGGATATATTTCAAGAACTGCACTCTAAGGTATGGGCCGGGAACCGTGAACGCTCTTCCATGCACTTTCCTCTCTGGTCCTGGGTGAAGACAAATTATCACTGTGGAATGATAAGCATGATGGCTGAGACCCCAATATCCTGGGTCTTGAAGGAGAAATTTAATTATGATAGGGCTATTTTACCTAATACATCAGAAAAGGATGGGGGAGGGAACACATTGATAGCTTTTAGAAATTTTTGAAACACCAGGAGTTGGCCACAAGAAAGACTACTGTGTCCTGTACTGCATCATCCAGGAAACTCAAGCCCAATATCCTTTGGAAAGATCTTTGTGTTAAGTGAAGTTTTCCTGTCAAGTGCAGCTCCAAGGGTATAAGATTCAATTCCCACAAACTCACAACTGGATCTTTTCTAACAGACTTCTCAGGACTTTAAGAGTGTGTGTGTGGTGTGTGTGTGTGTAGTTTAATGAACATCTCCATTTTTTGTGACAGTGAGTAAGTGTATAAAAGTTTAAAAACTCCGTATAGCTTTGAGTGTCCCTGAGACGGTATCTCAGGACCAATGGGGCCAGATTTTAAACAGTTGGCGTTGTTACAGGACTGCCAGAAACAGTCTCTTTAAGCCTCTGATGTCCATAAGATTGGACTTATGCGTGGGTAGCACATGCTGTCATATACAGCCCCTTTCCCTCTGCCTCTGACCCCTGGTAGGAGGAAAAGGGAAGAATTCCTCACTCTCCAGCCTGTTCCCATAAGACTTCCCAGCCCTATGGATACGTGCCCAGAGCCAAACTCCATCGCGGCTGACTGTACTCCAAGGTGACCGTGTGGCCATGTGATTCAGGGTCGGCACTAGTCCTCCCCTTGGCAGCTCTAATTTTGCTCCCCAGTGTATGAACAAATGTAATTCACTCTCTTGTCCCCTGCCCACTATTTCCTCTTTGTGTTTCTTCTTCTTTTTCCTTCCTCTTCTTTTCTCTGCGTTGTGGTTTAAATTGAGAAGGAGGGAGAGTGCTGTGGTCAGGATTGGGAGCAGGAGTAGGGGGCCGCTGGCCAGGTTTATGATGGCAACGATTTCAAATGTCCGCATGCCTGTTTGGTTGCTTTAGTCCATGGCTCACAACTCATCCAAGAGAATCTACCTTGCCTGGACTGCTGTGACAGATTCCTAGTTGGAGCAATTTTAGAAGATACAAAATGCATGGGGTAATATGCCCAAGTCTTAAATGCACCTCAAAGGTGTAGTCTGACGAATTGTTACATTTGTATATACATGAGTGGCCACACCCGGACCAAGACATAGGACACTTTCAGCCCCTAGAAGGCCAGCTGCCACCTTCCCAGTCAATACCCCTATTGAATAGGAAACTAATACTCTAGTTTCTAACACCATAATAAATTTTGCCTGTTCTTGAACTTTAAGTGAATGGAATCGACCAGTACATACTTTTGTATGTTGGCTTCTTTCACTCAATGTAATGTCTATAAGATTTAGCCATGTTATTGCATGCAACAGTTGTCTTTTTTATGGCTATATGATATGGTGGTGTATGAATATGTTACAATTTATCCATTCTACTATCGATGGATATTTGGGTTATTTCCAGTTTTTTACTATTATGAACTAAGAATATATGCATGTTATTCTATGAACATTCTTGAATATGTCCTTTTGTGGACATATGAAATCATTTCTCTTGGGTATATACATAAGTGTAGAATTACTGGGTCACAGTGTAGGCGTATGTTTAGCTTTAGCAGATACTGCCAAATAGTAATTTTCCAAAACAGTTGTGCCAATTTACACTCTCACCAGCAATGTATAGGAGGTCTAGTTACTCCATGTCTTTGGCAACCCTTGGTATTGTCAGACTTTTTAATTTTAGATATTCTGGTGGGTGTGTTGTGGCATCCCATTGTAATTTTATAATTTTAATTGCATTTCTTTGGTAATTAATGATATTAAGCACCTTTTCACATGTTCATTGGACATTTAAATATGCTCTTTTGTCAAATGCCTATTCAAACCTTTTGCCCATTTTTAAAAAATTGATTATCTCTTCTTATCAATTTGTAGGAGTTCCTTATACACTCTGGATACCAGTTCTTTGTCAGATATACGTAATGCAAATATCTTTTCCCAATCTGTGATTTGCCTTTTCACCCTCTTAATGATGCATTTTTTGAACAGAAAATTCTTAATTTTATCAAACTTTTTGCCTATGGGTAATGCTTTGTATGTTCCCCTTAAGAAATCTTTTCATAAACAGTTCTTGTATTTTAAATAATTTTCCTGTATCTATCGAGATGTTTCGATGATTTCTTTCTTTTATTCTGTTATTGTGTGAATTACATCCATTAATTTTGAAACATTAGGTCAATTTTATTAGGTTGGTGCAAAAGTAATTATTACAATTTTTGCCAAACTAATGACAAAACCCGCAATTACCTTTGCATCAACCTAATGTGTTCCTGGATAAATCCCACTTGATCACATAAAGTATCAGTTTTATACATAATTGGATTCACATAACTAAAATTTTTCTGAGGAGTTTTGTGTCTATGTTTATAATAGACGTTTATAATAGCCTCTTAAAACAAATTAGAGAATATCCCTTCTTTTTCTATGATCTGGAAACATTTGTAAAATTAGTATTATTTCTTCCTTATATATTTGAAAATTTCTCAGTAAAGTCATCTGAGTAATGAGCTTTCCTTAAGACTTTTAGTTATGGGTTCAATTTCCTTCTCAAATGTTGTAGTTTTCAGATTTTCAAATTTTTTCTTGTGTGAGTTTTGGGAAGTTGTGCTATTCAAATAATTTTATTCATTTCATGCAAATTGTCAAATTCATTGTTGTAAAGCTGTTCATAATATCTTACTTTATTAATGTCTATGGGATATATAGTCATGCTCCTTCCCCTCTTATTCTTATTGATAATATGTGTTTTCTCTTTTTCCTCTTGATAAGTCTTGCTAGGGTTTTCTCAAGATTATTAATGTACTCAAATACTCAACATTAATCTTTTCAAATTTTCCTTACTGTATGTTTGCTTTTTATATCACTGATTTATGCTCTTTCTTCTATTGTTTCCTTTCTTCTACTTTCTTTGGGTTTAATTTGCTGAAGTTTTTTTTTTCTAGCTTCTTGAAATGAAAGCTTAGGTCATTGATTTTCCATCTATCTTCTTTTTTAATATATGCATTTAAAGCTATAAATTTTCCTCTAAGCACTGTTTAAGCTGTATCTAAAAGGTTTTGATGCAACATGTTTTCATTTGCCTTCCATCCAAATATTTTCTAATTTCTCTTATTATTTCTTCTTTAACCCATGAGTTACTTAAGAATATGTTGCTTAACTTCCAAGTACTTAGGGATTTTCAAATTTTCTTTCTTTTGTTGATTTCTCATTTAATCCTACTGTGTTCAGAAATATACTCTGGTTTTAATCATTTTAAATATGTTGAGGCTTGCTTTATCGTTCGGTGTGTGATCTATCTTGGTGAACACTGAAAGCTATGTGTATTCTTCAGTTGTGTGTGGGTTCCATAAATGTCAATTAGATCGAGCTAGTTAATTATGTTAATCTAATCTCTACCTTTACTGAATTCTTTTGTCTATTTATTCTATCAGTTGCTGGGAGAGATGTTAAAATCTGTAACTATAATTGTAAATTCAAATATTTCTTCTTTTAGTTCTATCAACTTCTATTGTGAAGCTATATTATTAGTACATATATATGCAGGGTTGTTGAATTTTCTTGTTAAATTGATCCTTTCATCATCATGAAGTTTCTTCTCTATCTCTAGTGAAAATTTTTGCCTTAGAGTCTACTTTACCTGGTATTAATATGGCCAGAACAACTTTCTTTTGGATATTGTTTGTATGGCATATCTTTTTCCATCCCATTACTTTAAATATACCAACGTATTTGTCCAGGCAAATACTGCATGATCTCATTTATATGTGGAACCTAAAATAGTCTAACTCAAACAGAAAATAGAAAGGTGGTTACCAGGGGTTGAGTGGTGGGGAAAATGGGGAAATCTTGGTCAAAGTGTACAAATTTGCAGTTATATAATGAATAAGTTCTGGAGACCTATTTTACAGCATAGTGACTAGAGTTAATAATAATGTACTATATACTTGAAATTTGCTAAGAGAGTAGATCTTCAATATTCTTACCACAAAAAGGTAACTATATAAACTATTAGATATTTTAACAGCATGATTGCAATAATTATTTTATGCTGTGTACATATATCAAAACATCATATTGCACACCTTGAGTATATATAATTTTTGTCTATTACACCTCAATAAAGCTGAAAAAATTTTAATTAAGATACTCACTTATATGTATATATACCTGTGTCCTTACTCTATTGGCATTTCTCTTATAAATAGCATATAATTGGGTTTTTAATCTGGTCTGATAACTTTTGCTTGTAATTAGAGTTTTCATTCCAGCATCATCAAATAGTATTTTCTGTGATTATGGAAATGATCTATATCTATGCTGTCTAATTTAGTGGCCACAAGCTACATATGACTTTTGAGCACTTGAAACATGGCTAGTACAAATGAGGAACTAAACTTTTAATTGTATTTAATATTAATTTATTTAAATTTAACTAGCCACCTGCGCCTAATTGCTATCACACTGGATGGTTTAATCTAATTGAATCCATTTACATTTAATGAAATTGATTATATTGTTGGGCTTAGAGCTACTATCTTACTCTTTGTTTTTTACATACCCCATTTGTTCTTTCTTCCTTCATTTCTTTTTTCTTACCTTCTTTTGGTAAGCATTTTATATTTTTCTTCACTCTCAGCTTTTCAGTTTAGACATTCAATGAAAAACACACACATTTGACTTATTAGAATATACTTTAACTTAGTACTCTTGCCACTTCAAAAAAATGAGAACTTTACAATTAATCTCCATTTAGCCCTCTCCTGTCTTTCATGCTATTGATGTCAGACATTTAACTTCCGCATATATTTTAAGCAATACCGTGTATTATCATCAGTCTTGTCTTAAATAGTCAATATCCACTTATATTTACTCATATATTTACCCATCCTGGTATTCTTTATTCCTTCCTGCATGTCTGCTTCCCTCGGAATTCATTGTTCTATAGATTGTTTTTAATATTACCTGTAGTACAAGTCAGCCAGCTTTAAATTCTCTCAGCTTTTCTTATCTGAAAACATCTTTATTTTCCCTACATTTTTAAGGGTATTTTTGCTGGCTATATAATTCTAGGTTGACATTTATTTTCTTTCAGCTCTGTAAAGATGTCATTACATTTTCTTCAGACTTCAGATGTCATTACATTTTCTTCAGACTTCCAAAAGTAAGCCATCACTCTGATCTTTTTTCCTCTGAAGGTAATGTGCCTTTTTTCTCTAACTCCTTTTAAGATTCTCTCTTTGTCCTTGGTTTTCAGAAATTAACTCTGCCTAAATGTAATTTTTATATTTATGTCTTCTATTTGAGACTCATATTCTTGAATTTATTATTTAATGTCTTCCACCAGTTTTTGGAAATTCTCAAGCATTATTTCTTCAAATATTACTTCTGTCCTATTCTCTGCCTCCTCTCCTTCTGGAACTCTTAGTTAACAAATGTTAGACCTACCACTTACTATCTTATCCTTTTTTCCTCAATTTTATATACCATTTTCTGTGTATGTGTGTCAATCTGGATACTTTCTACTGACCTACGTTCTATTTCATTGTGTCCTGCCATGTCCAATCTACTATTGAATTCCCAATTTTAGGCACTGTATTTTTTAATTCTAGAATTTCCACTGGACTCTTTTTTATGGAATCCAGGTTTCTGTTTAAATTCTCCATTTTTATCTTCATTTTCTTGAACTTACTAATCATTATTTAAAATCTGCTTCCTGAGAAATTTATTATCTGAATCACCTGTTGGTCTGGTTGTTTGTTTGTTTGTTTGTTTGTTTTTGAGGCAGAGTCTCACTCTGTTGCCCAGGCTGGAGTCCAGTGGTACAAACTCTGCTCACTGCAACCCCTGCCTCCCAGGTTCAAGCGATTGTCCTGCCTCAGCCCCCCAAGTAGCTGGGATTACGGGTGCCCGCCACCACGCCCAGCTAGTTTTGTTATTTTTAGTGGAGACAGGGTTTCACCATGTTGTCCAGGCTGGTCTCGAACTCCTGACCTCAGGTGATCCACCCTCCTTAGCCTCCCAAAGTGCTGGGATTACAGGCATGAGGCCCTGCACCCGGCCTGGTCTGTTTTATTGATATTATTTCTCTTAATTTCTAGTTAAATAACCTTTTTTAGTCCGGGGATGGTGGCTTATACCTGTAAACCCAACATTTTGGGAGACCAAAGGCAGGCAGATCACTTGAGGCCAGGAGTTTGAGACGAGCCTGGCCAACATGGTGAAACTTCATCTTTAATAAAAATACAAAAAACTTAGCCAGGCGTGGTGGCGTGCACCTGTAGTCCAAGCTACTCAGTTGGCTGAGGCATGAGAATTGTTTAAACCCAGGAAGCAGAGGTTGCAGTGATCTGAGCTAGTGCCACTGCACTCCAGCCTCAGCAAAAGAGAGAGACTCTGTCTCAAAAATAATAATAATAACATTTTAAAATCATTTCTTATAATTTTTTATTGAGTAATAGACATTGTGAATCAAAAAAATGTGGAGCTCTGGATGATGTTATCTCTCTCCCAAATGGTTAAGATTTTTCTTCTTTTTCTTTTTGGTAAGTTAACAGATCACTTTATTCTATTGAAAGTTAATTTTAAGACTTTCTTAGAGTTCATCTCTTTCAGTTTTTCCCTCTCTTACAGAGCATGGTCCCTCTGAGATCTTAACAGAGAATCTGAGGCATTAACCAAACCTCTCCCAATTTGAAAGAACTTAAATTCCAATTTCTAGCTCCTCAGCAATGGTAAGCTTTGGGATCTCTACTCAGAAGTTCAGCCTCCCAACTGCTGCTTTCTGCTTGGCTCTTTGGAATCACTCTGTACGCGGAAATCTCAGGAGACAGCCAATGACCTAAGAGGCATTTTAGAGCTTCTCTCATTGCAGCTAAGTCTTTTCCAGAATTTTGTTCCTCAATCCTTTCCTGCTCTGGCAGACTCAGACTTCATCCATTGTCTCCTTGGCCCAGTCAGATTACAGCTTTCTGCTTGGCGAAGGCCTAGTGCTTATTGAACTGCAATGTGCCCGCCCTTAGGGGGAAAGCTGAGGTGAGTATCTAAGCATGGAACTCATTCCAAGTATTTCCTTTCATTCAGGGATTGTGCTTCCTTCAGTTCCTGCCTGTTTTGGCTGCCCTCCAGGGCCTTCACATCTGTATCTCAGCCTCCACATCCATGAGTTTTACATTCACAGATTCAACCAAGCACAAATTGAAAATATTCAGAAAAATAAAAAATAACAATACAACATTAAAAACAATATAAATTTAAAACACAGGATAACTATCTACATAGATTTGCATTGTATTATGTATTATAAGTAATCTGAGATGATTTAAAGTATACGGGAGGATGTGCGTAGGTTATATGCAAAAACTACACCACTTTCTATCAGGGACTTAAGCATCTACAGATTTTGGTATCCAGGAGAAGGTCCTGAAACCAACTCCCTGAGCTATAACTGTACATATATCTATATCCATAATGTGGATAATTTTTCCTCCAGCTTTTATCATTACTGTCAGGGGAAGAGCTAACTCAATACATGCTATTTTGACGGGAACTGGGACACTAGTTAGAACAATTTTTTATTGTGAAAGGAAACAGATCCACAAGACTGTCTTCAAATGAATTCTTACGTAAAGCCTAATATATAATACAGGTGAAAGAAAAATCTAGTCTAGTGTTGATCAGTTCAGTAGAAAGTGTCCAGGTTATCACCCAGAAGATGGGATATAGGGCTGGTTATATTCTTTGAGACTCCCAAAGTTTGAAAATCACCAAGAACAGGAAGAAGTGTGGGTTTTAGATTCAAAGAGACCTCAGTATGAATACCAAACCTACTGCTTACTAGCTATGTGTCCATGGGTCAACGATTTAACTTCTCGCAAGCTAGGCTCCTCATCTGCAAAATGGAGACAGTCATGCCTACCTTGCTTTTTTGTGAGAAGTTATTATAAGAATTATCACAAAGTACATGAAAAGCAGCTTGCACATTCCTAAGTATATAATGGACAGAATTATGTGCTTCTCAAAGGCAAGCATGTTTTCTCCATTTTTTTAACACACTTACCTACCATCCCAGCATTGAACACTTGGTTGCTGAATAAATACTTGTTGTTTTACTTGCCTTTTCTCCATTAAAAAGATTTTCATGTAAAACTAGGCCTCCATAGCCCTAAATCCTGAGCTATTATTATTCTGAAATAGCACAGTGGGACACAAGATCATATAGAGAAGAATTAGGCTAAACAGAGCTTTTAATTGCAAATGGAGGATAAATGAAGATGGGCTCCCATATTTGCACGCACATGAAAATTGACAGTTCAGATAGTGATATAAAATTGAAGCTGTTACCTATAATGCTTGATATGAATTGTAAACTGATCTTCTACAATAGCCTAAATATCTCTAAATACATTTAATGTAACCATTCATAGCAGGCTCTTTTTGAAAAATAAATTTCCTTTACTGACTGTGTAAATGGATTAATTGAAAGACAATCATGAAAGGCTTTGCCATTGTGTGATGATAGTCTTGTTAATAAAACATCATGAAATTTTTCTAGGAAAAAAAGATGAGTTTTCTGATTTCAACAAAAGGGAAAAATGTTCCTTGCAACACAACAAATTTAAGAAAAGCAAGAGAGTAAATATTACAAAGAGATGTTAATTAATCGGAAGACAAGAAAGAACACAGTAAAATAAACAAATTTCCAGAAAGTATTGTTTTTTAAAAAAGGAAAACAGATATTGAGAATTAGAAATAAGTAAAGAGATATAAACAAAGATATGGAAGACATTTTAAGTCATGGGAAAATAACATGTATAATTCTGTATTAATAAATTTGAAAAGTTTGATAAAATAGATGGTTTTCTAAGAAAACATAAATTTTCAAAATTATCAAAAAATAAATGGTAAATCTGAGCAGACTACTAGCCCTGCAAGAAATTCAAAAAGTAGGCTAATAATTGAAAACATAATTTAGAAAGATCCTGGGCCTACTTGGTTTTACAGGCTCTATCTTTTCTTTGAATTTTTAAGAAACTATCACTTCTATTTTATATAGTTCAATAAGTCTGTAAAAAATAGTAAGTTTCCCAATTCAATTCATTAAGCCTAGAACACTCTTGATACAGTGCCAAGAAAATAAAAAATTTGCATGAATATAAATACAAAGTAAAGTTACAAATCAAGTCAAGTAGTGTTTTGAAATAATAATAACACCATAACCAACCATGATTTGGAATGCAAGCATGGTTCAATACCAGGAAAGCTATTAATGTGATTTATCACATCAGTAGATCAAAGAAGGCATTACAATAAGAAGAGAATAGTTAGAGGCTAACAGTCAGATTTAAAAGCCAGGGCCCCTGGGTTAGAAACCTGGCTTTTCCACTTCCACTGTGACTTTTATCAAGCAATCTAAGGTCTGTGCCCAATTCTCTTGCTATAACATGGGACATATTGTAAATGTTTTTTTCTTAATTTTCTATATATTATAATGTTTTGGTGCCTTTAAATAAACTTTTCTGGCTGGGGAGAGACTGTTCTTCCTAGAGCTAGTGAATTCTTGGAGGTTATAAGGGTCCAGACTGCAGCGTGCCTTTGACATGCAAACTCACCAGTCCAGAGCCACACCTCCTCTCTCTGGCCCTACATTCCGGGAGACAGTATTCCTCTGCCTTAGTCATCCCAGGGCCAGATACCAGGCAACTAGGGACCACCACCCCTTTAGCCCAAAGCTCACTGAAATTATCCAGACTGGCCAATCCTAAACTGTTCACATTGCCCTGCCTTGCCTTGCCTTTCCCTTGGAAACCCCAAGAAAAGGCAGTGACTTAAGCCTTCCCCCACCCCTGTCTTCTCTCTCCTGACCATCTGGTGTCGTTCCCATGTGGTCCCGCATGGTGTGCCCTGTACTTCCTGTCTCTGGGACCATGAGTATAATAAACTTCATTTTTTTTCCAGAGCCTTTCCTCTGTCTCCTTTTGTGGCCACATGTGACACCCACATAAAATAATACTACAAAATATGAGAATACTAACATTACATACTTTGTGGGGTTATTGTGAGAATTAAATAAACTAACACATGTAAAAGATGTTTACATCAATGCCTGGTGTATAGTAAATCCATAAAACTAATACTTGCTAGATATAATAAAACCTAAATCATCATCTCTATAAATGCCAATGATAAACTTTACCATCCTTCTCTGTTAGAAACTCTTGGTAAACCAGGAATAGTTCAACACCATGAAAATTGTCTATCCCGAACTAATAACTAACATCACTCCTCTGAGACAATAAAGGGACACCCACTAAAGCCAGGAGTAGGATCCCAATGGCCACTATCACCCCCTTGGCCTCCACCAGATAAGTTCCCAAGACAACCTGACCACAGTGAGAACGAAATGGCTCTCTAACTGCAATTTTATTTTATTTGTAATCAGATTTCTTTCTTCATTTTCTTGATCCTAGGTTAGGATTAAAATAATTTAAGTTATTAAATCATTTCCTCTCACACCAAGCCTGGCACAAAATGCACAAAGTGAGAAGCAAAGTGGCAAAGTGTCCCAAGAATGCTGCCAACAGTGATGCATAGCTCCATGATGAGATGTTGAGAGCTTCACTGGGGATGCAAACTCCAATTAGAGAATTTGACACTGGAAGAGAATTCACGACTTGTTCTAAGTCACCTTTCCTCTCTGACCTGGGTTCCCTCTTATAGAATAAAAATAGTGTGATCCAAGTAACTTTTGATGACAGTATTTAGACAACATGTCCTCACACTAAAACTTAAAAAAAAACAAAATACTGAACAAATACTGAACTCTAGTTAATAAGGTATTTTTTCCCCCACAAAGCCATGGGTTAGCAATTCTGAAACTAGGACTGAATAAATAAATAATATACCGAGGAACATGGGAGCCAGTTTCCCCACTGGTAGAGAAAGGAGTTACAAATACACGAGAAGGAAGGCGAGAATATGCTCTGTAGGACATGACTGAAATTTGGGGTATCAGTGGGAATTAATGAGTTTTAAAATATACACATTGCTCAATACAAAAATAAAGATAGATGCATGTGTGTGTGCATTCATTTATTTCTAAGCTCTGCCCACTGTGAGGGCCTAGAAGCAATGACATCCACCTAGTAATAAACCCCTAGCACTAAAACATTGGCACAAGACCCGTCTAAAAAAATAAAGAAAGAAAGAAAAAGAAGGAAAGTTCTTCCTTACAAAGGAGAAACAAAAAATATTGTATTAATAGAAGAAACAATAAAATTAGAAAATCACCATCATGATAACAATTGATTAAAGTCAGAATAACATATGGATCCTTAAACTAGTGGGTGAAATTTTTATTTTTACACATGAATATGTACATAGTCACAAATTACCTCTCCATACGATATTTATTAACGATAAATAGCAAACTAGTAACTTGACAGTAGAGAAACTTAGCAGACACCACCTTAAGTGATCGATGTTAACATCATCAGTTATGAGTCAAATTAAGATCCTGTGCCTCCTGATACAATGTACTGAGAAGAATACAACATCACTTATAATGTACTCCTGCCAAAAGGGCATAACCTGAAACTGACAATGAGGAAACATCAGACACACCCAAAGGAGGGTCATTCTGAAAAATGAACTGCTCTATACTCTTCAAATGTAAACACATGAAATACAAAGCAAGTCTTAGGGTCTATTCCAGTTTAAAGGATACTAAGGAGTCATGGCAACTGAGTACACCACACAATCCTGGGTTTTCTTTGGCTATGAAGACATTTATAATGTATTTATAATTTATAATTGACAATTCGATCTGAATATGACCTTATAACAGAAATAGTCATGTTTGCTGATTTCCTAATTTTGGACATTGTACTATGGCTATGTAAGAGAATGTCCTTGTTTTTAGAAATACAGAAGTATGTAGAAATAAGGAAGTATCACAGCTGCAACTTATACTGAACAGTTCAGCAAAAACAATGTAGAAGTATATATAGAGAGAAAGGGATAAATTTTAAAGACTAAAATTTGGAGCTTGATGAAGAGAATACAGCAATTCTTTGAACTATTCCTGCAACTTTTCTGAAAGTCTGAAATTATGTCAAAATTTAAAAATTAAAATTAAAAGTGTTGGAGTTTTTAAACATGGCTATGAATTCCATAGTAATCCCATTGGAGAGGTAGTCTACATCCCCAACCCTTGAATGCAGATGGGCTTGTGTCTTCTTCCACCTTCGATTGTGGTGAAAGATACTCCATAGAACTTCAAGGCAAGGTCATCAAAGACCATAAGGCTGCCACCTTGTTCCCTAGAGAGCTTGCTGTTGGATCCCTGAGCCACCTTGAGACTACCATACTGGAGAGACCACATGGAGGCTTCCTGCAGTCAAGAGTCCCACCTGATCCTGATGGCCCCCAGCAGCCTCAGGCCTGGCAAGGGAAAGTTGAGTGAAACCACCTTGGAAGTGGATCCTCAGTCCCAGCTGTTCCCACCTCTAGCTTGTCTCATCACTGCCCCCACCCCGCCCCAGCTGTTTGAATCATTCCCGCTGAGGTCCTGGCTGACACTGCAGAACAGAAAACAATGACCCCTCTGTTCCCTTCCAAAGTCTTGGTCCACAAAATCTGTGAGTGTAATAAAATTGTTGCTGCTCTGTGCCACTTGCTTTGGGATGGTTTGTTACATGGTAATAGGTAACTGGAACAAGCACCCCATCTGACTAGGCACTGGGCACTGTGCAGAGTCTCTGGCACTCTTTTCCACAGCCCTGTGGAAACACCATTATTATCCCCATCTTACAGATGAAGAAACTGAGGGCCAAAGTTTTGTAACAACTTGCCCAGGGCCACAGAGCTAGGCAAGTTACAAACCTAAGATTTTTTTCATCGAAGCAAATACTGACACCAGGGCATCCTGCTATATTTCATCTCCCCAAAAGCATTCATTCTCAGCTCAGATAAACCTTATTAGGTCTGGAGACACCATAGTGAGCAATGCAGATGTGGTTTCTGTCTTCATGGTACTTACAGTCTGGTGGGACTGACAGAAACCAAACAAACAGCACCAGCATCATCCAGACATTGGACCTAAGGCCGCTGCAGTCCCTTTTAGAGCAGAATTCCTGGGTTCTGGCAGCCTCTCTTCTTACTCTCCCAGTTAAGGGTCCAGACACACCACAGACCCCTCAGGCGTGGCTGGGCTCTGCCCCAGTGGGTATGGGTCAGATGAACTCATGAGGCTGTTTCTCCAAGAGTCCCCCAAAGAGGGAAAAGGGAGTGTATGAAACGTGGCTATTGTCACCTATAATTCAATCAATAGAAAAAGACAGGTTTCAAATAAATCCTAATGCCTCCCACTACCAAAAACATTTTTTAAAAAGATCTGGTAGGGCCTGAGAATTTGTTTGTCTCTGCTGGTCATGTGTTCTGAGCTCTTACGGCCAGGAGAGGGGCCCTAGCACCCCACCATTCACTTCCCTTTCTGACTTTGGAAGAGTAGCCTCGACCCAGAGATCTAAGAATCCAGCCCCGGTGTGGATGCCAGGACCCCTGCACATCCCCTCCCTACCCTCAGTGCCCCCTCCCCAACTCTCCTAATGGGGCATCTGTGGGAGGTTCGCATTCCAGGCTGCAGCTGCTGCCGCCTGGCAGAGCCCAGGCATCATTTCCATTCCACAGCTTTGGCCTGACATCTGGTGGAGGGACGGGAAGCGGTGCATTTAGTCAAATGACAAGGAGAGTGGCTGCAGCCCTGGGCAGGCAGGGTCTTCCTCCTACGGAAAGTGAGGGTAGCTTCCAGAGTCTCCTGGAAGCTTCCAGGAGTCAGGGGCTTTACCTTCAACCAGTAAGGGCCACCATGTCCTTCCCCTACAGGAGTCCACCAAAGCCTCAGAATGTGGCCATTTGGCAGCTAAGACCTTCCTCAAAGGGGGAAAGGGATCCCCAAGAAAGGTTCCGCAACTCCTCCCAGTCAGGCAGCTGGGAATGGAGGCAGCTGAGGCAATCCTGGGTATCTGACTTCAAAATCGTGGTCTTAAGGACTCTGTCACCTTGGCCCTCAGTGAGTCAACTGAGGTGTGTGGGGGAAGGAGTCTTCATGGGGACACTCAGGGCCGTGGCCATTCAACACCCTCGGATCACAGACATCTGCAGAGCGTGGGACCCAACCTGCCTGATGACAGATATCAAGGGCCCAAGTTCAATACGCACATTCAGGGCCCCGATTGCAGCCTCCGCATTTTAACCCATCCCAGGTGGTCACTGCCTTCAGGTGAACGTGGCTCTGCTGTTTCCTGCCCAGATGCGGTGGCCTAGCCTCATGAAAGGGGTGGAAGGTGGGTGAGGTTACCGATCCCTACTCACTAGGGGCCACTCTCCTCACACTAAAGAGCATACTCCAAGAAGGGGGCGGGGGTGCCCCCCCAGAGCCAGGGCCTGAGATGCAGCTGGAGGCATCCTCCCATCCTGGACATTCTGCAGGTGCCACGCGGTACCTTAAACCTTCTGTGGGTGGCTTCTCTGATCCAACATGGCCAAACCAGAACCCTTGATTTTCACACTGGACCTGCTATTCCTCCAGCTTTTCCATCTAAGTCACTACACCACCATCAACCAGCTACCCAGACCAAAACCACAGGGGACATCATGTTTGTGTTCCCTTTCCCTCCCCATGCCCCACATCCAATCCATTGACTAGTCCTGGCAGCGCTCCCACAAAACACATCCCAAGTTTGCCCCCTCAGTGTGGCACCTACCCCAGTCCCAGCCTTCACCTTTGTCCAATGGGACCTGGCAGAAGCCCCCTAACTCTTCCCCTCCCCTCCCACTTTCTCTCTTGCCCCCATGTCAATTGTCCAAGTGATCTTTTTTATTTTATTTTTATTTTATTTTCGAGACAGGGTCTCACCCTGCTGCTCAGGCTGGAGTGCAGTGGTGTGACCACTGCCCACTGCAGCCTCAACCTCCCAGGCTAAAGCAATCCTCCCCCCTCAGCCACCCAAGTTCCTGGGACCACAGGTGCACCACCATACCTGGCAATTTTTTTTTTGTAGAGATTGGATCTCACCATGTTGTCCAGGCAGGTCTTACACTCTTGGGCTCAAATAATCCTCCTGCCTTGGCCTCCAAAAGTGCTGGGATTATAGGTATAAACCACTATGCCTGGCCCCAGTAGATCCTTTTTTTTTTTTTTTTGAGACAGAGTCTCACTCTGTCACTCAGGCTGGAGTGCAATGGTGTGATCTCAGATCACTGCAACCTCCACCTCCCAGGTTCAGTTCACTGCTCTATCCCCAGGGCTTAGCGTCTGGCACTGGCTCCCAAATATGGAGTTGTTTACATAATTAATGATTCCTCTACTATGACCCAGGCTGTTCCCTGTTGTATTTTGTACAAATGAAACAGCTGACAAAGTGAGACACTGAGAGACTCTAACGCCCAAATGGGAGTGGCACAAGGCGATCGTGGGTGAGAGCAGGCATGTTTCCACACACTCCAGGGAGAAGGCTAGGGCCTGGGGTCCCCTTAATCTGGTCAGGTCTCCGCCAGCTGAAGGAGACCAAGATGCTGGCAGAGATGATGAGGTCACAACCAAGTCTGGGCCCTCAGCATGCCTGAGTCCTGCCCTGTGGTGGGGTGGCTGGTAGAGAAGCTGCAAAGCCACCCCACAGCTCGGGTGTTTGTGGGCTTTGCAGGGCTCCAGGGAACCTGGCTCTGCTGGCCAGTCTGCTCTCCTGGCTCGTGTGTGTAAGATGATGTGGTGAAAACGACTTCAGTTCCATGAACACAGGCTCAGGGTGGAGGGTCCTATTTGAAGCTGTGCCTTCTGAGTCTAGAGTGTGCAGTCAGGCACTGTATAGACAATGAGTTCTTCATTGATGGGACAAGCGCTGGAGTCAAAAACCTGAGCTGGACATCAGTTAAGGGGTAAAAACCGATTTTACTCAGGACTATTGCAATAGGGAGAATAGAGAACCGGGCTCAACTCCCACTTGCAAGGGCAGGTGGAGTGTTGGAGCAAAGGAGCAGCGTGGGGGTCAGCGGGTGGAAATGGCTAAGAGGAAACATTAGGGGCCAAGGGGATTCTTGCTGAAGACAGGCCAGGAAGATCAGACCTCCCCAGGGCAGTGGTAAAAGATGAGGAACCCGACCAGATATCGAGAGTGATCAGAAATGGAGAATGACAGCTGGGAGTGGAGGGGTCTAGCTAACCTGACTTAGCAGGACTCTTGCTAAAGCTGGATTTTACAAGAAGTGCACAGAGGTGGGCCTAAGAGAAGGTGCAGGAGGCTGACTGAAGTTTGGCCAAGCAAAGAATCTTTGTCATTGGCTAGGGGAAGTATTGGTCCTAAAATCCTGGATAGGAAGACAAACTGTAGGCCAGCAGTGACAGAGGAAATACCTATGTCAAGAAAGTTGGAAATGTGTCAGAGATTAATTTTAGCCCTGGGAATATGTCCGTCGGAAGAAACAGAATGGAAAATGGGGAATCTAGGAGAAACCACCGACATTCCTTCGTCAAGCATTTATGGCGTGCCTGCTCTGAGCTGGCCTGCAGGGTCTGTGGGAAGAGACAGTGCCTCCCTCTCCAGGGCCCCCATGGGACACTTCTCATATTCTGAAACAGTGCTTGCCAGGTCACATTGTATTATCTGGGCTTTCCACTCCTACAAGGACTGGAGCTGGTTCTCACCACAGGTGGAAGCTGAGCTTGCATCTGCGGCCTAGCAGGTTCTCCACATGGTGGGTAATGTGTGACTTCTGTGTCCCCGGCATGGAGTCCCGCTAGGCCCAGTGCTAGTCTACTATCTAATTCATGAGTTATTCTGGTTACGTTCTTGCCACAGTTGAGGAGACTAAATGGTTCTCCATAGGACAGGCCGTGCAACGGCATCTAATGAGTCCTCTCTCTCTCCCTCCCTCCCTTTGTTCCTTCCTTCCCACAGCTGAAGCATTTTCCCGGGAAAAAGTCCAGGCCGGGCACGGTGGCTCACACCTGTAATCCTAGCATTTTGGGAGGCCGAGGCAGGTGGATCACCCGAGGTCAGGAGTTCAAGACCAGCCTGGCCAACATGGTAAAAACCCATCTCTACTAAAAATACAAAAATTAGCCTGGCATGGTGGTGGGTGCCTATAATCCCAGCTACTAGGGAGGCTGAGGCAGAAGAATTGCTTGAACCTGGGAGGTGGAGGTTGCAGTGAGCCGAGATCGTGCCACTTCACTCCAGCCTGGGTGAAAGAGCAAAACTCCGTCTCAGAGAAAAAAAAAAAAAAAAAAAAGTGAAAAGTTAAAAGTCCATCCTAGAAAAATTCCACTCTTTGCCACAAGGTGGTGATCAAGGCTCACATAGTTTGGGGCCTACACTTTGCGAGCTGAAAGTGATCGTCTCACTCCACGAGGATTTGGGGGTTTGTTTCGGTTTTCCTTTTTAATATCTGGAGGGGAAGCAAGTGTTCCTAGGCAGCTCCCCACTACCCACCACAATCTAATTGTCCTTCAAACCAGACTCTGGTCTGTGTAAACAGGCCGTAAGATGGACTTCTGGAGTTGTCTGGGCACCCGGCTATGAACTTTTCAGATGGCTGTGAAATGTGGTGATTTGAGTTGCTGCTTCTCTGTTCTCAGTCAACACATGGGCCAGACTAGATACTGCTGCCTTACTGGCCTTGAACACATGGCTCTGATCCGAGGCCATTGCCTGACTTTCTTGGAATTATTGAGATCAAGAAATTGTAAGAGGCTGAGGCAGGAGAATCACTTGAACCCAGGAGGCGGAGGTTGCAGTGAGCTGAGATCGCGCAACTGCACTCCAGCCTGGGTGACAGAGTGAGACTCCATCTCAAAAAAAAAAAAAGAAAAAGAAAAAGAAATTCCTCCACAGCGGGACTTGCTGATTATAAAGCTGTATGCCTGAGCTGCCCATGGGTGAGGATAGCACAGAGGAAAGGAAAACAGCACTGAAGACGGGGAGACGAAAGCCTGGGGACCTCATTTGAGCCCCTGGACCCTGAAGCCAGCCCAGCTTCTTAGTTGCATCAGCCAGCATCAGTCAATAATTCTCTTTCAGCTTAAAGCCAGTTTGAGATGCGTTTCTCTCCCTGCACTAAAAAATCTCCTGCTAATACATGTGAAAAGAGGTCCTTGTGAAGTGGTTTTTATAAACCAAAGGTAGAGGTAGTGGCTTGGCCTTTGGAGACAGCTGCTTGCTTTTGAAGGAGGGAGTCCAGGCGCCAGCTTGAGGAAGCCCAGAGACCGCCTCAGAGCTGTCCAGCATCTGGAATCCAGACATCGTGCCAGGCACCGGGAGTCTCTGGGCCTTAGGAGGCTAGAGGAGTAAGGCAGCCTCCAAGTTCTAGCTCTGTGGTAATAAGGCTGACCAGGGTAACTAATCTTCCATGAGTAATGTGTGCTAGCCCCTATTTTAAGTGCTTATATGTGTTACCTCATGTAACCCTCATGACATTCCTACGCAGCAGGTGCATTTGTCCTCCTCCTCAACAGGTGGGGAAACCAGATTTGAAAGAAGCTAAGACACTCGGCCAAGGTCACTTGCTGGTAAGAAGGAGGCTGGATTTGAATCCAGGAGGCTGAGAGGAAGAGTCCACATAAGGCTTCTCAGAGCCGGCACCCAGCGTCCAAGCTGATGAAACATAACTGCCCAGGCTGAGTCATCTGATCCACCAGTTCAGGCCTTCTACCCCAGCTGGTCCTAACCATGGGTGGAAGCTGAGCTTGCATCTGCAGCCCTTTGTCAAGAGAGGCCTAATGGAAAACCTGACCGTCTACCCCAAATAGCAGTAATGAACCAGTGCCTCCCCCTTCCCCATCAGGGTGAGGTCACAGCTTCTACCCACAAGTTCTCCAGCTGGTTCTCCATGGGGACAGAAGTCACTGGCATGAGTAGTTGAACTTTGGAGTTGGAACGTGTGTCCAAATCCTGGATGTGCCACTTACCAGCCAGCTGGGCACTCAACCTCTCCACGCTTTGGTTTCCTTGTCTGTAAGGTTGGGATAATTTTAAAATGCCTGCTTTACAAGGCTGTTGGATTCCAAAAGATCATACCCTGGCTTCAGGCTCTCACTAAAAACTCATTATCATACTTATAATTTTCTATGCAATAGGGAGAAAGTGATAAGAAAATGACCAAAAGAATAATAATTCTGAGAGGCTCTGGCTCATTTCAAAATGAGACACAGGAGTGGAAAGGTAGCAATTCTATAAATCAGTGGTTCTCAGCCTGAGCAGCCCATTAGAATCGCTTAGGAAAGCTTTATAAAAATCATGCCTGACCCCATTTCCAGAGCAATTAAATGAGAATCCTTGGGGCTGGGGACCAGACATTGGTCTTTTTGAAAAGCACACCAGCTGACTAGTGTTCAGCAGGGATACAGAGCCACTTTTGGGGTAAACAAGAGGTTTGTCTGGCAGAACAGAGTGGTGGGCCCCTCAGCAGCTTTCTTCCCAAAATAGAAGGGGGTGGTCTCTCCAGCAGTGAAATCAAAGCTCGGGACCTCACTCTGACAGCTGAAATGTATAAGGGGTTTGGACAGGTCTGTCCTCAGCCTTGGCATTGCAAGTAGCAGCTCTTCCTGGCTTCAGTAGCATGGTGGCAGATGGATAAAATGAATACACTACGAGATTAAATAACGAGGAGATGTTATGCCAACAAAATTAACTTGTCCAGCCTGTTCCTTAGCAACTGCACTATTATTTCAGGTTTCCTTTAGAAACCTCTGGTTGTTCCCGCCACTCCTTTTCATTAAAATGTGAGGCGCAGTTATTTCTTACTTTAATGAAAAGGATAGAAAAGCAAGGAATGAGGCAAAAGAAACTTCTAACCACCCCTCAAATTGCATCAGGCCAGCCCTAGACAAATAGGATCAAATTGGTAACTTGTAAATTGGGGTGCTTATTTCGTTTTCCTGCAGATGTAGCTTTTCTGGTCCTCCAAGGGCTTCACCATGCAGTCCTGCCTTTTATGAACACATGGTGCATTTGCCAAACCAATCTGAGGCTGCCCAGATAGCCATTGTTTGGGAGTCAGGCCCTGAACGTTGGAATTCAGAACACAGTGTCCTCAGAGGAAAATCACTTTTGTGCAGCAGGAACAGGCGCAGAGTGAGTAATTGGCTGGTTTTAGGAGGGGTGGGGAGGCTTCTTGTTTCTAAACTCTGCCCAGTTGAATTGCCAAAGACCCACCCTCTTCTCAGATGCATCTTTCCTGGGTGATCAGCAGAGGCCAGGGTCTCACAGGGTTTGCCCACTTGACTGACTCAGTGTCCATGGTCCTGGGCAGCAGGAATCCCGTGTTTGGCTCAGAAACTTGGCTTCCTGTCATCCCCTAATCAGATCCAGCTGTGCTCTTGGCTATCCTTGCCTGATCATCTTATTTATTGATCATTGTGGGCTTTTGGTCTCAAATGATTTTTTTTTTAAGTCTGCCAGAAATCTCTGCCTATAAGGTTTGCTGTTGTTGCTCTGGGCTCGAGGTTAACAATATATCCAATTTTATCCTTAAAAGCAGGGGCTGTGAGCCAGGGTTAAGAATTCAGTGGGTCTGTGAACTGGGATCAGAAAACAATTGACTTTTATTTTTCACTCATCTATAACTAAAATCTGTCATTTCCTTCCATTATAAATGTGGACAAAAAAGCAGAGTTGTATGAGAGAAACCAGTGACTCTGTCACCAGTGGGAATCACAGATCATTTGACATTATCCTGCAACTGTGGCAAATTCTCAGAATACCATTTATGCAAATCATTATTTCAATATTACAGTGACCATTCAACCTGCCACTAGATAGCGTATTTACTATAGTAATCAAGAAACACATATATTAAAATATTAAAAAGTCCACACTTGGGATATATATGTTTTAGTATAATTGATTTCCTTTGTAAACCTGTGCATAGTATTTTATGCATTTAAAGACATTATCTTGGAACTCCTGCTTCCAGGAAGAAAATAGATTTGCTTTTCCCTATTGCTTCTGCCAAGCATAAATAAAAATCCTGGATATTACACAAAAGAAAAGATAAGAAGACTCTGAAGGGTGGAAATGAGACAGACCAGACAAGGACCGCAGAATCCGGGGTACAACACAGTGGAGAGTTCCCTGGGTTGTCTTTTTGCCTCGTATATCCCAGACTTGGAGCTGAAAAGCCTGGCAGCACAAAAATACCATCAGGCATGAGCCCAAAAGCCACCCCAAAAGGCCTGCTGTCTCTAGTCAAGCCTAGAAAAAAAGCTTAGCAAGATAGATAACTCGGACGATGACTGCTCCACTCCAGCCACAGACCACAGGAACGAACACTGTGGCCAACACCCACGTGAGCAAAGCCAGGCGGAAGGCCCAGACTTCTACATTTCCAAGGCACCCCAACACTCCCACCGGGGTGGGATCCGAAGAGGCCAAGCAGGGAGCCAGGACTTCCATTCCAGCCAGACCTTAATGACTCCCATCTCCTTCTCCACATCCCCAACCTGCCAGTATCCATGGAGCTGGGACATCCACCCCACCCAGCAGTAATAAGGGATCCCTCCCCCTCCCTACTGGGGTGGTATCAGACGGGGCCTTTAGTAGGGTCAAGACTTTCACTATTGTACAGCAGTAATGAGAAATAAGTTCCCTCTAGAGTGTCAACAGAGGCCAAATGGAAAACCTGAACGTCTACCTCCCCTAGCAGTAATGAGGCAGTGCCTCCCCCTTCCCCATCAGGGTGAGGTCACAGCTTCCACCCACAAGTGGACCTCTACCACCCTCATTGCCGGGAAGGTGCTTTGCACTCAGAGCCTGGCTGGCCTCTACAAAGGCCTGGTGCTACTCTCCTTAGAGATATTCCCTTCTCCAGCATCTACTTCCCACCATTTGCCAACTTTAACCACCCAGGGTTCAATGAGCTTACTGGAAAGGCATCCTCTACTCATTCTTTCAGGTCAGGCTGTGCAGCAGGTTCCATAGTTTGCAGTCACGGTGACACTTCTGGACATTCTGAAAACTTGAGTCCAAACCCTCAAAGAAGGCCTGGGATGAGGACATTTGTGGCAGGGTCACCACTGTGCCAGCAAACTCTGGAGTCCTGGCCCAAATATTTTCACTGGAGACTTCTACCAAACACTTAAAGAAGAATTAATAGAAATTCTACACAATCTCATTCAGACAATAATAAGAAGAACACTTTCCAATTAATTTCATGAGGCTAGTATTACTCTGAGACCAAAATCAGACAAGGATACTACAAATCTTTTTAAGAACAGACCAGCATCCTTCACTAACATAGATGCAAAAATTCTTAGTGAAATATTAGCAGATATAACTCAGCAATATATAAAAAATAATACGCCATGACCGCCATGAAGACTTTATGTCTTCATAAAGAGAGCAGGCTGCCAGGCCCCATCACAGCACCTCTCTGGGAATGCTCAGGACATCTATTTCATTGGTATTGGAGAGTATATCTTAAGGTGTTTTGAGTAGATAGAGCTGGAGTTTGAGTCCTTGTACTCATGGCTCTCTCTCTCTCTCCAGCCCATTTTACTCAGCCTGGATGGGGCAAGAACAGGATAGGCCACCTGTAGCATGTCTTCTTCTCCAACTTGTAGTGCTACCTCTACTCAGAAGTAACAACCCTATTCTAATAAGCATGTTGAGCATGGCCTTATTCTCCCTTCATACCTGCATTTATTTCCTTTGTGGGTACAGCTACCAGGGGCTTTCAGAAACCCCCAACCACCACTAGATAGTGTATTTACTGTAGTAATAAAGAAACACATATATTAAAATATTAAAAAGTCCACACTTGGGATATATTAACTGTTTTAGTATAATTGATTTCCTTTGTAAACCTGTGCATGTATTTTATGCATTTAAAGACATTATCTTTTGATAATAAAACTGCCATGAAGACTTCATGTCTTTATGAAGGGAGCAGGCTGCCAGGCCCCATCACAGCACCTCTCTGGGATTGCTATTACTATTATTATTATTATATTACTATTACTATTATTATAAACTATTCAACAACAAAAATAGTACTTGCTTTTGTTGTATTAATTGCAGGACCTTAACAGATAGTCAAGATAGAAGGGCTGTTTCTGTATTTTAATATTTCTATTTCACACTCAAACTCAGCACAGTTGAGTCCGTTTGAGGATTTAATTTCGTTAATCTTGAATTAGACAACTTATGATGAATCCTCATGCTGACTTTGGGGAAAAGGAGGATCAGAAGTTCAAGGGGACCATGACAGCCCCTAGTCAGCACCTAGTTTGAAGCCAAGCACAGCCTTTCAAACCCTGGAAGGCAGATGAATGAGGCCAGCTCTGACTGAGCAGCCTGGGCAAAGTCAGAGCAGCCACCCTTCTCAATCCCTCCTCCTAGAGCACAGGCCCTCACAGACCCCTCCCT
The DNA here is from genome assembly GCF_000001405.40 of Homo sapiens. Classification (NCBI taxonomy): domain Eukaryota; kingdom Metazoa; phylum Chordata; class Mammalia; order Primates; family Hominidae; genus Homo; species Homo sapiens. Next base: position 118,574,556 of record NC_000010.11, read on the forward strand.
ATCAATGTTCAAGGAACACTATTTGAAATAAACATGAATGGTTAAAGAAAATGTACATGGAGCTTAACGAAAATGAAATGCATCAAAATTTGTGGGACACAGCTAGAGCAATGCTGGGAGGCAAATTTATAGCAGTAAATACATACATTAGAAAAGAGAAAAAATATCCAATCAACCGTTTACTCTCCCACCTCAAAGATCAAGAAAAAGAAGAGCAAAATAAACCCACCACTAACAGAAGAAAGACAACAATAAAGATAAGAGCAGAAATCAATAAAAGTGAAAACAGAAAAACAACTTTAAAACCCCTAAAACACAGAACTGGTTCTTCGAAAAGATCAATAAACTGTATGAACATCTAGCAAGACTGAAAACAAAAAGAAGATACAAATTACACATATCAGGAATGAAACAGGGTGTATCACAACAAACCCTGTAGACATCAAAAGAATACTAAGGAAATACTATGAACAACTCTACACACATAAATTTAACAAATTGGATGAAAGGAACCACTTCCATGAAAAATACAAACTACCACAACTAGTCCCTTATGAAATAAATAATTTAAAAAGCCCTAAAACTATTAAGGAAATTGAATTTGTAATTTTTAAAAACTTCTCCAAAAAGAAAATCTCCTGGCCCAAATATTTTCACTGGAGACTTCTACCAAACACTTAAAGAAGAATTAATACAAATTCTACACAATCTCATTCAGAAAACAAGAGGAAGAACGCTTTCCAATAAATTCATGAGGCCAGTATTACTCTGAGACAAAAATCAGACAAGGATACTACAAATCTTTTTAAGAACAGACCAGCATCCTTCACTAACATAGATGCAAAAATTCTTAGTGCAATATTAGCAGATATAACTCAGCAATATATAAAAAATAATACGCCATGACCAAGTGGGGCTTATTCCAGATATGCGAGGCTGGGTCAGTATTTGAAAATTAATCAATGTACTCTACCTTGTTAACAAGCTAGAGAATAAAAATTTTATAATCATGTCATCTGATGCATAAAAGGCATTTGACAAAATTCAACACCCATTTTTACGACAATAACCCTCAGAAAAATGGGAATAGAGGGATACTTCCCCAACTTGATAAAAAGCATCTACAGAAAAGCTACAGCTGACATTAGGGACAAGGCAAGGATATTTACTCCTGCCACTTTTATTTAACATAGCAGTGGAAGCACTAGCCAGTGCAGTAAGGAAATAAAGGTAATACAAAGCAAAGAGATCACAAAGGAAGGAAGAATTAAAACTGTCCCTGTTTGCAGATGACATGATTGTCTATGTAGAATATCCCAGGAATACATACAAACACACACACACACTCCCTCCTAGAATTAAGTGACTTCAGCAAGGTAACAGGTAAAAGACAAACAAAAATCACAATCAATTGTACATATATATACATATATATATGCAATGAAAACTTGAATATGAAATTTAAAATTAAACACTATGTACCATTGCTCAAAAAATGGAATACTCAGGTATAAATCTAGCAAAACCTTTACAGGACTTGTGGGCTGAAAATTACTGATGAAAGAAATCAAAAAATATCAAAATAGAGAGACATACCATGTCCATGGTTTGAAAGACTCAGCATCATGAAGATGTCAATCGTCCACTTCCTCTATGCATATTAACTGTGTAGAAAAATGGGTAAAATATGTTACTTAGAACAAATTTGAATATATTTGCTTTGTCTTCTAGGGAGGTAGGGAGATAGAGGCAAGACAAATATTCCGTTCTGCTTGCTCCTTTCGTTTACAGTGAAATGGAGAATGGTGCCGAGGGAAAGGAACTCCTGAAATTTCAATGCTTCTCCCAGTTTTCCTGTGACACTAGAGGAGGGACCTGAAGATAAGTAGAGTCCCTTTGCTTAGTAGAGCACACAAAGTGTGCTGAGCACTGTGATGTGTCACCCAGATCTGCCTTCAGGGAAAGGGATGTATTCCCCATCTGCTGGGAGTGCTGGCAAAAGACAACTCTCAGCTGTCAGCCCTCTTCAAGGATTGCTTCAACTGGAAAGAAAATTGCCTCCCCCAAGGTCATGTCTCTTTTAGGGACAGCCTGCATCCAGTAAATAAATTGGTGCTGGGAAATAAAGGCCCAGCTCCTTGCTCCAAATCAGAACAACTCTGAAGAATCATCCCAGCTTCAGAGCAACCAGTAGGATCAGCTAAGGCCTCCACTGACACTTAAAAGAAATCAACTTCTCCTTGTACCTTCCTGATCTTTCCCTTCCCTTCCACAGATACTGATTCCTAGAGCATTTCCTAATAAATGCCTCATGTGCTAATCTCTAATCTGCTTCCTGAGTAACCCAACCTGCAATCACTGGTGCCAAGAATGGTCCAAGAAAGCACACATTGGTACGGAATCATGCAACTAGCATGTGGACCCCATCACTTATGGTGAAGCTCAGCTCCTGGTGATGCTGACAGGGTGTTGGCTATCGCTAAACTTGATCGTCACTTTGAAACCCCATCTCTACTAGAAATACAAAAATTAGACTGGCATGGTGACAGGCGCCTGTACTCCCAACTACTTGGGAGGCTGAGGCAGGAGAATTGCTTGAACACAGGAGGCAAAGGTTGCAATAAGCCGAGATCGCGCCATTGTGCTCCAGCCTGGGCGACAAGAGCGACACTCTGCCTCAAAAAAATAATAATAACAAACAGCTGAGGGTGATTAACTGGCCACTTAAAGCTACATGTAAAAGCCAGAGAGTTTTCCAGGGAGTATATAAGAAGGTGCTGATCTGCTGCCAAAGGGCAGAGAAAGCTGAGGACCAAAGCTAGACTAATTGAAAAGGTAACCAAGCTCTTAACCTAACCTTGTTACAGTCAAGGCCCCACTGGGAAAGAATTGGATTCTGACACGTGGGACAGGGATATCTGGGCTAACACACCAAAATTTTGATCCAGAGATTGAGAATAGTCATGTCAATAAAAAGTTATTGTCCTGTGTCCAGTTTTTGTACCCACACCAATTTTTAGACCCAGAATCCATTGACTAAAGCAGAGATAGGTCTTAGGAGGAAGGATTCAGCAACACCAGAGCAAGTGTACATGGTAATGATTCTCGCAGTCTTTGCCTAAGAGGTCCTACAGCCATCTACTTAGGCAACTGTACACTGAGGGAAAAGGAATACCCAAACAGTTCAAGGACTGTCAGCACGGGATATCCATTGGCATTGACACCTAGAGACCCAAAGCTCCATCATGCCCCCCCCATTATAGTTGGGGGTATATGGAGGCCAGGTAATATATGAGCTCTCAGCCAGATTTGACTCACAGTAGGCTTACTGGGTCTATGGATTCACCTGGTGTTCATTTTTGTGGTTCCCAAAAACTCACTTGATAGTATAACATCTACATTAGTTTCATGGTCTCTGGGATGAGAGCTATCAGAATGGGGAAGGCCTTCAGAAAAACTCTAAAACAGCCTCTCCCAGCCAAAACAGTAAATCAACAGCAATGCTGTGTCCCAGAGGGAATGACACAAATTAGTGCCACCCTTATAGACCTAAAGATGGAGAGGTTGTGATTATTCATTAACTGCATTTTATTCACAAGGCTGAACCTTGTAAAAACTAGACAGATGCTAGAAGATGGCATTGGAGTGCTGTAAACTCAATCAAGCAGTTGCAGCTGCTGTGCTGAATATGGTATCTTTGCTATAAAATATTAACTTGGCCTCTGATATGTGATATATAGCCTTTTATCAGGCAAATGCATTCTTTTTCATCCCTATCAGAATAAAAGTATCAAACCCAGTTTGTGTTCAAGATACATTTGTAGCTTTGCTCCTGATCTATGTTAACTCTTCTGCTCTCTAGCATAATAGTCCAAAGAGATCAACCTGGTTTTGTTCCCGTGGCCACACAGAACAGGGAACCTGACTGCAGTCCCACCTATCTGGAACTATGGAGAAAGAGCTAATTCCATCAAAGAAAGTGGAAGTTCCAACAGGAAGAGGCAATGGAGGCTGGGCAGCCCCAAGCACAAATGTCCCTAGAATCATCTGATTACAGGGAGAAGAGTGTCTTGCCTCTTTCAGTTGCTTCACTCACACATCCATTCACATACTCACCTACTCATTTATATTTTTTCATACTAAGCTATCTTATCTGGGAGGTATAAGAGACGAAACATGGTCTCTGTCTCTGGGTACTTACCATTGTCCTGGGGTCAGAAAACAGGCATGAAAACCATGATTAAACCACAGAGGATGGAGTACAGGTCAAAGACTGGAGCAGCTGTTATCCAGTTACCAATAGAAGTCAATATCCTTGGAGATTTAAATAAAGTGGGCCAGGGGAACAAAGTCAAGTCCATCATGTATTCCCTCCCTTAAGCTTGATCTGAGGGAGACAGAGAGTGGAAGAAGGTGGCATTCATTCATCCCCACTGTGCTCCCCACTAGACCAGTCCGGCTTCTTATTGAATAAGCTTATGAAGCTTCTTGCTGTCATTCTTGGGCAAGATAAGCTCATCTCTTGGCACCTAAATTTATTTGATATCAAATGCATACACTAATACGTATCTCTTAAAAGTTACTGTAAAGATATATATGTTTAAAAAATGGTAAACACCCAACAAGAATTCTTGCATCATGGGAACTCGACCTAAGTGAGTCCCCGCAATACCCTCTCCTTTCTCTATTTGTCCCAGAATCCAACAGTGCAGCCCCATGCTTCGTGATAGAAAAGTGAGGTATAAATTGACATCTTTGCTTTAAATAAGCTTTACTGGGAACTGAATCCACTGACCTGCTGTCATTGTAAAGGCTGAGTGTGTTCAATAAATTGTTTTAAAAGAAAATCCATCAATCGATGGCTATCTGCTATTCAATTATCTGCCAGTTCTATTTTCCTCAGCTACTTTATTTTTTTTTTTTTTTAATAGAGATGAGGCCTTGCTATGTTGCCTAGGCTGGTCTCTAACTCCTGGACTCAAGCATTCCTCCCACCTCAACCTCCCAAAGTGCTGGGATTACAGATGTGAGCCACTGCACCCGGCCCAGCTACTTTATTCTTAACAGTGTCTGAAATAAGCCTGATCATGCATAAACTCACAGTGATATTCTTGCAGAGCTTAACAAACGACTTGCATTTTTCCATGTCTTCCTTATATTTTTATATATTGTTTAGTTTAAAAATAAGATGAATGATTTATAAAGTCAGAAAAATAATGATACTAAGAATTGAAACAAAATCACTGATGTATGCTCCTGCTGTGTCACTAACGCAGGCTGTGCACCCTGGGATAAGCCCCATACCCTCTCTGGGCCTCAGTCATCTCATCTATTGAATGAGGGGATTGAACCAGATGTTCCCTCATGGTCCTTCTGAGGACCTTGGCCTCTACATGTATGTCAGAGTCTCTCCCCGCCCAGAATAGGATATTTTACAGCACGACTAGCCAGCAGGAAACTCTCAATCTTCTCCAAGTCCCAGCAGGCACAGCAGCAAGCAGAATTCTGTAAAGTGGGCAGTGCCTGGCGTGTCCCAGAATAACAGTCAACAATCAAATGCAGAAATCAGCCTTATTGCTGTGAAGTACAAGGCTGTGTCTGCTCCTCTTGGGTTCTGTTCCATCAGCTACGAGCATCCAGGAGTTAGCCTGTTCACCGTGAGTCAGGTTTGCAGTCAAAAAACAACACAATGAACTATGCTCTCTGAGCAGGTGCGCTGACCACAGGGAAGGGATGCTGAGAGTTAAATAAACCCAAAACCAAATCACCCCTAATGAACAGATTCATTAAGACACACATCCTAACTACCTTGACAATAAGCATGAGAAATTGGTGCATAAATACAGTCTTACCGTGATTTTTCTTTTCTTAGTCCAGGCAGGCTGATTTCTATTCAGGCTGTAGCTGCAGCCCCTGAGTATTATTACCTGCTGATTATCATAATAGGCACCTGAGCAAGAATGGCTTGATAAATTGCTCATGCACTGGTGTATTTAGCAGGGCATTCATTCAAGCAGCCAGAGCATTCTTCATCCTTCCATTGGAGTGGAAAATAACCAGTAGCAAAGGCAGAAGAAAGACATGGGTAATAAATTTTAGGAGGGAGGGAGGGTAAGGAGAGAAGGGAGGGAAAGGAGGAGAGGAAAGGAGGCGAGGGACGTCCATCTAATGATAGAATATCAGACCTCACTTGGTCAGCATCCACAGAGGGCATGGGTTGGCTTGGGAGACCCACTGTGGGCTTAGCTTTGTGTCAAGGCCAGCCTTTGCACAACATGTGCCAGGAGACCAGCTGTCTGGACGTCAAAGGATACTGGCAAACACAAAGCAATGGGGACAGAGAGAGAGAGCGCAGTTCAGGAAAACCCAACACACGTGAGGAAACAGTACGCTTCTCGGGAGGCAGCACGGGGTAGTGGGGAAGGAATCTGGGCTTTGGAGAAGCCTTCCTGAGCTTGATTCCCAACTTTGCTGCTGACTTACAAGCTGTATGGTCTTGGCCAAGCTACTCAATCTCTCTGTTACATAGTTTCCTGACCTACAGTATACGTAGATTGGCAATGGCCACAAATATCTTGTAGCTCTTTTCTTTGAGAGGTGGAGCCTATTTCCCCAACCCTTGAATCTGGACTGCCTTGTGGCTGATTTTGCCCAATAGAATAAAGCAGGGGTATTGTATGAGTCCCAAGTCTAGGCTCTGATAAATTTAGAAGCTTCCACTCCTTCTGTTGGAATTCTGCCACCATGTGAACAGCCCAGGCTGGCCTACAAGGATGAGAGGCTATGCGAGGAAGGGATGAGTGGTTCCAGCTGAGGGTCCCTAATACAGTAGCCTGCCAACCACTAGACTTGTGAAGGCACTGTAGGTTGACTTGTGAGGTCAACCAGTCCCCAACAACTCACCAGGAGACGGAAAGCCAGAGGATCAGAAGGACTGCCCAGCTGACCTACAGAACTGTGAGTAATAACTTTTTTAATTGATTTAAGCTGAACAGTAAACACACCTGATAGCAGTAGTGTAAGCATGCCCTTAGAATGACCCTATGGCAGATGCACCTGAGTGTGTGTTTTGAGTTAGGGAGTCCAGGCATGCCCAACCCAGAGATTCATTCCTTATCTATGAGAAGCATCTGAGACCCCGGTCAGTCCCGTTAAATACAGGCTCTACAGAGGATTTGAGGCCCTGAGTTTTGGGTTAAACGAAGATTACCAGGTGGAGGTTGTTAAAGGGAGGCTGTTAAGTCAAAATGCTAGAGAAACTGCAGGCTGTTAGCAAGTGGTGGTGGTTATCTTGCCCAGCCCACTACCACAGGGCTCTGCAGTTATGTTGTCCAGCCCGCCACCACTAGGCCGTTTCTGTATGTAAGGCAGTTATCCTGCCCAGCCCACCACCACTGGACTCTCTCCCCTGTATGTAAGCCCCTAATAAAACCCCATGTCTCATTTGCTGGCTCTGGGTCTCTTCTTCAGTCTCTTGAACCTGGTGCCTTCCTTATTGAAGTGGGTAGGGGTTTGACACAATGTGAGCCACTATGTTTTGGGGTGGTTTGTTACGCAGCCAAAGCTAACAGATACGTGAGATATCCATAATTCCAACCTCATAGAGTTTCTATCTATAAAATACTTCACTGCATAGTATGCAGTAAATTTTCAATCAGATGTCTGATCAGGGGCTCAGATGCCCCTAGTAGCTAAGGAATGAATCTCCGGGTTGGCCACACCCGGGCTCCCTAACTCAGAACACACATTCAGGTGCGTCTGCCATGTGGTCATTCTAAGGGTGTGCTTAAGCTACTGCTATCAGGTGTGTTTCAATAGTTATTATTACTATTATTGTTTGTCATTATTATTAATATGTCCATTGTGTGAGGTAGGACAATGTAACAGAAAGGGGTTTAGGGACCAGACAGGTCTGGATTCGAATCTCAGTGCCACTGCACTGTAGATAAATGACTTCTCTGAGTTTCAGTCTGTTTATCTGTAAAACTGGGATACCAGTATCAATTCCGCAGGGCTGTTGTTGGTGTTGAAGATGTGTGAGCATGGCTTGGAGTAGGAATCTCAGAAAGAAACATGGGCCCACCGCTTGTGCTACCTTTGCATAGCAAGGACAGCAGGACCCTGAGCACCCACTGTGTGCATCATCCTGAGCCCACCAGGCTGCCCCCAGTTTCTGGAGAGAGCATAGAGCCCTGAGGCACCTACAGGGCTCACTTCACCCTCAGAGAGTTCTCATCTCTTGCTTGAAGTTGGACAAGAAAATGCTCCAAAGAAGATTGCACCTTACACATTTGAGGCACCTGAGAAACACCCGCCCCATGACCTAGGCCAATTTGCTACTAGAATTCTGGTTCAATAACACACGGATGTGTCTCCTAGCAAGATTGATTTTTTTGTTTTGTTTTGTTTTGTTTTGTTTTGTTTTGTTTTGTTTTGTTTTGTGACAGGGTCTCAATTTGTCACCCAGGCTGGAGTTCAGTGGCATGATCATGGCTCACTGCATCCTCTGCCTCCCAGGTTCAAGCGATCCACCTGCCTCAGCCTCCCGAGTAGCTGGGATTACAGGCATGCACCATCATGTCGGGCTAATTTTTGTATTTTTAGTAGAGATGGGGTTTCACCATGTTGGCCAGGATGGTCTCGAACTCCTGACCTCAAGTAATCCACCGGACTTGGCCTCCCAAATTGCTGGGATTACAGACATGAGCCACCACGCCCGGCCAAGCTTGTTATTTTTAACATGTTCACTACATCAACATTTTTTTAATTGATTACCAAACATGACATTTTGAAAATATACAGTTTCACATCAAGAGTTTCTTATCTAGTAGGTCTCGGGTAGGTACTAGGAACCTGTGTTTTTGAAAAGCTCTGCAAATGATTCCAATGCACAGCCAGGTTTGGGAACCTTTCAATTTATTAAAATCAGATAATGGTACCTGCATTCTGAAGCAAGTCATTTAACTCATTTGTTTTTGCTATGTGAAGTTTCATAATCTCAGACCTCATAGTTGTGTGATTAAGGGAGCCTCTAAATGAGAAAAACAAGAAGGGAAATCTAGTACATTCCTGAACAAGTCATTCCTTTATGGGTACTTTCAAAGACAATACTGGGAACGTAATAGAAATTCCCCTGGCAAAAGCCTATGCCCAGTCCATGGATGGAGGCACTAACCTTGCAGTCATAGCCCTCTTGGGTGCAGCCTGGCTCACTGCAGGGAAGTGCGCTGGACCCTGGGGATACATGGGTGAAGAAAGCAGATATGGCCTGTACCCACACGAAGCTCACATCTCATAGAGGACAGACCAATGTGTCATGACGAATCATGATGAGCGTCATGAAGAGAAAAAGCAAGGAGATAAAGTTAAGAATAAGAGGCCAGAGCACTTTAAATGAGGCAGTCAGAGAGGGCATCTCTGAGGAGGTGACATTTAAGCTGAGACCTGAAGGGAAAGATCTCTTCCTCCAGGAGGAGAGCAAGGTAGAAGGCGCTGCAGTAGGAAATGGGGTGTTATTCTAAACAGCATTCCAGAAGCATCAGGCCAACTTTAGGACTGATTGAGCTACCCACAGTTCCTAAAAGAGGAGGCCATGTGTCACCTCAGGGTTATCTCTTAGGGAACAGCCATGCCCTCCTATGGTCTTCTTCTGTGGGGGACTTTGCCACAGAATCCTGGGCCTAGTGAGATTCAATGTGACTATGCCTCAGAACAATGGAGGTTGACTTTGGCAACTTCTCAGAAAACTCGAGGTTGTGAACTCTGAGCTACAAAGAGTATACAGCAGGCACACACTAGCCCCTGGCCCTCAGGGAAGGTTGACCAAAGGTGCTGTAACAAATGCCAACATCTGTGCAGGGACCCACGTGTTGAGCAGAGCAGGAAACCCACACTTCAAAATTGCCTTAAAATGACCAGGGTTCTGCGTTTGGGAGTTTGGCAACAGAGCAGGTAGCCAACCCTCCCTCTTATCACAATCTGGAAGCATAAAAGCAGGAATAGCATCATAACATAAAAAAGGGGAAAAAAACTCAGCAGTGAGCACAGTTATGCTTTAGCATCAAGCATCTTTATGTTATTTTTCATCCATTTTCATCACCGTTGAGTCTCCATGGTTTATGATTACCTTACGACATTTTTAAAAAGAAATTAACTTCAACTTTCTAGCAGCTATCTGCTAAGATACAGCTGATGACTCATAAAATGTGAATCACAACACTGGCAGGCCTGGCTGGAAGCCATTAGTGTGCAGTGGTTACTCAGGCCCATATTCCCCGAGTTACAATTTGCCACTTTTCAGAACCCAACACATGTTTGTTCCCTCTCATTTGGGAAGAATATGGAACAAGGGCTCTTGAATATGGAACAAGGCCTGAAGAAGATGCTGCCCTGGACTTGTGGTAGTCCTGTGGGCCAGATAACCCAATGGCCAGTATGAACCTCCCATTTTAGAGGCGTAAAAGGGTTTCTTTCCCTCCCTTTCAGTTAGGAGTATGTCACCCAGTTCTGGCAAGTGATACATAACGAGAGCAACTGAGAAGGCCTCTGCCTTCCTGCACTGAAGGAGAGTTGCTGGTGTTTCCCTTTCCCCTTCCTTCTTGCCTCGGATGTGGATGAGTATCCGGAGTTTTAGCAGCCATTTTGAAGACCTGAGGTAACAGCATCAGGATAAAGGTGAAGCAGTTAACGATGAATGGAGGCAAAAGACAGAAAAAGATTTTAAGTCTTCAATGACACCATTGAGCTACTGGGCCGACCTGACACCCACCCACCTCCAGACTTCTTTGTAAATCAGATGATAAAGAACCTTAGGACTTCTGCCTTGTGGTTAGTTTGGTATTCTGTTACTTCCTACAGAAAGCATTCCTGATTGACGTGGGAATTGAGCATCTGTGGCCTAGATCCCATATGCTACCTTTTCTTCCTGGGGCAAACGTGAAATGTTGAACGAGGTAAGACATTCAGATATGATGCTAATTACTCTCTAAGGCCCTTTTCCACCTATCTCTTCTTCATCCTCACTTAAACTGGCCCACTTCCAGTCCTGATTCTCTCTCTCCTGGACCATGCAATAATTCCTTAATGTATTTCCCCACTTCCTGCCTTCCCATTCCACACTTTCCCTTTTGCCAGCATTAGGTCCCAGAGTACCTTCCTAAACAAGTCATTCTTTTATCTCCCACTCACCCTAAACCTTCACTGGCTCCCCACTGCCTCCCAAGAAGAGCTAGACTCCTTAGGTTGAAACTCAGGGTAGGACTTTATAGTGGTTAGGAAGGCAGACTTTGGACCAAATCCCAGCTCCACCACCTCCCATACATCATTCCTTGGCAAATTGCTTGACTTTTCTAAATATCTGTTTTCCTATCTGTAAAATAAAAATAACAATGAGAATGTCTACTTCCTAATGTGCTGAGAAATAAGTGATGCAATGTAAGGTACAGCACTGTGCCTTACACACAGTAAGAATTCAGCCAACCTAACTGGTATTACTAATCTTCCTGAATCTAGTTTCAGCCAGCTTTTCACCACTCTGTCTCGTAAGCACAGCCTGCACTCTTTCAAATAGGCATCACCCTTTCCTTCCTTTGCTAATCACCTTACCCTGCCCATAGCATGCTCTCCTGCCACTACTCTCTTCATTACATAAAATCCCAGGCATTGGCTGGGGGTGGTGGCTCACGCCTGTAATCCCAGCACTTTGGGGGGCCAAGGTGGATGGATCATTTGAGGTCAGGAGTTCGAGACCAGCCTGGCCAACATAGTGAAACCCTGTCTCTACTAAAAATACAAAAATTAGCCAGGCATGGTGATGGACAACTGTAATCCCAGCTACTTGGGAGGCTGAGGCAGGACAATCACTTGAACCCAGGAGGCAGAGGTTGCAGTGAGCCAAGATCGTGCCATTGCACTCCAGTCTGGGAGACAGAGCAAGATTCTGTCTCATAAAAAAAAAATAAAAGAAAATCCCAGGCATCCTTCAAAGTCTAGCTCAAATATCACCTCCTGCATGAAGGCTTTTCTGACTGCCAGGGTCATACATGAACAGCCCCACCATTGAATTCACATGGCATTTGTTTATGGTTTATGTATCACTTTTCTGACACTTAGTACAGAAGTCAACTGGCCACATTTCTCCACCCCAGGCTGACCTCATCCTTCCATCCTAGGCTGTCCCAATCTCTCCACCCCAGACTGGCCCCATCCCTCCACCACAGGCTGGCCTCATCCCTCCACCCCAGGTTGGCCCCATACCTCCATCCTATTCTGGCCCATCCCTTCACCCCAGGCTGGCCCCATCCCTCCACTCCAGGCTGGCTCCATCCCTCCATCCTAGCCTGGCTCCATCCTTCCACCCCAGGCTGACCCCTTCCCTCCACCCCAGGCTGGCCCCATCCCTCCACCCCAGGCTGGCCCCATCCCTCCACCCCAGGCTGGCCCCATCCCTCCACCCCAGGCTGGCCCATCCTTCCACTCCAGGCTGGCTCAACCCTCTATCCTAGGCTGGCCCCATCCCTCTATCTAAGGCTACTGCTCCTCTGGAGAAAGTCTCCTTTAAATGACTCCACCCTTGGGAGTTTCAGCAACTCCTCCCTGCCCTCTGGTCTCTGGATTGAGAGATGACAGCTCCTCTGCTTGTAGTAGCTACTGGTTCCTGCACCATACTTCATATTTCCCTACCCTTCACCTTCACCTTTGTTGACAAAACCTCAACAGTATTAAGGGCCCTGCTGAAATGCTTGCCTGTGGGCAAATAAGGTGAAGGATTTGACTCTTCATGGACCTGTGCCCATGTGGATTCATGGCTAGAAGAGGGACCCTACCATGCTCCTGACTCCTGGGAAAATCCTACCCTGGGTTGGCAGAGTCTCATAGACACCAGTTGCTGTCTGCCAGAGAACAGCTGGTGGGCCTGCCCCAGCCCTGGTGGGGTGCTGTGCAGGATCTGGAAGCAGCTAAGGGGAAGGAGTCCCACCCCCTCACCCAGATGGTTTTGGTCTCTGGGAGGGCTTCAAGGAGGACCTCGCCCTCCAGGGACAGAGGGACAGCTTTTCAGTGGCTGTGATTAGACTTCGACTCCTCTGCATTTCCTGCAGGGCTTAGGGCACCTTCTAAGTTCAGATTTATCTCTTCTAACCCACACCACTCACTGGCTGAAAAATGATTGAACAGTGGTCCACCCAGGCATGGATTCCTCTTCAGCCAGAATGAGTATGACCCAACATAGAAGTCTTCTTTGATATAATTTTAAGAGGAGGGATGTGGAAGTCAGTTACACAACAATGATGTAGTTTAATCGCATTTTGGTAAAATACAAACTGTGAATATGTTTGTGAATGCTCCTGGAAGGGCCTAGGAAGGAAAAGCACAAACTGTTAACTCGCCCAGGGAAGACAGGTGGGAAATATTCACTTACTACTTAAAGAAAAAATATGTTGATTTTGTAATTAAAAAAAAAATCTACAGCTGTCTTTGCTATTCAGCAGGCCTAGCTTTAGATCAACGAATTGCCTGGGGCAATGGACCAACAGGTGGGTTTGGCTTTTCTTCTGGGCTGCTGTGGTTTCACCAGCTGACCCCTCCTCTTCCAAAAACGTAAAGTGTGAATTCACCACGTTGCAGGAACCTCGGCTTTCAGTGCGTGTGGACTTAGCTGGGGGCTGAGGGGCTGCACACCCTGGAAAAACAAAGGCAACTGCTGCTCCAGAAGCCCCACTGGGAGAGCCCTGTGGGGCGACTACATCTTGACCTGCAAATTTCCTTCCCTCTTTGCCCCTAGTCCCGACCATTTCCACTAGCAAGGAGTTTGAAGGATGTAGACTCCTTGAGTCCCCATCACGCGAAATAGGTGGTTTGTACTACTTCGAACTTGGAGGTGATGCGCAAAAAACAATGACCGAGGTGACGCAATAATGCCAGAGCTGGATGGGGAGCCCAGCACCTGCCAAGCAGCCCCGTGCCCAGCCACCAACCAGGGTGATTGTGGTCTAGGCTAGGGAGGAAAGCCCAGTGCCTGACTGCTAACCGAGAGCTCAAACCTGGAGTCTTAATTTTTTCCAGGTCAAAAGGGTGTTTTCATTGCTTGGCAATAACTGTGGGGGCAAGGAGGGGTTTCACAGTATAGCTTTCCATTTTTCATTGGATGTCATTTCAGAAGAAGGAGATGGGTCCTGAGACCAGGGGATTTAGTCATCAGCAAGTTAAGGAGAGGATATTGTGAGAGCTGAGGGAGGGAGAGAGGCAGAGAATGCTTAAAAGCAGACTGTTTCTCCTTTGCTTTTTTTGACTCCAGTTTCTTTACTCCAGAACCAAACATAAAAATGAAACACATTTGACCTTTCATTGTTAGGCTCCTCTGGAGAGCTCGCTGTGAGACTTACCAGGTTGAGAGCCCTGTGGAGAGTCTATGCAAACTCCTGTTATCCACCTGAGCCTGCAGTTTGACCGCAAAATGACCAATTGTGTGAACTCCAAGACCCCACAGTGTGTGGGAAATACAACAAACTGCAGCCTTCTAGGAGCTTAGTGCAGACTGCCTTCTGCAGTGGAATTAGCCAGGGGTTCTCGCCATCATCTTTCACTTTGTAGCGATTGACCAGGAGATGGATGCTTGAATCCCACCAGTTCCCCTTCACTGAGGCAGAAGGGGCTTAGAGAGGAGATACAGATAATATGAAAAAGTAGCAGAAAAAGGCATGAGAAATAAAGAGTGGAAAAGGAGAGGAATTGTGTTAAAAGCAAAGAAAAACAATTCAAAAACCTGTGAGAAGTGTACATGCCCAGTTTTCAAAATAAGGCTGTTTCCAAAGACTGGAAAATGTACAGTCTTAACAATCAAGATTGCAACTCTCATCCATCCAAATATTTTACATTTCCCACATCTGTATACTATTTTACTTTGTAGGATAAATGGGTCGCTGAAAAGGTATACATATGTCCATTTTTGAGTGGTATTTTAGGTGTACTGAAAAATCTTTTTTATGACTCCATCATGAACATTTTAGAAACCTCGTGATTTTGCTTATAGACCCATATGTGGGATGTTGTTAGACCTTCCCAAATTATGTGTGAGAAATGGGTGATAAAATGCTAACATTTAAATAACTCTCCAATATATGATGGTATAGAAATTAGGCATGAAGTTCTCTACTCTCATTTTGATGGACCCGTGGATTTAGGCATATGCAGTCTTGGGGAGTAGAGAGCTTGGTGCCATATATTTAAATGCTGGCATTACTGAGGTTGGGGGCAGGGGGTCACAGAAGACCCAAAATGAACAGTTCATCTCTGGAATAAGGTGGAGTTGACAAATCTAGGTTGAATAGCATGTTTTCCTTGACATGATTTATCCTTGCTTTGACTCTGGCTATCCTGAGGTTGTGTAGTTACCCCATATGTATAACTGGCTTGGTTTATTAATCCTGTGGCTGAAGACTGTGCAACTGATTTAGTATTTATTGAGCTCCCACAACATGCCAAACACAGTATAAACCCCAGCATGTAGAGCTTCACATGTGATTCAGCAACACATGCATTTTACACACATAGCAAAGACATCAACGCATGAAGGTAAATCAATCAAGAACCTGCCTTGGGAAACAAAGGTGCTCCTGACCTCTCGTCTGTGAGGGACAGGCCCTGTGTTCACTCCCAGATCTAGCCACACTCTTGAGGTTAGTTTTGTGCCTTGCATTTGAAAGACTAACAGATGTTCAGGAATGCAAACCACAGGACAGAGGTCGTGGGTGAGCCTACCTGAGAAAATAAACCTGGAACTTAGCTATCCCAGTAAAACAGCAGATTGAAAATTCACAAGGACAAAAAATCAGACGGTTATAGGAACTGGAATATCCTTACCTTAGCATCTCTCACAATTGCTATTTCCAGGTAGCTGTTGGAGCATGCATTGAAACACTCTTCTGCCAGTTTAATGAGATAAATCTATTGATTGGCTGCCAAAAGTGTGACCTGGTGACAAAGCTTGCAAAGAGGATTACAGAACCTCCCATCAGCCTTGAGAAGGGCTGCTGCCAAGTACCAAGTTGGCTCAGTTCCCAGCCTGACTGCCTGTATTACTCCTTGCAGGAAGAGGACTGTGTATACATCTTAGATGCTTGATATTAACCAAAATGAATTATTAAATAAAATTTTCTACCTACAGTCCTACGCAGTTCTCTCTGGGACTCACCTCTGATTTTTTTGAAATTCGGTTTGATTTATAAACTAGTCCACAACACATTTCAGATGTTGTAAGAATTAATTGCTGTTCCGTTGCTGATTTTCATAATATGTAAAGATGTTTATAAGCACAATCTAATTCTCCAACCTCTTTAAGCTCTTTATAAAGTCCATGTAAGTGTTTCAAACTTAAGTTGTAGGCATGACAGAAACCAGTGGCAGCTTTTCTAGTAATTAATGGAGATGCTTGTTTTTCATAGTTGATATAAACTTAAGCTAATCAAGGAGCACTTTTTCTAACACCCTGACAACCAGGATTTAAAATAATTCATGGTATGTAAATTTGTTTTTTGTTGTTTTTTGTTGTTTTTGTTTTTTTTGTTTTTTTGAGACTAGATTTTGCTCTGTCACTGAGACTGGAGTGCAGTGGTGTAATGATAGCTCACTGCAGCCCAGTGATCCTCCCAGGCTCAAGTGATCCTCCTGCCTTTGTGTCCCAAGTAGCTGGGACCACAGGTGTGCACCACCACGTCCGGCTATTTTTTGTAGAGATGGAGTTTTGCCATATTTCCCAGGCTGGTCTTGAACTCCTGGGCTCAAGCAATTCTCCCTCTTCGGTCTCCCAAAGTTTTGGAATTATAGATGTGAGCCATGGTACCTGGCCATGGTATGTAACTTTATAATACAATTGACCTAAGGTTGAATGATGATATTCCTTCTGAATTGATTGGACTGATACATAAGAAATATGTAAGTAAACTGTTGAACGAATCCCTATATATTCTGATTTCAATAATTTGCCTCTTTGTGATTGAGCTGGTATTGCCTGAAGACTAAAAGAGTATTCTCTAAGTATGGCATGTAACACCGTCAAATTCAGCTCCAAATTATTAACACCTTTGGCAGGTACAACTAAAGCTTCATTCGGATGTTTCTGAGATTCATTAGAAAGAGGATTCCCGCCCCCACCCCCCACCCCGAGATGGAGTCTTGTTCTGTCACCCAGGTTGGAGTACACTGGCACAATCTCAGCTCACTGCAACCTCTGCCTCCCTGGGTTCAAGCAATTCTCCTGCCTCAGCCTCCCGAGTAGCTGGGATTACAGGCGTGCGCCACCACGCCTGGCTAATTTTTGTATTTTAAGTAGAGACAGGGTTTCAACACGTTGGCCAGGCTGGTCTCAAACTCCTGACCTTGTGATCTGCCTGCCTCGGTCCCCCAAAATGCTGGGATTACAGGTGTAAGCCACCATGCCCAGCCCTAGAAAGGATAATTCTTAAGGTGCTTAATCTTGGTTGCACATTAAAATCCCCTGAAGTGCTTTGGAAAATGCTAGTGTCCAGGCACCATCTCAAATCAACTAGACTCTTGGGAGGAGAGCCCAGACATCAATTACAAAAAGAAAAAAAAGTTCCCCAGGTGATTCTAGGAGCAGCCAGGGTTGAGAACCAGTGATTCAAACCTTCCAACAAAGAGCCGACGATGAATCAGATCCCTCCCCAAATAATCCCTCTCCTTCCCCTCTACCATCTACACTCTCCACACATGACCATCAAAGGAACTCTCTGAGGAAATGAGAAATGTCTGGCCCTGAGCCTCCCAAGTAATATAGCTGCTGGAAGCACAGGAGCCAGTCCTCGGGATGCCTGGGAGATGAGCTTATCTGGGGCAGGGGTGGGTTGCACTATTAGCACACAGGTTCTTTGTTCTCCAATCCACGGATGAAGCTCAAGTTCATTTAGCACCATTGCCAGAGGTAACCTCCATACCCATCTTTGCCTGCCTTTTCCTTTCTCCCAAGCCAGCCTTTCCTACCCTTTACTGTGTGCAAAAAGTCTAGCCCTGTAACTACTAAAGATTCCTATGCCAACCAGCCCAACCGTGATCACTCCCACTCCCACCATGGTTGTTGACATGAATGTAATAGGATTGAACCCTTGTCATTCCCATATCATCCCTCTTTCCTTTCCTTTTAGGGCACATTTTAATGAATGAATTGAGCTTATTTCTGAATAAGAGAAGCAGGAGGAGGTGAAACAGTGATTCTTGTGTTCAGTGAGCTGGGAAAGTAGTTGAACCCTACAGATGGTGACTGAGTTACTGGGAACACAGAGGCTGATCTGACAGCTGGATATTATGTATCATTTCCCAAGACTCCTGCCCTCACTGCCCAAGTTGCTTTTCCAACAGTGTGGAGACCTTTGTCCCAAGGCACTTGTCCTCATTTACAGAACTCACAGGAGGTTAAGGTGATGATTATCAGCCTGGTATCATGCTCCACAGTCTTCACCTTTTCCCTTAACCCTGGAGGTAATTAGTGTTTGATCTACACATCATGTGGGTGGTAGCTTATTCTTCTGTTCTGTCCTTAAGTAAACTTCTGCCGGTCCTTGATTTCTGGGTTGATCATGTTCCAAGAATCACTACAGAGCAGGTGCTGAGCAGTCAGATGACAGCTGTTGATCTGTTGCAAGTGAGCAATTAGAGACTGCAGGAGAATGCCACGCTACACAGTTTACATTGAGTATTCAGAAAACCAAATATTTGAGTGCCCACTTTGTGGCAAACACTGAATGTGTACCCACACATACACACACATACACAAACACACATACACAGAGGATGTCTGTCCTTAGGTACAATTGAATGACCTCTTAAGTGAATTGGACCTTTTCCTCTTTATTTATCTATCTCTTCATTGACTAATTCGTCTCATCATTTTTAAATAGTAGTTGGGGAGGAAAGGGGAGAAACAATAGCAAGACCTTTCTAAAGGGAGCTTGTAGGTGTTTTTGTACTATAAACTCAAGTGGTTTTAAAACGAAACCCTTTTGGCATATAAAGGTCTTACTCAGGAAATGCTGAAATCCTAGATGTAGAGTTTTAATACATATTTACCTGAAATTCTAGGAATGCAAGGGTTCAAATGGACTAAGCAATATCATGGTACTCTCAGCTGGGTCCTTTTTCTAAAGGCAAACTGAAAATCTTTACCAAGCCCAATGCATTCCTTTTAAATCCCATTCATATTGTTCATTTCACCAACGAGCAGGAGGAGGGGACGCCAGGAAGGCAATCGTGGTTCTGAAATACTTTTCTGAACGTGGAGAAAAAGTTTTGTTTGTCCTTCAAGGGCATAAAGAAGAAATAAGAAATCCTCTTCCCTCTCTTTGGCCTCCCCCAAGCAAAGAGCAAGACTCTCACCAAAGCCCGCTTAACATTTTACAAACACACAAGGACAAGACAGACAGCCGGACAAGAGGGCTGGGCTGGAAATGTTGCCCTATGTTGGCTTAGCTAGCTCTGGTGCTGAGAATAAGCACCAGATTGACCTCGAGTGGTGCCCTAGGAGGCCAGTTGAAGTGGAGCTCCTTGACCAAGGCCTGGCTAAGTGGCATCAGATGACCACGCTGACGGTCATATTCTGGCCATGGGGGGCTATCTTGCGGGGCCAAGCGACCAACAGTTTGCGCAGCTCCTCGCGGAAGCTGTCGTGCAGCCAGGCGTAGATGAAGGGGTTGTAGCAGGCCGAACTCATGGCGAGCCAGTGGCAGAGCAGCTGCACCAGCCCAAAGGCGTAAGGGTCGATGGCGTGGGGGTCGAGGTCCCGCAGCAGGTTGAAGACGTGCAGCGGCAGCCAGCAGACGGCGAACACCACCACGATCACCACCAGCAAGCAGAAGGTGCGCCGGCGCCGAGCGCGGTCCCAGTCGGCCTGGCTCTGGGTCACGCAGCCCGGCACCACGCGGTTGCGGAGCTTCACTGACACCCGGACGTAAGACAGGAGGATGACCAGCAGAGGGAGCAGGTAGGTGACCAGCAGCAGCCCCCAGGCGTAGAGCTGGCGCTGGCGCTCCTGGGAGCCCCAGAACTCCTCGCAGAGGCGCACGTCGTGCGGCTTGAGCTCCACGTGATAGGTGTGCACGGCGGCGGGCAGCGCCAGCACCGCGGACAGCGCCCAGATGGCCAGCACAGCGTAGGCGCTGAGGCGCAGCGAGATGCGCCGCCTCAGCGGGTGCACCAGCACGACGTAGCGGTCCACTGCGATGGTGGTGAGCGTGAACACCGACACATAGACGGTGACCGGCTGCAGGAAGAAGACCAGGTGGCACAGGCCGCCGCCGAACACCCAGCCGCGTGGCTCGAAGGCATAGGCCAGCGTGAGCGGCACGCAGGCGGTGCACATGAGCACGTCGGACAAGGCCAGGTTGCCGATGAGGAAGTTCGTCACGTTGTGCAGCCGGCGCACCCGCGCGATCACCAGCACCAGCAGGCAGTTGCCCACCAGCCCCACGACCACCACGACGCTGTAGAGCAGCACGATCAGCCCCTTCAGCTGATGCACCAGCTGCAGGCTCTGGAAGGGCGTGACGGCTGGAGCGTCCGCGCCAGCCACCGACCCGTTGCCCGCCGAGGCCTCTGCGCTCTGGTTGGCGGGAGTTGTGACCGCCGGCGGCAGCCCAGAAAATAAGTCAGAAACCCTGGGGCCCCGAGTGGTCGATGAGGCCATGGCCACCTGTTCAAAGGTAATCAAAGTCCGTCACTTCCCTTGCCATACTCCATCCGACCTCCTACACCAGCCGCGCCCCTCCCCCATCGCCTGAGTCCTCCCTTGGGAATAACCGGCCACAGAACAACAGCAAAAGTAGCAAAAAGTGTTGTCCTCTCACCTCTGTAAAATAAACCTAAGCACGGTTAGAACATACGGTTTATTTAAACGCTTCCGCCTCTATTTACGGTCCTCGCAGTCCACGCAGGCAGACTCAGGAGCGCGATCCTACCTGGGAGTGGGGTTTGGAGAGCGGGAAAGCACTCGCGGGAAGAAGGGGCAGAATTTCTGCTGGCCCTCGGTAGTCCTCTGCCCACGTCGGTGATCCGGTCTCGCTTCTCCGCGGGAGCTGAACGGATCCAAATGTTTCCCAGTGGGCTAGCAGCTTCTTAGAGGGACTGGGAGCGCCTCCCCTCAGCTCCGCCCCCCACTCCAGCTCCCATGTATGGAAAATAGGGGTGGAGCGCGCTCTGCCATGCTCGGTGCTTAGAGAACTAGTGAAGAGGACAGTGTGGGGAGGATGGAATCCGAAACGGGAGGAGGGGCCGGCAAACCTGGCCAGAGCAGCGAAGAGGACGAATCTCTACTGCAGGAGCTTGCACGGCCCCTGGAGGGTCAGGGTCCGGAGGAGCGCACAGTGGAGGAGGGCGGAGGAGAGGCGCGAAGCGTCAGGCTATCGGGAGGAGCCGGTGCAGTCTTAGGAGGGAAGGAGCGGGGAAGGAAGTAGCGGTGGGAGATTGCAATGCAGCTGGGGGCTTGAGAGAGGCACGACTGACCCGTTCTTAAAGGCTGGATCCTGCCTAGCGGCCAGGTTGCGGAGGGCAGAGACGCTAGAGGGCTCGGGCTGGGATTTAACAGCAGAGCCTGGAGCTGGTCGCGGACCTGAGGACCCTCACCCTCCCGTGGCCCCGCCACACGAGCCCCCTGCTTGGCTGCAGCGCGCTCAGCGGGCAGCGGGTCCGGCCAAGCCAAAGGCAGGAGTCAGCACCACGGACAGCTTCCGCTGGATCTGCCGCCCCTCGGGCGGATGATGTGGGGAGGAGCAGGGGAAAATGACTAGGGAATTCCTGCCCCTCTCTGGATCCGGGTGTTTGGGGAAGGAACCTGGTCCGGTTCAAAGACCTGCCTCGCTGCCTGCTTTCTGGGCTGGGGCTGAGAAGAGTAGGGTGGAGTGGAGGCAGCTGAGCCGGGGGCCTGGGGGTCGGAGACTCATGACTTTTGCTCCTCTTGGTGGTCACCGCACTCAGTGCCAAGGACGGCGTCGTCTTTTACCTCCCGGGGTCAGAAAATGCAGCTCTCCTGCCAGTTATTCTACACAGGCACACTTCAGTCTGGCCCAGCGACTCCCCGGCTCACCCTTTCTCTCGCTTTCTTTCTCGGCTACCGCGACCTGTGCCGTATCTGGCTGCTTCTCCCAGCACAGAGTAGTTCCTGGACTGAGACTTGACCCCTCCCTCCTTGACTGAACACCCACAGGCCTCTTCTCTTCATTTTAGGATTTTTTAAAAATACTGGTAATTGCAGATTTCAGCTAGGGTAACAAAAGTAACAAACATTTGAGAAGCTTAGGCGTTTCATAAAATCTTCAGTAGTATTAAGTCCTCATTGAAATGCAAATTAGCCTGGCCCACGGGGCAAGAGCCAGGGGAGGAGGGGCCTTTGTAAGCTCCCTCCTTAGAAGCTATCTCATTCCCTCAGCCTCTTGTTTCCTTTTTCCAGAGCATGGAGCTTCATTGTCTCCTCTCTGATAAGTCCTTGTACTTTGTCCTCTGGCTGCAGATATTCCAGTTAGACTGGAAACTAATATCAATTTATTCCACCCTCCAAATTTAAATGAATCACTCATATAGAAAAAAGTCAATATTGGAACAAAAGTAATCAATGTTATGCACCTCTGTCCATCCTAAGCTCACGGTCCCTGAGTTATAATCAATTTAGCTAAAACCAGTGTGTGTGTATATATACATGTATATGTTAGGACAAGATCTCACTCTGTCACCCAGGCTGGAGTGCAGTGGCACAATCATGGCTCACTGCAGCCTCAACCTCCCAGGCCAAAGCCATCCTCCCACCTCTCAGCCTCTCAAGTAGCTGGAACTACGGGTGCACACCACCATGCCTGACTAATTTTTGTTTATTTGTTTCTTTTGAGGCGGAGTCTTGCTCTGTCGCCAGGCTGGAGTGCAGTGGTGTGATCTCAGCTCACTGCAACCTCTGCCTCCCAGGTTCAAGCGATTCTCCTGCCTCAGCCTCCCGAGTAGCTGTGACTACAGGCACGTGCCACCATGCCCAGATGATTTTGTATTTTTAGTAGAGACGGGGTTTCACCATGTTGGCCAGGATGGTCTTGATCTCTTGACCTCGTGATCCGCCCACCTCGGCCTCCCAAAGTGCTGGAATTACACACGTAAGCCACTGCGCCTGGCCTAATTTTTTGTAGAGGTGAGGTTTTGCCATGTTGCCCAGGCTGACTGAACTCCTAGGCTCAAGCAATCCTCCCGCTTCAGACTCCCAAAGTTCTGGGATTACAAGCATGAGCTACTGCACCCAGTCTCAGTATTATATATACTTTTTTAATTGCAGAGCTCTAAATAGGATACAATCAGTGCCTGCCTAATACCTTGCCCAGTAATTTTTCTCATCATTTTCACCTGCAGGGTTTTATGCACCCAAGAGCAGGGGCACTCTTTTGTTTCAAAATCTCTTAAGCAGAGGAAATTGCGATAAAGTCAGTGAAAAAGGATTTGGGATGTTGTTAGGCCTCCTAACTAGAGCCATCATTCTGGTCAATATCATTATATTGGTCAATTATCATATATAATAGTAAAAGTAATAATACGAAGACAACTTTGTCAATAACTGAAGGTCATGTAAACATGGATATTTGAAGTTTCAATATTGGGGCACCCTCCAGAGGAAAGAGTGGATCATTTGCCAAATTCCAGATAAAGTTGGGCAAGCATTTTAGTATTATCAATATTTGCAAGGTGGAAAGGAAGTGAACAGCTGTCCTTTGAAGAGGGAATGAAGATTTAATGTGGCCTATTAGGGCTTCATTCCCTCTTCTCCTCACTGGAGTTAAGGCTAGTCCCTCTCCCAGCCAGCACATCATGATTAAATCATGCTAATGTTCAGACTGTCCAGTACTAAGAATGCTCCAAAAACCTGAGAGAGCATAAATAAACAAAAAAAAATAGGATAAATGAAGGAAAGGTAATACTTCATACAGTAGACAGCAAACTATGGGATTTTACTTCCTCCCATTCTCCAAAAGTCTTCAATAGCCCATCCAACCAAGGCCAGATGCTTTCGCATGGTATTTCCAACCAGTGTGCACTCCCTTTCTGATATGTCCTCATTTTTTTGGTCTAGCTTCCCACCTCTGTCCATTTTACTTCCTAGGTACAAGCCAAACTTTGCTGGGTGCTGAGATATCCTCACCATTCCTGTCTAATTCCTCTCTTAAGGTTTATTTCTTTTCTCCACAATGTCAGTTGTTTAATCCCCACTCAACTCTACCTGTCCACATTCTTCACATCCTACAAGACCCAACCCAAGGACAACTGTTCTCAAAGACTTGTCCCTTCCATAATCTTTCTGTCTTTTATTAATTTCTACCTTGAAATTACGGAAGTGTTTAGCTTCCCTGCCTCCACCAACCCTGACTGTAAATTCTTTATGGACAGGGCCAATGTCTTGATACATTTTGTACCTACAACATGCCACGAGCCCAGCAGATACCCAATACATGTGTTTTTCTTTTTCTTTTTTTTTATTGAATGAATAAAAATAGTTACCATTTACTTAGGGCTTTAGGCATGCCAGCCATTGCTAAGTACATCACACAAATTGTCTCATTTGAGTCCCCTCAAAATTATTATTATACCCATTTTACAGATGAGAAAACTGGCTCTCAAGTCAAGAAACTAACCATAATGGCACATCTAGTATGCAGTGGGGTTGGAATTTCATCTTAGATCTGCCTGATTCTGGCACCACACCACTCAACTACTATACTTCACTGCCTATGAATGAATGGCAGATGTACCTGCAAAGACTGAAAATACAAGCAGGTTCAAATGAGATTGAATAAATACAGGAACCCCTCCCCCCATGGTTTATTAAGAAAGCTCTAGAAAATTTAGTTACAACTCACACCTTATCATGTTTAAGCTAAACAGATCTTCATGCCTTACCCCAAATGTCTCTTGCTTCCATCCCATATAGGAAACAAAACCTTGGGCCATAGTGCTACTGGTGGGTCTTTGCTCCCAGAGCTCCCAAGATGGTGGTGGGCCACTCCCAAGCAAGACGGCGGCAAGCTTCTTGCTCTCTGACCTGGGGTTTTTGGCCTCACGGATTCCAAGGAATGGAACCTTGGGCCATGCAGTGAGTGTTATAGCTCTATTAGAAGCCGTGGGTCACGGAAGAGAACCATGGAGCCCAGCAACTAGTGTTCAGCTCGATTAGGACAAACCCAGGCACTTAGCCGCACAGGAACAATGGTGAGAACCGGAACAGCAATGGGCGCCTCACTGGATCAGAAGCGCAGCGGACACCCTGCTGCATCCAGAGGGGTGGAAGTCAGAGGCGGGTCTGCGACGACGGCAATCAGCAGTGGTGGACGGCGAGTGAAAGCTCAGCTCGAGCTGGAACAAACACAGACCAGAAGAGTGTGCAGTTGCAAGATTTAATAGAGTGAAAACAGAGCTCCCATACAATGGGAGGGGACCCAAAGGGGGTTGCCACTGCCAGTTCGAATGCCTGGGTTTATATCCCGATCATTGTCCCTCCCCCTGTGCGCTCAGGCAATAGATGATTTGACTATTTCTTTACCTCCTGCTTTTAGCCTAATTGGTATTTTAGTGAGCCCTCTTTACTACCTGATGGGTCGGGTGTGAGCTGAGTTATAAGCCCCATGTTTAAAGGTGGGTGCGTTCACCTTCCCCAGCTAGGCTTAGGAATTCTTAGTCGGCCCAGGAAATCCAGCTAGTCCTGTCTCTCAGTAGGAACTTCAGGGGATGGTCTTTGCCGATGATAATAGGTGACACTATGTGGAAAACAGAAGACAGAGACGACAGAAGTAAGGACAGCAGTTAGAGTTTTAGGAAGCTTCGTTAAAGGGATCTGAAGATTTGACATCAACTAAGTCCATGCTGATACGTTATAGTTAGCCCAAATATACAGGAAACCACTAGATATCAGTTTTGACTACTAGCACAAAGAGCTAATTTCTAGCACAATTGTTTGACACTTGTCTAAGGCCAGGTAATAACAGGGCAGAAGCCCTCCCAAAGTGAGTTTTGTCTTCTACACCTGCCCTGTGTGCTTTCCAACAGCCAGATGCCACCATGGCTCCTCAGGCTGAGCCAGGCACCAGTTCTAAAAGCTCTTCCAACTCACTGCCTGGCCACACCAGGACTGGCCACCTAAGGCAGAACAGCCTATGGCAGGCAGTGTAAGAATGGATACGACCATTCACACAAATGTGAAGAAAACTGTGTGTTTCCATTAGATGCCTTTGAGCAAGTGCCTTTTGTCGCAGCCTCCAGACATACTCATTATTAGATTTTGAAAACATTCATTTCCCAGGCTGTCCTCTCACTCTTGAAATAGCAACAGGTCAAGTGGAGAAAAATGATGTTTTAAAAAAGAGGAAAGCCCAGACATAAGCCAAAGCCGATTACCAAAGGGAGGAGGTAACTCGTCACAAAGCTCCAAATCAAAATAAGAAATAACACACAGCTGTTGAGCTTGAATGACAGCTCTCCCACTATGAATGTGAATCATTGGACAAATTCTCTACTCTGGAAGAGCCCCAGTTTTGGAAAATCTAATAATCCCTACCTCTGGGGGATGTTGGGAAAACCCAGTGATATGACACATGGGAAGGTCCAGGCGCCGTGGCTCATGCCTGTCATCCCAGCACTTTGGGAGGCTGAGGCAGGTGGATCACCTGAAGTCAGGAGTTCGAGACCAGCCTGGCCAACATGGCGAAACCTCATCTCTACTAAAAATACAAAAATTAGTTGGGCATGGTGACATGCGCCTGTAGTCCCAGCTACTCAGGGAAGCTGAGGCAGGAGAATCGCTTGAACTGAGGAGGCAGAGGTTGCAGTGAACCGAGATCGTGCCACTGCACTCCGGCCTGGGAGAAAGAATGAGCCTCCATCTCAAAAATAAATAAATAAATAAATCACGTGGGAAGGAATGCAGCTGGCGTGTAGTGACAGTGGCTACTCTTGGAGAACCCTTTTGTCAAGCCTTATGGTGCCGCCCCTTGTCAAGGAGGTTTTTGGGGTGCAGTTCCCAATTCTTCCACTCAAATGTGACAAACTTTGTGGTTAGAAGAATTTGCTGGTTTTTTACATCTACTTGATTCAATCATTGTTTACCAAGCATGCAAAGCCCAGGACTAGATATTACAGGAAAGAATCGGAGACCAAACAAAGAAAAAATGTCATCATTGTCTAAATACTTGCAGTCTAGTGAGTGAGAGAGAAGCCTACAAAAATCACTGTGAGGCATGAACCATGATAAATGCTACTACCACATACTATGAAAGAGAGATAAGAATACTCACTGGGGAATTTACTAATTGCTTTAGTAAATTAGAATTGTGTTCCCTCTTATAGATCATATTTATTTAAATACACAAAGGTCTTTAAAGTGTTCATAATGATTTTTTAACTCAGCTATGTCAACACTGCACATGTGGCTTAATTGTGTCTCTCTCTTTCTATGTTTGTATACAACATACACAACAATGTGGGCCCATTATGAATCTCCATGAGTTTATTTTCTCAGGTGGCACAGATGAACCATTCCTCACTCTTTCACCAGCCACATGTGTAGCATCCTTTCTTCCCAGGGGAGGGGCTCCCTATGATTCCCTGCATCCCTAAGAGGCCCTGGGTTAGAGCATCAGGGTAAAATTGTTATAGGGCACCATCCCTTTCTCCTGTTTTCTGATCATTTTATCTATTTTTGAAATGCATGTCTTTAAAAATATCCCAAGTGGCCCATGAGTGATGCTGATAATAGGGCCTATTTTTGCTGCAATTATCCAGGGCTGGATAATTATCCAGGGCTCTGGAGAGGCTCAGGCAGGCTGAGTTGCTGGGCCCTATAAAGAATTTTACCGGCCGGGCATGGTGGCTCACACCTGTAATCCCAGCACTTTGGGAGGCCGAGGCGGGCGGGTCACGAGGTCAGGAGATCGAGACCATCCTGGCTAACACAGTGAAACCTTGTCTCCACTAAAAAATACAAAAAATTAGCCGGGCTTGGTGGCGGGTGCCTGTAGTCCCAGCTACTTGGGAGGTTGAGGCAGGAGAATGGCATGAACCCGGGAGGTGGAGCTTGCAGTGAGCTGAGATTGCGTCACTACACTCCAGCCTGGGCAACAGAGTGAGACTCCGTCTCAAAAAAAAAAAAAAAAAGAAAGAAAAAGAATTTTACAGTGGCTCCATTCCCTTCCCTTGGTTCTCTGATCACCAGCATCCCTCTCCGGCCATCCCTGGACCTCCCTGAATTCCTGAAGATTCAGGCCCCAGCTAGGGCACCTTCTCTGGTGGCACTCTGTGCAAAGATACCACCCTTAAAATACATAATTGACCAACCTGCTCAATTCAGGATCTTAGCAGGCCTTCATTTTCTAACTTCCGATTGGTCTCTTATCAATACTCAGATATTAGCAGCATGAATGATGTATCTCAGCCTATTAGGGGTAGATTATATACACAAATGCATAAATAAACACAGAGACCAAAGCAGAACACTTGAAAACCATTTGTATTACATTCTTTCCCAAAGACAGGGACAAGGCAATTTGCTTTCCCATTTTGCTTCCCACCCTCCTTCATTATCAACTAGAAATGGCTTTTATGGATGGTAAAAACCATCTGGCATCTGCTCTGTGATATGTAGCAGTGAAGGGCCTTTGCAGTTACATTCAGATGGGGACCTTGACCTTGCAGAAGCTCTTCTTTTGGGTTTCCATTAATATACTTCTCCTGCCAAAGCACAGTGATGAACCCAAGCCACATCTCATTATGCTTTCCTCTGAATTATTATCTGAACACGTCTAAGTTCATGCTGGTGGCCTTATGTGGCGTGAGATATTTTCCTGATTTTTTTTTTTAGACAAAGTGGAGAATGAGAATAGCCCTCGGGTGTTTTCTTCAGTTGTGTCATACATGTGCATGCAGGCACACACATGTGACATTCAGGGCTGGGAGTTTGGCAGCCTGGGTAGGACAGTGGATCCTCCCTGTGCCCCATCTTGGCTAGTGCACCTTTGTCACAAGAGAAACAACCCTAACTTTCATCCTTAAGGAGACCATGAGGCAATGTCTCAGGAAAGGGTGAATAATAGGAAAGTATCATTTTTCTCTTAGTGTGGCCCAAAGGCCACCTTCATCAGAATCAGCTCTGGTGCTTATTAAAAATGCAGAGTGCTGGACCACAAGGCAGGCTCATTAAATCAGAACCACTGAGGGTGAGGCCTGGGAAAACAAATTTCTAACGAGCACTCTGAGTTATTCTGACACATTTAGGGTAAGAACCATTATCCTAAAGTCTGTTATTAGCAGGTGAATCCATGAGCCTGGCTCCCTCCTCCTCAAATGACTGGAATATCAGCCAGGGGCACAGAGCAGATGCAAACCCAGCCTGCCCTCCTGCCCAGAGAGCCCAACAGCTGATCTCAGCCTTCCCTCCCTTTCTCTTTGCATGATAGATGCAGGAAGAAAACAGTATTGTACCTGCTCGGTGCATTCTCTAGATTCTACCTTTTTTAAAAAAAATGATTTTTGATGATATAAGCAGCACGTGAACACATTCTCCTGTTTAATAAAAAGCAGATAAGCCTGAAGTTCCCTTTGACTTTCACCCTCAATCTCCATCTCTCCCTCGGTGGTTACACCTGCCTTTCTAGACCTTTCCCTGTGCATTTACATACATGTATCTGAACCGATGGGAAAGAAGTCGTGTTGATGGACATTTAGATTGTTTGCAACAGTTTGCTATTACAAGCCTCACTACAATAGACATGTTCCTATATGCTTCCTTGGGGAGGTTTCTCCAGGGAGTCACTCAGCAAAGGGAAATCTATGAGTCACAAGATATGATCCAATTTACCCTCACCGGTACTGCAGGGGACTCTCTTTTGCTTAATGAATTGTAAGAGCTCACTAAATATTGCATGAGTTCTTATAACAGGCAAATGTGGAAAGGGACACTGCTGTTGAACTAAACAGCATTCTTTACCAATGCCAGGAAAGGCCCTCATGTCCCCCAAACTTGGTCTTCCCTGCATGTTCCCCTTTCTCCTGGTGAGCATCCACACTTGTTCAGAGCTCCCATGGGCACAGCAAGCTGTCATTGTCCTTACACAATCCACTGTCAACCAGGGCTTCATGGAAGCTACTGGAAAGGATGAATTCTCCTGGGAGAGACATTGGGTCACCCAGTAGAACCCGACGTCCCCCATTAAAATAGATAATTGACCAACCTGCTTGATTCAGGATCTTAGCAGGCCTTCATTTTTTAACTTTCTATTGGTCTCTTACCCATACTCAGATATTAAAATATTAGCAGCATCAGTGATGTATCTCAGCTTAGTCTATTAGGGGTAGATGATATACACAAGTACATAATTAAATAAACACAGAGAACGAAGCAAAACACTTGAAAACCATTTGTATTACATTCTTTCCAAAGACAGGGACAAAGCAATTTGCGTTCTCATTTTGCTTCTCACCCTCCTTCATTAACAACCAGAAATGGCTTTTATGGATGGTAAAAACCATCTGGCATCTGCATTGACCATTGCACTGCTATCCACCTGGTTCTGAGCTCAGCGGAGGCAGCTCTATTTTAATCTTTTTTTTTAAATTTAGATGCCCATGGGAGACTTCACTGAAGCTCAGAATTCCATGGCCAATAAAGTATCTGAGGCCATAGTTGAAGTCACTGGCCCCCTGGATCAGCTTGGCTTACTAAGACTCCAGCCAGGCTCCTGCAGGAGTAGGCTAGGGAATGAACTGGAAGAAAGACAGCTTGAAGAGACATAAAGGGAGACAGTAGTGTTATCAGGCCTGCAAGCCAGGACACCAGTGTGCAAATCCCCACATTGAGAGTAACTATCCAAGTCACCCAGAGCAAGCCCTGCCTGACTCAGCATCTCCGTTCCCTTATCTCTAAAATCATATTGGGGAAAGGGAACTAGACAATCCCTAAGGTCTCTATAAGCTCTGACAGCCCAGGAGTCAGAGACTGTGGTTCTGAGATATTCCTGTCTAGTATCCACACACCTAGATGACACCACTTCTCTGCACACACCTGAATGACACCTTGCCCCACTTCCACCTTTTAAAAAGCTGTATATCTATATGACATCCTCAGACATCCTCCTCAGACTCACTTTAGCTTTTTCTCCACAGGTCTGGCCTTCCTACATATCTAAGAAAGAACTTTAAGCCCTTGGATTCACAATTCACTGAGGGAAGAATCCCAGAGGAAATCATTTCGTTCACGCGTACTCCCAGCAATGTTTCCACTCTCGAGCTGTAAGCACCGTGAGGCAAGTCAGCCTGAGCAATCGTTGGCAGTCTTCTGAGTTTAGTAAGTGGTGTTTGTTCGATTCCTATGATTCACTCGATCCAATCAAAGCAATTACTAACTCACACTCTTCAACCATTTCCCAGCCACGCGAAGGCTCTGTTTGCTACAGTGATGCTTTTTCATGTAAGATTTTCTTTTTTAATTTATAACAGTCTTTCTACCAGCTTCCCCAGCTACTTTTTTCTCATATGGCAAATTTCATGAACATAATTAACGGATGTGGTGGGGCTTTTTCTTACATCAAATCCACAAAATTAAACAGCTAGAGAGTTCCCTGAGATGTTTCTTATGCAAGTATCTTCATTAATGATAAAGAAAACACAGAGGATATAAAGCAATTAAACGCGTTCTGGAAACTGTCTAGTCATAAATCAAGGGTTTCAGCAGCTGACAATCCTAGGAAAATGCTAGGACCTCAAGAGCTTCTTGATTCCATTTCTTCCTTTTATTTTTTCTTAATTCTATTTACTGGCCTACCAAAAATGCATTTAGATATTTTAGGGGCTCACCGCCCGAGGTGTGATTCGTAGGGCAGCAGCAGCAGCATCTGGGATTTGGAGAAAAATGAGAAGCTAGGTCCAGCCCAGACCTCCTGAATCAGGATCTGCATTTTAACAAGATCCCAGGTGATGGATGCCCACATTTCCGTTTCAGAAGTGTTGTGCCAGAAGCTTCTTCATCTTGCCTCCAGTTGGGTGCCCAGAATTGCCACCCTCATTTGGCATCTGAGTCAGTGCATCTAAGCAGACACTCCAGTATCATTTAAGAAAACCTCTCTATGAAGCTCAGGCCAAAATCAGACCCTGAAAGGATCTGTCTCGGATGTGCCCAACCTCATCTTGATTTGTCTGATGGAAATGCCTCACCCTGGCCATGGGCTCCAGATAGCGTTTTGGTCACCCAAATCCCCCCGACTCCTGTTCTTCACAGTGTGGGTGTGCATGTATTCGGGGGTGGGGGTGCATATTTGTGTGTGTGTGTGTGTGTGTGTGTGTGTGTGTGTGTGTGTTAACTTCAGGTGGGGAGTTAGCCCTACTCCTCAGTGTATGCCCATTATCATCATATGAGCAAAGCCCTTCTCTTGTAAATGTCTATTTTTTCCTCCTTTATCCCTCTCCTTGGACACTGACTCTAATGATTTCATATGTGCCCTTGAATAAATGTGTATATCTTAGAAATAAAATAGTGTGGGTTTGGAGAGAGGCTTAATTTACACGGATGTTACTGTGCCATAAATCTTGTTGTGGGTAATCGTTTTTTCATTCAGTACTATGCTTTTAAGGTCTATCTATTTGGGAACGTGTATTTCTAGTTCACTGCTTCTAACTGATGCTTTGTATTCCAGAGAAAACAGCAAAGCCTGTGATAAAGGTGACACTTCAAATCAGTGTGGAAAGGATGAATTGAAGAGATAGCGTCTCACTCTCTTAGTACAAGAGCAGTTGTTGCATTTATATTCAGGCTAAGCTGCTTTTCTAAGAGACCCCAAATACAGAGTAGCTTCAATAAGAGAAACATTTCTTTTTTTGTTTTGTTTGTTTTTTAACATTTATTTTAGGTTCAGAGGTACATGAGCAGGTTTGTTATATAGGTAAATTGAGTGTTGTGGGGGTTTGGTGTACAGATTATTTTGTCACCCAGGTAATAAGCATAATACCCAATAGTTTTTTGGTCCTCTCCCTCCTCTCCCTGTCCACCCTCATGTAGGCCCCAAGAGAAACATTTATTTTCCTTCTTAAAGTAGCCCAGCAACAGGTGTCCAGGACTGGTGGGAGCTATGTGTGGTTTTCTTCCATGTGTGGTTTTCACCTTTGGGTCTAGTTCTCTGCACTCGCTCATCAGAAGGAAGGATGTAAATGACCAGGGAAGCACATGCCCAATCTTTACCATGGAAAGACCCAGGAGTAAGACACTCCTTCTCCCCAAAACCTCCACAGCCATCCCTTGCTGCAAGGGAGGCTTGAGAACACAGCCAAGCAATACAATTCTGTTGCTTATAAAGACAGAGAGAGTGACTACTGGAGACAGCTAGTCATCTGACACATTGTGTCACAGGATCTTTCAGGTGTCACTTTGTCAGCCAGAAACCTCTGTGGCTGGTGGCACCTCTGCTTGAGTTTTGCTCATGCCTGCTGGGCTTGTTCCACCCACTTGGCCCAGCAGGCTGCACTTGGCTCATACTACTGGCTCAGATCCCACAGTGAGCCAGGTGCCAAGCCAGGTGCAGAGCAGCAAGGGGTGTGTGAGCAAGTGAGCGCGGGGTCAGGCCACTGCACACAGCCAGGCACCCTGGCTGCTGCAGCACAGTGGGTGGCTCCAGGCACCAGCACAGGCACCGGCTCTGTGTGAGGCTGCAGCTGGACCAGATGTACCATGGCAGCTTCTGCTGTGGGCACCAGCATCTGGATGAGGGGAACACGGTGGTGCTGAAAAGCCTGGAGATGCCAGGAACTGCGTAGCCTCAAAGAGGGTGTTACAGCATATCACAGCCCTGGCTTGGGGAACCCCGAGTTCTGGGCTCCCAGAAGGACCACAGCTTGTCTCTTTCTCATCACCCACAGTGTGGTGACCAGGGGCCATGTTTCAAAAGGCATGTTTCAGCCTGTTTGTGGCATAGCTCTTTCTGTCCTGCCTCCCCACTCCAGTCCATGGCTGCTGAACTGGCCCAGCCCCACTGCTGCTTCCTTTCACATGGGGCAGCCACCCAGTGCCAGGAGAGGATGGGAGGGCTATAGTGTTATAGCTCTGGTTCAGGGAATCCCAAGGTCTGGGCCCCCAGAAGGGTTGCCACTCTTTACTCCCACAGTCCAGGAACATGTCACCACCTGCAGCTCAGCCAGGAATGTGTTACAGCCCTTTAGCTCCCACCCACAACTCGGCAACCCAGCCAGGAAAGTGCTACAGCTCCTTTCACTCCTGCCATTCAGTGGGTCCTAAGTTCTTGTCCCATGTCCAGGAAGAATGAGGTTACATGGACAACTGGAGGGTGAGCAAGGTGGAGAAGAGCTTTGTTGATCAACCCAACAGCTGTCAGTGGAGAGGAGACCTGAAATGAGTAGCTCCTATCTGCAGGCAGGTAGTCGGACAAGTGTCTGAGTCTGGCTGAGTCTGGTGGTTTTATGGGCTCAGAATGGAGAAAGTGTGTGCTGATTGGTCTATGGGCAGGCCAGGGAAAAGTACCACTTGATTGGCCAAAAGGCATCAGACAGGTTCTCATTCCAGGTCACAGACTTCACCTAGAATTGGCAGCCTGTTCCCCAGGCTTCCCTACGTTCCTGGCTTGAAGGTGGGGTTTCACCAGGGACCCATCCATTCCCTCCTAAGAAACAGTCTGCCTCCCACTGCCATCAATTACACTTCCCCTAAGTGAATGCACAGGCTGGGAATCATGCAACTGACTACAGGCTGGGAATCATGCAACTGACTGCACCTGCCACTTAGTGCTGAGGGCTCTCAAAGCCCCATGTGTGGACATTTCATGTGAGCACAGAGGGTTTCAAAGCACATATTTGGAAACAAGATGCACTCTTGCCTTCCTGTTATTTCTCTAGTCCTGCTTCATCTCCACTCTGTTTTTCTCACCTATTGGAAATGATTTATTATTTATAATCAGTCTGCATTTTAAGGAGAGAGGCTCCCCTAAAAATAATTAATTGCTTGCTCAATAAAGACAGAAAGAGAGACAGAGAGAGAGAGAAAAAGAAGGAGAGAGAGAGAGAGAGAGAAGAAGAAGAAGGAGGAGGAGGAGGAGGAAAAAGAAGGGAGGGAGGGAGGGAGAGAAGTTACCCTAGATAGGAAATAGGATGAATATATGGGAGTAGATGAACAGATAGACAGATGGACAGATGGATGAAGTCTTGTGGGGCAAGAACAGAGATGTCATGAGGGAGGTTTGTCTCCTCCGTCTCCTGCATAACCTTTGGTAAGCCTGTACCTTTCACTAATGTCTTTGCCATTTGCTACTGGGTTGAGTGAGGCCTGGATGCAGCAAGTGCTGAGTCTGGCACCCAGGTGGGCCTGGGTGAGAGCAGGTGCTGTCCTCGGGACCGAGTAATTTCAGACTGAAACTCCAGTTTTGTGAACAGTCCAAGTGCTTCTGGTTGGAGAAGGTGGTGAAGAGCTAACTATT
Source organism: Homo sapiens (assembly GCF_000001405.40). NCBI lineage: Eukaryota > Metazoa > Chordata > Mammalia > Primates > Hominidae > Homo > Homo sapiens. Next base: position 118,610,039 of record NC_000010.11, read on the forward strand.
GACAACAGGATGCCATCACATCACTGGCTCCATCTCACCACACCTGGATGCCATGGGGCCCTGGCTGCTAAGGAATTCATCCCTGGCACCCAGGGGCTTCCCAAGGAGCCCAGGGAGAAAGATAACCAAACTGGAAGGCAAAAGAAATTTTTACAGAGGAGGAGGCTGAGGCCAGGCTGAAGGACAGGCCAAGGTCATTCAGCTATTCAGTAGCAAAGCGAGGCCAAGGCCCCAGCTCTCCAGAACTCACACTCAGGGACCTTTTCAGCTGTACTTAGGGTGTTCTTGTGACACTGATGGGCACCTGAAAGAGTAAGAGATTCCAAATGGTGTCCCTGACCTTTACGACATGTCTCTTTTATTCAAATTAGAAAACCATGCTGGCTGCAGACATATAAGAATAAAAAAAGAGGAAAGAGCTCCGTGCCAGAGGTCAGCTTTGTTCATTCCCAACTCAGTGACTTTCCCTAGGCTGTGCTCACTCCCCATAAGCCAAGGGCATCCTCAATCATTTTTATCTTTTAAAATCCTGTTTCCTTTATAAAACCAAGGGAAAAAAATGGACCATTTCAAGCCCACACTGACCTCTTCCTCTTCCCAACTCCTCCAAAGCCTGATGCCTCTCCTGTCCTGTGGTCTGGCTCTCATTTAATGTTTGTCTTTCTCTTGGGTTTTATTTATTTGGATTAATTGCCCCCATGAGACCAGCCAGGGAGGAAATTTAGCAGTCTCCTGTTCCCCACAGCACTCTGTGGCTTCTGGTTAAATTAAATCTAGATGAAGGAGGCTTGACAACTTCCAGAATTGGTTGAAGCCAGGCGTGAGCAACAGTATTCCTATAAGACATGATGTTCGTTCCAGCCAGCTGGGAGGAGAAGAGAAAAACAGTTTTCCCTGGAGGTAGAATGAGACAGTATCATGTCTGCTTCATAAATTCAGCATTTGCTTTCTTCTTTCAACTCCTTGAAAGAAAAGCATTGATTTTATAGGAGAAAGAATTGATTTGTACAATGTCTGTTCACCATCCTTTCCACTTAAAATGGCCTTTGAGCCCAAGCAGACTCCACTGCAGAAGCATCTGACTTAGAGCAAAGAGCAGGTGGGTTTTTGTTTCCCTGCAACACTAAGAGTGAGATGGGGCCTATGAGCAGTCATTGAGCCTGTGGCTGGCAGGTTATCTCGCTGCATTGGGCCCCACTTACTCCCTGCCATCCCCAGAGTCTTGAGATGTGGGCTAGCAGCATTAATGCAGCCACATTCTCTGAAATAATTCCCTGAGTGTAACCCGCATTTTCTGCCGCACAGTCCTGTGGCCTGCCCTGTTCATTATTCTTTGTGCCAAGAGAGGTCTGGTGTCCTAAGCTCCCCCTAAGCTTGGTCGCTCAGGATCACAGACCCCAAACATCCAACCCCATACAGAGTTTCAGGACCAAACCCAGAGACAGAGCTAGGGGAAAGGGAAAGAGTAGGAAAAATACTCTCACTGTCACCCCCTCAAAAGCAACTGCTCTGAAAGTTGAAGTGTAAGGGAAGACATGGGGCAGGCCTGGGAGAGGGATGACTAAGGAGACCCTGTGTACTTGGGAACAAGTTCATTGTGTCCAAATGCACATTCAAGGAAACACTGGGGGAACTGGGTGGACACCAAATGGTAGCTACGAAGAAGGTTCCATGGACAGGGAGCAGAGACACTTGGAAACCACTTCCTCTGGAGGTCTGTAGTGAGAGCAGCAGGCCAGGGGTCAAGGACATGGACTGTAACATCCTAACACTTCCTAGGTGATGTTGGGTGAATCTCTGAGCCTAATGAGCCTCATCACCATCAGGTGTGCCTGATGACATACCTCATTAAAGGGCTTCCTGCAGGTCCCTGCACGTAGTTAGTGCTCAATAAATGTCAGCAACTATTAGTGGCCCCCTACAGTTTTTCTTGGTGCTCCCAGCATTCACTGACTTTTATAGACTTAGAAACTGAGCCTCAGAAAGATGGAATGATTCCTCAAAGATCCTCTGCTAGAGCGGCAAATCTGAGCACACGCTGAGGCTGAGGGTCCTTCAGCCCCTTCACTCAACTCCTCATGGAAAGGCATGAGACTTCAGGACACTGGGTGGTTCTAAAAGCACAATGGAACTTCTGAGCTTGCAAAGCCTTTCACTCAGCACAAAAAGACTCACACATACATTTGATTCCTACATAAGACAGAAGGGGCAGCAGCTTTCCCATGCCATACAGTGTGGGGTTAAGAGTGTGGATTATGGAACCAGACTGCTGGGTTCAAATCCAGGCTCCACCACTTCCCAGATGGTGGCTTTGGGCTGTTACATTACTTTTCAGTGGCCTTAGTTTTCCCAGCTCTAAAATGGGCATAGTAATTTTTACCATTACTAGGCCTATCTGTAAAACAGTGAAAACACTTAGCAGGCTGCAGGTTGTTTACTGCAGGAATTGTAAATGCAAACCATTCAAAGTCTTGCTCAGCTAAAGGGATAGTAAAAAAACAGTCTTTTAAATCTATGACTATTAAAGGCCAATTTTTTGGAATTATAGCAGGAGAAGGCAATCCTGGCTGTAATGCTCCCATAGGTCGTATAACTGAACTGATGGCTCTTAAGTCAGTTAACATTCTCCATTTACCTGATTTTTTCTTAATTATGAAAACTGGATAATTCCAAGGGGGAAACGTTGGAGCTATGTGCCCATTTTCTAATTGTTCGGTAACTAATTTCTCTAAAGCCTCCAGTTTCTCTTTACTTAGCGGCCATTGTTCTATCCAAATTGGCTTATCTGTGAACCATTTTAAAGGTATAGGTTCTGGAGGCTTAACAATGGCCGCCATCAAACATTATTTCCTAATCTTTGGCGGGAACTTTGTCTTTCCGCTTGAAGCAGTTCTTTCAAATCTTGCAAACTTTTTTCTAGTCCCATACCAGGGACATACCCCATTTTATGCATCCTATGTTGACTTTGAGGGCTATGTAATTGTTCTGGAATTAGAACTTGTGCTCCCCATTGTTGTAATAAATCTCTTCCACATAAATGTATAGGTACAGAAGTTATAATTGGTTGGATAGTCCCAGATTGTCCATCAGGCTCTTCACAGTGCAAAATATAACTACTTTGACATACTTCAGGGGCTTTACCAACTCCAACTATGTTAAATTGAGGGGGTTGAATTGGCCATACAGATGGCCAGTGCTGTAGAGAAATGATTGAAATGTCTGCTCCTGCATCTACCAAACCTTTAAATTTCTTTCCCTGAATAGTTATTTCACAGGTAGGGCATTTATCAGTAATTTGATTTACCCAATAAGCTGCTTTGCCTTGTTTAGTTGTGCTTCCAAATCCTCCTGTTCATTTAATTTCACTTTTTCCCATTCCCACATACGGCATAATCAGGAGCTGTGCTATTAGGCGCTCTCCTGGCTCTGCTTTCCAGGGAACAGAAGTAGATATAACAATTTGAATTTCCCCATTGTAATATGAATCAATGACTCCTGCATGTATTTGTACCCCTTTTAAACCTAAACTAGACCTTCCTAAAAGTAATCCAATTGTCCCCGCTGGCAAGGGTCCACAGACTCCTGTTGGGACCTTTTGTGGGGGTTCCCCAGGCAGAAGGCTCACAGCTTTTGTGCAGCATAAATCTACTGCGGCACTACCAGCTGTGGCAGGGGACAGATATTGTACAGGGGGGAGGGAATGGCCTGAGCTGGAAATGCCCTGGTTTAGAACGGGGCCCGCGATGGGCACTTCATGGTGTTTCCTGAAATCGGGTCCCCATCTTTATCAAACTTAGAGGGACACTGATTAGCCCAATGTTTTCCTTTTTTACATTTTGGACATATTTCAGGATCAACAGTTTTCTTTTTTCCCCTATCTGGTGACCTGACTCACTGATTTTTTCCACATTCTTTTTTAGTATGACCATGCTTCCCACAGTTAAAACAAGCTCCAGGAAATGGAGTATTTCCTTTATCCACTCTCAGTCCTGCCACTGCCTGTGCTAGCAGACTAGCTTTATGCAGATTACCTCCGATACCATCACAGGCCTTGATATAATCAACTAAATGTGCTTTCCCTTTGATAGGTCACAGAGCAGGCTGGCAATTGGGATTAGCATTGTCGAAAGCTAATAACTGCAACACTATATGCTGAGCAGCCGAATCTGCAATCACCTTTTTAAGAGACTCCTGTAACCGAGCTATAAAATCAACATATGGTTCTTTGGGTCCCTGTTTTATAGCACTAAAGGAAGGGTATTGTTCTCCACCTGAAGTGATTTTTTTTCCCAAGCTCTAATGCACACTCCCCTAAGCTGTTCTATGGCATCATCCTGCATGATGAGTTGTGCATGTAAACCAGTCCAGCTGCCAACCCCCAAAAGTTGGTCTGCAGTTATATTAATTCGAGGTTGGGTCTGGGCATTGCGAGCAGCCTGAATGGAAGCTTCATCTGCCCACCAAGTTTTAAACTGTAAGAACTGAGCAGGAATTAGACAAGCTTGAGTAAGAGCATCCCAGTCAGTAGAAATCATCCGACTGGAAACAGCAACGTTCTTTAACAGTCCTATTACAAAAGGAGAACCTGGTCCATACTGATTTATAGCTTTTTAAAATTCTTTGAGTAATTTAAAAGGAAAAGGCTCAAATGTAGCTATAATATTTCCCTGTTGATCTGGGGCGTGTATTCTAACAGGGAACTGCCAAGTCTCTAAATCACCCTCTCATCTAGCTTGCTGAATTCCTGCCTGAATAGAACTAAGAGTGGTCGATCGAGGTGCTGCTCGAACAGTCACTGGGGCAACTACTTTTAGCCCAGTGTCCTCCAGAAAAGAAAGATCTGGAGGGTCTTTTTCTTCAAAATAATAATGAGGGGTGCAGAAGGGTAGGGATGAACCTCTCCTTCCTTTGCCACTTTAGCATTAGCTGGTGAATAAACATGCTCTGTAACCTCTTCTGTTACTTCGCTATACTCTCCTTCCTCCTCATCAGCAGTGTGAAAAAGTTCCAAGGTGGAACGAACCAGACCCCACACTTGTCCCATTGTCACCCTAACGCTTCCAAGCTCCCCTTCTTACTCATCGCGGGGATTGCTTTAAGAGTACTCAGGTGTCCTCTAGCTAGTTCCACATTCTCCAACCGTCGCTCCGGCAACCCTTTGACCTGGATTCAAGCCCCCACGATGGACACCACTTGCCGAGACCAGCTTGGTTGGGGATACCCTAACCCAGCAGCACTAGAGGAATTAAACACACACACAGAAATATAGAGGTGTGAAGTGGGAAATCGGGGTCTCATAGCCTTCAGAGCTGAGAGCGCCAACAGAGTTTTACCCACGTATTTATTAACAGCAAGCCAGTCATTAGCATTATTTCTATAGGTATTAAATTGACTAAAAGTATCCCTTAGGGGAAATGAAGGGATGGGCTGAATTAAAGGAATAGGTTGGGCTAGTTAACTGCAGCAGGAGCATGTCCTTAAGGCACAGATCGCTCACGCTATTGTTTGTGGCTTAAGAATGCCTTTAAGCGGTTTTTCGCCCTGGGCTGGCCAGGTGTTCCTTGCCCTCATTCCGGTAAGCCCACCACCTTCCAGCATGGGCGTTATGGCCATCATGAACGTGTCACAGTGCTGCAGAGATTTTGTTTATGGCCAGTTTTGGGGCCAGTTTATGGCTAGATTTTGGGGGGCTTGTTCCCAACATTATGCCTGACTCAAAGATCCTAAATGACTAAAGTGCTTAGAACAGCAGCTCCCCACAGTAAACTCTCAGTAAGTGTTAGCTGTCATTATCCACATTTCACAGATGAAGATCCTTGGCGTTGGAGAGGCAGAGACTCAAAGATTGGCTTCTAATATTCTTCCTATCCTCCCTTAAGAGCCCAGCTGATGTGCTTGTAACCAGATCTGCTGAGCTGGGGAGACTGAAGCTTCTTTGGTGGCTCAGTTGTGCGTCAGCCACTTGCTCAAATGATCAGCTACCTCCACGTAACTCAATCCGTGCATAGTTCCTCCTCCTACCACTAGGCTTCTTTTAGAAAATTAAATACATTTTTTTTTAATTTCCTGAAGCTTTGTCACTTTTTAGCATACACTCAAGAATTAAAAGCCTCAGGGGTGCACAGCAATGTAATTATGCCAGAGATTAAATCAGTATTTGAAAGCTAATTTTGACATGTGCCTGCAGCAACGAAAGTTGGAATGAATTAAGCAGATTGAAAGCATTAGTGAAAGCACACGCCAATCCTAGACTCTGATGGGAAATGCTTTCAAGTTCAGGTGAAAACATTGTCTAGATATATAATACTCTTTCCTTTTCTGTGGTTAAATAACAATCTAATTAAGTCACAGAATTTGCCATAGAGGACTTCAATGAATCCATGATGTAACTGAATAAACAGGGGAATTGCAGAAATGCAGTGAATAATCCCACACGCACACAGATTCGTGCCATCAAGACATGGTGTTGCTGGGACTTACATAAAATGGATATCAAGCCCATGCTAGCAACATTGCGACTACTGCCAAACTGTATAAAAGTACCTGACAGGCTGGGCACGGTGGCTCACGCCTGTAATCCCAGCACTTTGGGAGGCCCAGGCTGGCAGATCACTTGAGGCCAGGAGTTTGAGACCAGCCTGGTCAACATGGTGAAACCCCGTCTCTACTAAAAATACAAAAATTAGCCGATGGTGGTGGCACACACCTGTAGTCCCAGGTACTCAGGAGGCTGAGGCAAGAAGATCACTTGAACCCAGGAGGCAGAGGTTGCAATGAGGTGAGATCACGCCACTGCACTCCAGCCTGGGAAACAGAGTGAGACCCTGTCTCAAAAAAGAAAAAAAGTAACTGATAATTCCAAAACCATTTTAAAACTTCAGTAATACAAATACTCTTTTTTTTTCTTTTCTTTCTTTCTTTCTTTTTTTTTTTTTTTTTTTTTTTTGAGACAGAGTTTCATTCTGTCACCCATGCTGGAGTCCAGCGGCACAATCTCGGCTCACTACAACCTCCACCTCCCCAGTTCAAGTGACTCTCCCACCTCAGCCTCCCGAGTAGCTGGGACTACAGACACATGCCACCATGCCTGGCTGATTTGCTACATTTTTAGTAGAGCCAGGGTTTCACCATGTTGGCCAGGCTGGTCTCAAACTCCTGACCTCAAGTGATCTGCCCACCTTGGCCTCCCAAAAGTGCTGGGATTACAGGCGTGAGCCACCGCACCCAGTCTCAAATTCTCATTTTCAAATGATGGCAAATCTTAGGTCCTTGTTTCCCACTCACAAATAAGGGCTTAGAATACACAGATGGGGTCTCATTTTCACTTTTCAAAAATCCTTCCTCCAGGCCAGGGGAAAGTTATGTAGACAAGGTGTGTAGACAAGGTTATCTGGCTAGAAGCTCAGTAGGAACGCACTGTGAGGGGTCCTTATTCAGAAGGCTAGCATGAAGTTAGACAACATTAGTAATAATAATGATTAATAGAAGTGCAGGTTATGAGTTTAAGGAGATGTCTGTTCCATTATCCCATTTATTTGCATAGGGCTCATAAATATATTTTAATATATATTTATAAATATATATATTTGCATATATATATGAGACAAGAAAACATGCAAGCTGAGGAAAGACCTAGAAGCCACATCTAGGAGGAAAAGTTGAAGGCACTGAGGCTGTTTAAGTTAAAAAGAAACAAAAGAATAGCAGTTAATAAGACTTAGGTGCAGAGAGAGGAAAGATTCAGGGGCCCAAGAAAAATATATTAATAAGATTATCTTGAATACAAAGATTTCTGCAAACCTATTGTTTATTCATACAAAGAATGTAGCCAAAAGAATTGTTTATACTCAGAAATATTCTTTATGAATATATTTTCTTGACTCTACTTTCAGATGAATTAATTATATTCAACAAATAGATCATCCTAGGGCTCTAGTCTTATGAGTATTTCTTATAAATATGTTCCTGTTTCCCAGTTTTCCTGCTTGCTCCTCTGGGACTCTCCTCTCTCTGCCCCCATCATCGTTTACTGTTTTCAGCCTCTGGTTTTGGCAACAGGGAGCCAGGGGAAAGACTGAATATTTCTTAAAATACTGCTATGAAGACAAAGGGAAAACCAGTAAATTAAAACTACCCAGGTTTATTTTATTTTATTGTTAGTAAATGTGGTGAGTTGATAGTTGAGCATTCAGCTTATTTGATTTTCTATGAATTAACCTGGTGGCAGGTAATGTGGAAAAGTTATCGTGACATGAGGGTTTGGGTTGGCTACCAGTCCAGTAGGAACTCTGTGAGGAGTAGTTAGTAAGAAAGCTAACTCATATTTAGACAACATTATTAATTTTTTTATTTTTATGTATGTATGTGTATATGTATTTCGGAGACACGGTCTCACACTGTTGCCAGACTGGAGTGCAGATGCATGATCTTAACTCACTGCAGCCTCGAACTCCTGGGATCAAGCAATCCTCCCACCTCAGCATCCTGAGTAGCTAGGACTACAGGTACATGCCACCATGCCTAGCTAATTTTTTTATTTTTAGTGGCAATGACAACATCTCATTATTTTGCCCAGGTTGATCTCAAACTCCTGGGCTCAAGCAGTCCTCCTGCCTCAGCCTCCCAAAGCACTGGGATTACAGGCATGAGCCACTGTGCCCAGCCAGGCAACATTATTAATAATAATGGCCTTTGCCCATGACCACAGTTGATTGAGTCAGAGGTGGGCAGCTGACCCAAGCAAGGCCAATCAGAATTCTTCCCTAAGACTTTTCAAATTGAGATTGAGAAAGAGAATGAGCCTTCCCTAAGTTATAATCCTTGAGAAGAAGTAAGACAGGGAACAGTAGGCAGGCTTGTTTCTCAGAGGTGAAATAAGCCCCCATCTTCAGGGAGAGAAAGGAGCTGACTGGCAGAGAGCAGCAAAGAGCACAGAGCAAGAGAGTCCTGGCAGAGTCCCAGCACCTGGATCCTGCTCTTCCTGAAGCCCACCTGCATCCTTGTCCTGCCCAAAGGAAGGGGTGGCCAGTTCCAACCTGAGGGGATGGGTCAGGTTGTGCTTGGAGTGAGTCTCAGAAGATAAGAAAGAAAATGCCAGCTGGGTGCGGTGGCTCACGCCTGTAATCCCAGCACTTTGGGAGGCCGAGGCGGGCGGATCACGAGGTCAGGAGATCGAGACCATCCTGGCTAACACAGCGAAACCCCATCTCTACTAAAAATACAAAAAATTAGCCGGACATGGTGGCAGGCGCCTGTAGTCCCAGCTACTCGAGAGGCTGAGGCAGGAGAATGGCGTGAACCTGGGAGGCGGAGCTTGCGGTGAGCGGAGATCGTGCCAGCCTGGGCGACAGAGCGAGACTCTGTCTCAGAAAAAAAACAAAAGAAAGAAAGAAAATGCCAGACCAGAAGTACCAGAGGCACCAGCTGCTAAGTGGAGTTGGCAGTGGGGAGACTCAGACGCCCAGAGAAGGCAGGCTGGGGAGGCAGGGCCAGATCTGGAAGGAACCTGTAACCACGCTAAGGAGTTTGCGCTTTATTCTCTAAGAACCAGGACCCATTGGTGAGTCTTACACAGGAAAGTAGAGTTTCTTCAGGCAGGAGTCTGGAGGGTGAATTGCAGTGGGGAAAGGCAGGAACGAGGGTGCCCTGTGGGAGGCTGCTGCAGAGGTCCAGGTGACAGGGTGGAGAGCCCAAACAGGGTGGAGAGAAGTGACACAGAGGAGCATTGCTAACTCCCTGGACCACCCCACTTCCCATCTCTGGGTGGGTCAAACTTCTGGGCAGTGGGAGAGAGCAGCCTTCTGGATGGTTTCACAGGCTACCTTAGAGAGCACATGCCTACCTGTGCCCAGCCTGGGTTCCTCAAATGCTAGATTTCCTTCCAAACACACTAGGTAGCAGGCATGGCCAGACAACCTGGATATTTATTCCAAGGCCTCTATCAGAGCCGATAGGAGAACCCCAGGCCAGCAGCTCCCAGGAGGCGCTCTCTCTCTTTTCTGGACACACGGACTTCATGACACATTCTTTGTCTATCACACATCCCAAATTCCTGTGCCCAGGTAGTCCCCACAAAGTGGAGCCACCCACACCACATGGGCCCTGCCTCTGATTACAGTTCACCTACCTCCCTGCCTTGGCTTATCTTTGTTTTAATGCCAGGGTGGTAAAATGGGGACCTGTTGCCAGGACAATGCAGAGTGGCATGTGCCTTAACAGGGCCATGTGACTCTGAGACTTTGTCTGATGTCCACCACGTCCCCAGCCACCACCCCACCTGGGCTGCCTCCTCGCGTTTCCCCCACTTCCTCCAATTTGCCTCATTCCTTCCCCTCAAGGTCTGCAGAGCCAGCACCTTCCTTCTGAATCTGCTCCTTTAGCTCCTATGTCTACTGGCAAACTTGATGCATTTCCCCTCCTCCTAAATCTGAGATCCATGTCCCTTCCGACATCAATCACTCTGCCCAACCCCCTTGCACTTTTGACAAGTGGCATTCTAAACTATCTGTCTCAAAAAAGAGTCAGATGTGATTATTTCTCCCATCCATCCTTTTAGCTGCATTTTTCCCTCATATTGCTCTGCCCTAATATAATACCAATAAAACAATAATGAGAATCCCACTGATGTAATTTCTCTTATTATGCCATATAATGGACCCCCAAGCCTCTTCCAGCCCAATTGCTATATCCAGATGCTTTTTTTTTCCACCACTGCACATAAAGGGCTTTGACTTGCTTCTCTGTCCCTTTGTTCCGGTAGCTCATGCCCCTGCCATCTTTCACCATGGCTTTATAAGTGCTGAGTTGCCCATTGTGTAGGTAGGCTGCTTTCCAGATGAAGGCAAAGTTCCTTTTTTTATTCACTGCATTTCAGGGCCTTTTGGATGTCAAGAGGGATGTCCTTAAAAGCACCTGTTTCTTGGGCAGGAACAGATACAATGTACTTCAGGAACACTCTGTGACTTGTTGGCTCGTCTACATAGAGCTCTCTCCATCCTTGCAATTGGCCACAGCACAAGGGGAGGCTTCTCAGATGACCCATCCCTCACTTCCTTCCTCTGGGGCTACCCTAGTACCCTGAAGGTGGGAATGCAGATGTGGGCACATGCATTTCAACAGACCCAGTTGCAAACAGACGTCGAAACCAAGGGGCTTCCACGCAGCAACTTGTGGACATGGCCATCATACCTTCCCGAAGGGATCTGAGATCTGTCCCCAGGGCCACTGCTTCAACTTCCAGTTGAACAGCAAGATGGGCTTCTATTTCCCACTTAGGACACAACCTTCCTTCTCTTACAGCCATGTTCAGAACTAGATGAGATCCAGCCCACACCCACTTCTGGACCAGCTGTCCCATAACAGTTCCCACATGGCTGGGGCCCTGATGACATCCTGCAGCCCTGTCAGTCACCAGTCACCAACCCCGGCCGCCAGCGAGCTCACAGCATGCACCAGACACATTACTCACAACCCTCCTCCTTTCACGTGTATCTGTATACATTGGTACCACCCTGTTAAAAATAATCCACCTTCCCCATAAGAACAGTCCGTTCCTCTCCTGGCTAAACACACAGAGCTTGTGTTTAAATAACTGTTTCCTTCAAGAATTGTAAGTTCCCATTTCCTTGTCTGTTTTTAACTTTTGGCTCAGCTTCCTGGAATTTACTTCAAACTGTGTAGATGTAGACATGACCTGCCCGAGGGCATCATTTGAGAACTAACCAGCTGAAAAGAGAAACTCAAATCTCTCCCCGGGGAAACATCAAAGAGCCCTCAACATAGAGCACCCAGTGTCATTGAAAAAAAAAAAACTCATACACCTGCAAAAGATAAAAATGAAAGGGAGAGTGCCACAGAAGATATTAGCTCTTGAAGTTTTGCTGGAAACTCTTCTCTGATTTTCTCCACTTGAGCTCCATATTTGAATTTGTTTTCTATTCCTGAAATTGTTTCTTCACCTTTGTCAATATTCATTTCCCTATCCCAGGCATCTTTAGAGTTGAGCTCTAGTTTCTCAGAGGAACATGGATACACACGTATTACCTTAGTGTTGTTGCCCCATAATTCCTTATACTCACTGAGACTATCAAAAAAGGAGAATAAGGCCAGGCATAGTGGCTCATGCCTGTAATCCCAGCACTTTGGGAGGCCGAGGCGGGCGGATCACGAGGTCAGGAGATCGAGACCATCCTGGCTAACATGGTGAAACCCCGTCTCTACTAAAAATACAAAAAATTAGCCGGGTGTAGCGGCGGGCACCTGTAGTACCAGCTACTCGGGAGGCTGAGGCAGGAGAATGGCATGAACCCAGGAGGCAGAGGTTGCAGTGAGCGGAGATCGTGCCACTGTACTCTAGCCTGGGAGAAAGAGTGAGACCCTGTCTCAAAAAAAAAAAAAAAAGGAGAATCAAATTAATATCCACTTACCTAAGAAACATGCTGTGGTGGCTGGGCACGATGGCTCACACCTGTAATCCCAGCACTTTGGAAGGCCGAGGCGGGAAGATCACCTGAGGTCAGGAGTTCGAGACCAGACTGGCCAACATAGTGAAACCCCATCTCTACTAAAAATACAAAATTAGCCAGGCATGGTGGCACACACCTGTAATCTCAGCTACTCGGGAGGCTGAGGCAGGAGAATCGCTTGAACCCGGGAGGTGGAAGTTGTAGTGAGTGGAGGTCGTGCCACTGCACTCCAGCCTGGGTGAGAGAGCAAGACTCTGTCTCAAAAAAAAAAAAAAAAAATCAGAAATGTGCTGTGGCAGAGACTGTTCCGTCTTCACCAAACTCTGTTTCGTTTTTCTCCTGAACATGAGCCAGGCTGTATTTCTCAGCCTTCTGTGCAGTTAGGGGGCACATGTGACTAAGTACTGGCCAAGGGAATGAGGGTGGGATTGGTGGACACCACTTCATGATCTTCTCCCCTAAAAAACCTCCTTCATGACCTTTTCCCTTCTGCTTGCTGAAAGGAAAGAGGACAAAACCTTAGAGGAGCAAAGACTCACATCTTGGAAGAAACCTGGGCCCCTTAATGACAGTGCAGAGCAGACTAAACCTTGTCCCCACTTCCCAGTGACCACTACTTAAGCCACACTGAACCGTGACATGAGCAAGAAATACAATTTGACTGTATTAAGGCACTGAGATTTGAGAAGTTTTGTCATATCAATTATTCTACCACAAATTACACATGTGCCAGGTAAGACAATTTCAAAACTTCCACCCAACGAGTTTACATAGAACAACTTCCATTGCTCATATATCTTCCATATTGACTATGCTGTGTCCCTCAAGAATCAATCCACAAAAGGCAAAGACACAACCCAGTTATGACATTTCAGTTCCAATTCTGTGGTCAGCTTACATTCAGATATTTCCCAGTGTCATTACAAATAATAACTATTGTTTTTATCTCATCCCCAAGAGTTTTGATAACCACACTAAAACATGAAATAAAACAAAATTCAACGTCACAACTACAGTAAGTTTGGGTGCAAATATCTCAATGTTTGCACGGATGAATTCAATGTCTCCATGCCTACACCCTTAATGCTCCTCCACTGAGAACCCTCCTTATCAAGGGGCCTCAGCTGAGACCGTTTCTCCACTCCGACTCTATACTTTTTCTCTCCAAGACCCCTGGATCTATAAAGGCAAGAGCGATATGGTTTGGCTCTGTGTCCCTGCCCAAATTTCATGTTGAATTGTAATCCCCAGTGTTGGAGGAGGGGCCTGGTGGGAAGTGATTGGATCACGCGGGCGGATTTCCCCCTTGCTGTTCTCGTGATGGTGAGTGAGTCCTCACGAGATCTGATGGTTTTATAAATGGCAGCTTTCCCTACCCTCTTCTCACTCTCTCGCCATCTTGTGAAGGAAGTGTCTGTTTTCCCCTTTGCCTTCTGCCATGATTGTAAGTTTCCTGAGGTCTCCCCAGCCCTGCAGAACTGTGAGTCAATTAAACCTCTTTTCTTTATATTAGGTTGGTACCAAAGTAATTGTGATGTTTGCCATTGAAAGTAATTGGAAAAGTAACAAATTATCCAGTCTCAGGTGTGTCTTTATAGCAGTGTTAAAACGAACTAATTCAAGGAGCCTTTTTGTTAGGGGCTCCTGAGCTGTAAGGCAGTTGCCCCTGTCTGCACTGCATCTGATTGGATGCCACCCCATCATTGCCCAGTGCCTTTCTAGGGGGAAACCATGAGGAGTGGTGCCTTCCTCTTTTTGGCTCCTCGCTTGCTTGCTCTATCACAGTATATGAGGAAAGGCTTGATTGTTACTTTTGGTTTGGTTCTGTGTCCTAATTAACCCCCTCAACAGCTGGCAGCTCAACAGTTTTTTCTTAACTGCCGGAGTTTGTCTCTATGGCTCCCACCCAAGCAATTTCAGAAACGCAAATGCATCCAATTCAAATGCATCTTGGAGTTAAGGCCCAGTTCTCCGTTTTCCTTGTCTCTCTTTTGTTGTGTGTGTGTTCCTCTCCTTCTCCAATTCTTTCTCTCCTGAAAGTCTGGCTGGACCACCACATTTCTCCTGAGTTTATCAGCTGAGCTCCTAGGAGTTTGTATTTAATATTAGCTAATAGTTATACGTTTCCTATCATCCCGTATCATGGATATCCTCCTGATCAGTTGCACTCACTCAGGCTGAGAAAATAAGTTATGACCTAGAGGAAGGGAAAAGGCTAAGAGGTAGATTCCAGGGGCTCTGGCTTGTGTGATGAAAGGAGAAATTTGCTTAGGGGAAGATGATTGTTTCACTTTGGGATGGGCTGTGTTTGAGTTGCTGTCATCCAACCAGCTGGAGATGCCCAGTGTGGATTAATGAATCGGCTTGGTGGGTGCTTTCCAGTACAGATGGAAGATTAAAGCCATGGATCGCCTGCCAAGCACGTGTCCCAGGGACTTCTGCACCCTGGGAGCAGTTGGGACACGTGGACTTTGGGGATGGAGCCCATTCCACAAAAAATAAAAAGAGGTACTCATGTCAGAGGCATTAGAACCAGAGCGACTCCATCTTGAGTGAGGGCTAGGAAAAATGAGGCTGGGGCTTGCTGGGCTGCATTCCCAGAAAGGTATTATTCCTAGCCTCTAGATGTTTATGGTTAAGTGAACAGATTGATAACATTTACTAAACAGACCCAGACTTAGGAGTGTTCTGATATCCCAGTCTCTTAACAGAAGAAGTCCTAATTTCCCTTTAAAGATAATATTGATTCTTGCAAAATATAGTAATTAAGAAAACTAATCCTTTATCACAGACCCTTGTAGGAGAGCACATCTCCCCATTATCTTTTTTTATCCTATATACTTATAAAGTATTGTACCTAGGTTGGACACATTCCTCCTCTTACTTTCGGGAACGCCCTACTCTATGGAGTAGCTGTTCTTTCACCACTTAACTTTCTTAATAAACTTGCTTTTGCTTTGTCCTGTGGACTCACTCTGAATTCATTCTTGTGTGAGATCCAAGAACACTCTTGGGGTCTGGATCTAGACCCCTTTCCTGTAACACTAACAAAGCCTCTTGCCACCCAGCAAAGTGTGAGAAGGACAATCACATTTCTACCAGAGAAACAAGCCCTGCATCTTGCACTGTGCCCTTTCAGTGAGAAAACAAAGCAGAAAATCAGAGCTCTGCTTCCAAGGAGACGCCTCCCCTGCAGGGTCAGAGTGACCTGAGCTCACTTGAACTGTTTTTTCCCCACCACAATAAGGACTCTCTAGAAACACAATTATCTTCACGTGGCCAACACTGGGCTCTTTGGCCAAGACAGCTGAATAAAGACCCTGTTATTGAACCAACCTGGGGTCCGCATGCCAGGTAGAGTAAGGATAGAACATCCACACTGAGGTTTGCAGCAGAAGACAGGAAGGCATTTATTTGCCGGGCAGCATTGCCCGATTTTCCTTACTTGGTGCCTGGCAAAAATGCCTTCCTCTCTTCCTTACTTGGTGACTAGCAAATAATCCTGACCTCACTGATGGTTTGCAGGTAAGAATTTTTAAAGGCAGGGATCAGCTTCAGGAAAGCAGAAATTACAGGCAAAATTGTAAATCAGTAGATGAAGTTTACACATTGGTTTTGGCCTAAAAGGGTAGGATATCTTGACATGGCGGCTTACATGTTAATAGGTAGATTCAAAGATTTTCTGATTTGCAATTGGTTAAGGAAGAGAAGCTTTATTTAAAAACTGGGGGTCAGGCTGGCCATGGTGGCTCACACCTGTAATCCCAGCACTTCGGGAGGCTGAGGCAGGTGGATCACTTGAGGTCAGGAGTTTGAGACCAGCCTGGTCAACATGGCGAAACCCCGTCTCTACTAAAAATACAAAAATTAGCCAGGCGTGGTGGCACATGCCTGTAGTCCCACTACTTGGGAGGCTGAGGCAGGAGAATTGCTTGAACCCGGGAGGCAGAGGTTGCAGTGAACTGAGATCACGCCACTGCACTCCAGCCTGGGCAATGGAGCAAGGCTCCATCTCAAAAAATAATAACAAAATAAAAACTGGAGGTTAGCAGAAAATGTTAGCTCCGGCTCCTGGGTGTGACTTCCTCTAGACCCCTCAGGAAGAAATTTAGAAGAAAGAACAGTGGTCTGAGGTCAGTCCTCAGTTCCCCTTTATCTGAGGTCTACGAGCCAGTCTGGTGGGGGTCCAGGTTTCTGAGAAACAACTTGGGGACATATAGTAAGATGTTGCCTTTGGTTTCTATAGGGAACCAAACAGCCTGTGATTTCAGCTTCCTTGGCTATTGTTCTAAGCTACTATTACCTTCTTGCCTATCAGGTTGCTTATTTACTTCTCAGAGCAAGCTAGGTAGGTGCCTGGAATTTCCCTAGATGGAACTCAAGATGTTCCTTTAATTCCATGCTTGGGGTCTCGACAGCTTTTTGGGGGGCGAGTGGGGGACGGCTTCATCTCAACCCCATGCAAAATCCCAGATGGAAGGGAGAAAGGAGGTCACAAAAGACCCAGCTGGAGGTCAATGGGGCCCTGCTCCCTCCCCCTGGCTATAGCAAGAAGGAATTTCTGAGCCACAGGGCCACTGAGAGAGGAGCAGGCTCAGAGCTTGAGTCAGCTGCACTGGATCAGGAAGAGCGCCTCCTGCTGGTGACAGCAGCTCTGTGACCAGTGTAGACCCCACCGCCATCCCACTCCTGGGCCTCCCCAGGGTTTGGCTGGGCTCGGTGGGAGTGGCTGGGCAGCCTGGTCCCATTTCCAAACATGCAGCAGGGAAAACTTGGAAAGGCAGGGGCTACTGGGACCTGCCCAACCCCCTTGGTTCTCTGCTTTCTGATGCCCCTCCAAAACTAGGAGGAGACTCTCCCCCACCCCCCGCAACAAAATACTGTGGAAAGATCCTTCAACTAAAGAGACCTGGAAGCTGATGCCACATCTACTTCTGACTTGCTGTGTGACTATGGGGAAATCACTGCCCTTCTCTGAGACTTAGTTTCCTCTTAAATGCACAAAAAGCCATTAGCACAGTGAGCACTCATGGCAAACTCTCTGTGAATATGAGCTGTTTTTATGATGATGAGAAGGTTAAATGGGCTTTTGGAATGACCTATTTCCAGGACCCTTTCCTATCTTGTAGCTGAATAAGCAAAACATCTGTTTTAAACAAGCTGGTATCATCATCATCATAGATATTGTTTATTAAGCACTTTTGTGCCAGGCAGTCTGATCACATCATTCGTTAAAAAAAAAAAAAAAAAAACCCTGCAAGGGTCCAGGCACGTTGGCTCATGCCTGTAATCCCAACACTTTGGGAGGTCAAGGGAGGCAAATTAACCTGAGGTCAGGAGTTCGAGACCAGTCATCTCTACCAGAAATACAAAAATTAATTGTGTGTGGTGGTGGGCACCTATAATCCCAGCTACTTGGGAGGCTGAGGCAGGAAAATTGCTTGAACCTGGGAGGTGGAGTTTGCAGTAAGCTGAGATCACACCACTGCACTCCAGCCTGGGTGACAGAGTGAGACTCCATCTTTAAAAAGACAAAAACAAACTTGACCGGGCATGGTGGCTCATGCCTGTAATCCCAGCATTTTGGGAGGCTGAGGCAGGTGAGTCACCTGAGGTCAGGAGTTCAAGACCAGCCTGGCCAACATGGCAAAACCCCATCTCTGCCTAAAATACAAAAATTAGCTGGGCATGGTGGCACACGCCTGTAATCCCAGCTACTCAGAGGGCTGAGGCAGAAGAATCACTTGGACCCAGGAGGCAGAGGTTGTAGCGAGCCAAGATCATACCACTGCATGCCAGCCTGGGAAGGAGAGTGAGATTCCATCTTGGGGAGGGGGGAGGAACCTTGCAAGGTAGATAACAGTAGCCCCTATTTGGAAGGTGGCACAGCTGGGGTCCAGATAGATGAAGTAACTTGCCCAAGGTCACACAGTTAATAAATGGCAAAGCTTGGATTGGAGCCCACATCTTTTGATTATACCACAGATGCTGACCCCATAAAAAGAAGTCCTATACCTAGGTCCTATACCACACAACTTAGAGTCCAAACCAAAACATTTCATAGGGTGACCAACCATTGTGGTTTGCCCAGAACTGAGAAGTTTCTCAGGACAAGGGACTTACAGTAACAAAACTGGCATAGGCCTGGGCAGACAGGGACAGTTGGTCATTCTACTTCTGAAGGAGAAAGGGAACACTATTATTCAGTTTGGGATACTTTTTGATTTCCCTTGTGATTTCTTCTTAGACAAATGGATTGTTTAAAATTGTATTGCTTGATTCCCAAATATCTGGGGGATTTTCTAGATATTTTTTAATTTAAAGTGTAATTCCATTTTGGTTTGGGAACATACTGTATATGATTTTAACCTTTGGAAATTTGAGATTTATTTTGTGGTCCAGCACATGGTCTACCTTGTTGAATGTTCCATTTGCATGGGAAATGGATGTGTCCTGCTGTCACTGAGTGGAGGGTCTGTAAGTGTCAGCTGGGCCAAGTGGGTCCATAGCGCTGTTCAGATCTTCCAGATCCTTGGCCTATCAGAGATCCTTTGTGCTACCAATTACTGAGAGCAAGATAATAAGATTCCCTATGACAGATCTGTCTGCTTCTACCTTTAGTGTGGTCAATTTTTGCTTCTTATTTTTTGAAACTCTGTTACTAGGTGCCTGTGCAATTAGGAATGTTATGTCTTCTGATGAATTGGCCCTTTTTATCACTACGAAAAGTCCCTCTTTATCTCTGGCAATATTCCTTCTCTTGAAGTCTATATTAAATAATTCATAAGCTCCTTGCCAATTCTAAAAAAGGAAAAGTATGTATGTCCCTGCAGCTGCCCTGAGTCATTTAATTAAAAGATATTCATGGGTTGTTTTTTCCACTCCCTCTTGGTGCGTGACAGATCTCAGTGTTTAGCACATCCTTTTATACAAAAACAAATTGTCTGTTTGGTTAAAACCTTCCCAGATGTGATTCCAGTTTGGCTGTTGTGAAAGCAGCTGTTTCAGCCAAGTTGATGAGGTACTTTGTCTTGGGAAGAAGTGGCAATTTAACAGTTCTCATAAACCCAAATCTCTGGGCTCCCAAATACATTGCACCGGTGAGGCTAATGCTAATGTTGCCCTTTGGAAACTTCAAAAACACAGGTGACCTTCTCAGTAATAACCTCCTTCCTTACAGCTTGTCTGTCATTTTGTCTACACAGAGATATGCTTGGATATGGTGGGGCCTCAGGGCTCACAATGATGCCAGAACTTAGAGCTGCCATGCAGATGGGCAGTGGGCAGGTAAAAAGAGGCTTATGTGTGGTTGTGTGGTTTCTAGTTTAGAAGACGGGGAGAATGGTGTTTCCAAAGACTGGAATAGGGTCGCTGGTTGGTACCATCTTATTTCATCATCATTTCTCCCCTGTTCAGCCCAGCGATAAGCATCTAGTAGAGGCTTAATCATATTTGTGGATGATTCAATAATTGAGTAAATGAAATTGAAGTCAGAATATGCTCTCAGAGGAAGGAAGGGAATAAATCAGGGATCAAACACTCCACTCCATCAGGGACTCTATTGGTCAGGTTTCAATTGCAGCTCAGTTCCCCTTTATCTAGCTAGTTTAAGGAGAAGTGAATTTAAGTCAGGGAATTGGGTACTTACAGGGGCATTGGAAGGGATGGAGGAATAAATAGTCTGTAGGCTGAGAGGAGATTCCTAAAAAACATCACAGAACTGCTCCGCCAAAGGAAGGGAATTGACACTTCTGCTATAATCAAAAAGCTGAGGAGGTACCAAATAGCTACTGGCTGGAGGTCTCCACCTCTGGTGGCCAGGGTTCAGGAAGCTGCTCCTAGGGCTGTTGGCTCCAGAGTCATGTTGTGCCTGTTGGAATCCAGCACGGAAAATAGGTGCTGCAAACCTCCCCACTTAGTTCTGAATTCATGTCCCAAGCAAGTGCATCTGATTGATAAATCTGAATCCCATCCAGAGCCATTCCTGCAAGGAGCTTGGGACAGGCAGATCTTAGCTTCCCAGCCTCTACCAGAGAGGAGGGTATCCTAGAAGTGGGTTGGAATGGATGCTGAGTGAACCCACCTACCATCTCTACTACGAGTGCCAATGTGGCTGGTATAAAACAGTGGGTGTGGTACCTGAGGGAGATTCAAAATGATTCAAGAACATTGTGCTGGCCAGGTGAGACACATCTCAGCTACACCTGCCTCACTCTGGGACCATGAGGCTCCTGCCATGAACAAAAGCTAGAGAGGCTGGAGGAGAGCTCTAGGTGAATGCCCCAAGTAGGGAGGAGGGGAGGAAGAAAAGCCAGTAAAGCAAGCATGAAAGGAAAAGGAGCAGGGAAGGAGAGAAACCAGGAAGATGGGAGTGGCCACCTGTATTAGGGTTCTCTTAGAGGGACAGAACTAATAGGAGATATATGTGTGTGTGTGCGTGTGTGTGTGTGTGTATATATATATATATACACACACACACACACACGCACACACACACATATATATATGGGAGTTTATTAAGTATAAATTTACATGATCACAAGGTCCCACAATAGGCCGTCTGCAAGCTGAGGAGCAAGGGGAGCCAGTCTGAGTCCCAAAACTGAAGAACTTGGAGTCCGATGTTCAAGGGCAGGAAGCATCCAGCACAAGAGAAAGATGTAGGCTGGGAAGTTAGGGCCATCTCTCCTTTCCATGTTTTTTTTCTGCCTGCTTTATATTTGCTGTAAGATGACTAGATTGTGC
Organism: Homo sapiens; assembly: GCF_000001405.40. Lineage (NCBI taxonomy): Eukaryota > Metazoa > Chordata > Mammalia > Primates > Hominidae > Homo > Homo sapiens. The sequence continues at coordinate 118,631,248 of NC_000010.11, forward strand.
CCATCAGATTAAGGGTGGATCTGCCTTCCCCAGTCCACTGACTCAAATGTTAATCTCTTTTGGCAACACCCATACAGACACACCCCGGATTAATGCTTTGTATCCCTCAATCCAATCAAATTGACACTCAGTATTAAACCATCACACACCCATCATCAGAGAAGAGGAGGCCCCTGTAAGATGTACAGGGGCAGCAGGGGAAAGCCGCACTGGAGGGAGTGAAACAGGCCCTTTGGCAGGACCTGGTAAAGCTGAAAATGCACACCCAGTCTCCTTTTGAGAGACTCACACACAGCCTCAGGGAGGCAGGCACAGGCACAGCCACCAGAGTTAGGGAGAAATTCCCACCCGGATGTCCAGCAGTCATTGTAAAGTGGTGGGTACACAGCATGTAATACTTCACAGTTAAACGGAAGTATATGTGTGTGTCCAGATCATATATGTCAACACAGATTTCAAAAACAATGTTGGATGGGAAAAGCAAGATGACAAATGTGTCTAGAACAATGCCATTTGTGTCAATTTTGAAAACACACGTATGAATCCTGCTCAAGGACATGGAAGCATGTGTGTACTTATTGCAGACTGGAAGCATCCACAGTAACCTCCTGCTACAGGTTAACTCGGGATGGTTGTGGGGAGTGAAATGGGATTGGTCAACATAGCTTAACAGGACTGTACCTCCATTGCTAATGCTTATTTATTTAAGTATGGAAGAAAATAGGATGTTAACAGCTACTAATTTAAGTGGTGACAATGTCTTGGTTATATTCTTTTTGTACTTTGGTTGGTGGTTTAGATTTTTGCTCCCCCAAAAGCTCATGCTGAAATTTGATCCCCAGTGTTGAAGGTGGGGCCTAATGGGAGGTGTTTGGGTCAGGGGGGTGGATCCCTCATGAATGGCTTAGTGCTGCCCTTGAGATAATGAGTGAGTTCTCATTATCTCCACAAGAGCTGGTTGTTGAAAAGAGCATGGTACCTCCCCCTCGCTCTCTTGCTTCCCCTCTTGCCACGTGAGCTCTGCACATGCCCACTTCCCTTCACCTTCTTCCATGAGTGGAAGCAGCCTGAGGTACTTATCAGAAGCTGAATCAATGCCAGTGCCATGCTGCTTGTATGGCCTGCAGAACCATGAGCCAAAGAAACCCCTTTTCTTTATAAATGGCCCAGCCTCAGATATTCCATTATGGCAACACTAAACAGACTAAGACAAGTACTTTTCCATGCAATTTAATTTCTCACAAAATAGATTTTTTTAAGAAAAGAGAGTGGGTGATTCTGAAGTGGTTTTGCACATTTAATGCCACTCAATGCACATTTGTTTCTTACTGACCTGTTTGGATGCTATGATTGTTGTCTAGTGGGAGAGGCAGGATTTGCCAGGGCCAAGGTTTAGGCAAATTGATGGGGCTTCAAGCAGCTCATCTCTGCATTTGGTGATGCAATCTAAAAACATCCCAGCTCTGCTGCTCTGGAGGGCAGGTAGACAGGCTCAGCAGACTGGCAGGGACGTGGACAGGTACCCTCCACCAGAGCCTGGCTGCCCCCATTCTCAGGATTAGTGGTCCCCTCCAATCCCTCCTCTGAACTTTTCCCCCTCACCCTAAGGAGTCAGAGGGCAATGAGAAAAGTATCCCAGAGAGCAAGGCAGTTGTTCTCTCCAAGGAGAACACATGAACTAAAGCAGGGAAGTAGAGTCCTCACAGGAGACAGAGCCTCGACTCTTTCTGGTGAGCCTGACCTTGTCCTGGTTGCTTATCTCAGGCTATCTCCTCCACTTTCATAAACTCTGATCTCCTAGGCAGAGACTGGGAGAAAATCCCATTGGATGAATGCCCATGTATACCAGGCTCTGAGGCAGACACACACTCACACAACAGATTCACTCTCTGCTGTCTCCCAACAAGCCTGTGGGTGACTTAGGGCTCCTTGGTTGCAAGCAAGAGAAACTAACGCTGGAGAATGTAAACAAAAAGGGGTCTATCAGAAGGTTATTGGTTAGGCTCATGGAAGTGACAAGAAGACTGGAGAAATGGATCAGAAGAGGACCTGGAAGCTGGGCAGATCCCAAGTTCTAAGGAATAACATCTCTCAGGAGTCTTGCCAGGGTCTGCCTGTCAGAATGAGGAGCACGGGTCATTCTTGGGATGTCCCTGGATCCACTCTGATTGACCCACCCTCTACAAGTCCCTCTGGGATTATACACAGTGGAGAAGGTAATTCCCCAAAAGGAAATCAAGGAACTGTTAAAAAGGGAGAAGAGTTGATGAGCAGCCAACAAAGAGCAAATGTCCACCAAACTTTAAGGATGGTTATAATCCCACCCATTTTACCGATAAGGAAACTGAGTCCCAGAGAGATTAAATAATTTTCCTAGGGCCACACACTTAGTACAGAACTGGGATTCCAGCTTCGTTCCTTGGGCCCCAAAGCCCGTGCTTATCCCACTCACCATTCCTAAATCTCCAAAGACCTAAGAAGGGCGAACAGGACAAACATCACCCGCAGAGTCAAGGCCCCCTCCTGAGTTTTATCTCTGTACACAGGTCATCTGAAAACTGCAGCTTTTCAAAATTTCCGTGCTTTCTCACCCCAGATGGAAATTAAGGCCATGACAAAGCTCAGGACTTGGTGCTGTGCTATGGGATGCTGCTCAAGTGATTGCCTTATTATAGCAAGCCCAGAGACGTAATTTCTCAAACCATCTGGCTGGAGTACGTGCCTGGGAAGGAAGAATTAAGATGCCCTTGGAGAGACTAATCAAATAATAAATGGCAGACACACTCCTGAGAGCCTTGGTTCGTGGAGAAGTAGCCCTGGAAGCTGTTAAGGACCCTGCACCCGAGACACGCCTGTGTGCATCTGCCTTTCTGCTCTCCCTTTGCAGAGAGAGAAGGCTCCCTCTGTCCATCCTGGTGGCAAGTGGGGAGGGGACGGGGGACAGGAAACTGAGTTCCAAATGGGGAGCATTCAGCACAGATGACATGAGCTTGTTTCTCTCCTGAAGAGCCCAGTTGATCACACCTGGGCTAAAACATTTCAGCTACAATCCCATGCTAATCTTTTCACCGTGATAACAGCCAATATTTCAGCTGCACTTTTCCCTCAGGAAGACTAGGAATAAACAGCAGGGGGAACAGAAAGGCAGCAAGACTTGCAGCAGGACTCTTCCATCCAAGAGTAGCCTTCTGAAACAAGAGCAGGCAGCTTGGAACTGGTCTGAATGTGTTTCAGATGAAGAGGTGGCACCAGGCTAGATATTAAGAGACAATCTCCTATCGACTAGCTCTGAGTTAAAGGCATATGTGTGTTTGGGGGTGGGGTGGTGTGGGCATGCGCCCTGCAATACACAGCGCAATCAGAGCAAGCAAGAATCATCCAGCCCAACATACACCAGGGTTTCCTACCTTCAGCACTATTGATATTTTGGGCTGGTTAAATTTTTTGTTGTGGGGTGTCCTGTGCATTGTAGTATGTTTAGCAGCATCTGGGGCCTCCACCTGCTAGATGCCAGGAGAACCCAACCAGATCCACCCAACCCCATCTCTCTCCAGACCCTTCATCCTTCCCAAGCTCATTCCCCCCACCCATCCCACCAACAATGCCAACAGCCTAGATCAGAAACTGCTGGGCTCTGGGCTAAATTGGGCTTGCTTTGGTTTGCTGGTGTTTTAAGTTCTTTAATTGGCTGCTAGAAGAACAAGTTTAATTTTCAACTTGTCCTGATAACTTCAAAACTTAGAAAACACGGACTTCCCTGGCAAGCTCCAGGGTCCCTTGTCCCCGTAGCAACCTCTAATCCTACTCACGCCCACCCCCCTGACTTATGGGACCAGCCCAGCCTTCTAGGCATTTGTGTTTGTGCCCCTGGTCTGTGCAGATGTGCCCCTGGTCTGTGCAGATATACCTGATACCTTGAGCCCTAGGGCCCTCTGTAAATACCCTCTCCTGACCCAAGGTGACCCTGAGGCCAAGGATTCCATAGTATTGTTTCTAATCCTTCTTTCTTATAATGAGGCCTCTCACTGTGGGGCACCTCACAGCCTACAAGGCTGTCTCACAGTTTCATGGCCATCCTCTTCGTCTTTGCAACAGCCCTGGAAGACGGAGGCATAGGTACAATCTCCCCCAGACTATAGGAGGGAAAACTGATTCACTTTACCCAAATGACCCAACTTATTGATAGAGGAGCTGCTTGGAGCCCAAGGCTCTGGTCTAGGGTTTGCTCCTATTATAGGAGATTACAATAGAATCCTTCTGATTCATATATTGAAGCCCTAACCCCCAGTGTGGTCATATTTGGAGATGGCACCTCTAAGGGAGTAATTAAAATAAAAGCATAAGGGTAGGGCCCTGATCTGATAGCATTTGTTTCCTTGTAAGAAAAGACACCAAGAGCTCCAAATTTCTGTCTCACTTGCTCAGCACACACACACACATTGAGGAAATGTTCTATGAGCACCCAGTAAGAAGGCAGCAGTCTGCAAGCCAGAAAATGAGTCCTCACCAGAAACCTTGATCTTAGACCTCCAGACTCCAGAACTGTGAGAAAATAAACATCTGTTGTTCAAGCTCCCCAACCTGTGGTAGGCAGCACTAACATCTCTCAGCAGGGGCCACCTTTGCACAGGGACCCCCTGAGGACTGTGGCCCCAGGGCTGAGAAGCTGGTTGGTGAGTGAGCGCCTACTCTGCCTCTGCTCACTCTGCTTCAGCTGCACAAGGGCCCTGCTGCTCCCCCATCTGCCACCCCAGCCTCAGGACTTTGCCTGGCTCTCCCCTCCCCCTGGAGCTCCCAGGTCTCTATTCTGTTTCTGCTTGCTTCCCCAACTCAGCTCCTCGGCTTTCTTTCCCTTAGAGTACTAGTCTCTATGTTGCATTATATCATGAACTCACTTGCCTGCTGTCTGCCTCTCCCACTAGAATCTAAGCTCATAAGCAAGGTTGTCTGTCTGGTTTATCTCTGTGTCTACAACAAAGCCTAGCACATAGCGGACACTTAATAGCAATCTTGGTTTTTTTCAGACTGCTATAATAAAATACCAGAAACTGGGCAGCTTATAAATAACAAGTTTATTTCTCACAGTTCTAGAAACTAGGAAGCCCAAGATCAAGCTGCCCGCAGATTCAGTGTCTGGGGAGGGTCTGCTTTCTGGGTGAGAGATGGCACCTTCTCTCTGTGTCCTCACATAGTGGAAGGAGCAAGCAAGCTCTTTGATCAGGGCATTAATGCCATTCATGAGGGCTCCACCCTCATGACCTAATCACCTCCCAAAGGCCCCACCTGTACATGCCATCACCTTGGGGGTTAGGCTTTCAACATTTGAATTTTAGGGCTACAGAAACATGCAGATAATAGCAATAGCTAATTGCTGAATTCAGCTTATGTACTTGATGTATTAAAGGAAAATTGAGCCATTATGTTTTTTTGTTTTTTGTTTTTGTTTTTGAGACAGAGCCTCACTCTGTTGCCCAGGCTGGAGTGCAGTGGCATGATCTCAGCTCACTGCAACTGCTGCCTCCTGGGTCCAAGCGAGTCTCATGACTCAGTCACTGGGACTACAGGCGTGCATCACCATGCCCAGCTAATTTTTGTATTTTTAGTAGAGACAGGGTTTTGTCATGTTGACTAGGCTGGTCTTAAATTCCTGGCCTCAAGTGATCCACCCACCTCAGCCTCCCAAAGTGCTGGGATTACAGGTGTGAGCCACTGCGCCCAGCCGTTGTTTTTATGATTATATAAGAAATGTATGCTCATAAAAAATCAGATAACACATCAACTTACAAAGAAGGAAATAATTCTGACTCCAGTCTCTTCTATTCTCTCTACCATCTCACACATATCAAAGCACTTGTTAAAATATTTATGGTCTTCCTTCTCTTAGATCTTTTTCTAATACTAAAATACTTAATATATACTGGGGCCCCTTGCTCCTCAGAGATCCAGATGCGGTTGGTAAGACTGCCAATTCATAGCCCACCACAGTCCCCAGTTCCTGCTGGTTCCTAGGGGCCTCCTCTGCTCCCTGGTCCGCTCAGCTGTGGACCCTGCACCCCATGTGCTGTGTCTGTTTCTCCCCCTAATTCCCCATGCATAGAACTCAGCTGTCTTGCCACTGTCCATAGGAAATCCTCTCAGGCATTTTGACTTTCCTGAATACATGGGAGTCCCACTGCCAATGTTGTGGTCACTCCTCCCTGACTCCTAGACTGCTCTGGCAGCTCCAAGCCAGCCCACCCCGCATCAGGCAAGGAGAGGTGATGCTTCCAGCTTCACCCTCAACCTGGAGCTCCCTCCAGGGATCAGCAGAACAAAGCAGGCTCCATCTGACCAGAGTCACCCTTCTGAAAACACAGTTGTTATAAAAAGCAACAATGACAACAAATCTGTTACACATATATATACCTTTTTACCCAAACAAGATCATACTCTGTTATGGACCAAACTGTCCTTTCCCCCTTCCCTTTCAAATTCATATGTTGAAGCTGTAACCCCCAATGTGACTGTATTTGAAGATAGAACCTTTACGGAGGTAATTAGGAAGACAATTCAGGTTAAATGAGGTCATAAGATCATTGAATAGAGCCCTAATCCTGTAAAATGGGTGCCTCTATAAGAAAAGAGACACCAGCAGTCTCACTTTGCACACATGGAAAAGGCCATGTGAACACAGAGCAAGAAGGTGGCTGTTTGCAAGGCAGAAAGAGAGCCCTCACCAGAAACAACCCTTTGGCACCTTGATGTTGGACTTCCCAACCTCAGAACTATGAGGAAATAAACATCTGTTTAAGCCATCCAGTCTTGGGTACAGCAGCTGGAACTCATCAACACATACTCTACACACTATTTAATAAACTGCTTTTTCACCTAGTAGAATATGGTAGATATCTTTTTGGGTTCTTTCATATCAGTGCTACCTTGTTATTTTGAACAACTACATTCAGCTTATACTGAATATTTCTGAAATTGAGGCTTTTAATGTGTGTCCAAATCAATGTGTTCTGCCTTAGAACAGAAACTTCCTGAGGGCTGGGCACAGTGGTTCATGTCTGTAATCCCAGCATTTTAGGAGGCCGAGGCAGATGGATCACTTGAGCCAAGGAGTTCCAGACGAGCCTGGGCAACATGGCAAAACCCTGTCTCTACAAAAATTACCAAAAAATTAGCCAGGCATGATGGAATGCACCTGTAGTCCCAGCTACTTGGGAGGCTGAGGTGAGAGGATTGCTTGAGCCTTAGAGGTTGAGGCTGCAGTGAGCCAAAATCACACCACTGCACTCCAGCCTCGGTGACAGTGAGATCCAATCTCGAAAAGAGAAGAAAAGAAACTTCATGAGAGCAGCATCCTGAGAACCAAGAGTAGGAAGGCTCAGTCTCCAAAGATCCTACGAAGCAGAATCCACATCTCTGACAGCTCTGCAGAGATGAAGACATAGTCATGTTCCCCTAACCCTGGGATAAGACCCCTCTCTCACGCGCCTCCTTGCAGTGTGGTCAGGGGCTTCCTTCCCCTGAGCCCGTGCCCCCTCCCAGAAAAATGTAGCCTCTGAGACACAAGCAGGTCTGCAGCAAGACCGCTTCTCTCCCTCCCTCAACGTGCAGGTTGCTCTCGGAGTTGCTGCCATCGGAAGTTTTCTAGGCAGAGGTTAGTGCCTCATGAATGTAATTAGTGATAATGGCCCTGAGTCAGCCAGGAGGTCTGTTTTTCAGTCGGTTTTTCAAATTAGGACAGAGAAAACATTTTCACTGCCACCCAGGCTGGCTGGGTGCTGTCCACGCTGTGACCTTCCTCCCTGGCCCAGTCCTTTCAGAAATAGAAAAATCCCACTTCCAGTTAGAGGACGAGAAAGGCACAGCTCCAATCACTAGAGCTGTTGACAAAAATCAGCCACATGCTGAGGCAGGTCTGCTGAGCTGTTCAGACCATGTGCTTTCACAGTCCTGGTGCTTGTACCTGGCCCTGGCTGGGTACAGGAAACCTACAGGGGTCTCTATAAAATGAGGGGGTTTTGGAGACAGGCGGGCAGGGCTGGTTGGAAAATCTTGAGACAGATCACCTGCTACCCTGCTGGGCAACCCTCTCCTGACCCCAGCAGAGTCCCTCATCCTTCTTGCAGCTGGCCCTAACCACTTTCCAACTGGAGATTGATGACCTGCCTCCGTTTCTTCCTCCCTGTAGTTCTTGGGGGTAGGCAGCTGGACCTCTTCTCCTCAGCTCTTCTTCCCTCCCCCAGTGATGCTTCCTCTAAGATCTCCCATTCCTCCCCATCCCAAAGACAATGACGATGACAAAGAATCACTTACAGAACAGTGGGGCTTCATCAGACTGCATCCTTTCTGTGGACCATCTCACCAAATGCTCAGTTTATCTCTGAGTGGTAGGTCCTAATGCTATGCCTGTCCCACACATGAGAAAAGCGAGATGTCCCAGGGTAGGGATGGGGGAACATGACAGTACCTCCATTTCTTTGCCTACAGAACTGTCAGGGATGTGGGTTCTGCCTCGCAGGACCTTTGGAGACTGAGCCTGGCCATTCCTGGTTCTTCAGATACTGCTGTCAGTGAATTGCCCAGCTAGGAAGTGGTGGAGGTGAACTTGGACCCCAGTGCACCTACTCCTGAGCACCATACTCGTGCCTCAACAGAAGGGTAGAGTGTCAAAGACCCCAAAGGGCAAAGGTGGAGGCATCCCACTGGAGTGGGAACGTGCAGGACCTGCAGCTGGACACTGCTCTGGTACCACCTGCATCTGATGTTTTGATTGGTATCAGGGAACCTGCCCCCGATAGTCACGTAGGTTCTTTTCTATTTTCCCTAAGCATCGGCCGGGTTGAGAAATAAAGGGACAGAGTACAAAAGAGAGAAATTTTAAAGCTGGGCATCTGGGGGAGACATCACATGTCGGTGGGTTCAGTGATGCCCCCTGAGCCGTGAAACCAGCAAGTTTTTATTAGTGATTTTCAAAAGGGGAGGGAGTGTACGAATAGGGTGTGGGTCACAGAGATCACGTGCTTCACAAGGTAATAGAATATCACAAGGCAAATGGAGGCAGAGGGAGATCACAGGACCACAGGACCGGGGCAAAATTAAAATTGCTAATGAAGTTTCAGGCACCATTGTCATTGATAACATCTTATCAGGAGACAGGGTTTGAGAGCAACCGGTCTGACCAAAATTTATTAGGTGGGAATTTCCTCGTCCTAATAAGCCTGGGAACGCTATGGGAGACTGGGGCTTATTTCATCCCTACAGTTTCGACCATAGAAGACGGCCACACCCAAGGGGGCCATTTTAGAGGCCTACCCTCAGGGGCACATTCTCTTTCTCAGGGATGTTCCTTGCTGAGAAAAAGAATTCAGCGATATTTCTCCCATTTGCTTTTGAAATAAGAGAAATATGGCTCTGTTCCGTCTGGCTCAGTGGTGGTCAGAGTTTAAGGTTATCTCTCTTGTTCCCTGAACATTGCTGTTATCCTGTTCTTTTTTCAAGGTGCCAAGATTTCATGTTGTTCAAACACACATGCTCTACAATTTGTGGAGTTAACGCAATCATCACAGGGTCCTGAGGTGACATACATCCTCCTCAGTTTACGAGATGACAGGATTAAGAGAGTAAAGACAGGCATAGGAAATCACAAGGGTATCGATTGCGGAAGTGATAAGTGTCCATGAAATCTTCACAATTTCTGTTTAGAGATTGCAGTAAAGACAGGTGTAAGAAATCATAAAAGTATTCATTTGGGGAACTAATAAATGTCCATGAAATCTTCACAATCCACATTCTTCTGCCATGGCTTCAGCTGGTCCCTCCGTTCAGGGTCCCTGACTTCCCACAACACATTGGGTCTAATGGTCATGGCAGGGAGGAGTCCCCACCCATACTGTAAACCCTCAGAGGGCACAGCAGCATCAGCTAGCTTTGTCTGGTATGGGTCTTTGTGCATCCCTTGAGGCCTCATGCCAAGACAAGAGTGCCCACCTGAAAGGTTCCCAGCCTCCCACAGCTGGGCTGGGATCATGCCTGCCCCTGCTCACCCCCGAGGCTGCTGGGAGCCCTCAGCTAAATCTCCTCAGCAGGAGCTCTCCAACCCTGCAGGCCTGAGTTCAGCCCCATACCCCAGCAGTTGCTCTACCCTCAAAATCCCCCACAGAAGGTTCCTGGTCATTTCCACTCCAATTTCCTTGGCTTTATTTAGCCCTTAACACCTGTCCTGTCCAGCCCGTTCCCCACTGGGAGACCAGAGGAAGGGAGGAAAGGTCATATGGGAAAGACACCTGGGGACACAGTCCATCCCTGAATCAGAAGACAGGGGGGCCAGGTTCAGGGCTTTCTTCCTCCACTGACTCACCTCTCAGGGTTCAATTGCCTCATCTGTGCAACGAACATGAAAGTCACCAGCCCGCCTAAAGGCAGAAGCTTAGGCAGATGAACTTCTGAAGGCATGTCCTACCCTCAAGCTCTATAATAGATAGGTCTAATAGGTCACAAGTAGCACTGGGGATCTACACGTGCTTGGGAAGGCTGCAGAGCTAATCCTCCTCCTGGTTTCTGGGGCAGTGTTTGAGTCTCACCAGTCAGTTACTGCAAATGGGCTCTGGGATAGGCATTTCATCCCCATACCCCTTCCCTTCTCTCCCTTCTCTTTCCCTCCCCACTGCAGGATACTTCCTGCCCCTGCTAAGTTGGCTTCCCCCAGGAAAAGGTAGGGACAGTCCAGCCTTACAGGAGTGCATGCTTGTCCTCCAGGTGAGGGCTGAGTTGCTCATACCTGGTATTCTCAGCTGCTGCCTTCACTGCAGCTTTGATGATGTTGCTGCTACCTTGGTTCCAACACAATGGTCATTCATGGCCACAGGAGGATTGCCCCTTTCCAGAACAAGGTGGAAGATGACTGGCAGGCACAGGCATCTGTTCTCTGGCCTCTAAAGCCCTCAGTGAACCTAAGATTAAATAAGTAGCCTTTGTTGCCACTGCTAAGAGGAAGGGAGATGGGACCAGAGAAGCCTCAGAGGGAGACAGTCCATGGAACTAGGGTTGTAGGGGGAATTGAGGGTGCTGACTCCAAACTCCTCCAGGCACTGCCTTCAGTCTGGGCACCTTCTGGGCTGTCAGCTGGGCAATCCCACCACCAGGAAGGTGAGCCTGGGGCATCAGGGGCTGCTGAGCCATGGGCTTGGGTCTGCCTGAGTTGGCACCACAGGGTCTACAGCATCTCTCTGGGCTGATGGCCTAGGCTGTGCAACCTCAGGGAACATGCTTAACTTCTCTGAGCCTCACGTTTCCCAAATGTCAAATGCACCATATGGATACAAAGATCTAGTTTTCAAACACTTTCAGCAGCAGATCCTCCAAATGTAAAAGAGGTGACGGCAGAGCCTGATGAATTTGGGAGGTTCTGGGACAGTTGGGGCCCCACCCAAAGACCTACCTATGTGGTCATGCTCCCCCTCAAGGGCTGGCCGGCTGAATTGAAATATCTTACATGTAAACTTTCACGTAAATATCTTACATGAAAAGTTAGCATAAACTCAAATTCTCAAATGAATTGCTGGCAATTGACTTTCTGCTAGTAAAGTTTCTTAAGCAAGCATGAATTTCCCTTTAAAAATCTAAATATTGTGCTTACCAAATCAAGCAAGAAATCTGGTTACATAGACAAAATGGTCATTTGGCAAAGTAATTGGTGAGTTTTGTTAGAATGCAGAAATGTGGTCTCCACCCCAGACCCACTGAATCAGGCCCTGCATTTTAACAAGATCTCCAGAGATCCCTACTGTCCTTCAAGTTTGAGAAGTGCTAAGTTAAAGCAATCACATTTGCATCACCCTAGCTCTTGAGAAATGGTCAGCATTCAGGCCCCCACTCCAGGGGTTCTCTGTTGGCCTGGGGTGAGGTCCATCCAGGTGCCCAGGTGTTGTGAAGTTCCTCAGGTGATGTCAGTGTGGATGCAGGGCCTGACTGCTGGGAGGGCCAGCAGCCACGCTTGTCTAAATGTCTTCATCTTCTCCCTCTTCTTTCATTCCCTTGGGGACCTTGAATTTCCAAGCTCTGGCAGATGCTCTCACTGGAGCCTGATTTCTGTCACCTAAAGCTGACAGTCACAAGCCGACAGCCAGGGAGATGCATCCCTTTCAAAGCAACTGAGTGGCGTGTCAGTTCATACTTTGCATGGGGCTAACCACTGGGAGGATAACAGTCGCAGAAGCGACCCAGTGGGGACAGAGGCAGGGCCAGCCTTCACTGACCACTTACTTCTTGGACCATCTCAGGGCAATTGGTCTGGGCAAGAGAGCCCTGTCCAAGCAAAGATCACAGGGCAGCCGGGGCAAGAGGGAGGCTGCTGGGGCTAGAAGAAGGGGCTGTAATGAGGACCAGGGGATAGAGTAGGAGCTTAGAGCCTCCATCCTTGACTCAAAGCCAAGATTCTGAATGCTCTTCAAGCTCTGCTTCTCAAGCTCCAGCCTACATCAGAATTACCTTGGGGCTTTTAAAAATACAGACTACATGACTACATAGCTGTCACCGTGGCTGCTGTCGGTGCAGGGGAACCCCCATCCCCAGACGTCCCCGGATGAATTGCTCCCAAAAGGCAAAGCCGTGAAGACTGAGGAGGAGCTGGAGGAGGATGACGATGAGGAGCTAGAGGAGACCCTGTCAGAGAGACTATGGGGCCTGACGGAGATGTTTCCGGAGAGGGTCCGGTCCGTGGCTGGAGCCACTTCTGATCTCTTCCTCTTTGTGGCTCAAAAAATGTACAGGTTTTCCAGGGCAGCCTTGTGGACTGGGACCACTTCCTTTATGATCCTGGTTCTTCCCCTTGTCTTTGAGACTGAGAAGTTGCAAATGGAGCAACAGCAGCAACTGCAGCAGCAGCAGATACTTCTAGGGCCTAACACAGGGCTCTCAGGAGGAATGCCAGGGGCTCTACCTTCACTTCCTGGAAAGATCTAGATTGTCACTGCTGTTTGAGCTATCTTGGTGGGAGAAGTTTGAAATTCAATAGTGTTTGAACTGCTGATTATTTGGATTTTTTTTTCTTTAACTTTGGCACATTGATCTATCTAAATCTAGTAGGGAGAATTCTCCCCACATTGTCTCATGGAAAGACTCAACTTGCAACTGTGCCCTCCACACTATCCTGACTTCTTTTCTTCACTCTGATACCATAGTGCAGCCATGCAGACAGTTATTCCAGCTCTAGCCGCTCCTTTCACCAAATTGCTCCTAACTGGAAGATCTCACTTTCCCTTTGTGGGCTAGGAACCGATGAAAGTGGGAGGGATGTGCCCCTGACCATTAACGACTGCTTTTTTATTTATTTTTTGGAATAGAAGGGTTTTTCTGATGTTTTAGAATTTTTATGGTTTCAGGTCTTAGATTTAAGTCTTTGATCGATTTTGAGTTGCTTTTTGCATAAGGTGAGAGATGAGGATCCAGTTTCATTCTTCTACATGTGGCTTGCCAATTATCCCAGCACCATTTGTAGAATAGGGTGTCCTTCCCCCACTTTGTTTTTGTTTGCTTAGTTGAAGATCAGTTGATTGTAAGTATTTAGCTTTATATCTGAGTTCTCTATTCTGTTACATTGGCCTCTATGCCCATTTTTATACCAATACCAGGATGTATTTTGGTGATTATGGCCTTATAGTATAGTTTGAAGTCAGCTAATGTGATGCCTCCAGATGTGTTCTTTTTGCTTAGTCTTGCTTTGACTATGTGGACTCTTTTTTTGGTTGCATATGCAATTAGGATTGTTTTTTCTAGTTCTGTGAAGAATGATGGTGCTATTTTGAGAATTTGCATTGAATTTTTAGAATGTTTTTGGCAGTATGGTTATTTTCACAATATTAATTCTACCCGTTCATTAGCATAGGATGTATGTCCATTTGTTTGTGTCAATGGAAAAACATCATGTGTCAATTTCTTTCAGCAATGTTTTGTACTTTTCCCTATAGAGGTCTTTTACCTCCTTGGTTAAGTATATTTCTCGATATTTTATTTTCTTGCAGCTATTGTAAAAAGGGCTGAGTTCTTGATTTGATTCTCAGCTTGGTCACTGTTGGTGTAAAACACAGCTACTGATTTGTGTATATTAATTTTGTATTCTGAAATTGGGCAGAATTCATTTACCAGTTTTAGGAGCTTTTTGGATGAGTCTTTAGGGTTTTCTAGGTATACGATCATGTCATCAGCAAACAGCAACAGTTTGACTTTGTCTTTACCCACTTGGATGCCCTTTCTTTCTCTTGTCTGTTTGTTCTGGCTAGAACTTCCAGTACTATGTTGAATAGAAGTGCTGAAAGTGGGCATCCTTGTCCTGTTCCAGTTCTCAGTGGGAATGCTTTCAACTTTTCTTTATTCAGTATAATGTTGGCTGTGGGTTTGTCATAGATGGCTTTTATTACCTTAAGCTATGTCCCTTTTATGCAATTTTGCTAACAGTTTCAATCATAAAGTGATGCTGGATTTTGTCAAATGTTTTTTCTGCATCTATTGAGATCATGTGATTTTTCTTTTTAATTCTGTTTATATGGTGTATCACATTTATTGACTTGCAGATGTTGAATCATCCCTGCACCCTTGTTATGAAACCCACTTAATCATGGTGGATTATCCTTTTGATATGCTGTTGGATTCCGTTAGTATTTTGTTGAGGATTTTTGCATCTGTGATACAGATATTAGTCTGTGGTTTTCTTTTTTTGTTATATCCTTTCCTGGTTTTGGTATTAGGGTGATATTGGCTTCATAGAATGATTTAGGGAGGATTCCCTCTTTCTCTATCTCATGGAATAGTGTCAGTAGGATTGGTACCAATTCTTCTTTGAATGCCTGATAGAATTCAGCTGTGAATCTATCTGGTCCTGGACTTTTTTTGTTGGTAACATTTGAATTATTTCAATCTCACTGCTTGTTATTGGTCTGTTCAGAGTTTCTATTTCTTCCTGTTTAATCTACAAATGTTGTATATTTCCAGGAATTTATCCATCTCCTCTATGTTTTCTAGTTAATGTGTGTAAAGGTGTTCATAGTAGCCTTGAATGATCTTTTGTATTTCTGTGGTATTGCTTGTAATCTCTTCCATTTTTTTTTTAATTATACTTTAAGTTCTGGGATACACGTGCAGAACGTGCAGGTTTGTTACATAGGTATACATGTGCCATGGTGGTTTGCTGCACCCATCAACTCATCATCTACATTAGGTATTTCTCCTAATGCTATCCTTCCCCCATCCCCCCACCCTACAACAGGCCCTGGTGTGTGATGTTCCCCTCCCTGTGTCCATGTGTTCTCATTGTTCAACTCCCACTTATGAGTGAGAACATGCAGTGTTTGGTTTTCTGTTCCTGTGTTACTTTGCTGAGAATGATGGTTTCCAACTTCATCCGTATCCCTACAAAGGACATGAATGCATCCCTTTTTATGGCTGCATGGCATTCCATGATGTATATGTGCCACATTTTCTTTATCCAGGCTATCATTGATGGGCATTTGTGTTGGTTTCAAGTCTTTGCTATTGTGAATAGTGCTGCAATAAACATATGTGTGCATGTATCTTTATAGTAGAATGATTTATAATCCTTTGGTTATATACCCAGTAATGTCAGTGCTGGGTCAAATGGTATTTCTGGTTCTAGATCCTTGAGGAATCGCCACACTGTCTTCCATAATGAAGTAATTTACACTCCCACCAACAGTGTAAAAGCATTCCTATTTCTCCACATCCTCTCCAGCATCTGATGTTTCCTGACTGTTTAATGATCACCATTCTAATGGGCGTGAGATGGTATCTCACTGTGGTTTTGATTTGCACATCTCTAATGACCAGTGATGAGCTTTTTTTCAAATGTTTTTTGGCCACATAAATGTCTTCTTTTGAGAAGTCTCTGTTCATATCCTTTGCCCACTTTTTGATGGTTTTTTTTTCTTGTAAATTTGTTTAAATTCTTTGTAGATTCTGGATATTAGCCCTTTGTCAGATGGATAGATTGCAAAAATTTTCTCCCATTCTGTAGGTTGCCTGTTCACTCTGATGATAGTTTCTTTTGCTATGTAGAAGCTCTAGTTTAATTAGATCCCGTTTGTCAATTTTGGCTTTTGTTACCATTGCTTTTGGTGTTTTAGTCATGAAGGCTTTGCCCATGCCTTATGTTCCTGAATGGTATTGCACAGGTTTTCTTCTAGGGTTTTTATGGTTTTAGGTCTTATGTTTAAGTCTTTAATCCATCTTGAGTTAATTTTTGTATAAGGTGTAAGGAAGGGGTCCAGTTTCAGTTTTCTGCATATGGCTAGCCAGTTTTCCCAACACCACTTATTAAATAGGGAATCCTTTCCCCATTGCTAGTTTTTGTCAGGTTCGTCAAAGATCAGATGGTTGTAGATGTGTAGCATTATTTCTGAGGCCTCTGTTCTGTTCCATTGGTCTATATATGTTTTGGTGCCAGTACCATGTTGTTTTGGTTACTGTAGCCTTTGTAGCATAGTTTGAAGTCAGGTAGTGTGATGCCTCCACCTTTGTTCTTTTTGCTTAGGATTGTCTTGGCTTTATGGGCTCTTTTTTGGTTCCATATGAAATTTAAAGTAGTTTTTTCTAATTCTGTGAAGAAAGTCAATGGTAGCTTGATGGGGATAGCATTGAATCTATAAATTACTTTGGGCAGTATGGCCATTTTCACGATATTGATTCTTCCTATCCATGAGCATGGAATGTTTTTCCATTTGTTTGTGTCCTCTCTTATTTCCTTCAGCAGTGGTTTGTAGTTCTTCTTGAAGAGGTCCTTCACATCCCTTGTAAGTTGGATTCCTAGGTATTTTATTCTCTTCATAGCAATTGTGAATGGGAGTTCTCATGATTTGGCTATTATTGGTGTATAGGAATACTTGTGATTTTTGCACATTGGTTTTGTATCCTGAGACTTTGCTGAAGTTTCTTGACAGCTTAAGGAGATTTTGGGCTGAGAGATGGGATTTTCTAAATATACAATCATATCATCTGCAAATAGAGACAATTTTACTTCCTCTCTTCCTATTTGAATAGCCTTTATTTCTTTATCTTGCTTGATTGCCCTGGCCAGAACTTCCGATACTATGTTGAATAGGAGTGGTGGGAGAGAGCATCCTTGTCTTGTGCCAGTTTTCAAAGGGAAGGCTTCCAGCTTTTGCTCATTTAGTGTCATATTGGCTGTGGGTTTGTCATAAATAGCCCTTATTATTCCATCAATGCCTAGTTTATTGAGAGTTTTTAGCTTGAAGGGCTGTTGAATTTTATAAAAGCCCTTTTCTGTATCTATTGAGATAATCATGTGGTTTTTGTCATTGGTTCTATTTATGTGATGGATTACGTTTATTGATTTGCATATGTTGAACCAGCCTTGCATCCAGGGATGAAGCCAAGTTGATCGTGGTGGATAAGCTTTTTGATGTGTTGCTGGATTTGGTTTGCCAGTATTTTATTGAGGATTTTTGCATCAATGTTCATCAGGGATATTGGCCTGAAATTTTCTTTTTTTGTTATTTCTCTGCCAGGTTTTGGTATCAGGATGATGCTGGCCTCATAAAATGAGTTAGGGACGAGTCCCTGTTTTTCGATTGTTTGGAATAGTTTCAGAAGGAATGGTACCAGCTCCTCTTTGTACCTCTGGTAGAATTCAGCTGTGAATCCATCTGGTCCTGGGCTGTTTTTGATTGGTAGGCTATTAATTACTGCCTCAATTTCAGAACTTGTTATTGGTCTATTCAGGGATTGGACTTCTTCCTGGTTTAGTCTTGGGAGGGTGTATGTGTCCAGGAATTTATCCATTTCTTCTAGATTTTCTAGTTTATTTGCGTAGAGGTGTTTATAGTATTTTCTGATGGTAGTTGGTATTTCTGTGGGATTGGTGGTGACATCCCCTTTATAATTTTTTATTGTGTCTATTTGATTCTTCTCTCTTTTCTTCTTTATTGGTCTTGCTACTGGTCTATTTTGTTGATCTTTTCAAAAAACCAGCTCCTGGATTCATCTATTTTTTTGAAGAGTTTTTTTGTGTCTCTATCTTCTTCAGTTCTGCTCTGGTCTTAGTTATTTCTTGTCTTCTGCTAGCTTTTGAATTTGTTTGCTCTTACATCTGTAGTTCTTTTAATTGTGATATTAGGGTATTGATTTTAGATCTTTCCTGCTTTCTCTTGTGGGCATTTAGTGCTATAAACTTCCCTCTACACACTGCTTTAAATATGTCCCAGAGATTCTGGTATGTTGTGTCTTTGTTCTCATTGGTTTCAAAGAACTTATTTATTTCTGTCTTAATTTTGTTATTCACCCAGTAGTCATTCAGGAGCAGATTGTTCAGTTTCCATGTAGTTGTGTGGTTTTGAGTGAGTTTCTTAATCCTGAGTTCTAATTTGATTGCACTGTGGTCTGAGAGATTGTTTGTTATGACTTCTGTTCTTTTGCATTTGCTGAGGAGTGTTTTACTTCCAATTATGTGGTCAATTTTAGAATAAGTACAATATGGTGCTGAAAAGAATGTATATTCTGTTGATTTGGGGTGGAGAGTTCTGTAGATGTCTATTAGGTCTGCTTGGTCCAGAGCTGAGTTCAAGTCCTGAATATTCTTGTTAATTTTCTGTCTCGTTGATCTGTCTAATATTGACAGTGTGGTGTTAAAGTCTCCCACAATTATTGTGTGGGAGCCTAAGTCTCTCTGTAGGTCTCTAAGAACTTGCTTTATAAATCTGGGTGCTCCTGTATTGGGTACATATATATTTAGGATAGTTAGCTCTTCTTGTTGCATTGATCCCTTTACCATTATGTAATGCCCTTGTTTGTCTTTTTTTATCTTTGTTGGTTTAAAGTCTGTTTTATCAGAGTCTAGGATTGCAACCCCTGCTTTTTTTTCTTTCCATTTGCTTGGTAAATATTCCTCCATTCCTTTATTTTGAGCCTATGTGTATCTTTGCATGTGAGATGGGTCTCCTGAATACAGCACACTGATGGGTCTTGACCCTTTATCCAGATTGCCAGTCTGTGTCTTTTAATTGGGGCATTTAGCCCATTTACATTTAAGGTTAATATTGTTATGTGTGAATTTGATCCTGACATTATGATGCTAGCTGGTTATTTTGCCCATTAGTTGATGCAGTTTCTTCATAGTGCTGATAGTCTTTACAATTTGGTATGTTTTTGCAGTGGCTGGTACCAGTTTTTCCTTTCCATATTTACTGCTTCCTTCAGGAGCTCTTGTAAGGCAGACCTGGTGGTAACAAAATCTCTCAGCATTTGCTTGTCTGTAAAGGATTTTATTTCTCCTTTGCTTAGGAAGCTTAGTTTGGCTGGATATGAAATTCTGGGTTGAAAATTCTTTTAAGAATGTTGAATATTGGCCCCCACTCTCTTCTGGCTTGCAGAGTTTCTGCCAAGAGATCAGCTGTTAGTCTGATGGGCTTCCCTTTGTGGGTAACCCGACCTTTCTCTCTGGCTGCCCTTAACATTTTTTCCTTCATTTCAACCTTGGTGAATCTGACAATTATGTGTCTTGGGGTTGCTCTTCTCGAGAAGTACCTTTGTGGTGGTCCCTTTATTTCCTTAATTTCAGTGTTGGCCTGAATTGCTAGGTTGGTGAAGTTCTCCTGGATAATGTCTTGAAGAGTGTTTTCCAGCTTGGTTCCATTTCATTTCATGTATACCAATCAAACTTTGGTTTGGTCTTTTCACATAGTCCTATATTTCTTAGAGGCTTTGTTCATTCCTTGTCATTCTTTTTTCTCTAATCTTGTCTTCACATTTTATTTCATTAAGTTGATCTTCAATCTCTGATATCCTGTCTTCCACTTTATCGATTTGGCTATTGATACTTGTGTATGCTTTATGAAGTTCTTGTGCTGTGTTTTTCAGCTCCATCAAGTAATTTATGTTCTTCTCTAAACTAGTTATTCTAGTTAGCAATTCCTCTAACCTTTTTTCAAGGTTCTTAGCTTCCTTGCATTGGGTTAGAACATGCTCCTTTACCTCAGAGGAGTTTGTTATTACCAACCTTCTGAAGCCTGCTTCTGTCAATTTGTCAAACTCATTCTCTATCCAGATTTGTTCCCTTGCTGGTGAGGAGTTGTGATCCTTTGGAGAAGAGGTGTTCTGGTTTTTGGAATTTTCAGCCTTTTGGTGCTGGTTTTTCCTCATCTTTGTGGATTTATCTAACTTTGGTCTTTGATGTTGGTGACCTTCGGATGGGGTTTTTGTGTGGATGTCCTTTTTGTTGATGTTGATACTATTCCTTTCTGTTTGTTAGTTTTCCTTCTAATAGGCCCCTCTGCTGCAGGTCTGCCGGAGTTTGCTGAAGGTCCACTCCAGGCCCTGTTTGCCTGGGTATCACTAGTGGAGGCTTCAGAACAGCAAAGATTGCTGCCTGTTCTTTCCTCTGGAAGCTTTGTCCCAGAGGGGCACCCACCAGATACCAGCTGGAGCTCTCCTGTATGAGGTGTCTGTCAACCCCAGCTGGGAGGTGTCTCCCAGTCAGGAGGCACAGGGGTTAGGGACCCACTTGAGGAGGCAGTCTGTCCCTCAGCAGAGCTTGAGCGCTGTGCTGGGAGATTCACTGCTCTCTTCAGAGCTGGCAGGCAGGAATGTTTAAGCCTGCTGAAGCTGCACCCACAGCTGCCCTTTCCCCCAGATGCTTTGTCCCAGGGAGATGGGAGTTTTATCTATAGGTCCCTGACGGGGGCTGCTGCCTTTCTTTCAGAGATGCCCTGCCCAGAGAGGAGGAATCTAGAGAGGCAGTCTGGCTAGAGCAGCTTTGCAGCACTGTGGTGGGCTCTGCCCAGTTTGAAATTCCTGGCAGCTCTGTTCACACTGTGAGGGGAAAACCACCTACTCAAGCCTCAGTAATGGTGGACGCCCCTCCCTCTTCCAAGCTTGAGCATCCCAGGTCGACTTCAGACTGCTGTTCTGGCAGCAAGAATTTCAAGCCAGTGGATCTTAGCTTGCTGGGCTCCATAGGGGTGGAATCCACTGAACTAGACCAGGTGGCTCCCCTGGCTTTAGCCCCATTTCCAGGGGAGTGAACCATTCTATCTTGCTGGTGTTCCAGGCACCACTGGGGTATGAAAAAAAAAAACTCCTGCAGCTAGCTCGGTGTCTGCCCAAATGGCCACCCAGTTTTGTGCTTGAAACCCAGAGCCCTGGTGGTGTAGGCAACCAAGGGAATCTCCTGGTCTGCAGGTTGCAAAGAGCATGGGAAAAGCATAGTATCTGGGCTGGAATGCACAATTCCTCACGGCACAGTCCCTCACGGCTTCCCTTGGCTAGGGGAGGGAGTTTCCCGACCCTGTGCACTTCCCAGGTGAGGCAACGCCCCACCCTGCTTTGGCTTGTCCTCCATGGGCTGCATCCACTGTCTAACCAGTCCCAGTGAGATGAGCCAGGTACCTCAGTTGGAAATGCAGAAATCACCCACCTTCTGTGTTGATCTCACTGGGAGCTGCAGACCGGAGCTGTTCCTATTTGACCATCTTGCCAGCCACCAAATCATCTGGCATATCTTCACTTAGAAGGTGGGATGCACACCAACTTCCCATTTTGTTTCTAATTGAGCTTATTTGGATCTTCTCTCTTTTCTTGGTTAATCTTGCTAATGATCTATCAATTGTATTGATCTTTTCAAACAACCAGCTTTTTGTTTCATTTATCTTTTGTATTGTTTTTTGTTTCTCTTTTGCTAATAAATGATTTTTTGTTTGACAAAATGCAGATTCCTGTCCCATACTAGATCTACAAATCAGATTTTGCAGGACAAGTTCTAGGTATCTACATTCTTTTCTTTCAAAAAAATTTTACATTTTTATTTTTCCATAAGTTATTGGGGTACAGGTGGTATTTGGTTACATGAGTAAGTTCTTTAGTGGTGATTTGTGAGATGTTGGTGCACCCATCACCTGAGCTGTATGCACTGCACCATATTTGTAGTCTTTTGTCCCTTGTCCCCCTCCCACTCTTCCCCTCAAGTCCCCAAAGTCAATTGTATCATTCTTATTCCTTTGTGTCCTCATAGCTTAACTCCCACATATCAGTGAGAACATATGTTGTTTGATTTTCTATTCCTGAGTTACTTCACTTAGAATAATAGTCTCCAGTCTCATCCAGGTCACTGCAAATGCTGTTAATTCATTCCTTTTTATGGCTGAATAGTATTCCATCATGTATATATATATACCAAAGTCTTGATCCACTCATTGATTGATGGGCATTTGGGTTGGTTCCACGATTTTGCAGTTGTGAATTGTGCTGCTATAAACATGTGTGTGCAAATATCTTTTTCAAATAATAACTTCTTTTCCTCTGGGTAGATACCCAGTAGTGGGATTGCTGGATCAAATGGTAGTTCTAATTTTAGTTCTTTAAGGAATCTCCACACTGTTTTCCATAGCAGCTACACTAGTTTACATTCCCACCAGCAGTGTAGAGGTGTTCTCTGATCACCACATCCATGCCAACTTCTACTGTTTTCTGATCGCTTATGGCCATTCTTGCAGGAGTAACTTGGTATTGCATTGTGGTTTTGATTTGCATTTGCCTGATCATTAGTGATGTTGAGCATTTTTTCATGTTTGTCGACCATTGTATATCTTCTTTTGAGAACTGTCTATTCATGTCCTTAGCCCACTTTTTGATGGGGTTGTTTTTTCTTACTGATTTGAGTTCGTTGTAGATTCTGGATATTAGTCCTTTGTCAGATGTACAGATTGTGAGGATTTGCTCCCATTCTGTGGGTTGTCTGTTTACTCTGCTGACTGTTCCTTTTGCTGTACAAAAACTTTTTAATTAGCTCCTATTTCTTTGTTTTTATTGCATATGCTTTTGGGTTCTTGGTCATGAAATCCTTGCATAAGCCAATGTCTAGAAAGGTTTTTCCAATGTTATCTTCTAGAGTTTTCATAGTTTCAGGTCTTAGGTTTAAGTCCTTAATCTATCTTAAGTTGATTTTTGTATAAGGTGAGAGATGAGGATCCAGTTTCATTCTTCTACATGTGGCTTGCCAATTATCCCAGCACCATTTGTTGAAAAGGATGTCCTTTCTCCACTTTGTTTTTGTTTGCTTTGTTGAAGATCAGTTGGCTGTAAGTATTTGGGTTTATTTCTGGGTTCTCTGTTCTGTTCCATTGGTCTATGTGCCTATTTTTATACCAGTACCATGCTGTTTTGGTGACTATGGCCTTATAGTATAGTTTGAAATCAGGTAGTGTGATGTCTCCAAATTTGTTTATTTTGCTTAGTCTTGCTTTGGCTACGTGGGCTCTTTTTTAGTTCCATATGAATTTTGAATTGTTTTTTCTAACTCTGTGAAGAATGATGGTGGTATTTTGATGGGGATTGCGTTGAATTTGTATACTGCTTTTGGCAGTATGGTCAGTTTCACAATATTGATTCCACCCATCCATGAGCATGGGATGTGTTTCCATTTGTTTGTGTCATCTATGATTTCTTTCAGTAGTGTTTTATAGTTTTCCTTGTAGAGGTCTTTCGACTCCTTTGTTGGGTATATTCCTAAGTTTTTTTTGGTTTTGGTTTTGGTGGTTTTGTTGTTGTTGTTGTTGTTGTTGTTGTTTTGCAGCTATTGTAAAAGGGGTTGAGTTCTTGATTTGATTCTCCGCGCGGTCGCTGTTGGTGTATAGAAGAGCTACTGATTTGTGTACATTAATCTTGTATCCAGAAACTTTGCTGAATTCTTTTATCAGTTCTAGGAGCTTTCTGGAGGAGTCCTTAGGGTTTTCAAGGTAAATGATCATATTGTCAACAAACAGGAACAGTTTGACTTCCTCTTTACCAATTTGGATGCCCTTTCTTTCTCTTGTCTGATTGCTGTGGCTAGGACTTCCAGTACTATGTTGAAGAGGAGTGGTGAGAGTGGGCATCCTTGTCTTGTTCCCGTTCTCAAAGGGAATTCTTTCAACTTTTCCCCATTCAGTATTATGTTGGCTGTGGGTTTGTCATAGATGGTTTTTATTGCCTTAAGGTATGTCCCTTGTATGCCAATTTTGCAAGGTTTTAATCACAAAGAGATGCTGGATTTTGTCAAATGCATTTTCTACATCTATTGAGATGATCATGTGATTTTTGTTTTTAATTCTGTTTATGTGGTGTATCACATTTATTGACTTGCGTATGTTAAACCATCCCTGCATCCCTGGTATGAAACCCACTTGATCATGGTGGATTATCTTTTTGATATGTTGTTGGATTTGGTTAGCTAGTATTTTGTTAAGGATTTTAGCATCTATGTTCATCAAGGATATCGGTCTGTAGTTTTCTTTTTTGGTTGTGTCCTTTCCTGGTTTTGGTATTAGGGTGATGCTGGCTTCACAGAATGAATTAGGGAGGGTTCCTTTTTTCTCTATCTTGTGGAAAGGTGTCAAAGGGATCAGTACCAATTCTTTGAATGTTTGGTAGAATTCTGCTGTGAATCCATCTGGTCCTGGACTTTTTTGTTGTTGGTAATTTTTTAATTACCATTTCAATCTCAGTGTTTGTTATTGGTCTGTTCAGGGTATCTAGTTCTCCCTGATTTAAGCTAGGAGTGTTGTATTTTTCTAGGAATTTTTCCATCTCTTCTAGGTTTTCTAGTTTATGTGCATAAAGGTGTTCATAGTAGCCTTGAATGATCTTTCGTATTTCAGTGGTGTCAGTTGTAATATCTCCTGTTTCTTTACTCAGTGAGGTTATTTGGACTTTCTCTCTTCTTTTCTTGGTTAGTCTTGCTAACAGTCTATAAATTTTATTTATCTTTTCAAAGAACCAGTTTTGTTTCATTTATCTTTTGTATTTATTTTGTTTCATTTTCATTTAGTTCTTCTCTGATCTTGGTTATTTCTTTTCTTCTGCTTGGTTTGGGTTTGGGTTTGGCTTGTTCTTGTTTCTCTAGTTCCTTGAAGTGTGACTTGGGATTGTCTGTTTGTGCTCTTTCAGACTTTGATGTAGGCATTTAGGGCTGTGAACTTTCCTCTTAGCACCGCCTTAGCTGTATCCCAGAGGTTTTGATAGGTTGTGTCATTATTGTAATTCAGTTTTAAGAATTAATTTCCATCTTGATTTTGTTTTTGACCCAGTGCTTATTCAGGAACAGGTTATTTAATTTCCATATATTTGCATGGTTTTGAAGGTTCCTTTTGGAGTTGATTTCTGGTTTTATTCCACTGTGGTCTGAAAGAGTACTTGATATAATTTCAATTTTCTTAAATTTATTAAAGCTCATTTTATGGCCTATCATATGGTCTATCTTGGAGAAAGTTCCATGTGTTGTTGAATAGAATGTATATTCTGCAGTTGTTGGATGAAATGTTCTGTATATATCTGTTAAGTTCATTTGTTCCAAGGTATAGTTTAAATCCATTGTTTCTCGTTGACTTTCTGTCTTGATGACCTGTCTAGAGCTGTCAGTGGAGTATTGAAATCCCCCACTACCATTGTGTTGCTATCTCATTTCTTAGGTCTATTAGTAATTGTTTTATAAATTTGGGATCTCCAGTGTTAGGTACGTATATATGTTTAGGATTGTGATATTTTCCTGTTGGACAAGGCCTTTTACCGTTATGTAATGTCCCTCTTTGTCTCTTTTAACTGCTGTTGCTTTAGTTTGTTTTGTCTAAGAATAGTTACCCCTGCTTGCTCTTGTTGTCCATTTGCATGAATTGCCTTTTTCCACGCCTTTACTTTAAGTTTATGTGAGTCCTTATGTGTTAGGTGAGTCTCCTGAAGGCAGCAGACAGTTTGTTGGTGAGTTCTTATCCATTCTGAGGTTCTGTATTTAGGCCATTTACATTCAATGTTAGTATTGAAATGTGAGGTACTGTTGCATTCGTCATGCTCTTTATTGCCTGTGTACTTTGGGTTTTTTTGTTTTTGCTTTTTAATTTGTATTTTTGTTTATAGTTCCTGTGTGATTTGTGCTTTAAAGAGGCTCTGTTTTGATGTGTTTCCAGGATTTGTTTCAAGATTTAGAGCTCCTTTTAGCAGTTCTTGTAGTGGTGGCTTGGTAATGGCAAATTCTCTCAGCATTTGTTTGTCTAAAAATGACTGTATATTTCCTTCATATATGATGTTTAGTTTCGCTGGATACAAAATTCTTGGCTGATAATTGTTTTGTTTGAGGAGGCTAAAGATATGGCTCCAGTCCCTTCTAGCTTGTTGGGTTTCTGCTGAGAAATCTGCTGTTAATCTAATAGATTTTCCTTTATAGGCTACCTGGTGCTTCTGTCTCACAGCTCTTAAGATTATTTCCTTCACCTTAACTTTGGATAACCTGATGACAATGTGCAATGAATTTCCCAGGTGTTCTTTGTGTTTCTTGTATCGCATGTCTAGGTCTCTAGCAAGGCCGGGGAAGTTTTCTTCGATTATTCTCCCAAATATGTTTTCCAAGCTTTTAGAATTGTCTTTTTCCTCAGGGATGTTGATTATTCTTAGGTTTGGTTATTTGACATAATCTCAGACTTCTTGGAGGCTTTGTTCATATTTTCTTATTCTTTTTTCTTTGTCTTTGTTGGATTGGGTTAATTCGAAGACCTTGTCTTCAAGCTCTGAATTTCTTTCTTCTACTTGTTCAATTCTATTGCTGAGACTTTCCAGAGCATTTTGCATTTCTAAAAATGTGTCCAAAGTTTCCTTAATTTTTTATTGTTTTTTCTTTAAGCTATCTATTTCCTTGAATATTTCTCCCTTCACTTCCTATATCATTTTTTGGATTTCCTGGCATTGGGCTTCGCTTTTCTCTGGTCCCTCCTTAATTAGCTTAATAACTAACCTCTGGAATTCTTTTTCAGGTAAATCAGGGATTTCTTCTTGGTTTGGATCCATTGCTGGTGAACTAATGTGATTTTTAGGGGGCGTTGACAAGCCTTGTTTTGTCGTATTACCAGGGTTGGTTTTCTGGTTCCTTCTCATTTGGGTAGGCTCTGTCAGAGGGAAGGTCTAGGGCTGAAGGCTGCTGTTCAGATTTTTTTGTACCATGGGGTGTTCCTTTGCTGTAGACTCTCCCCCTTTTCCTGTGGATGTGGCTTCCTGTGAGCTGAACTGCAGTGATTGTTATCTCTCTTCTGGGTCTAGCCACCCAGCTAGTCTATTGGGCTCTGGGCTGGTACTGGGGGTTGTCTGCACAGAGTCCCGTGATGTGAACTGTCTAAGGGTCTCAGCCACCAGTGCCTGTTCTGATGGAGGTGGCAGAGTGTGCAATGGACTCCATGAGGGTCCTTAGCTTTGGTGGTTTAATGCTCTATTTTTGTGCTGGTTGGCCTCCTGCCAGGAGGTGAAGCTTTCCAGAAAGCATCAGCTGTAGTAGTGTGGAGAGGGACTGGCAGTGGGTGAAGCCCTAGAACTCCCAAGATTATATGCCCTTTGTCTTTCCCTACCAAGGTGGATAGGGAAGGACCATCGGGTGGGTTGGAGATAGGCATGTCTAAGCTCAGACTCTCCTCAGGCAGGTCTTGCTGCAGCTGCTGTGGGAGATGGGAGTGAGATTCCCAGGTCACTGGAGTTGTGTACCTCAGAGGATTATGGCTACCTCTGCTGAGTGATGCAGGTTGTCAGGGAAGTGGGGGAAAGCCAGCAGTCACAGGCCTCACCCAGCTCCCACACAAACTGAAGGGCTGGTCTCACTCCCACTGTGCCCCCACAGCAATAGCCCTGAGTCTATTTCTAAGCAGAGGGCAAGATGGGCTTGAAAACTTGCCCAAGGCTTTCTGCCTCCCAGCTGCGAAAGAAAAGGACTTTAGTTCTTCCCCTGCCTGTGAGGTCTGCAAGCAGGATTCACACCCTTCCTCCAGTTCTGGCAAGGAGGCTTCTCGCCTGGTTCAAATGGTTACAAAGTTCAGCCAAAGAATTCCTTCACCCTGTGGAGTTTCACCCCGTGGAGTTTCACCCCCTGCTCCTCTGGCCACCCTCCTGATGGATCCCTGTGGTGCCAGCAGGGATGAGCTGCTTGGGGACCCAGCAAGCTCCCAGGGCCTTTCTGTGGCTTCCTCTACCCCTGTATTTCACTTGGCTCGGTTCTCTAACTTGATTTAGCTCCAGGTAAAGTTGGAAACTTCTCCTGCCAACAGATCTTCGGCTTCTCCAGTTGAGGAGTTGTGTTTGGGAGAGGAGGGTCTCCCTTTCCCACTTCCACAGTTGGGGCACTCTCAGTATTTGCAGTGTCTCCATGGGTCCTGCAGGAGCAGTCTGCTTTCTTCAGAAGGTCTGTGGGTCCTCTCAGGATTGCTGGTTTGTTCTTGCAGTCAATCTGGAGCTAAAATTCAGTGCAAGCCTCCGCATGCTGCTCTGTCCGGAGCTGCAATCTAGACCTGCCTCCCATCTGCCACGATCCTGAAATCTGTTTGTTTTAATTTCATTTAGTTCTGCTCTGATCTTAGTTGTTTCTTTTCTTCTGCTGGGTTTGGGTTTGGTTTTTGTTTCTATAGTTCCCTGAGGTGTGACCTTAGATTGTCTATTTTTTGATGTAACTTTTTGTGACTTTTTGATGTGGGCATTTAATGCTATAAACTTTCCTCTTAGCACTGCTTTTGCTGTATCCCAGAGTTCTGATAGATTGTGTCACTATTACTGTTCAGTTCAAAGAATCTTTAAATTTCCATCTTCATTTCATTGTTGATACAATGATCATTCAGGTGCAGGTCATTTAATTTCCATGTATTTGCATGGTTTTGAGGGTTCCTTTTGGAATTGATTCCCAATTCCACTGTGGTGTGAGAAAGTACTTGATGTAATTCCAATTTCTTAAATTTGTTGAGACTTGTTTGTGGCCTATCATATGGTCTATCTTGGAGAATGTTCCATGTGCTGAAGAAAACAATGTATATACTGCAGTTGTTGGTAGAATGTTCTGTAAATATCTGTTAATTCCATTTGTTCTAGGGTATAGTTTAAGAGCATTGTTTCTTTGTTGACTTTCTGTCTTAATGACCTGCCTAGTGCTGTCAGTGGTGTACTGAATTGCATTCCCCCACTATTATTGTGTTGCTCTCTATCTCATTTCTTAGGTCTATTAGTAATGGTTTTAAAAATTTGGGAGCTCCAGCTGGGCACGGTGGCTCATGTCTTTAATCCCAGCACTTTGGGAGGCCGAGATGGGCAGATCACAAGGTCAGGAGATCAAGACCATCCTGGCTAACACAGTGAAACCCCGTCTCTACAAAACTACAAAAAATTAGCTGGGCGTGGTGGCAGTTGCCTATAATCCCAGCTACTCGGGAGGCTGAGGCAGGAGAATCACTTGAACCCGGGAGATGGAGGTTGTAGTGAGCCGAGATCACACCACTGCACTCCAGCATGGGTGACAGCAAGACTTCATCTCAAAAAAATAAAATAAAATAAAAAATAAAAAATAAAAAGTTGGGAGCTCCAGGGTTAGGTGCATATATACTTAGGAATGTGATATTATCCTGTTGCACTAGTCCTTTTATAATTATATAATGTTCTTCTTTGTCTTTTTTAACTGCTGTTGCTTTAAAGTTTGTTTTGTCTGATCCAAGAATAGCTATGCTCACTTTTGGTGTTCATTTGCATGGAATATCTTTTTCCACTCCTTTATCTTAAGTTTATGTGAATCCTTATGTGTCAGGTGAGTCTCTTGAAGACAGCAGATACTTGGTGAATTCTCATCCATTCTGCCATTCTGTATCTTTTAAGTGGAGCATTTACACCATTTACATTCAATGTTAGTATTGAGATGTGAGGTACTTTTCTATTCATCATGCTATTTGTTGCCTGAATACTTTGGATTTTTTTTCATTATGTTATGTGTTTTATAGGGCCTGTAAGATTTATGCTTTAAGGAGATTCTATTTTGGTGTATTTTGAGGATTTCTTTCAAGATTTAGAGCTCCTTTTAGCAGTTCTTGTAGTGCTGGGTTGGTGGTGGCAACTTCTGTCAGCATTTGTATCTTTCCTTCCTTTATGAAGCTTAGTTTCACTGGATACAAAATTCTTGGCTGACAATTGTTTTGTTTCAGGAGGCTAAAGATAGGACCCCAATCCCTTCTAGCTTGTAGGGTTTTTGCTGTGAAGTCCGCTGTAATCTGATAGGTTTTCCTTTATAAATTACCTGATGCTTTTGCCTCACAGCTCTTAAGATTCTTTCCGTCATCTCGACTTTAGATAACTTGATGACTGTGTACCTGGGTGATGATCTTTTTGCAATGAATTTCCCAGGTGTACTTTAAGCTTCTTGTATTTGGATGTCTAGATCTCTAACAAGGCCAGGGAAGTTTTCCTCAATTATTCCATCAAATATGATTTCCAAACTTTTAGATTTCCCTTCTTCCTCAGGAACACCACATATTCTTAGGTTTGGCTGTTTAACATAATCCCAAATTTCTTGGAGGCCTTGTTCATTTTTTAATTATTATTATTCTTTTTTTCTTTGTCTTTGTCTGATTGCGTTAATTTGAAAATCTTCTTTGAGCTCTGAAGTTGTTTCTTCTACTTGTTGGATTCTATTGCAGAGACTTTCCAGTGCATTTTGCATTTCTTTAAGTGGAGTCCATTTCCAGAAGTTGTGATTATTTATTTATGCTATCTATCTCACTGGAGATTTTTCCATTCATATTCTGTGTCATTTTTTTTTTAATTTAAGTTGGACTTCACCCCTCTCTGATGCCTCCTTGATTAGTTTAATGATCAACCTTCTGAATTCTTTTTCTGGCAATTCAGAGATTTCTTCTTGGTTTGGACCCATTGCTGGTGAGCTAGTGTGATCTTTTGGAGGTGTTAAAGAACACTGTTTTGTCGTATTACCAGAATTGTTTTTCTGGTTCCTTCTCATTTGGGTAAGACTGTGTCAGAGGGAAAATCTGGAACTCAAGGGCTGCTGTTCAGATTCTTGTGTCCCACAGGGTGCTCACTTGATGTGGTGTTCTCCCCCTTCCCCTAGGGATGGGGCTTCCTGAGAGCCAAGCTGCAGTGATTGTTATTTCTCTTCTGGATCTAACCACCCAGAGGAGCTACTGGGTTCTGGGCCGGTACTGGGGAGTGTCTGCAAAGAGTCCTGTGATGGGATCCGTCTTCAGGTTGGATATAGCCATGGATATACCAACACTTGCTCCAGTGGAGGTAGCCAGGAAGTGAAGTAGGCTCTGAAGATCCTTGGCTTTATTTTTGTTTAGTGTGCTGGTTTTATGTTGGTTGGCCTCCAGCCAGGAGGTAGTGCTTTCAAGAGCTCATCAGCTGTGGTTTATGGGGAGGATACAAGCTTCAGGTTTCTCAGGCGGTAGGCAGGGCCATAGAGCTCCCAAGAGTTTATGTCCTTTATCTTTGGCTACCAGGGCAGGTAGAGAAAGACCATCAGGTTGGGGCAGGGTTAGGTGTGTCTGAGCTCAGACACTCCTTGGGCAGGGTTTGCTGTGGCTGCTGTGGGGGATGGGGTGTGGTTCCTAGGCCAATGGAATGATGTTCCCAGGGCAATTATGGCCGCCTCTGCTGCATCACACAGGTTGCCAGGGAAGGGAGGGAAAGCCAGCAGCCACATGCCTCATCCAGCTCCCATGCAGCCCACAGCCCAAAAGGCTGGTCTCACTCCCACTGTGTCCCCCAACCAGCACTGAATTTATTTCCAGGCAGCCAATGAGCAGGGCTGAGAACTTGCCCCAGGCCACAAACCTGGCAGCTGAGAAAGCAAGCAGACTGTGGGTTCTCTCGGCTTTCCTGGTATGTTCCTGTGGTAGTTCTTGGAGCAAAGGTTCATGATATGAGTGTCCACACACTGCTCTGTCTGTCTGGGTGGGAGCTGCAAGTTAATCCTGCCTCCTCTCTGCCATTTCCCCCCCACCACCTTCCTCCAACATGAAAGTTTAATAACACACACTGTTGGTGGGTTTTGGGTAGAACAGGCCCTCTTGTACATAGCAGTGGAAGTCTAAATTGATTGATATTGCTTCTAAGGAGGGCAATTTGGCAATCACAAGCCAAATCTTAGATTCATATGTTATTTTACTCTAAGATTCCACTTTTGGGAATTAATCCTAGAGATCAACTGGCTCATGTTCCACATGGCATATACACAGAATTTTCATTACAGGATACCTACATTGGCCAAAGATCAGAAACCACCTAAATGGTCATTAATAGGGCACTAGTTGAATACATCAGTGCAACGGACTACTATGCAGCTGAGAAAAGGAATGACATGCTCTCTGCACTGCAGGGAAGAAATGTCCAAGCAAAGTGAAGGACAGTCTATAGAGGGGGATAAGTTAGGATTTACATTTGTATTTGCACATTGTATTTTTACGTAAGTATAATCTGGAAGGATACAAGAGGCTATTTAACGTGATTGGTTGCCTGTGGGCAAAAGAAAGGTAAGATTCTGGACAGATGAGAGACAGAGGTAGGATGAGAATTTTCCCTATATCCTTTTTTATACTTTTAAAATTTGAAACTACGTGAATGATTTCTGTACAAAAGATTAAACAAAAAAATAATGTAGCAAATCACCCTGGAGATGCAGTGTGAACATCTATGCACAGATTTGCAGGCAGGGGCCTCATCTTCCGACAGTTGATAAGATCTCTCTTATCCTTTGATTGCTGAGCAGTAGAAACTGATTGCTATTGATCAATTTCCTCCACTTTCTCCTGTGTCAGAGTTCTGCAGACTTCTCAGCAGACCTCTAATTCTCCCTGGTCCAGATAGTAACTCAAGCCCCAGATCATCTCTACCTTGAGTTCCAGAGAATCATTCTAGACAAGGAATCAGGAAGCCTGATTCTCTCACTGGGCTGCTATGTAATCCTGAGCTAGTCACTTTTCTGCTCTAGCTTCAGTTTCGCCATTTGTATGTGAAAAGACCTCACTTTGAGATCCTGTTCTCTGGACTACAGGTCTCCCAGAAAAGAGATGGGGAAATGGAAATGACCAGACACTGCCTGTACTCACCTGTCCTGAGCATGGGGTGGGGGTTCATGAAGTCTAACGTAATGTTAATTAAATATTTCCATGTGCCTGGTGGCTACGGACTTCATGATAGTCTCTGTTCTGAATGGCAGCTAAGAATCCTTCAATGGAAAGGGAGAGATGGGAAGAGGCTGAGTTGGAAAAACCTGCTCTGGGGAACACCTGTCTCCTGGCACCCCAAGGAGGGTGTTCTGCATCTCTGAGCTCGGCAAGAAGGAGCAGATTCTGGGGTTCTGGGGGTAGGATGGAAGCATCAGATTAGGCCCCTGTGAGTACTAGGTAGCCCCACTAGCAAGAGCCTGAATCATGCCAGGGAGACCTAGAATCCTCAACAGGCATGGCTGAGAAGCCACGCCCTCCTCTCTGCAGGAGCCAGACCACCGCCCCGCTTGCTGGTTTTCCTGACTCTGGCAGCCTTTCTTGGAGGGCAGCTGCAGGTAGTGATGAGCTCTTCCCTTGCAATTTCACCTGCCTGGGCCTGAGGGGAGGTTTTGGAAGATCGTTCATCCCTCGTGTTCCACAAGCTGAAGTGGTGGCATTTACCTCTCTGCCAACACTATCAGCCTCCCAGGGGACTGGCACCAGAAGGGTGGGGTATGACTGATGCTGCAGCCCTGGATCTCTACTTGGAAGCTTTAGAGACCCCCGCTGGTTGCAAGGATGGTACCTGGCACAAAATACTGAAGAAATAATTGTTGCACAAACAACTAACTCAATGGCTGTGAGCTCTAGAGTGGGAGCACATGGGTTGGCATCTATGCTTGCTGGCTGTGTGACTTTGGACCAGGGTCTAACCTTGCTGAGCCTCACAGAGCCACTGGGAGGGTGAAATGAGATCATGCCTGCAAAGAGAGAGCTTCACATCATGCTCAAGAGAGGGTGGCTGCTGTCATGAGGATAAGGAGGAGGATTCCACTTGGGAAGACTGGTTCCCACCCAGCTGCTTTGGCATCGCTCTGCCCTCATTCTGTGTACTAGGTCAGCAGTGTGTCTCTGGAGAGACCTCGGAGCAGCTGGGTGTGGGCTACCCACAGTTCCTCCAATAGAGTGTGCATCAAACTTTGTTTTTTCCCAATCATATAGGCGAACTATAGATCTTGGGATGGTTAATTTGCATTTCTCTAATATTGATGGAGGCTGAGGACCTTTTGACATTTTTAGGAGACATTATGTTCACTGCATTTGTCCTGCCTTCTGCCTGATAATGGAACAAAGCTCTTTTTCTTCTAATTTGGAAAAACTTAATACAG
Source organism: Homo sapiens (assembly GCF_000001405.40). Taxonomy (NCBI): domain Eukaryota; kingdom Metazoa; phylum Chordata; class Mammalia; order Primates; family Hominidae; genus Homo; species Homo sapiens. The sequence goes on from NC_000010.11 coordinate 118,665,404, forward strand.
AAAAGTAGAGAGAATCATTGGATCAAGGCTCTAGAGCTGTACTAATAGAAATTGATGTGGAAATGGGAATGTTCTAGAGCTGTACTGTCCGGTATGGTAGCCACTGGCCACACACAGCTATTATCTTGAAATGCAGTTAATGCAACTGAGGAATTGAATTTTATTTAATTTTCATGAATTGTCAACAGCTACATGTGGCTACCGTATTTTGATAGCATAGCTCTAGAGGCAATAAAGCCGGCCGGGCGCGGAGGTTCATACCTGTAATCCCAGCACTTTGGGAGGCCAAGGCAGGTGGATCACAAGGTCAGGAGTTCGAGAACAGCCTGGCCAACATGGTGCAACCTCATCTCTACTAAAAATACAAAAATTAGCTGGGTGTGGCAGCGGGCACCTCTAATCCTAGCTACTCAGGAGGCTGAGGCAGGAGAATTGCTTGAACCCAGGAGGTGAAGGTTGCAGTGAGCTGAGATCATACTATTGCACTCCAGCCTGGGCAACAAAAGCAAGACTCGCTCTCAAATATAAAAAAATTAAAAACATAGGCTGGGCGCGGTGGCTCACGCCTGTAATCCCAGCATGTTGGGAGGCCGAGGCGGGCGGATCATGAGGTCAGGAGTTCGAGACCAGCCTGAACAACATGGTTGAAACCCCATCTCTACTAAATATACAAAAATTCGCCGGGCGTGGTGGCAGGCACCTGTAGTCCCAGTTACCTGGGAGGCTGAGGCAGGAGAATCGCTTGAATCCAGGAGGTGGAGGTTGCAGTGAGCTGAGATCGCGCCATCGCACTCCAGCCTGGGCAGCAGAGCGAGACTCCATCTCAAAAAACTAAATAAGTAAAAATAAAAAAATAAAGCTGACATCTGGAGGGTCCTACACTCCAGGAGACTCTGAACCATTTGTCAAAGGTAAATGACAATGAGAGAGAGGCTGTCAAGCCCAACAGCATTGTTGCCCAGGAGTAGGCTGCATTAGAGGGTAGCATATGGGGTACTCACCCAGAAAGGCCCCGAGTCCTGCCCAAAGTCTCCTGACTCCCAGCCAGGGCCCTCCTTCACACCAGGCCCTCAAACCACCTTAGCAGGACACTTCCTGGGCAGTGGTCCGCGGGCAATCCTCATGTTGTCCTCAAATGAGTGGGAGTCACTGCTTCTGGCATTCAAGGCCCCTGGTGATCAGCCCTGCCCTCCTGTTCAGCCCACTGCCCTGGAACTTTGGGGCCTGCGTTGCCCACTCATAGCCTAAGTATCTACCCCAGATCTGCCTTACTTCTGCATAGGGCCTAGCCTCATACAAGGGGCCAGTGGAGCCCTGTAAATGACACCCCTCCTCATGCCACATCCTATTCTCACAGATTGTAAAACCTCCGGGTAAGACCCTGATCCCACCAAGCTGAATCTTCTTCCCCTGATGATGAATGGGACCAGGCCTGGTTACCAGAGGAGCCATTCAAAATCCACTTATTTGAGGAAATCAATGATCTTGTTTATGTCCATTAATCTGAGACCCTGATTGCAGAGGATTCTAGGGGCTCCATTCCAAAGCCCCCCCACCACATGGCCAGCTAGCTAGGTAATCTCTCCACCCTGACTGGGCCAGCAGATGGCAGGTTCCCCAGGACTAATCAGCCACCGAGATGTGACGTCCCTGTCTGAGCTGCGGCCGGAGAAGAGGGTGCCCTGGACAGGATCCCTCCGGGAGGCTGAGGCACTCATGGGGAAAAGCAGCATGAATTCCAGAAAAGACCTGTGTCCCTGACCTCTGGACCTACATCGAGGGCTCTGAGTTGCCACCAAGGACTCTATTATGTGAACCTCCAGGAGGACAAGGACCACCGACTGTGTGTCTCAGCAGCTCCCACTCCAGGTCACATGCCATCACGGGAGCTCAGGGAGTAGTGGCAGAATTAAATACAAGGCCCCACTAAACTGGAATTTTAATTTTAGCCCTAAGATGAGAAAAGTTGAAAGATGACTTTAGAATTATCCCCAATCAGCCAACTGTCAACCTAAATAAAAGAGAGGCTCTCCAAAAGAAAATGGTTATTTGGGCCGGGTGCGGTGGCTCACGCCTGTAATTGCAGCACTTTGGGAGGCTGAGGCGGGCGGATCACCTGAGGTCAGGAGTTCAAGACCAACCTGACCAACATGGAGAAACCCTGTCTCTGCTAAAAATACAAAATTAGCCGGGGTGGAGGTGCCTGCCTGTAATCCCAGCTACTTGGGAGGCTGAGGCAGGAGAATCGCTTGAACCCAGGAGGCAGAGATTGTGGTGAGTCGAGATTGTGCCATTGCACTCCAGCCTGGGCAACAACAGCAAAACTGTGTCTCAAAAAAAAAAGAAAGAAAATTGTTATTTGGGAATAGAGCACTGCAATGGGAATACACACGCCATAATAAACAGTGTGTGTATTCAGACATGCAAAGGAAGACAAAGGTTTTTAAAGGTAAAATGAGAAGGATTATATAATTGTTTTGAAATAATTGTCCTTGGCTACTAAGATCAATAACAAGGGTGACGCCAGTCCAAGGTTGGACAGGCAGTTGCTAGGCAGATGTCCTTGCAGAAGTATTTGTTGTGTAAGGTTGTGATAGCCTTTGTGCAAGGTTGTGGGTTTGCAGGCTTTTGTGATACTTTTTGTATCCAAGGCGTCCAAGTGTGAGAACACTTCCTTCATGAACTTCCCCGGCTCTCTTGTGTTTTCAACACAAGAGATTCCATTTTGATTGACAACTTTCATACAATATAGAAATTAGAACCTGAGACCTAATCTAGCCCACCTGTCCCCACGTGTGGTGGGCCCACCATGCACAGCCAAGTCACCTGGAGCATGAGGCTGAAATGCAGGTTTCTGGGCCCTGCTCCAGACCTGCAGACTCAGAATCTCAGGGAGGTAGGGAGGGGTGGGGAGGGTAAAAGCTGCATTACTGACTAGCTCCCTTAGTGACAGTTCAGCACGCTGATGTTCAGGGATGCCCTCTTCTTGCCAAGGAGAAAACAGAAGCGCAGTCTGTTGGCCAAGGGCCCTCAGCCAGGGAACATCAGGACCTGGGGCACAGCTCTAGGAAACGCTGTTGTTGCTGAGAGTGGGGGCAAGGGGCACTGGCCAGACCTGGATTTGTGGGAGGCGGCTGACATGAGGCTCTGGACTTCTGCAGCAAGACGGACATCAGGGAACCTGGGCTTCCAGCAAGCAGCTCTTTTAGCCAGCACAGTAGATGCACTCCAGGTGGTGGGGTCTCAGTCCAGTGGGGTCTTCAGGAGAAAGCAAGGCTCCTAGGCTGGAGTCTAGTTTCAGGTGGGGCTGTGATTGGGGTCTGGCCATCGTGGTTCTGCCACCTACTGGCTGTGTAACTCCGGGTACCTCTCTGAGCCTTAACTCCTCGTCTGAAAACAGAATAATCAGAGTACCTACTTCTTGGGGTAGCTGTGGGGTGGGGCATGAGATGGCACTGGCTGTTCAGTGTTTGCCTCTCAGGTCCTTCTTGACTCCTTGGGGCTGAATTTATGTTCTCATCACTCCGTTTCTGAGCAGATGAGGAAGAAGGAGGGTGGAACTCTAGCTCCAACTCTGCTCCCTGACCTAAGTATCCCAACCCCTCCCAGGTTGGGGACAGAGCCCTTCCATCACGTAGCTCTCGGTCCCACCGGACTCTTTGCTTAGGAAGAGGCTGCCTGCCCCCATCGTGGTTAGGTGCTAACTCATTCTCTGCTTTATCTATCACATCTCTAACTGCCCATCAGAGCCCATTAGACCAGAATGAGACTCCCAGGGTGGCCGCAGAGCAGCAGCATTTCAGCTCATCAGAGGAAGCTGCCAAATGAGCCAGTCTGAGCAGCATTTGGGGGTAGATGTTCGCTTCCTATTAACAGGCTAAATTGCGGAAGTGGCTCAGAGTTTCATTCCCACTGTGCCACTCCCTGGGGTCTGCAGCGTGGCCTGGGAGAAAAAGGCACAGCCTCGGGGTCAGACCCGAGTTGGACCCAGCTCTGTCCCCTGGTACCTGAGGGACTCTGGATAAATTACTGGATTTCTCTGAACTCCACTTATCCCATTTGTAAAACAGGATTAGAAGCCCCGCCATGGGACTGTTTTGGTCATTAAATGCCAATTTGTATATAAAGTGCTTAGCGCAAGCCTGACGACAGAAACACTCGGTAATTGAAAGCTACTGTTTTTCCACAAGGACTTCCTTTCAGGGACCGCAGCCTTGGACGGAGGCCTGGGTACAGATTTAATCAGATGCAGGCGCTCCGGATTACCATGGAGATCGTCTAATCTAATACGTGGAGGCTGCTCAGTGACTGTTTATTGAGTTAAAAGAAAACACAAATCTAATTTTAGCCCAAAGAAGAGAAAGTTAAAAGGGAACTTGAACAGGCTTTGGCTAGACAGTATAATAATTACTGCTGTTTTTTTCAATACTTACTAAGTGATAACTGTTTTCCTTTAAAGAGAAAAGTCATCTAAATAATCATAGCTACTATTATTGTCTGTAATGTTAGTGCTAACCCATTTCTAGTAGAGGGCACCCCCAGCTTATGGGTGGGGGATGGAGACTTCTGTAGGCAGAGACAGAGTTTTAGAGGCCTGTGCTCCTAACCAGCACCCATGCTGAACCCCGGAAAGATGATGTGACAGCATCCAGCTCTCACTCCTCTCTGTCTCACTCAGAGGAAGGGGACAGAGAGGCGGCAGCCCTCCAAGAAGGCAGATGCCATGGTGCTGTCCCAACAGCTGCTGGCAGTGTCAGAGGGGACGGCCCTGAGGACAATAGGGGTCCTCAGGGTGGGGGTGTTGCCAAAGGAGATTAACATTTGAGTTAGTGAACTGGGAAAGGCAGACCCACCCTCAATCTGGGTGGGCACCTAGCAGTGCCACCAGTGTACCCGATGTCCCCCTGGAGTCAGATAGCCCTAGTAGGACACAGCAACAAACCTGGCATGGAGAATGGAGGGAGCAGCAGCACAGACCCCAGGGACATGAGAAATAAGATGCCAGGCACAAAGCAAGGACCTGCTCAATAGGGGCCTCATTTAGAGAACAAAAACTGAGGCCTGAGATTCAGTGTCCTGCTCAGGACCCAGTGAAGCAGGGTGGGAGCGGAGGCTCCCTTCCAGCAGATCCTGTGACCAGTGATCAGAGGACCACCCTCGCCCCTGCCCATTCCAGCCATTAGAACCTGTGGTGTGTGGGCAAGGGTCCCCAAACAGGGCCCGTCACCTGCCCACCCACTCCCAGAAGGCCACCAGTGCTCTCACAGGCTGAGGGCCAGGGCCAAAGCTGCCAGGCTGGCCCTGTGAGCTCCTGCTGCAGTGGCGGCAGAAATCCACCTGCTGCAGTCTGGATATGGGAAATGCATTTTTCACCCCATCAGGCATCAGGGCGAAAGCAATTTACAAATGGTCAGCTGGGGGAGAGACGCGGCCAGCAGTGTTTTGTAGTCCATTAAAAGGTTTGGACCGGGGCTTTGAGAGATGTGCCAGCAACTGTGCAGAGGCATTCATTCACCAGACCCTGCTCATGCAGCTCACTTTGGAGCTGGGCAAGGACCCCCGGGATGCCAGTCAGTGTAAGAGGACACCTGGGTTTCTCTGCTGGTGGGTCATCGGGGATCAAGGGCTCTGTATTAGTTAGGGTTCTCTGGAGAGACAGGACTAATAGGACAGATGTATATACGAAAGGGAGTTTATTAAGGAGTATTGGATCACACCATCACAAGGTGAAGTCCCACAATAGGCCATCTGCATGCAATCTGAGAAGCAAGGAAGCCAGTCCGCGTCCTAAAAACCTCACAAGTAGGGAAGCCGACAGTGCAGCCTTCAGTCAGTGGCTGAAGGCCTGAGAGCCCCTGGCAAACCACTGGCATAAGTTCAAGAGTCCAAAAACTGAAGAACTTGGAGTCTGATGTTTGAGAGAAGGCAGCATTCAGCATGGGAGAAAGATGAAGGCCAGAAGACTCAGCCAGTCTAGTCCTCCCACATTTTCGGCCTGCTTTTATCTAGCCGTGCTGACAGCTGATTAGATGGTGCCCACCCAGATTGAGGGTGGGTCTGCCTCTCCCAGTTCACTAACTCAAATGTTAATCTCCTTTGGCAACACCCCCACAGACACCCGCAGGAACAATACTTTCAACCTTCATTCCAATCAAGTTGACAATATTAACCATCACAGGCTCTTAGGGACTGTGTCCCTGGGCACTCTACCCCAGGAACTCTAGACTAAGGATCAGCCTAGACAGTCTCCCCCTTTTTTTTCCTAAAGAGAAAATGCAGAGGGAAGAAACCAGCAAGCCACCATCTCATAAATGTATTCATTTGTTTACCACTGTTTTAGAAATGCTCAAAGCAGCTAACGAAGACTTCACTTATGAGGAAGGGATTACATGCAAAGCAAGAACACACAGGGGATCCTCTGGGGGTCTTAGGGCATGTGGGCTGCAAGCGGCAAACACTGACTGTCACCCCTTACAGTGAAAAGGAAAGACCATTGAGGTGCTACAGCCTTTGGAAGGGTAAGGATCAGACAGCCCCAGCACCAGCTCCGGGTGTCTCTGCTCTTGGGAAGGGCCAGCTCCTGCCTTTTGAGGACTTCAAATTGCCCCATACATAATTCCAGCTCCAGGAGAGGGGCCTGATTGGCTCAGGTACATTCCCATCTGCTAGCTGAAGAAGGCAGGACGCCTTCACCAGCAGTCCCTGCACCTACCTCCGCCCAGGACTATGTTGAACAGACAGAAGCAGTTCCCCCAAGAAAATTATATAAAGAAGTGCAAATGGCAGCTGAGCAGGCCAAAGCAACAGTGTTCACTACCATGGGCCAGTTTTTTTTTTTTTTTTTAATAGATGAGACTGGAAGTCAGAGTGGCTCAGTGACTTAATAATGGCGGAGCCAAAATTCTGTCTGATCCGATTCCAGGATGAGCTCTCCCTGCAATAGCATTCAGCCGCCTCGAGTATATCTGACCTTGGCCTGAGTCTCCTTCTCTCTGAACAGCATATGATGATTAGCCACTTGATATGGTCTGGCTGTGTCCCCAGCCAAATATAATCTTGAATTCCCCCATGTTGTGGGAGGGACCCAGTGGAAGGTGACTGAATTAGGGGAGCGGGTCTTTCCTGCGCTGTTCTTCTGATAGTGAATGAGTCTCCAGAGATCTGATGGTTTTAAAAATAAGAGTTTCCCTGCACAAACTCTTTGCCTGCTGCCATCCATGTAAGACGTTGACGTGCTCCTCCTTGCCTTCCACCATGATTGTGAGACTTCCCCAGCCACATAGAACTGTAGTCCAATTAAACTTCTTTTGTAAATTGCCCAGTCTTTGGCAGTAGCGTGAAAATGGACTAATGCGCCACTCAATTGTGTCTTCTGGATCATTATTTTAGCTTAGGGAGTCAGTGGTCCTGCTGAGAGATCTTGCTCTTGACAGCCCTGTTGGGTCCCTTTCCCCACAATGTGTCCCAAAAGTCTGGCCTTGCACTTCCCAAATGCTGGGGCACTAGACTGGGCTCTGTCTGCAGGCCCAGAGGCTACCCAGAGCTTAGGGAGCCCTATCCAACAGAGAACGCTGCTAACAGCCCACAGCCACCCTCAGCAGAGACCCTCAGACAGTCCACAGGCTCTGCTGAGAATGACACTGTTTGGGCATAAGGAGGCCGAGTTATGGCCCTTGGTCTCTTCTGCCATCCAGGGAGCTGAGCCACAGTGCAGCAGACTGATCTGCTGCCATAGGAATTGGGCACTCACTGGGCACATGCTCTGTGCCAGGCCATGTGTTATGGTTATATCTTGAAGCCCTTACATCAACCACTGACAGTGAGCAATTGTTCAGGACCAGTGATTGTTCATGTCTGTGAGTTCCAGCTTTCTCAATGGAAAATGAGGCTGTTGTGAGTTGAGACGATAGGCATAGAGTGCTTTGTACAGTGCCAGGCGCACAGTAAGCGCTTGGTAACTACTCCGGGGGAGTAGTTACAGTAGTGGTAGCTGCTGTTATTCTGAGATCTGAAGGCTGGGAAACATCTAGCCAGGGAAAAACTGAAAGCATGAGTGAAAGCGTACTACGGTTTCACAGCGGAGTAAACTGAAGCTCAGAGAGCTGAGTGACCTGCCCAGGGAGAGACAGCTCAACAGGGCCTGAAGCCAGCTGGCCCCAAAGGTATCAAGTCTGAAGCATCTGTTCTTTCAATTGCACTGTGCTGCCTCCAAAGTCCTGATCAATGCCATTTGCTTGTTCCCTTCACCTCTGAATCTCCACGTACCTTCACGTCTCCTGCCCATGAGGGCTCTCCTGGGCCCTGGCCTGAGGTGCCCTGCCCAGCTAAACGGCCCTGGTGCCCTAAGGCATCCATTATATGTAATTTCGCTCCTGTGCATCTAAAAGCTGTTTACCATCCTTGGGAAAAGTGACAAAAATTATTCAAACACCCTTTTCTGCAGAGCTTTATTCATGAAGCCCCGGCTGAAAAGGCTCTCTCTGAAGTTATTATGGTCATGGATGGCTTCACCACCACTGCCGGGGGAGGTATGATTAGTGAGGTCTTAAGAACAGCCCTGCTAGGTCTAACAGAGGCCCACAGTCCAGTGTTCACCTGTACCAGAGGCTGCCAAGAGGGAGGACTGAGCAGTAAAGCAAATCACCTTGTAGATGGGGGTTCAAATCTTCCATTGTGTGATTTGGGGCAGGTTATTTAAATCTGACATCTGGGCTGTTTCATCTTGTAATAGTTGTATTGTTGTGTAACAAATTACTCACAAAATTTAGTGGCTTAAACCAGCACACGGTTATTCCAGAGTTTCCCTGGGTCAGGAGTCTGGGCACAGCTTAGCTGAATTCTCTGTCTCAGGCTTTGCCGCTAGGCTGTGATCAAGGTGTCAGCCAGGGCCACAGTCATCTCAAGATTCAACTGGACCAACATCCATTCCAAGTTCACTCGGACCGTCAGCAGGATTTACAGCCCCTCGGGCTATTAGATTGAAGGCCTCAGTTCCTTGGTAGCTGTTGGCTGGATGCCACCCTCAGTTCCTTGCCCAGTGGCCCTGTCAAGTGAAAGCTGAGGAGAGAACACAGGCAAAATGACGAGTCTTCTGTAACCTAATCACAGAAGTGACAGCCCATCACCTGGGCCACAGTATTTTCAACAGAAGCAAGTTGCTGGGTCCAGCCCACACTCAAGTTGAGGGGATTACATTAAGGGTGTGAATGCGGGAGTGGCAGTCACTCGGGTCGTCTCAGAACGGCTCACCATACATCTGTAGAGTGCCACGAGTCACTGCCTCACTGGATTGCTCCTAAGATGTGCGTGAAACACCTCCCATGCAGACAGGTATCCAGTGAAGAGCAGCTGTCACTGTGTCACATGTGCTCAGATGACATCTATTTCCTTTCCCCAATGCTGTCTGAGCTGTCTTAGGGACAAGATTGTTCACCAAACACTATCTCAACAAGCAAGGCCCTATTTTTACTTCCTAACACCTTGTTACATACCACCATCCTGCTTAGCTTTGTTTTGGGTGAATCTGGACATACCCAAGAAAAAATTTTCCTTTTCAGACAGGGACTTTTTCTTTCGCCTATGCTAATGTAAGCTCTTTGTCTTCTTTAATCATAGCTCCCTGGCTATTCTAGTCAGGAGGGTGACTATTCTGTGTTGTTTATAGATTCTAGGAGAAATCATCTACCATGACTGTCAAAGCAAAGCACCTTGGTTAATCCTGAAGAGCAGATATGTTGTGTAAAAACAAAGTTGATGTGGAGTCAAAGTTTGGTTTTCCCATCTCCCAAAGGCTCCCAATGGACAGCTGTCACAGACCTACGTAGTGGACTCACGTAACCAAGAGTCACTAGCAGCCTTTCACCGTCCTGAGACCCAGCTTTTTCCAGACAGCCCCACCTCCTTAACCCAATGTGGGCTTGAGCCAGGTCCCAGCCCCAGGAGGGTAGATCTGTTTGGTCTAAGTCTACCATGGTGGTCCCATTCTCCTCCTCAGTTATCCCAATGCCCCTCAATGAAAACCGAAGGGAACTGCGCTGGTGTGGCTTCAGGGAAGTTACACTGCTCTTAAAAGAGACATGCTGGGGAACAGAGGCCCTCTGCTTCAACTGGTTGTTGTCATTCTGACAACTGCAGCAGTCAAGTAAAGACCTTGAAGGAAGCAACACTGAGCACAAAGTGAACATAATGAGGCTGGCAGAGCAGAAAGCAGGAAGAAATCCAGGTCCTGGACATCAATTAGCTGTTGTATTTATCAGCCCTGGAACTGCCCAACCTTGAGACTTCTGTGAAGTGATGTCTCCCTCACTGTTTAAGCCAGTGATCTCCAAAGTGAACAAGGTGATCCACTGAGGTACAGGAAGAAAACAGAAGTTATGTTTTTAAGAGTAAAGAAGCCTTACCAATACATAACAGACACACAGGCTGCATGGCAAGTGGTCAGGCAGCACATGCCAGTCAGTGAGGAATCCTCAAGGAGTGCTGAGAGCTCCATGTTGCAGAGAGAGCAACAGCGGCACCACTCTCTTCCAGAATATTGTCATCTGTGTGCCCCATAAGCCAACTGGACTTAGATTTTTATTATCTTACACAAAAGCATCTTGACAACAGTTTATAATGAGATGAGGAAATTAAACCCTCAAATTTGCCGGTTATCTCATAGCAAAATTCTTAAATATGGTATTTTTTTAATTGATAAAAAGACTTGAATGTGCCAATCTTTCCTGTGGTGACAAGTGTCTGTAATCAATATGCAATCTAGAAAGTATTTTTTTAAATGGACAGATTTAAACTGACCCTTCAAGGTAAAGATAACATTTAATACTAACGATGACCGAGCAAGAATTCATGAAAATGTGTTGCCAAAAATTGTCACCTATAAAAACTCTTCAAAGTGTACACTTAAACTTGGGAAATGAAATTCAAAAATAAGTTACAGCAGGTTTTGAACCCATCTGTTAGCAAAAATAAAAATGCAACACTCCTAATTATTCAGCAAAAACAAGTTACTGACATTGGAAAAGATGAAAATTTATTATAAAAATTTCAACAACACACTTTTGCAAAATTGGTGGATGGAACTCAAAAATATTTTCAGTAAGCACAGCCATATTTGGATCCACAGATCTTAATTAATGAAGTGACTTATTCAGCTACAATAGTCATTAAAACCAAGCATGAAAATAAACTTACCTTAAGAACATTAAGTTGTTTTTATAAAGTGTTAAAACTAGGAGTTTCAAAAATGACAAGCATTTTTAATCATGACTCTCTCTAAAAGAACATTTTTTTAGAAAGAGCAAAGGTTTATTAACCACAAATACCACAAACAATATTTTAAAACATTTTTACTTCATCTTTTTGATTTTCTACTTTTGCTTTATATGTATTGGTAACATATGTTCAAATTTAAACATTTTAAAATATATATGTCTATGTACACACACACACACACACACACACACACACACACTGGGGTGTGCACACTACGGCATTAAAGGCAGGTGAGTGAGTTTAATAGGGTTTTCGGTTTCATTGCTTGTATTCTTAGAAAAAACTTCTCCAATCCCAAGAAAAAATACTACTTTCTAGTTTTTACAACATTTTTTTCTTTTTTAGTTCACAATCTGGAATTTCTCTTGGTGAATGGTATGATAGGAATCAGTTTAATGTTCTCTAATTATACCAGCACCTTTCATAAAATAATTGACCATGGACAGCATGATTTCAAAAAGCCGCCTTTAGTGTACTCTAAATTCTAAATTTGAGTTTTCTATTTTCTAAATTACCTTCCATTGACTTATCTGTTTACCCTGGCATAAGTCTTTTAATTTAATTGCACTTAGAAAGTGATTTTTTTTGGTACAGCAAGTTCCTTCCATTTTCTTCACTTTCAATGGGGATTTTCCTATTTTCATCTGTTTATACTTCCATGAGTTTTTTAGATTATATAAATACTGTTGGTTATCTGAATTGGCTTTACACTGAATATACATTAACTCAGAGAACTGGCATGTTTAGAATGGTCCAAACGTTCATATTATGAAGTGCTTCCAAGTCCCCGTTCTCCCCTCTGTTCTCATTCCCCTCCACCACCCTCTCCTGAGGAAACTATGTTCCTGAATGTTAATAACTGTCTTTCCTTTATAGCTTTACTACTTGTGTCTGAGTCCCTAAACAATATACTTAGTTTTTTCTGATTTTGAACTTTACATAAAGGTACCCATGCTGGCTCTATTCTGACTTCACTCAATGATTTCTGAGATGCATCCATGTTGAAGCCCGCAGTGGTATGATGCCTTGACCACTCTAGAGAATTCCACAGCATACACTTCATTTATTCACTGTATGCTAGATGGGCATTTGGCTCCCTCCTTCATTCCTTTTAATTATTACACATAATGCTGTTATAAACATCCCTGTATACGTTTCTTGGTACACATGCACATGAGTTTTTCTAAGTATAAATAGTGGGCTATTAAGAGGTGCCTATGCTCAATTTCATTAGATAATACTGTTCTCCAAAGTAGAAGTGCAGATTTACACGCCAACAACAGGTGAAGGTTTGTTGTCATAAACTCTCAGATTGTTATTTTCAGACTTCTCATAATTTCTGCCAAGTTGTCAGCAAGGAAATGGTATCTATGCTTTTAATGTGCATTACCTGACGACTAATGAGGCTGAACATCTTTTCACATTTATGGGCCATTTCTGTTTCTTCTGTGAAATGCCTGCTAGTGTTTGGGGTCCGTCTCTCCTGAGTTGTTTTCATTGCTGATTTGCATTCAGGTGCTCTTTAGCAGTTATATTATGAATATTTGTATCTTATTCCAGATTTGGCTTCTCTTTTCACTCTACAGCATGTTTGGTAATAAGTACTTACAATCAATGGTAGCCAAATTACTTATCTACTGATAGTCTGCATTTTCTATCTTGTTGATGAAATTCTTCCCTACTCCAAAGTCATTGTTTTAATCACTACCTTTGGCAGTAAGTGTTAGAATCTTGTAGTGCTAGTTCCCCTCACAATCCATTCAGAAAGGTCTTGGATATCCTTGGCCCTTTGCTCTTCCATTTATATCGACGAATCAAATTGTCAGGTTCCACAGTGAAAATCATTGGGAATTTTTTTGGAATTGCAATTTGGAGAAAAAGTTGAGATTTAGATAATATTGAGTGTTATCCCTTATATTCTCTACACTTATTTAGGTCCATTAAGTTTTTTTTTTATCATTTTCTCATTTTAAAATTTATTCTTAGGTACTTTTTCTTGTCCTATTATAAACAGCATTTCTTAATTACATTAAAAAGCCAATCTTGTATTCCTGAGACCAATCCATTTTGGTCATCATTTGTTACATTTTGAATACACTGTTAGACTTGGTTTGCAAAAACTTATTTTCCTACTGAAGGGTACAATGTGTTTTATGTATGTGTGTGTTATGTATCTGTCAGATCAAATTGATTAGCTGTACTATTTAAATCTTCTATGTCCTTAATAATCTTCATAATTTAGTCTCTGCAAGATCTATTAATTACTGAGAGGGGTATGTTGAAAATGCCCATTATGTTGGTAGACTGACCTATTTCTCTTTGTAGTGTGTTCATTTTTCCTTTTTGTAGTTTTCTTTTAACTTTTTAAATATTTTTCTCGACAGGGTCTCACTCTGTTATCCTAGCTGAAATGCAGTGGTATCATCATAGCTCAATGCAGCCTCAAACTCCTGGGCTCAAGCAATCCTCCTGCCTCACACCTTAGCCTCCAAATAACTAGGACTAAAAGCAGGTACCACCACGCCCAACTTTTTTTGTGTTTTTTTGAGACAGAGTCTCGCTCTGTTGCTCAGGCCAGAGTCCAGTGGTGTGACCTTAGCCCACTGTAACCTCCACTTCCTGGGTTCAAGTTCTTGTGCCTGAGCCACCCAAGCAGCTGGGATTACAGGTGTATGCCACCATGCCTAATTTTTTTTTAATTTATTTTTATTTTTTATTTTTTGTAGAGACAGGGTTTCACCATGTTAGCCAGGCTGGTCTCGAGCTCCTGGCCTCAAGTGATCCACCTGCCTCAGCCTCCCAAAGTATTGACATTACAGGCAAGAGCCACTGTGCCAGGCCCAACTTTTTTTGTTTTTTGCTTGAGATAGTTTCACTCTTGTCGCCCAGGCTGGAGTACAATAGTGCAATCTTGGTTCACTGAAACCTCTGCCTCCTGGGTTCAGGCGATTTTCCTGCCTCAGCCTCCCGAGTAGCTGGGATTACAGTCGTGTACCCCCACGCCCAGCTAATTTTTGTATTTTCAGTAGAGATGGAATTTCACCATGTTGGCCAGGCTGGTCTTGAACTCCTGACCTCAAATGATACGCCCACCTCAGCCTCCCAAAGGGCTGGGATTACAGGCGTGAGCCACCATGCTCGGCCCTAATTTAAAAAATTTTTTTGTAGAGATGGGGTTCTGTGTTACCCAGGCTGGTCTCAAATCCTGGCTTCAAGCAATCTTCCCACCTCAGCCTCTCAGTGTTGGGATTACAGGTGTGAGCCACTTTTTCTTTACATATTTTGAGGTATACTATTAGACATGTAGGTACATTACTAGAAAGTTTTGAATTGTTATGCCCTTCTGGCTTAACAATTTAGGGAGGGAGAGGGCTTAATAAAGGAAAACAGATTAAAAAAAAAACCTACTCAAGACTACAGCTAGTTAAGCTAGTTGCTCTCAGGTTCTATTAATATGTGTGATATTCATTCTACTATCATGCTTTTTGATATTCAAGGTATTTTAGAATTTTAGATAATTGAGAAACAGGCCAATCGAAGAAATAAAATTCACACATATACACACACACACACAGAGCTGGTTCTAGTAGAAAAGGTTTGTACTTAGTAAAAAACAAACCTGCTAAAAGGGAAAGAGTTTAAATGACACCCTACTTAACTGTGGGGCAGGGGAGTGAAAATGGAAATTGTCAGAGTCACTGAATTCTGCCACATGTGATAACCAAAAAGTAGATAACATCACAACAGAGCTGAGGTCAAAAAAATGGAAGGGATGAGAACTGGCATTCTGACAATACTGTAGGAAAGGACACCTCTACAGAGATAGCAAGAGAAACTAAAACCTTAAAGTAAGGTTACAAATAACCTAGGGGATGACACTAATTTCATAGCAAGAAAACACAAAGGGTTATAAAAAAGCATAGTACCAATAAATGCAAAGAAAAAAACAACCTAAGTCCAAAAGTTGATTAAAGGTCCACAGAAGAAACTGTACAGTGTTTAAAAAACAAAAACTACAAATATACTGATATCCGTATCCATACTATATATGAATATAGAATAGATATGACCATATGTATATTGTTACACACTGTTTTTTAGCACTGGTTGCAGAAGTCAAGATCAACACTCACCCTGCAGGCTAAGTAACTGTGGTAACAGATGTGTGCTCAGTGTGGCTGTCATGTAGGAGGCAATATTAATATGCTATAAGCAAAATCAAATATTCTATATTATAACAAAGTTCCAGTGAACCAGGTATTAAGGCCAAGGACATCTGTACAGGATTTATAACATAACATAACAAGGCCAACGACATCTGTACAAGATTTATTTCATTTACCACAATGTTTTAGAGTGAAAGTATATGCCCTAATACAGAAGGAGTGATTCAGAACCCACCAAAAGATCAAGAGCCAAAGTCAGTGGCTTTGTATCCCAGGTCAATAGGAGTTTCATCCGCCATTTTGTTTTTCTTGGATTAAAGAGATGATGTGCAGAACGCCCTGTGCTGAGCTCACTATGGCTTCTGACATACAAGCACCACTAGGAACAAGACTTCATTGCTTCATCCTTGCTCTGGCTGTGCTAGTGAGTGGCAAAAGCCTCTTGCTCGTGCTTGCCCTCCAAATTTTTCATAAGCATTCCTGTTACTAGCCATAGCTTCCCATGACTTCACATTTGAGTAAGTTATCCTGAAGTGTGTGGCTGTAATATTGACAAATAGAACTAATGAGAGTGAACTGCCATCTGTTTAACAAAACGCACTCTTCTAAGAGAATACCCAGTCTTAGTGCATTTAGTACATAGTCACAACATTGAAATGACGTGAGAATCAATACAAAATATTTATTTTTTTTCAAACCACAGAATTCTTAACCCCAGAGCCACACAATAAAGTTCTCAGAATTGTAAGCCATTAACATTTTTCTAAACAATGCAGTCCAGAGATGAAGATAATTTCCAACCAGCAGGGATGCAATATATAGTAGGTTCCCCTATGAATGAAGCTCAAATTAGCATTTCCTTTAATTCTCCCACAGCCACTCCATCAACAGAAGCAGAAACAGTACACATATTCATGCCACTCGGCTCTGAAAAGAGGTTCAAGGTGGGTCAAGGTGGGTCTTGGCCAGTGGAGGAAGGAAGGTGTCCAGGACTTTAGTTAATCAACAGTGGGGACAGAGAGGAATGATTTCCCTTGGAAAACAACAGGGTTCCTTTCTCATATTCTTGTGGCCAGAAACTGGGGTGAACTTCAGTGGGGTAATGAAAGAAACAGGAGAGCCATTTCTCCAGGAACTCCTATGACCTCCATTTTAACTTCTGACAAAGTTAACTTCATTTATACAATCGTATTGAAAACAGTAATCACAACCAAAAAGGTCCTATAAACCTGTAATAGATGTCAAAGGGATTCACATTCTGAACTTTAATTTTAAGGACCCTTTAAAAGGCCTAGACTTGGATTAAAGTAAACGTAATATTCCAAGCTAAAAGAGGCACCATAAAAAATCAACTCAAAACATCCAAACAATGGCTAGATGACTAATGTAGGTTGTTTTGCTTTTTAGTTGCAAAGCTTTTCAGTATCTCAGATTAGTGTATGTTCATAAAACAATGCTCAGTTATTTTAATAGCTGCTTATGAAACAATAACAGTTTAACTCAAGGGCAATGCTTCTTGCATAATAATCACAAAAATAATTAACTGCTATAAAACGGGAAAAAAAGTAGAAGAAAATAAAGCCAGCCTCAATAATAAAAAGGCAAAATCTGGAGGGGTTACTCGGCTTAAAAAGAGATTAACCAGGATTATTTAAATACTATAATACAAGTGCTCCTGCTCACTTCTAACTGCAGAAACCAATTTTGTTTGCTAGATCACCATTACCTTTGCTAGTATGCGTACAGACCACCACTCGGAAGTTATCCTTTTGTGCTGAAAAACGTTCAAATCCCTTGTTTGGTCAGTACAGAATATTGCGAGGTGATGCTCATGCAAACTCTTCCTGAGGAATTTATGTGTGCAAATCTGCAACCCGACAGCATGGCACGCAGCCAGGGAGTGGTAGCTGCACAGTGTGAGCACTGGAGATGGATGTGCAGTGTGCAGTGTTCACAGCCATGGACATCCATTCTTCTGCAATCTCATCTACCCACAAATTAGCTTTCACTCTAGACCCCAAAGGGAGGGTAATTGCTGCAAATTTGTTAAAGGGACAGAAGAAAAAGTAGCTTGTCTACAAAATAATGCACAATGCATGCATCTGGGTTTGTGTTTCTTCTCACTAACCTTGCCTAAGAACCATTAGGATAAAAGTCACAACACCAGGTTTTGCTTTCTGCCCCACAAAAAAACAGTAGTTAATTCCTGTCAGGTTAGGGTACAGGTGTGACAACAAAAGGTCACAAAATGACAATGTTACTGAAGCTTAAGGCCAACCTTTAAAACATGTACCGTCTCTCAAAACAATTATCGATTTACTTTTACATGTCATTTTTTCAAGATGACTGACCCGGCTTTCCTTTTAAGGAGCCAGTTTCAGGCTGCACATACATACTAGACAGTTGAAGCAAATCAGCCATTGACTAACCAGACAACCAGCCTGCATGTACGGTTTTGTATCTTCAATGATTTGGGCCTTTAGTGATGTGGTACAAAACCCAGTATGTAATTGGGGTAGAAAAACCATATACTGTACTGGCAAGAATACAAAAAAAAAAAAAAAAAAGGCCAGGTGCAGTGGCTCACACCTATAATCCCAGCACTTTGGGAGGCCGAGGTGGGTGGATCACTTGAGGTCAGGAGTTCAAGACCAGCCTGACCAACATGGTGAAACCCCGTCTCTACTAAAAACAAAATACAAAAAGTAGCCGGGCGTAGTGGCACGTGCCTGTAATTCCAGCTACTCAGGAGGCCGAGGCAGGAGAATCACTTGAACCCAGGAGGCAGAGGTTGCAGTGAGCTGAGATTGCACCACTGCACTCCAGCCTGGGTGAGAGAGTGAGACTCCATCTCAAAAACAAAATATAAGAAAACAGAAGAAAACAGTTTCTGGCAAACAGTCAATATAAAATGAGAGGAAGGAGGAGGAAATCTTATTTCCTCTCATACTGCAAACTCACTCAGAATTTTTTAGAATCCCAATAAATAAGCAAAGTCTATTTCAACTTAAACAGGTCCTTCAAACTGTGATGTGCCTCAAGGGGCCAAGATGATTAACAGCCAGGACATGTAGACTGGGAGACTATGTACAACCTTTCTATAGTGACTTCCAGTCAAGGTTTTGTTGTATTAAGAGCTGACCCATAGCCAGCTGCAGTCACTGTGCAAAAATTTAGAGAAACTAAATTTTGCAAACTTTACTTTGCCCACTTTTTATTAATACATACATAGTAAAAAGAATATATTTCTCCATGAACTTAATAATGCAAAAGCATCCAAAGATTTTAATGCCAATTCACATTATACTGTGATGCTTTTATAGGGAAAGTTCTTTTGTAAAAGAATGCTCTCTCCCAGAAAAAGCATTTGGGTATATTATTAGGATACTGAAGAATTTCTCCACATTTAGAAACATTCCAATTTTATTCCTTTCAGAAAAATTATTAATACCACTCACTCAGACTTCAGTTCTAGGTGTGATTGGTAAGCCTGAAGCAAGCATTCCATTGAGAAAAGTAAAATGTGAATGTCATGATGAATGGAATTCTCCTTGATACTAGAATGTTACCAGTGTAGCAACTTAAACTGTCCAGGTCATAGTGAGAGCCTGTCTATGTTCTTACAGTAATTCAGTGTTCATCGATGCAATCCAGGATGCTCACAGAGTGAATTGAGTCCAATTAAAGTCCACAAAATCCACGAACTCTGGTTAAGTACTTTAAAAAATAAATCTGACAACCTTTATCTTTACTTCTCTGTATAACAGTTTTACAAATCAAGGACTTCAATTATTGGGTGACTTACTTGCTCCCAATATCCCACTTCTAACTCTCCCACCCACACCACTCCCCCCAAAAAATAAACTGAATTGGCAGAGGCAGCTGTATGAAGAACCTGCAGAGCAGACATGCGACAGCATCCCTGGGATGTTTCTTTTCCCCTCAAGTTCTCTGAAGAGGTAAATACTATTAGTCTGATGTTGCCTAGTAGAGAAGCCTATGCTCAATTAAGATTCAAGCAAAATTGAGAAGAAAAGTATTTTTCTCTTGCCACATCTATTTTTCTTGGGCTTTCAACAACAGCTAGAATAAGCTTCAGAAACTTTTATGATGGACTAAAAAGCACTGTGGATGTGGAGAAACAGAAATATAGCTTTGCCACAGCTGGAAGGGAGCCTTAGGACAGCAGTGCTACTTCTTCCCTATCACACTCAAATATAATGTTCAAATGACAGACTTTTTTTAAGTAATTATCTCATTCATTTAAAATGAAGTGATCAGGAACCCCACACCACTGTGTATTTGGACTTAATAACTGTATCTGCTTCCTAGAGCATCGCAGGAAGTAGCTCTCAATAATACTAAGGGAAGCTTCCGTGCTAAAGTACCGCCCATCCCTAAACTAGAGTACTGCCAATACTATAGCAGCTGGTGACAGACATCGTGTTAAGTGGCACAGGGAATGGAAATGCTCTAGGAGAGTTGGTCCCCAACATTAATATGAATATGCTCTGGTGAACCAGGGGAAAATCCGACCCATGTGCAAAAGGTTTCTATTTTCCCACTTAATTAGCATCCTGCTACAGGGCCACACCTGCCATCTTGGTGGGTGAGTTTAGATACCATACACTTCTCCAGGAGGAGTTTGACAACATGGTCACACAGTTGCAAAGTGCACAAAGCTCAAGGCACAGAGTAGAAGAAAGTTGTGAACTGATGGGGGAAAGTTCTAGCAAAAGCAGAGTTAGCATTTTCCTTTAACAAGACTTTCTAATGCTAAACAAAGACCAACTCTTTTAAAAGGGGTTGTTTTGGTTGTGGGTGAAAAATACTGTACTGTAATGATCTGCTTGGTTTTAAAGCAAAAGAGATCCTGACATGTGAAACCAATACACCAAAATGCCAAGTCCACAAATGAACAAAACAAGTGCTTAAAAAAAAAATTCTTCTGCTCTTATATTTTTGGAGGAAGCTGCTGATTTTGGCTGTCAGATTTCACTTAGAAATGGTCACTTTCTGAGATGCTTTTTCCTCACAGAATCTGTAGATAAACTCATTAAAAGATTGTCCCATTTCAAAATCACCCCCAAGTCTAGCAGCAACGTTTTTTTTTTTTTTAGTTTTTGTTTTAAAATTACAAACCAAGTAAGAAGTCCAACATCCTCTTCCATGAACAGCTTTGTGACAGAGCTCCTGAGTGTGTGCAGCCCCCACTGTGCTCTGAATACAGTCTCTGCAGCTCCAGTGTGTCCTCTTTTCAGGAAGGAAAGCATATTCAATACATTCACTATCTGTACCCCCTGGAACTTGCACATGCTGACGAGCTATCTGAAAAAACATCAGAATAGGAAAAAGTATGAAGAGCAGACAGCATTTGATAACAGCAGGAATCTGTTTATTCAACACACATTTCTCACTCCTCTCCCAACTCCCCAAAAAAGGCTTAAAAAAAATCCTCAAAACCATGTGGGGTGGAGGGAAGTAAAAGGGGACTGAGAACCTAAGGAACTGGGACTGGGCTACGATGTCATCCCAGTAGAAACTAAAGAACCTGGTGGCCTCTTTCCAATGCCCTGAGAACCATCGCTACCAGCTGGAGCTGCCACAGCATGCAAAGCATCCTGACCTTGATTACAAGCAGTGCCTTATGAGAACAACATGGGTATCATCAAATTCAATGCACTGTTATCACAGTGCATTAATATGGCTGCTTTACATCACAGAACCATCAAGATGGGAAGGAACATCATTACTTACTATAAGCCAACTCATCCCCAGCTCTCTTCCGGGACTGGTCACCCCTGGGGATAAGAAGAGGCAGTCAACAAAACTGACTTCACATCAAAACAGGAGGAAAGGATCAACATATTTGATAATAAAAGTATAGCAGACATTTCAGTTCTAACCAAACCTATTTAAAAATACATATTAAACATCTTAGAATCCTGATGTACCTCACTATGCTTTCTGCAGATGGAAGAACATGAGCCTTTACCTGTATTAACCAGTTCATCCTCAAACACCTATGAAAGTTCTAATTCCACTTTAGAGTTAAGAAAATAGAGGTTCTGACTAGGCCCTAAGCTACCTACAAATCCTATTTTTGTGTCTCCAGCTTCTCAGACAATAACAGAAATGACTCAAATGCTTAGGTAATGAGAAATAATAATCACTACTAGCCTTTCTTCCTCAGCATTTATAAGTTGATTTCTTCCTGAAACACGATTTTTTTCTCTTTAGGTTTCAGTAATGCCACAGCACACATTCCTGACCTTACCTCACCCTGTCTGCCATCCTTTTGAGGTCTCCTTTGCTGGCTCTACCCAGCCCTCTGTCGCTGGTCATCTTTTCTTCTCCACGTGTAGTCCAGGATGGTGATCATACACTCTCTCCACAGGCCAGAGGCTCCCATATCTACATCTCCAACTCTGCCTTCCTCTCTACGCTTCAGATCTACAGGTCCAACTCCTCATCACCATGTCCATTTGGATGATTTATATACACTGGCAAGTTTACCATGACCAGAATACAATGCTGACTCCAATCCATCCCCATTCCTTCTTCAATCTTCCAGCTTGATCACTCAACCCAAAATCCTTGGTCATCCTCTCTTTTCCTCATTCTGGGGCATTCTGTCCCAAAACCAATCACTCCTCATCAACTCCACTGCTATGATCCCAAGCCAAGCCACAGTCTTCTCTTCCCTACACAAGTACATGAGCCTTATTTATCAACCCAGATGAGAGCCAGAGTGATCTCATGTAGAAGACAGATTAGTTCATGCCTCTCATGAAAGCCCTTCAGTGGTTTCCCACTACAGTTAAAAATTAATTCCAACCCATTCTCCAGCCTACTCTCCCACCTCACTTTCCTCCACTCTCTGCCTCTGTTCACTATAAGTCAGCCATCCTGGCTCACTGGCTGTCCCTTGCATGTCAGCACTTTACTACTTACTGTCCACTCATAGGACTTACTACTCAATATTATTTTTTTTTTACATGTTTGTTGTTTGTTATTTGCCTCCCAACATCAGAACATAAGTTCCATGAAAACAGGAACTTGGCCTGTGTTGTTCACCCCACTGCCTAGAAGAGTATAGACAATAAATATTTGTTGAATTGACAAAGTAGTAACTTGTAAATAGTCTCATGGATAAATTATTAAAATGCTAACCAAGGTGATTTATTTCCTGCTTTTGAATAATTTTCCAGATAAAGTTTCCCATTTACTTTCTCTGGTTATGTTGAGGACCAGGGCAGAAACCTCTTGCTAAGCTAGGTAAGGAGCCTCAACTGACCGGCAGAAAGAGTACACACTGTATGACCTCTGAAGGGTTTTTCTGTAGGCACCACATTCAGCACAAATTAGCTTCCACAGCCAAAAGAGCTCTAACAGGCCGGCCCTCAGGCCACTTTTTAAACACCTCTGTAGTCAACACTACACCTAGCCAAAGCCAAGTGAGTGTCTTCCGTTGTTATTCACACTAGTATCATCACAGTTGCATTCACCAAATATTCTGAAACAAACAAGTTAATGATCAAAAAGGAAGACAGAATTTTATATCTGGAACCTCGACTTATAGACACAACCTTCATTTCCATTCCTCAAAGGTTAAATAAAAACTGAACATGTAAATATAACAGGAGAAAAATACAGACGTGAAAACAACTGGAGGCAGGAAAAGGAGTATCAATGTGATTTATGCAAGAGGCTGCTGAAGAGATTAAGTCCGGAACGCTCTCTCAAAACCCTTACTACAAAATAAAAAAGCCCAAATTTCGGCGTCACCTGCTCAGCTAAAAGACCTATGTTCTTACCTTGGTTACTTAGATCTAGTAGTTATCTTCTGTAGTGTTACCGTTGACAACAGATACCAAACTTCCACCCCTCGCCAATCAATTCAATTATGTAGGTAAGAGATAAAAAGAAGCTGTTGCTTTTAGCTTATGTGTTAATTCCAGCCTACCCTATATTTCCATGCACCTAACAATTACAATTCACAAAAATTCCAGCTCAAATGAGAATCCACTAACTGCAAAAAAGGATGTATTTGACAACAGTCACTTTATTTTAAAACAATTCAAAGACTTACTCTGTGCCATCCACATTAAAGCTGTTTGTTGCCTACTCAGGATCACTACATCACTTAAGTTCATCTTACATGAAAAAGTGCCCATAACAATGAACAGGAATCACGTGGTTGGTTAGGCATAAACCATAAAATGACTGCTCAGATAAGAAGAGGCAGAAACAGAATTCTTAAGACAGGCTGTACTATATTCTCCTTTTCTGGGGGCATCAGTAGACACCACTTCTTCTAAAATATTATTCCTAATTAAGGCATTAAGTTGGACAGGACAGAATGTGGAAGGTCCATGCACAAGAGCAGAGGCAGGCTCCCCATCACAGCTGCCAAAGGTGGCATGTGCACGTCCTTCCTGGCCAGTATGAGTAAGCTCAGAATTACATATGAGAACGTCCACTTTGGCGGACTTACTCTGTGCAAAGCACCTGTCAGAATACTTTTATGAGGCAAAGTTTAATCCTCATAGCACATGTATAATAAAGTTTAATTACAAAAATGGTCTAATTAAGTTTGTAAAAACATTTTATCATCCCTTGGAATACTGCCTAGTATTTAAATCCAGCCAGAAGTTTTATAAAATAATTCCACTTAGAGACAAAAATTCCTATTTATACCAAAAATTCAAGACATTTCCCTGAATATAACCAAACTGGCCAGTGGCTGAATAGTGCCATGTTTGTCCTTCATGTGCAGACACAATGCAACCTGAGGTTATTTACAGAGGCAGTTACTCATCTCATCCCAAGCAAATCTGACATAAGAGCTACTATAAACCAAGCAGTCCTGCACCCTGTTCTCTTATTCCAGTACCAAAATTAGGATTAGAAAAATGGGCACGTTTAAGCAATTCCATGCATTGCTCTGGAAGGCAAACTCAATATGCTCAAAATTCACAAGAGCTATATTCCTATACTGCTTCACAAAAAAGTTTTCAGAAGGCTGTCTTTTTAAAGGTATAAACTCATCCTAAATTAAGAGCAAATGTTCAAATAAAACATGAATGTATGAAAGTATAAAGACTTCAGAATTATGGTAAGCCTAGAAAAAAACCTATAACATCATACTCAGATTATTTTGCATTTATTTAAGAATACTGGGCCGGGTGCAGTGGCTTACACCTGTAATCCCAGCACTTTGGGAGGCCAAGTGTATCACTTGAGGTCAGGAGATCGAGACCATCCTGGCTAACAAGGTGAAACCCCGTCTCTACTAAAAATACAAAAAATTAGCCGGGCGCGGTGGCGGGCGCCTGTAGTCCCAGCTACTCGGGAGGCTGAGGCAGGAGAATGGCGTGAACCCGGGAAGCGGAGCTTGCAGTGAGCCGAGATTGCGCCACTGCAGTCCGCAGTCCGGCCTGGGCGACAGAGCGAGACTCCGTCTCAAAAAAAAAAAAAAAAAAAAAAAAGAGTAAGGATTATAAAAATGGAAGCTATTACTGTGACCTTAAATGATTTGCTGATACAGGCTATTTTCTCATGGGGAATCACAAAAATTGTATTAAAATGTATTTTAGTTGAAAAATGCACTCTGCAAGATTTTTTGGGATATGACCACGTTAATTAAGCGCAAAAACTTTAGAAAAATTATCAAAACCAAGAAAGGTAAATAAAGAGATGCCCTACTTAAGAAGAAACCACTAGAATTTAGGGCAAAAGGGGAAGTATGAAATACAGAATTTAAAGCCTCTATGCTAGGTTAGTCATAAAAGTACATTATAACAGATCATAAAAGTTCTATATGCACAGGACTAATACAAGAAAATCAAAGTTGAAAGAGCTCCTGGAGCTTGCCCACCTAACTGCTCACCCAGTGGGAAATCCCTTCTTCAAAATGTATGGGCCGGGCATGGTGGCTCATGCCTATGATCCCAGCACTTTGGGAGGCCTAGGCAGGCGGATCACTTGAGGTCAGGAGTTTGAAACCAGCCTGGCCAACATGGTGAAACCCCATCTCTACTAAAAATACAAAACAATTAGCCAGGTGTGGTGGTGGCACACGCCTGTAATCCCAGCTACTTGGGAGGCTAAGGCAGGAGAACTGCTTGAACCCAGGAGGTGGAGGTTGTGGTAAGCCGAGATTGTGCCACTGCATTCCAGCCTAGAAAACGGAGCAAGACTCCATCTCAAAAACAAAACGTACGTAATGAAGAGCAGCTTCCACAAAATCAAAACCTAGCTTCAACATTTCTACAGACAAGGAGCTAATGTCTTCTTGCAGCAGCAAGACTCTTGGCCAGTTACCTCCCATTCTCAGAACCTTACCATTTCTCCCATGTCAAGCCAGACTGGCCTAGGGAAATGGACATATTTGACCACTAAAGGAAAAAAAAACAACTTGCCTTGTAAAACCATTCTGTATAAGTTCTCTTTGAAATTTCTGATCTTGAGCAGCATATTCAGAAAGTTCAGATTCCACCGCCGGAGGGAGAATGTTTGGAATAAATTTAGAAAATAGAGTTGGAGCCATCTGAACCCACTCTGTGAGGAAAGGAAACAATTCATTAAGGAAATCATATAAACACACCAAATTAAATGGAAAAGGGAAAGTTTTCTTTTAAAATATATAGTAAGCCAAATTTAAGCAGGGGAAAAAATTAGTGCAATCCCATTCTGGTAAAGAACATACAAAGTTAAATTTCCCTTCTAAAAAGAATTTTACAGGCCGGGTGCGGCGGCTCACACCTGTAATCCTAGCACTTTGGGAGGCCGAGGCAGGTGGATCACGAGGTCAGGAGATCGAGACCATCCTGGCTAACATGGTGAAACCCCATCTCTACTAAAAATACAAAAAATTAGCCAGACACGGTGGCGGGCACCTGTAGTCCCAGCTACTCAGGAGGCTGAGGCAGGAGAATGGCGTGAACCTGGGAGGCGGAGCTTGCAGTGAGCCGAGATCGCACCACTGCACTCCAGCCTGGGCGACAGAGCGAGACTCCGTCTCAAAAAAAAAAAAAAAAAAAAAAAAGAAAAAGAATTTTATAGTATGAAGAAAGCCATTTTTACTTTACTGATTTAACAGAATTTAGTGAAAACCCCTAGGGAATTTTTGAACAAATCTTACAGAAAATTATAAGTATGGAGGAAAACATGAATGTGATTACCAAACAATTCTGAGTGGGAGGGGACTTGGTGTAAATATCAGCCTTATTAGCCATTAATTAAAACAATATATAGCCCAAGAATAGAACAGTACAAATAATAAGTAGACATATTTAAAAAAAGAGGCAGCACAAAAGGTAGGAGGGACTGAACGTTTAATAAGTGGGCTGGAGGTAACTGGTTAGTACTTTGAAAATATTTTTTGAGCCATGTTCAATTACAGCAAATATATATAAACAACAGTAAAAAAAAAAGTGGTTATCAAATCATTTTTTAAAAGCTCAGGAGACTATAGAAAATAAGGCAAAGAAGTCACAAGAAAACACTTGCACCAGATATGACAAAGATGAATTAGTATCTTTATTATAACGAATATGTACAGATCAGTAAGACCAGATAAATGAGTGAAAGAACCTATAATAATAGAAACAGAATAGCCCTGTTAATATTTAAAAAAATTCAAGCTAAAATAAATATACTCTCTCCTTTTTATTCAGTGAACATTAAAGAGAATTAACACCCACCTGTATCAAGGGCATGGGGAAACCAGTATTTCCCTTCCTTGGTGGTGGTCCTCAATTAACACTATTACTCATTTTGAATTGTTTTAATCTAGCCCTTTTACATTTTTCCTCTTGGAAAACATTTTGGCTACACATGTCAAAAACTATAAAAATATTAATGCTCTTGAATCACTTTAAAAACGATAATCTGAGTAAATGATTATAAATCAGAAAAAGCCACGCTTGATGCTGTGGAACATTTGCTCTGTGGTAAGTAAAAAAGTAGAAGTTAATAAAACGTCTAACAGGAGAATAGCTAATTAAAGCTGGCAAATAAGCACTGCAAATGATACAAGGACCAATCCATTCAGTCACGCCTTGGGAGAAACTCGTGGCAAAATGCTTCCCTCCTTCCAGTCCAGCTCAAATATGGCTTCACTAAGAGTCTCAATACAGTGCTACAGAGAACCACTAATCAGTCACAGCTGGCAAAGTCAAACCCATCTGCCACAAAATAAAGATGAAGAAACAAAGTGTGTGTATTAAATGAAAACGGGCAGAATAGGATTGCTGGAACTATTTCTAAAGAATGGATGCCAAAAATGGTAAGTCATGAGAATCTCCAAGGATTACAGCCCAGGAATCTAGAGTTTAAAAAGCCTTCTTAAGTGACTCAGATGCAGTCATACAAAGACCAGCACTTGCGAACTACTGCAGTAGAACAAACTTTTGCTTTCAAAATTCAACTTTTAAAATATTCTAATCTTAATCTGTCAGGTGAATAAAATGGCTTTAATAAAGCAGGAACATAATGGGTACTGGCAAAACATGTAAATGTCAAAATATGTTTTCAAGTATCTCAGAAAATGTGCAGGGCAGCAAAAGGTTAGTATGTGATAAAATTCACCTTTTCAAAAGGACAATTCTCAAATATAGAATTCTCCTTACAAGTAGTATAAATCCTATTACAAGAGCTTGAACCTGGATAAAATAGCATTTAGATAAACATGTACCCACAATACTTTTCTACCTTTAGTGATAAACTTTATTTTGCAATTTTGTTACGTATGATAAAAGCCAGTGCTTATAAGCTGCCTACTTGGGAGGCAGAATTTGTCATACTGCACTTAGATGCTTTCAAAGGAAAAAAAATCATTCATAACCTGGTACACACACTATTTCAGGAGCCATCTTCATCACACTGCTGTAAAATTCTGAGAAACTAAATACAGAAAAGTATCAGTTTATTGGACATATGCAATAAAATCTTTACTACTTTATACAAGTAATTTCTGTTAAAAGTCACAGAAAGTAAAGCTCAAACCCTAGATCCAAATTTAACAATAAATTTGAATACTCTAGATGTCATTAATCATTTAAAGTAGCCTAAGGGTTTTGTTTTGTTTTGATGGAGTCTCACTCTATCGCCCAGGCTGGAGTGCAGTGGTACAATCAGCTCAGGAAGTAGCTGGGACTACAGGCGCCCGCCACCATACCAGGCTAATTTTTTCTATTTTTAGTAGAGACGAGGTTTCACCGTGTTAGCCAGGATGGTCTGGATCTCCTGACCTCGTGATCTGCCCGCCTCGGCCTCCCAAAGTGCTGGGGATCACAGGTGTGAGCCACCACACCCAGCCTAAGAAGGTATTTCTAAAATCAGTCTACCAGTACCAGTTTTCACTTGGTTTCCATTTTAGCTTGCTAAATTCTGACAGGTCGTTTAATTAAGCAAACAAGCCATCAATTAATTAAAATAACCATTAAACTCAAATGGATAGTAATAACAGCAGTGAATGTTTGCATGCTTATTATGTTATCAGGTACTGTGCGTTAAGCTCTTTATATCATGTTTTATTTCATTTAATCCTCAAACAACAAAAGAATTTCACAAAAAGGTAATTACTATCTAAAAAGCATTCCTTGTATTTATAGATTGTAGAACAACGTTCTATCCTGATAACTTTTGTAATCTCTCTCCCATGGACATTTATAAGTTGCTAGACAACTCTATGACAAGTTTGAGGTTCCGGCTTATAGAAAGATATATACAAAAGCTCCTTGGGATTCCTTTAAATTTATAATGTTTTATTCTAAGATAGAGAGACACATTAAGAATTTAAAAACCATGCTTTTGACTATAGTGATCTTTGGTATTTGCTTTGGTTCTTGTGATTGTCTCTCTCCCCAGAACATCCTTACAAAATGACTGTAACTTTACCAACACTTCTAGATTCTTCGCAAGTTACTTAACAGGCCTAAGAAGACGGGGTTGTGAATGTGGATGTCTGTAAGTATGTGCAGCGTGAGGCAGGAAGTAAAGAAGAAACTAAGACCAAACATGAGATTCAATTTTATCCAAAGTGTATCCTACAATTTATTTCTTGTATTTCCCTCACAGGTTCTGCAAAAACCACACTAGTTGGTTTCCACTAGCAGAGAACATTCCAACTGAGCTCTGAGTTTACATTTCACAATGATGAGTATCTACTCAATTTTTTTGCTCCAGCAAATCCAAGTACCATTAAGCCTCACAAAACACATACAGAACCACTGCCCTCTTGGAAAAGGCTGTAACAAACAGTTCCAATCCCAACAGAAATGAGAAATGTTTACCTGGTCTGAGGGTATACAGGCCTTTCACAATATTTGCCATAGTTGAAGGTGTGACCTGAAATGGTGTTGACTGGGCTTCTAAAAGTAAAGCTGAAATAAGAAAACAGGTTAAAAAGAATGTAACACATATTGACTGTCAAGATTTCTCTATTACTGTTTCTCCCAAAGACTCCTGAAACATAAACAATTGTAAGAAAGGAACAGTCCAATAAACCAATCAAATGTTTATATACTAAGGATTTTATTTTTTTAATCCACTGCAGTAGCTAAAATACGTGAAGGTCTGCTGGCCACTAATGGAAATGAATCAATTCATGAAGGTTCTGAAAAGTAAGTAAAGCTTTCTAAAAGCACTAGTATAATGTATCATGAATGATACATTATAAGTGAGTTGAAAGTGCTTCCATTACATTTGGAGAATAAAGTATCATATGATAATCTCCCTCAATCATTTCTCCTTCCCCCAAAACACCATTAGTAATTATTTGGTAACTGTGATCAGAGACAGAAATTCATTTCCACAAATGCTATAGCTACATCTACTATTTTCTTACAAGAGCTAAGGGCAAGGGATGATAATGGCTCATCTTTCTCATTTTCATGTCTTTGGTGACCCTGACTCTGAACATGACAACAGAGACAGTTTTCTTTTAGGTTATCTACTGCCACACAAACATTTTTAAGAAGTTTTTAACGAGTAAGAATAATTCCTCTAGATAAGATCACTAACAAATACAAGTGAATTCCATTGATAAGTGAACACAACAGATACTACTGACCTAAAATGATTCATTTTTAATTTATCTCAAAGAGCTGCATTTGCTAATAACAACAAAAAACTTAGTAGGATTTTACCCTCAGCCAGGCTTGTAACATCACATATAAACTGATTTTGTTCTGTTCATGCCTTTCTAAAAAGAGAAATGCCATCTTACTAGGCCAATAAGGATTTTACAGTCTCAAACGTACAATTTGAGTTATGTTTGAATATATATGATGGCCATCAGAGATGCACTCACTGTTCAAGTCTATCCTTCCAATTTTATCATCAGTAGATAGTTACAATTTTGAATGGCACAGACCACCAGGGGTGTCCAGTCTTTTGGCTCCCCTGGCCCACACTAGAAGAAGAACTGTCTTGGGCCACACATAAAATACACTAACGACAGCTGATGAGCTTAAAAAAAAATTGCAAAAAAACTCGTTTTAAGAAAATTTACAGGCTGGCACAGTGGCTCACGCCTGTAATCCCAACACTTTGGGAGGCTGAGGCAGGTGGAACACAAGGTCAGGAGTTCAAGACCAACCTGGCCAACTTGGTGAAACCCCCGTCTCTACTAAAAATACAAAAAAATTGGCTAGGCGTGGCGGCAGGCGCCTGTAATCCCAGCTACTCAGGAGGCTGAGGCAGAGAATTGCTTGAACCTGGGAGGCGGAGGCTGCAGTGAGCCAAGATCCCGCTACTGCACTCCAGCTTGGGTAACACAGCGAGACACTATCTAATAAAAAAAAAAGTTTACGAATTTGTGTTGGGCAGCATTCAAAGCCATACTAGGCCGCATGCGGCCCGCAGGCCATGGGTTGAACAAGCTTGGCATAGACAAATGCTAAGCATTTCAGAAAATCATGTTGCTTTAAAATGCAGTGTTTAAAAATTTAAATTCTAAGTGTTAGGTTTTCAAAGTTCTCTCTATTAATCCATCTTCCTAACCTTTTCACCATTTTGGCCTCCAATTAGCCTTGCTCCCACTAACTCTTCGTATTCAACCACATATTCATTATGTGGTCAAGTATATACATTTGCAAACAACTCCTACCATAACTGAAATCCCCTATGTCAAATTTGATAAAGAAATGATAAATATAATACAAAGATATATACATAAAATGTACAGAAATTAATTTGAAATAAATTTAAAATGATTTTAGGAAAACAGTGTTTAAAACTTAAAAGATTTTCTAGTTAATCTCCCCTTTTAAGGAAAAAGAAATGGGAGTTTGGGGGTGGTAACTTGAGAGAGAAAAGAGTACTGAGCATTTAGTAAGTGCTACGTACTTTACATATATTTAATTCTCACAAGCTTTATCATCTACCTTTTTATTTTTAACAAGTGAGGAAACTGAGGCCAAAATAAAAACTCATCACTGAATAATTCATCTGAAGTCACAGAGCTAGCTAGAGGCAGAAGAAGTTTGAGAACTTGTGTTTCACTCTAAATTCTGTACTCTACTTCACCATACCAACACTGAAATGCTTGCTTATACGCAACAATCATCCCACAGATATCAATAAGCCGTATAGTTTAAACACTAGAATAGATAACTTCTAATCCTAAAATCTAGACAGGTTAAGTGTCTTGCTGAAAGTCACACACCTTTTGATACCTGAATTGGGACCAGAACCAAGCTCCTCTGCTCTTTCAAGTATTCCTCAGTGCTACACACTTGCTCAGGAGACTCTCTCCTTTATTAATGTGAAAAGCAATTCATAAAACTGAAAATACTCTTGGCTTCAAAAAATTTCAAACTACAATGGTTTGATCTAAAAGGCAGAACTGCCTAAGAAAATTAACTAAAACGTAACTATTTAGAACACTGTGCAAACTGAACTATAAATCTGCTGCTGCAAAAGTCAACACACTATATTTTCCCAGGAAATTTTCTATCATTAATTAACCCCATGCTACACATTTGTTACATTTGCTCAGAATCACCAACATACGACGTAAATACTTTAACAATAGAGCCTAGTAGTTTACTTTCAGCCAAAAATAGAAGCCACTTTATTTTATAAGCAAATATGCATAAAAATGATTATACCATGGAGCCGATAGAAAACTAGTTTTATTCCCAGTAAGAAGTCATTGTCTTCATTCATGAAACATACTAATAATGAATAATATGGGGCAATCAAGAACTGATTCTTTATTAACAGACAGTATTCATTTTACATTTTTGTGTTGTTTTTAAGACGTGGCTCCCAAATTCTTCTGACAAACCTCTTTTGCTTTTTTTTTTTTTTTTGAGACGGAGTCTCACTCTGTAGCCAGGCTGGAGTGCAGTGGCGATCTTGGCTCACTGCAACCTCTGACTCCTGGGTTCAAGTGATTCTCCTGCCTCAGCCTCCCAAGTAGCTGGGATTACAGGCACGTGCCACCACACCCGGCTAATTTTTGTATTTTTAGTAGAGACAGGGTTTCACCATGTTGACCAGGCTGGTCTCGATCTCCTGACCTCAAGTGATCCGCCTGCCTCGGCCTCCCAAAGTGCTGGGATTACAGGTGTGAGCCATCGCGCCCAGCCGACATGCCTTTTATCAAGAGGTGGGATACATTCCTCTCCTGGAATTTGGGCTCTGTGACCCTCGCCCAGCAGAATACAGCAAAAGTGGCACTGTGCCAGTTTCTGAGCCGAGGACCTAAGATACCAGCAATTTCCATTTCCTGTATCTTGAGATACTCACTCATGAAGGAAACACAGAGGAACCAAAAGCTAGCACCAACCTACCAGCCACGTGAATGAGTCACACTGAAAGTGCCAGCCCCCAGCTGAGCCACATCAGACAATGCTGAGCAGAACAGAGATAAGCTACCCCACCCCAAGCCCTCCCAAACTGCAGAGCAAAATAAAAGACTGTTGTTTTAAGCCACTGTATTTTTGGATGATTTGTTATACACCGATAATAAATGGAACACTAGTTTTCCAGATCTATCTGAAGCCACGGGAAGGAAATTACTGATCAGATTGTAGAAAGTTACAGAAATTGAATGTAGTTATTTTTTTGCTGCAGTAAAGGGGTAAGTAATATAAAAATGTGTAAGTAGAAACGACATTAATAGCTGTGCTATTCTGGTTTAAACTTTAACCTCTCTTTGTCTCCGTTTCTCCATCTATAAAATGGAGGTAATGACTATACCTATCTTATAGGGTTAGGAGAATTAAATACTTGTAAAATATAGGTCCTACCACATACAAGCAGTGCATGTGTGTTTAAAAACCTTTTGATGATCACCCACATAATACAGTTAAACATTGTCCCTTGTTGTTCTGAAGCCCAAACCAATGAGGCCAGTTATCACTTCTCTAAGTACAATGCCTAACAACTGCTCAATAAGTATCTGATAAACTCAGTTTTTTCCAATTTACCAAAGCTTAAGGACCTTTTCTGTTTACTTGGAAATAAAAAGGTATATCCACCTTTAAGTGTAATTTTTATTGAAAACCGGACAACATGATTATGATTATGTTTTCTCTCACCAGCTCTGGACTACTATATTCTCTCTTGAATATTCTCTTTGCATACGTCCAATAAAATTAGTTTCCAAATTACTGGCAAATATAAAAATATATTTACAAACTAGACCGGCTTTTTCTACCAAATGGTAGCATTTCTCTACAGAATTTTACCAAGATTTCAAAATGCTCTATCTTGTCATGAAAGCAAAAAGACAATGTCAGTATCAGGAAATACTTAAGTGGTTATAATACCTGGAATACCTCATGAGACAATTTTTTTTTTTTGAGACAGGAGTCTTGCTCTGTCGCCCAGGCTGGAGTGCAGTGACGCGATCTCGGCTCACTGCAAGCTCCGCATCCCGGGTTCACGCCATTCCCCCTGCCTCAGCCTCCCAAGTAGCTGGGACTACAGGCGCCCGCCACCATGCCCGGCTAATTTTTTTTTGTATTTTCAGTAGAGACGGGGTTTCACCGTGTTAGCCAGGATGATCTCAATCTCCTGACCTCGTGATCCGCCGGCCTCAGCCTCCCAAAGCGCTGGGATTACAGGCGTGAGCCACTGCGCCCGGCCAAGACAATGTTTAAAGATGTTGATAAACATCTCCCAGCCTTACAAAAAAAAATGGGAACATAATAATGAAATGTATATTATCTTCAACTACACTATTCTTTGAAAAAAAAACCCTGCCTTTCTAAACTTGCCCCATGCTTGATAATTCCTTCACTTAATTCAGCATCAAAAATGAAAAAAAAAAAGTTTATGGTCAAGCTTAGAACAATTCTTTTGTAGATTCTGGTAAAAGTTCATTGTGGTGAACGCTAATTACGGCTCAAAGGAAAGCAAAAATACATACTGCCAACCCAAATATGTGCCACATTCGAAAAAATGACTTGATGTGTCACATAAGATAGGAGCTTTAAAAGGACGCTGAGGACACTGAGACATTAGGTTACAGGGACTTCCTAACTCCACCTGGAGAAGTATATTCTTTCAGGAAAGGTAGAATGAGATGCTACCTACTGCGAGGGGGAAGAGGACTCAAGAATGGGAAGAGGAGAGGCCAGGTGCAGTGGCTCACGCCTGTAATCCCAGCACTTTGGGAGGCCGAGATGGGTGGATCACGAGGTCAAAAGATTGAGACCATCCTGGCCAACATGGTGAAACCCCATCTCTACTAAAAATAGAAAAAATTAACCAGGCATGGTTGCGGGCACCTGTAATCCCAGCTACTCGGGAGGCTGAGGCAGGAGAATGGCGTGAACCCGAGAGGCAGAGCTTGCAGTGAGCCGAGATCACACCACTGCACTCCAGTCTAGGCGACAGAGCGAGACTCCGTCTCAAAAAAAAAAAAAAAAAAAGAATGGGAAGAGGAGAAACGAACTGAGCTTAATGTTCTTAATAATCTACACAGGCACATGAAATATTTTACAAATCCTAATTCACAGGAGAGAAAACTCAGGGCCACAAGAGGCAAAGACGTTTGCCTAAAATAGAGAATAAATGACAGAACCAGACTAGAGAAGAGTTTCTGCACTAGAGTAAAAATCAGAGGATTCTGTACTACCATTTCAAAAAAATAACACTGTATTCCTTCTAGAGTTACTAGTAGTAAAGTTAGAAGTGAACTTCCTAATAATACTTTCCCTACTGTCAGGAAAAAGGGGCGGCGGGGAGGGGGCAACAAGTTCTCAGGGCAGACACAAGGGCACTGTCCAATGACCTGGTCAAGGTGCTCACAGCTCACCGGGTGACCTTCAAGTCCCATTTTTAATTCTGCAGTGTCTCAGGTGGGCTTCAACACTTCCTGCTATCTGGTTCAGAAGATGTTAACATTGGGGTTTACGTGACAATGCTCTCAGACCAAAAAAAAAAGAAAAAGGAAAGATCATTGCTAGTGTTATCTCACCCGTATAAGCTGAATTACTTACGCATTAGGCTGTAAATGTGCTTTTCTGCAACATGTTCCGTAAACAGCTTTATAAGGTCATCTTTTAAGTCTCTGTTAAGCTTGGTTTCGATGTAAAACTTATTCTGAAAAATAAAATAAAATCTTTTTTTGTGTATTAATTGGGGAAATGATTAGTCTAATGAACTGGAGCACTAAATATTTTAGAAAACAATGCATAAAGGCATCAATTAAAGCAGAAAAACTCAACATCCAACAACAAAAGCCATGCAACTATTAGTTACTTGTCTTTCTGGCACGGGGTGGAAAGCATAAAAAAATGTTTTGAACTATACATCTTCAAAAGAACACTGGGAGATACCAACATTAACTAGACAGGGATGTACAAACATTGTAGAATCACACTGTGTGGAATACCCTTTAAAAATACATCACCAAAAGACAACATGAGAAACACTAATGAAAAGTACCCCATTTATCAATGATCTGGGTTGAAAGCAGGCTGTGGACATGCACTCGTTGACTCCCCAGCACACACTCAATTTCACTGATTAAGTCATTCAGCTTCTGGCATTCCCTGGGGACCACCTTTGGTTCAGAAGTAGACACTCAAGGCAGCCCAAGCAGACTTAGAGAAATTGTGGTGTGAGGGAAAAATCTCCTGCAGTCATCTTATAACCATGAGGGGAATGTCAGGCCTCTGAGCCCAAGCCTGCATGTATACATCCAGATGGCCTAACGCAACTGAAAAATCACAAAAGAAGTGAAAATGGCCGGTTTCTGCCTTAACTGAGGACATTATCTTGTGAAATGCCTTCTCCTGGACAATGAGTCTCAGAAGCTCCCTGCGGAGCTCCTGGGCCGAGCACCTTGTGACCCCTGCCCACCACAGAACAACCCCTTTGACTGTAATTTTCCACTACCTACACAAATCCTATAAAACTGCCCCAGCTCATCTCCCTTCGCTGATTCTTTTCGGATTCAGCCCACCTGCACCCAGGTGATTAAAAAGCTTTATTGCTCACACAAAAGCCTGTTGGTGGTCTCTTCACAAAGACGCCCGTGACAGGGAACAGGATAAAACCGATGTTACGGAGAGCAGAGAGACCAAAAATCAAGTCCTTAGTAATACTATTGAACCACAGATTCAACCAACCCTGGACACAGCCTTATTTCTGGAGTTTTATTATAAGAGATAATACTCTTCATTATTTACTTAAATCACTTTGAATCATGTTTTCTGTTTCTTGCAGCTGAAATCCTGACTAGAATTACTGGCAAGTCAAAGTTTTTCTTTTTTCTTTTTTTTTTTTTTGAGACAGAGTTTTGTTCTTGTTGCCCAGGCTGGAGTGCAATGGCACGCTCTCCACTCACTGCAACCTCTGCTTCCCCGGTTCAAATGATTCTCCTGTCTCAGCCTCCCGAGTAGCTTGGATTACAGGCGTATACCACCACACCCGGCTAATTTTTGTATTTTTAGTAGAGATGGGGTTTCATCACATTGGTCAGGCTGGTCTCAAACTCCTGACCTCAGGTGATCCGCCAGCCTCTGCCTCCCAAAGTGCTGGGATTACAGGCGTGAGCCACCATGCCTGGCAAAAAAAGTTTTTCATATTTAAGTGTTAATGCAGAAGAGTAGAAAATACATAGAGGAATGTTAAGTTGCTCACTGATTCTCTCTTAATTTAATTTAAAAAATTTTTTTTGGAGATAGTGTTTCAATTGCCCAGGCTGGTCTCAAACACCTGGCCTCCCACTTCAGCCACCTGAGCAGCTGGGATCACAGATGTGAGCCACTATGCCCAGCCACTGAATTCTTAACACACGTTTCTCTCTTTAAAAAAATATATAAAAATAAGATGCACATGGTTAAAAAACAGAAAGCATGCAAAAGAGTATGCAATAAAGAGAAGTCTCTCAATGCAGACCTTCTGACCCATTCCCAAAAGGTCCCATTCTACACTGGGAAAACTTCTGTATATTCTTTCTAGGATGTTCCTTGCATATACATGGATATGCTTTTTTCCCCCTAAAAAAAAAAAATACTAGTGTGAAAATATTAAACACTGCATTGTACCCTGCTTTTTCATTTAATGTTGCATCTTGGAAGATTTTTCTCTAAAAAAACAGAGTTGTGTTACTTTTAATTGCATATTTTTCTGTGTCTTTCATAAATTATTTAAATAATAGTCCCTACTGATAATACAAATGTTCCTCAATGTTCTGCTATTTTAAAAACCTGCATAATTCTTATATACATATTTGTATGTATTTATGAGTTTATTTGTATAATAAATTCCTAGAGATACAATTCTTGAGTCAGATTTTTGCATATTAAACTCTTAACAATAATGCGAAATAGTCTTCCAAAGAGGCTTTACCAATTTACATTTCCACCAAAAGTGTGAGAAGCTTGTTTCTTTATAGATTCACCAGAAC
Source organism: Homo sapiens (assembly GCF_000001405.40). Classification (NCBI taxonomy): domain Eukaryota; kingdom Metazoa; phylum Chordata; class Mammalia; order Primates; family Hominidae; genus Homo; species Homo sapiens. The sequence continues at coordinate 118,703,723 of NC_000010.11, forward strand.
TGAATATTGATCAAACCTTTCCAATTTCACTAACTAAAGTAAGTTAGCGGAAAAAAAGTTATTTTATTTCTTAAATTGTGATATTGGGTATATTTTCATGTTTATAATCTTTTTTTTCTATGAACTGTCTGTTCATATGCTTTGTCCATTTTTCAACAGAAATTTAGGGTTATCTTTTTCCAATTCATGAAAGCTGATTATCAAGGAAAGCAAACTTTTGTCTTATATTTTCCAATTTTGCATTTTTTCCCCACTTACTTTTAGCTTATGATATTTTACTGTACAAAGGTTTCCAAATTTTGTATTGTCATAGTCTGATATTTTCTTCCAGCCTGGGTGACAGAGCGAGACTCCGTCTTAAAAAAAAAGAATAAGGTAGTGGCTAGGTGGTCGTGCTTAGGCTCATGCCTTTAATTCCAGCATTTTGGGAGGCCAAGGTGGATGGATGTTACAGACCAGCCTGGATAACATACCAAGATCCCATCGCTACTGAAAAAAAAAAAAAAAATTCCTAACATTAGGTATGGAAAAATCTACTCCTTCCTTACTGATCTGAAATGTCACCTTTCTACTAAACTTCTACATTTACTTCAGCTTATTTCTGGGCTCTGTTCCCTTGATCTGTCTATCCCTGCCACCAATGACAATCATTATTAATTACCATAGCCTTCTCATTCATTTTAATATCAGGTGATAGAGACAGAAGGCAGTCAAATGCCTAGGCAGACAGGGGTGGTTCTCCAGTGAAAGCCCACCTCCAGGCCCAAGACAGTTTAAAGCCTGAAAGCCAAGCTACAGGCAAATCCTTGGGCAGGACTGAGAACTTGTCTTCCCGTTTGGCACACTTCCCTCTGATTGACCCCCACCCTTCACCTATTTTACATATATCTACCCTTTCTTAATTGGTTTCCTACACTGTTATGCCCACCTTTGAGTAGTGTCCTTGCTTTAACCTTTTTTGTATATTCACAAACCAATCAGCATGCACTCCCCATTCTGAGTCCATAAAAGGCCTCAGACTCAGACACAAGGTGGGGGTGGGGGGAGCACCCCCACAACCCCTCTCCACTGAAAGCTGTTTCATTGCTCAATAAAATTCTTCTCCACCCTCCTCACCCTCCAATGTTCAGCACATCCTCATTCTTCTTGGGCGCAGTATAAGAGCTTGGGAACTGCCAAATGCGGGTACAAGCTGTAACACAGGCGAGCTGGGGCACATCAGCATGGCCGAGCAAGGCCCGGGTGGGGCACTGCCAGCCAGGGGTCCCCAGCTTGCAAAGTGACCAAGAAGAAAAAATCCTACATCAGTAGGGCCTCATACGTGAATTCTGATAGTTGAAATTCAGAGTAAGTCTGAAGTTCATTCTTATTTATCTTTTATAAGTTTTACTGGTTATTTTTTTTTACATAAATTTTATCAGAAGAGATTAAGTTAGCTGTCTTCCACATTTCATTTCTAAGTATTTTCCCCTTTTTAAATTAATAAAAACTTCAAGCTATTTTCACAACTGAAATTTTTAAATCAAAATTTAGAGCAAAAGTTGATTTGGCAGTATACCTTAAAGTCTTTGAAATAAATTAGCCATCTCTTTGAGACTCTGTAGTTTATATTCAATAATAAAAAATAATATAACTGTTTAACTCCCAAAATAAATTTTTCTGCATTTATAGTGCTTTTCTCTCCTGGTATATTGTCCTATTGACATTTAAGACCTGAATGCACAGCATTTTAATGTACCCTTTCTACTCTTTGTAAGTAACTAGAAACCATTAAAAAGAAATAGTATGAAAACTTCAGAAGTACTTAGAAACTCAAGTTAGTCTACCTCTTTTCAACTTTGTCTCAGGTACAGTAATGTTAAATTCCAAAATTGTAAGCAAAAATAAATGTCTTTATTTGACCTCTGTAACTTTCAGCAAGACCTTAGTTACAATTTATTTTCTAGTTTAATGACAATTTCTTGATATTCATATAGACAGACTTCTAACAAAGACACTAATTTTGACAAATATTTAAAAAAATTTGTTTCTGTGATATCAAAAGAAACTTTGCTTATTATGGCACTAGTAGGTTAACATTTCAAACTATTTTCTTTAATATACTTTTCCAACAAAACAGTACCAAAGTTCAAAGAATTTCTATCTTCTGGACAATAAAAACAATTTACATAACAAATTCTCAAAAGTAACTACAAAGCAAATTCAAGCTCTTAATCTATAAGAAAAGCTGTAGTTAAGCTTTACAATCTAAGATCCCTTATTTGAATCCTGCTAGCTGAAAGAGTAAGTTTGAAGTTCGTTTATTCTTAATTGACACAGACCTCTTAAACCCCAGGATCCTACCATAAGGTGTAAGAAAGCAACAATGGCAATACAGAAAAGCGTGAATCACCTTCCTGTCTTAACTATTTTTGTTTTAATAAACTAGCTATTTACCTTTTGATTCAAAATTATGATAAATTAGACTTTTGTTTTTATTACTCACGCACCTAACCAACATGCTTATCTGGTAAATGCCATTAAAATGGCAGACATGCAAGTCAAGAAACCTATTTACCCAGCCTTAATTCCTTTATCCACAAATAGGCCCTGTCTTTCAGCTCTGCTTCCATACCTGGTCTCTACTGAAAACTTTAAACAGCAAGAATAAGGAGTCGGCTCGCACGGAAATAAAATGTTTGCTCTATCAGTACAGGACATTTAGTTAACACACTCCTGATCAATAGCCCATGATAGGATTTCACCAAAATGATACAATGTAACTACTACCTCCCAGGCTTACACTCTTCCCAGTAAGTTAATTCTGCTATCCTAGATGCACTTATTCCTAATGTCATCAACAATATTTTTCCTTAGTTTCATGATTCATAAAGGAGTTTTGGCACTTAAACCAAAAGAAAAGGCTTTTTATACATTTCTTTCTTGGTAAAAGGCAAAAACCAGTTTCTTTGGCATTACATTGACTAGAAAACTCGTACTATTAAAATTGTTGTCAGTAACCAAGAAATAAGTGTAAATGAAAATCAGGAAGCACTACATGGTCTTTTGGAAAGTGCCTTCTAAATTAAAGACAGGGGTAGTTTTGTTTTGTTTTTGTTAAGTGCATTTTATGGAAAATAACATTTTTAAGATTGCTATCCACATACAGCAAGCTACATGCTACAGAAGGTAGGATCAACCTGAACATCTCATTCACTAGTCTAATAAAGAAGAACGGGGATCATGGTTTCTAAGGGCTCCTCCATTCAACAGGAGCACTAACATTAAGATTCTATGACTCTCGATATTTAAAACAGGGAGGAAGCTGATCAACAAAGTCACAGTCTACAGATTATACTCATAGCATAACTCTCCAAATAAAACAGATCATCAGAATGGCAGCAATGTTTTACTGTTCTATTTTTATGGAATGATTTACTTGGCATTTTACTTTCTGAGGACAAGAAATCTTACATATCTTTATATTTCTGGAACCAAACACAGTGCCTTCCACATAGCAGAAATAAAATAAGTACTCATGTGGGTGACTGCTAATCTTAATGCCTACTTGTCTATTCAGCAATTGTTATGGAATTTCAAAGCAGAAAAAGGGGAAATAATTAAAGTTCTTCTATGTCAACAACTATCGCACATTACTGAAATAACTTAATTTCCATTTCTAACACAAATGTAGTAAAAGAAAAACAGAATATGCTTAACTCTCTGCATCTATTTGTGCTCTCAACAATACACCTAGGTATTTGGGAAGGAGGAAGGAGCTCTTACTTACCATATATATGAAAAGAGGCACAATGCTCTGCAATGCTCCCATATATTGTCCAAGAGCTATATTAAATCTTTCAATATAGAGATCTGGAGGGCTGGCCTGTGAGAAAGAACAGAAGTGTGATCAATCTGGGAAACCAGGGAAAGACCTTCCACCATAATTTGAAACACAAACAGAAGGAATTCAAAATTCATACTGAGATTCACAATTAACAAAAAAAAAAAAAAAGGAAGACACGTACACTCTGAAGGTAAGACTTCCACCTTTGTTCCAAAATCTGCTATGTAAAACTGAAGTTTAGCCATCTGCAAAAGCTGTGTAACCTCAACACGTTAATTAAAAGGCTTCTTCTTTTACTGCATAAAAAGGTGCACTAAGGCTGGGCGTGGTGGCTCACACCTGTAATCCCAGCATTTTGGGAGGCCAAGGTGTGTGGATCACTTGAGGTCAGGAGTTCAAGACCAGCCTGGTCAACATGGTGAAACCCTGTCTCTACTAAAAATACAAAAATTAGCCAGGTGGGGGTGGCAGGTGCCTGTAATCCTAGCCACTTGGGAGGCTCAGACAGGAGAATCACTTGAACCTGGAGGCAGAGGTTGCAGTGAGCCGAGATCATACCACTGCACTCCAGCCTGGGTGACAGAGCGAAACACTGTCTCAAAAAAAAAAAAAAAAAAAAGATGCACTCAACGATAAATGATTTTTAAAAACTATTACTGAATTACATGGATATTCTATATAGAACCAAACTATATTTGAACCTGGAATGAGTTGGGAGGATATTCAACTAAGTGGTATAGGCTTAATGTACTATTAGAATGGCTAATGAAATTTATAATTACCTTAAGCACAGAAATATTCTGATTTCTATGCTAACTTGGTTGTAAACCCTTCTGTAGCTAATTATAAATATTAGTTAGAAAGCATGGACACAAATGACCCATATACACCTTCAGCTCTGTAGAGCAGTAAAACACAATGCATTCCTCTATTAACTCACTTTTACAAAATACCAAATCATAAAACCATCAAGAGAGAACACTACCAACTTTTTTATATGTTATAGACTGAATAGAATATAGACTGTGTTCCTCGAAAATTCCTATGTTGAAGCCCTAAACCCCTAGTACTGCCATACTAGGAATAAGGAAGTAATTAAGGCTACACGAAGTCACAATGGTAGAGCTGTGATCTATAGGATTAGTGTCCCTAGATGAAGAAACACCAGAACGCTCAGGTTCTCGCTCCTCCCATAGGGCTCAGAAAAAAGGCCATGTGAGGACTGCAGTGAGAAGGCAGCCATTTACAAGCCAGAAAGAGGGCCCTCACCAGGAACCGAATAGGAAGCACCTTTGTCTTGGACTTCCTAGCCTCCGGCACCATGAGAAACAAATTTCTTTGTTTAAGCCACCCAGTCTATAGTACAGTTGACCCTTGAAAAACCGGAGAGTTAGGGGAGCCAACACCCAAAACACAGTAAAAAATCTGTGTATAACTTTTCACGTCCCCCCAAATTTAACTACCAATATTGCCTACTGTTGACCAGAAGTCTCACTGATAACATAAACCATCAGTTAACACATATTTTGTATATGTATCATTTATACTGTATTCTTACAATAAAGTAAGCTGGAGAATATTAACAAAATCATCAAGAAGAAAAAATATATCTATTCATTAAGTGGAAGTATATCATCATAAAGATTTTCATCCTTATCTCCAACAGTGGGAAAAGGGTTGGCCTTGCTGTGTCAGGGGTGGGAGAAAATCCGTGGATAAGTGGACCTACACAGGTCAAACCCGTGTTGTTCAAGGGTCAACTGTATTTTGTTGTGGCAGCCCAGTCGAAGACACTGTGTTTTACAGAAGTGCATCCATGCATGATTTCATTCTATTCTCTAAAGCTAAATTAATTAGGTCCCATTTTAACACTAAAGAAACACCTAAATGGCCAGTAATTTGTCTAAGACTAGACCGTTAGCCAAATGATAGATCCAGGTCTTCCAACTAAGAATTCATTCCTGGGTCAGAGTGTTGGGGGACGAGCATGGTACAAAACACAATGCAAACAAAACTGATTCTACACAAGAACTAACTTGTGGCAGCCCCACAGCTTATCAATCATATCTTACACATAAAGTCTTGCTTTCAAATAAGGATATTAAGAAATGCCACATGGAAGGATTCCTAAATATTAAATTTTAAAACATGAAATTATAAGACCACTTCAGCTAAGCTGTTTCATAAATGTCCAAATATTTTGATACTATTTTCAAATAAGATTCAACTCATATTTCAGTTCTACTTAGAAGCTTATATATATGTAAAGAATTGTCTTTATTTTTTCTAATTCATCGTACTTACAGGTCTGGTGCACGCTAGGTGCTTTTATTTACATTTCTTTTTTTTAAATTATTATTTTTTTTTGTACATTTTGAGAAAGGTCTTGCTCTGTCTTCCAGGCTGGAGTGCAGTACCATGATTACAGCTCACTGCAGCCTCCACCTCCCAGGCTCAATTGATCAATTCTCCCAACTCAGCCACCTCCCAACTAGCTGGGACTACAGGTATGCAGCACTAGGCCTGCCTAATTTGTTTGGGATTTTTTTTTTTTTTTGGTAGAAATGGGGTCTTGCTATATTGCCCAGACTGGTCTTAAATTCCTGGGCTCAAGCAACCCTCCTGCCTCAGCCTCCCAAAGGGCTGGGATTACAGGTGTGAGCCACCACACCCAGCGCATTTCTTTTTCTTAGTCCTTCTAACTGCCTATAAATTGAATGTTATTTCCATTTACAGATGAGGTGATTGGGGCTCAGAAATAGTCACCTGTCTACAGTTCTACAGTGAATAAACCCAAGACCTACAACTCAAAGCATGATCAATCCAAGGCCTTCTACACCTACTTAAATTCTCTTTTGGCACTCTGAAACCTTTTCACAAACTTCTCAACGTAGGGCACAACTGTCTACACCTCTGGTTGCACAGCAAAGAACAGGACTGACAATGGGAATACTAGCACTCCCCAAAAGACATAAGGCCTCCCTGACTGTTCTTTCTACCTAACCATCTCTCTCTGCACCCACTAAGCTGGCTAACTTCTCCTAGTCATTCCTTCAAAAATATCTGAACTACATGGCCCTTCAGTGGGGCCCCACTGCACTCACTTCCCTCACTGGGTAGTCTGCCACTACCTTCAAACCCCTGGAGGGCAATATTTGTGTCTTATCTGTATATCTCCGGTGCTGACCACAGTGCCTAGAACATAGTAGATAAAGAATGCATTGTTTTGCAAGGAAAGGGTCTTGTTCAAATCTAAACTTTGACTCTAAATCTAATTTAGCATTATTTAAATCTAAATTCCTACTTAACAAGGCTGTATGACATTAGGGAATTCATTTTGCCCTCTAAATTTCAATTTCCATATATCCAAAATAGGAAAAATACTAGCTGTGGTACTTCTAAGATGTGAAGGAAATCAAAGAAAATAGTGTGTGTTTTGAAAATGTCAAGTATTACACATGTATATGCAACTAGTAAGTAAACTCCTTTCTGAATTAACTACCCATTTGTCTAATGCTTCAAAAGAAATCCAACAACATTTTTGTTTTTGAGATGGAGTCTTGCTCTGTCACCCAAGCTGCAGTGCAATGGCATCATCTCGGCTCACTGCAACCTCCGTCTCCCAGGTTCAAGGGATTGCTCTGTCTCAGCCTCCTGAGTAGCTGGGATTACAGGTGTGGGCAACCACACCCAGCTAATTTTTGTATTTTTAGGAGAGACAGGGTTTCACCATGTTGGCCAGGCTGGTCTTGAACTCCTGACCTCAAGTGATCCACCCACTTCGGCCTCCCGAAGTGCTGGGATTACAGCCGTGAGCCACCGCACCTGGCCTAATAACATTTTTAAAAGCATTCTTTGTTAACTAAAGAACTTGGTGAAAATGGTTCCATGTTATAGGCAAACTTTTAACTATAACTAATGAACGGAATCATACGTAACATCTTCCCCTAAACTGCTTTGAAGAACTCTAAAAATGGTATTTCGGCATTCAAAGAAATAAATTTTAGAAGTATTACGTGAAAAAAAATCTTAAAAGCTGTTGCATTAAAATAATGTTGTTTTTACAAAAGATCACTTTATCCAGAAGTTAAAAGTATAAACATTGATCAAAAAGTACATTTACAGCAGACAGAATAAATAAAATTGAATTCCTTGTTCAAGAACTCCCAGTCTCAAAGACTATGCGTATTAAAAAGTACTTTCTGTACTGAATCAAATGTCAGAACACAGCTTTTTCTACAAAGTAAAAAAGTATATTTCATGTAGCCCTTATTCAAAACCTTTTAAATGACAGGACTATAAATTTTAGCAGTCTTCTAAAATAAACCTAAACTCCTTCCTAGGAACCTAGAAATGTCATTTAAGAAAAAAAACCTAATCAAATTGTTTCTCCTTAAAATTTAAGTTCAATACACTCTAGGCCCCATTGGGGAAACTGTTAACTATTTGATTTACCTTATTTCAACATGACAGTATTTGGCTTGGACATTCAAGTTTTTACCCCTGAACAAGCAAGCTTTGCTTTTTCCCCAAAGAAAACAAGAAAAAAACTGCCAGAAAAATAATAACCATTGTTACAAGATCTTTGGGGTGTTGTTTTTCTGGCCAGAAACCCCTCTGGCAGGTGGCGCCTTTACCTGAGTTTTGCTCAGGCCTACTGGGCTCATTTTGCCCACTCGACCTGGCAGGCTGCGCTCGGCTCATGCTACTGGCCTGGGTCCCACAGCTGCCAAGGGCAAGTCAGTACGTGGTGGTGCCTGGAAGCTTGAAACTCCAAGAACCAAAGGGCCCCAAAGGGCCCCAAAGAGGGAGTCACAGCCCTGGCTCAGGGAGCTCCCAGGCTGGGGCTTCCCGAAGGGCCACAGCTCTTCTTTCCTTCTCTTCACCCGCAATGTGGCAAGCAAGTGGCATGTCTCAGCCCTGTTTGTGTTACAACTCTTTTAGCCTTGCCATTCAGTGGGTCCTGAGTTCTTGTCCTGTGACCAGAAGAAAAGGTACGCAGACAAGTGGAGGAGCAAGACAAAGAGGAGCTTCACTGAGCAACAGAACAGCTCAGAGGAAAGCTGCAGGGAGTAGCTCCTTTCCACAGCCAGGGTGTCCGGACAAGTGTTCAGCTCCTAGCAGAAAGGGTAGCTCCTCTCTGCAGCTGGTCGTCCCACTGTGTGCACAGCTCTCAGCAGAAAACAGGCCCTAAAGTGAGTGGCTCCTCTCTGCAGCTGGTCATCTCAACAACTGTTCAACTCTGGGTAAGCCCAGGGCTTTTATGGGCCCAGAGGGGAGGAAGTACGTGCCCACTGGTCCATGGCCAGCCACAGGCAAGCTGGAAAAGGCACCACAAGTTCCCACTCCAGTCTGTAGGACTGGCAGCCTGGCTCCCAGCCTTCAGGCCCTCCTTAGCTTGAAGGTGGAGGCCTCACTGGGGACCTGCCCTCTTCCACCCAGGAACCTGTCTGCCTCCTGCTGCCATTCATGGCGCCCAGGCTGTAGGTGCCAAGGGGCGCCTGCAGGCCAGCGCCAAGCTGCCCTCAGCACCCCTTGGCTTCCTTTCTGTGCTTGTCAGTGCCCAAAGTCCGGAGGGGGCCGAGGCAGCAGAGGGCTAGTGTGTTAGCACTGCCCTCAGCGTGTGCACAGCTGGCCAGGCTGCGACAGCACCTGGGCTCGCCCCCAACTTTGCTCCAAGATCAGAGTCAGTGCCGACAACTTGGAGAAGCCAGGCAGTAGTAACAGACACTTCTGAGCCTTCGAGGGCAGGGGGTCCTTCCTGGGCCCCCAAGAATGCAGGGATGCCTGAGTCCACAGCTGTGGATTGGGTGGCTGCAGCAGCACCCAGTGTGCTCCCACCCCAACTCAGAAGAGGCTCTTGCCGGCTCCATGGAGCATGCAGCCCCACCTGTTGACGCCTCCCTGCTACAGCAGCGTGATGGCAGTGGCCACTCCAGATGGGCCGCCACTGCCATCACCATTACTCCAAACTTGCTCCAATTTTTCTTAACAGATCTGGATTCCCTGAATTTTGTAATATAACTGTGTGAGAATATTTTTTAAATAATGAGTAATGTATTCATCTGGTTTAAAATTCAAATGAGTTCAAATGGGTTTAGAGTAAGTTTTCCTTTCATTCCTTCCTCCCTGAACCAACCAATACTTTTTATATCCTTCCAGAAGAACTTTATGCCTATACTAGAAAATAAATGTCCCATTTATAGTTCTTTATACACAAATGCTAAGGTATAATCACACATACCTGCAACTTTCCCTAACAATGTATATCTTGTAGTCAGTTTTATTCCAGTGGTTCTCGCTAACTTTTGGTCTCTGGAAACCTTTACATTTCTAACAACAACTCAAGATTCCAAAAAGCTTTTTGTTTATATGCAGGTTGTATCTGTAAGTATTTACCATAATAAAAATTAAAACTAAGTTCTAAAAATACTTATTAATTCATTCTAAAATGACAATAACAAACTCATCACCATCTTATTTTTATAAAAAATAACTATTTACCAAAACAAAATTTAGTAAGAGGAGTGTCACTGTTTTTACATTTTTGCAAGTCTCTTTAGAGCCTAGCTTAATAGAAGACAGCTGGATTCTCATATCTGCTTCTGCAATGAAATCAGTTGTGATGTGTTATTTTCTGAAACGATCAATGAATGTTTTGTACTCTATTCCATTAAAAACCACGGGTCTATCTTCTACTTTAAATGGATCTTTTCTGTATACATTTTATTACATCACACATTGGTCATTTGGAAAATACTGATTCTCTGAGTTATGTAGATCTTCCCAATGTTGATTTCATTAGACGGTATCAAAAAAATACATCTCTGATGAGACAGTATTAACACCTATCTCATCAGAAATCTTTTTAAGTATTGGGAAGCTATCAAGGTCACAGTGGTAGATATAAATTTTCCAAAATTTTAATTTTCACTTCAAAGCACAAGTTTCATTATTGGCAACAAATACTGTCAGTCATTTTCCTGGAAGTGACAATCTTAGTTCACTAATTTCTGAGAAAATGTCTGTCAAATACCAAAGTCTAACCGTAGTTTGTCAGTCTTTTTTTCAAGTGAAAATACCGTTCTATGCAGAAAAGCAGGGTTAGTTCAAAATTCATACAATCACATAAGCACCTTTTCTCAAAACCACCACTGTACTCTGGTATGCGGTGTCCCATTTCTTTACATAAAATATTTTTTAAAGTATAAAGTCACAATTTAATAAAATTAATAATTTTCTCTGTTTCATCTGGGACATTCTTAATGAAAATGGCTTCCTCACCCCGCAAGCATGTGGAAATGAAAATTCATGCTAAGGCACCAGCGTCTATCCATCATTACTTACAGACCCCCCTGAAAGGCTTTTGGGGACCCTCCGAAGTCCTCAAAACACACACACTTTAGGAATATCTATTTCTGTAAGATGCTTGAATGTACTATTTATTTAATCAGAGGTCATATTGATAGCTTCGTGCTAATCCTTTGTTACCAGATTGTTGCACTGAGTAACTTCATATAGATGTTATAGACAATAATTTCAAAACAACCTTTAAATTAAAAAAGGTAGAACTAGATAATAGTCTTATGCATAATTATATTAAAAATAATTTCAGTTGTCCAGTTTAAATAGTGAAATCTGCGAAATACCACTAAAAATATATATATACACATACATGGTCCTAGTGTGAGAAATGCCTTACAGCAAGAAAGGAAAAGACAGATTTGATATACATACCACACCTTCACAGAAGGGAAGGGGAAAGAAAGCTTGTCATCTTTAACTTTCAAAGCTAAACAAGGAAGGTTGATTGGTCAGTCACCCGAATTTGATGTATATTAATAATTTTAGAAGAGGATTATTTGTTTAAATAATTTTACTAGTCAAGAGACTTAAATATACTATCATGTGGGTCAGTACTGCCCAAAGGAACTTTCTGTGGTGATGGGAATGTTCTAAATCTGCACTGTCCACTATGGTAACCACTGGCCACGTTTGGCTATTGAGCCTTGGAATATGATTAATTAAACTAAGGAACCAAATATTTACTTCATTTTAATTGTAATAGTTACACATAACTAACTGGACAATGCAGATGTAAAATACAAACGAGTTCTACAATTTCATATTTATATCCCTCCTCCTCTACCTACCCCCATCCTCGTCCCCAGCCAACCGAAATGAAACATGAAAAAAATTAAGAATATGTGCTTTTATCTTCACAAAAGCATTCTGGTTGTCTTCAAATAAGTAAGTGACTTTTGCATGCTAGAATGAAGTAGACAAGAAGGGATGGAAGAGAAGGACCTACTAAACATGACAAAACATGTATCTTTGTAAAAGTAATGTACGTTCATTGAAATTTTTAAAAATTTAAAATGCAACTATGGAAAAATAACCACTACCGGCTGGGCGCGGTGGCTCACACCTGTAATCCCAGCACTTTGGGAGGCCAAGGCAGGCGGATCACGAGGTCAGGAGGTCGAGACCATCCTAACACGGTGAAACCCCGTCTCTACTAAAAATACTAAAAATTAGCCGGGCGTGGTGGCACGCGCCTGTAGTCCCAGCTACTCCGGAGGCTGAGGCAGGAGAATGGCATGAACCTGGGAGGTGGAGCTTGCAGTAAGCCAAGATTGCGCCACTGCACTCCAGCCTGGGCGACAGAGCAAGACTCCGTCTCAAAAAAAAAAAGAAAAAGAAAAAGAAAAAAATAACCACTACCAACATTCGTAGAAAATTATTACCATTTTGGTATTTTTTTTTTTTTTCCTGTGTGCATGTGTCTGTTTCTAAACAAATATGGCTTATTTTGTAACCTGATTTTATCGCCCAACTATAGATCGTCACCATCTCTCCCAGGTCAAATTTCTTTCTATAACCTAATTTTAACAACTGTTTGGACACATCATTGCCTATTTCATCAGTCCCTTGTCACTGGATACTTAGGCTATGCTTTGCTGTTTATGTTATCCAGGTCTGCACGGATACTTCTAATTCAGACTAGCATTCCAGCTGTGCAAATGTGTTGAGTGGCATCAGCAACAACACAACCTCTTTTTTTTTTTTTTTGAGACAGAGTCTCACTCTGTCACCCAGGCTGGAGTGCAGTGGCGCGATCTCGGCTCACTGCAAGCTCCACTTCCCAGGTTCACGCCATTCTCCTGCCTCAGCCTCCTGAGTAACTGGGACTACAGGCACCCGCCACCACGCCTGCCTAATTTTTTGTATTTTTACTAGAGACACGGTTTCACCGTGTTAGCCAGGGTGGTCTCGATCTCCTGACTTCATGATCCACCCGCCTCGGCCTCCCAAAGTGCTGGGATTACAGACGTGAGCCAACGAGCCCAGCGCACTATCTTATTCTTAAACATAAGCTACACTGCACTCCCTGCTTAAGAGAGACTAGGTTCAGGAACAATGGTACATTTCCATACGCCAGTGGACCTCAAAGAATGCTTCTCTCCGAATCACCTGAAGGGACTGGTAATGACGCAGATTCCTTTGCCACACTCCAAAGTCTTGATTCAGAAACTTTCCAGAGGTGTGTATTTTTAGTGAGAACTTCAGGGAAGTCTGTAAACAGCTGGCCCACCTGTTAAGCATTTAGGAACCCTACACCTTAAGCCTCTTCCAAGAAATGAGAGGAGCTCTACAGGAAGGAAGTCTGCAGGATTCAAGAGAAAACTGAGCAGTAATCACCCATGTAACACAGGCATTTACTGCAGGACAATTTAGCTGCAAACTGCACTGAAATCAGTAAAAATATGATGCACTAACATTTTAACATTAACATAGGTGAATTTTTCCTCTTAAAAGTTAATGGCTTCTTGACTAGTATCAAATTCAGGGAGTATAAAGTTATCAAAATATAACTCAAGTTCCCCCTCAGCTTAGAATGCAGAAAGCTGTGAAAGAACATCACTCCCACTCTTATGGTAAGAAAAAGCTGGTTAACCAAAATAATCATAATTTTTCGAGCTCATCAGACACCTAAGGTTTCTTTAACTTACATCTGCAATGTTCAACTAGGTGAGAAGAATTTCAGAGTGACAAGCTCCTCTAAAAAAAAATAAAGGACACATGGACTATTTCTCTGTTGGTGATGGTAGTCATAAAAGCAGATAAGCAAACAACAGAAATTGTAATGAATCATTAAAGGCCAAGTGTGAACTAACAGTGTAGAATCCCTGGGAGGCTTCAACACAAGGGCAGTCAGCACCAGCACCTCCTCTCCAACTCTTTTCCATGGGTTTCCACTGGGTCATCAAGAGAAGGACTGGGGGCAGTGAAAGAAATCTGAGAGGCCATCCTCCATAGCAAGATGTGCCGGGCTTAGTAAGACCTGAGGATGAAGCAGGAATACCTAAAGAAGCCGATGAACACATCATGGGGTCCTCCATGACAAAAAAAGGTGGTGATTAACTGCCAATGGAAGACATGAACAAAAACTGCCTGTGCCCTAGAACCTACCCAGATTCAAAGCAAAAGCCATTTGCTGAAAGGAAGGGGTAAGAAACCCTGCAACCTGGTGACCCTTCTTTGACCTTAGGCAAAAACTGTCTACCACTGGAAGACAGGCAGGTGATCCTCCAGCCCTCCTGACAAGCAAAGGTCAGCAACCATTTTCAGGATGGTAGAAAATCCACTCATGCCCAGGTTTCCACACTGTTATGAAGCAAAAATATACTGCTGCTGATGGAAGCACAGGAAACTTGCTTACTCCCAAGGTTCCCCAAAGATACAAGGTAAAATTTGGTTGCCACAGGGTGTGTGGGGGGCAGGACAGGGAAGGGGAGAGTCGGGGAGGGAACTCACCTGCACACCAAACCAGAGATCAACAAACTAGAGGCTGTGGGCCAAATCTTGTCTACACCCTGTTTTGATTAAGTACAGTTGTTTTGAAACACAGCAATGCCCATTGTTTATGTAATCTGTGTGGCTGCTTTCACCTGCACCAGCAGAGTTAAGCACAGGAGCTAGACAAACACCTCACGGCCCGTGAAGATATTTACTTTTATTTTATTTATTATTCTTATTTCTTTGAGAGGGAGTCTCGCTCTGTTGCCCAGGCTGGAGTGCAGTGGCGCAATCTCGGCTCACTGCAAGCTCCACCTCCCGGGTTCACGACTTTCTCCTGCCTCAGCCCCAAGTACCTGGGCCTATAGGCGCCCGCCACCACGCCCGGCTAATTTTTTGTATTTTTAGTAGAGACGGGTTTTCACCGTGTTAGCCAGGATGGTCTCGACCTCCTGACTTCGTGATCCACCTGCCTCGGCCTCCCAAAGTGCTGGGATTACAGGCGTGAGCCACCGCGCCCGGCCAAGGCATGCCCATTTCTAAGCAGAAACTGTTCTTTTTAAGCTAAACTGTTCTTTTTATATACAATGTCCAACATTCAATAAAAAACTAAGACCAAAAAAACAAAAACACAGCCCACTGTCAAGAATTATGTCAACAATTAAACATTCAACATGCACAGAGATGTCCCACATGAAGTAGCTATCACAGACACTTTAAATAACTATGATTAATATATGCAATGACCTAGTAGAAAAGGCAGATAACATGCACAAAAAGATGGGAGAATTTCAGCAGAAAAATGGAAACTATTTTTAAAAGAGTCAAATGGAAATGTTAAAAATTCTCAAATAGTTTATTCCAAGTCCTTTAACATTTATTCCTATAATAAGTACAACGTTGGCATTTTTGTATCCCATACAAATGCACCTGGATGCCATCTCAAGGATCCTTAATACTATTTTCTCAATCAAATTGGTCATTTCTTTTTCTAAAAATCTGCCTTTAGATGACTGACTATAGCAAAAACTACTAATGGGTAATAAGCTTTCAGTCTAGCTTATTCCATGATGTTCCAGAGCAATACCATACTGCCATGGACAGATGTGTCATGGCCCTAGAAGCAACACCCATTACACACTGGAAGCTGACAAAGACGCTTCATAAAAATGGAATTTCTTGGCCGGATGCGGTGGCTCACACCTGTAATCCCAGCACTTTGGGAAGCCAAGGCGGGCAGATTACCTGAGGTCAGGAGTTCAAGACCAGCCTGACCAACGTGGAGAAATCCCGTCTCTACTAAAAATATAAAATTAGCCGGGTGTGGTGGCACATGCCTGTAATCCCAGCTACTCAGGGGGCCAAGGCAGGAGAATCGCTTGAATCCTGGAGGCGGAGGTTGCGGTGAGCCGAGATGGCACCATTGCACTCCAGCCTGGGCAACAAGAGCTAAATTCCGTCTCAAAAAAAAAAAAAGGAATTTCTTTCCAAATAGACAAACATATCTGACATTCCATTCTCATTCTTGCTATGCAGATATTATTTCCATATTAGAATAATATCCAAAAAATAGTGATATAGAAGGTAACTGATCTTCAGGAGCTATTTAAGAGCTATAATATACATATTAGACACTTCTCATATAAACTGTAAGCATGGTTTTCAATTGAAAACTACAATAAAGTCAATTGAGTCTTAGATAGAAGATATTTCTCTTTTCACTTAGATCTTTTACTTCTTAAGCTATTATTATATGAAATTTTTTTCTTGATTTATTTCTAAAATAAGACTTCCTTAATTTTCCAAATACTATTTGGACTTAATAAACTGAATTAAACCTGGCTTCTGTGTTCCTGGGTTCATTTAGCTTATCTACATGAAATAATCTGTAATCTAATACTAGCTTTTAAAGTAACTGGCTAGGTGCTATAAAAGGTTCAAGGATTACTAAATGGAGAAATATCCAAAGAAGCCAGATACCCTAGGCTGACTTCTCACTTCCCCACATACTTTATCTCTATGTAACACTTAGCAAACAGTAACTTACTTACACTACTTACACCTATTTGCTATTATTTTGGAAAGGAAACCTTTTTCCTTTTCTTTTCTAACTTAAATTACACAGTTTGGTCTCAAAGAAAGTATATCTTAAAAAGAATACAATTCATAATTGTACTCTGTACACCATGCAAATGTACTCTGTACAAATGCAAACAGCTATTATTTATGTGATTTTACTCTCCTGCTCATTTTCCAAGTTCTGGATGATGTTTTACCTGGAACAAACACATGCCTCTGGTAATGTCAGTGGTAAAGCCAGCATATGTTTTTGTAATCAACTTATACCAAGTACTTTTTACTGGATCTCTATTTTTGGGCCTGGTATTATGTTAAGTCCTATGAAGGCACATGAAAATACAAACAAAATCCTTTCTTTCAAAGGAAGATAGTAAACTTATTAGAATCATGGTCTGAATGAGAGCCTATTGAATGATCGAGGGTTAGGGTGTCTCCCTGGCAAATTCCTGGGTTTGCCATGACAACTGCTTTAAGTTCTAGTAGAGAGGAAAAAAATAGATCTCCACATAACTTAGAAACATTTTCAGTAGAACACACATGTAAAGGGCTATTTACCAGTTGCAATATTTATTTTATTTGAAACCTATGAAGAAAGGATATCAAGCAATTTTCTTATTATCTAAAATCTTATTCACTTTAGCAAGAAATAAACAGAGTATTTGGAGGAAAGTTTTCTTAGAATACACTTTGTAGTACAAGAGATTTAGAAATTAAAACCTTTAAAACACATAAAAAATTTCAAATGACCGTACACAAGATAACCAGTTGAGTTATGCTGCCACCCACTGGACAAAAAATAAATAGCAACGCAATCCTTGCTCTGATTTTAACTACCAAGGGACTAGCTCAGTTTATTGGCAATCTGGCAGTAAAGATTTTATATGCAAATTGGAGTTTATAAATAGTGAATCAAAGTTAAGTACTGTTGGCTGATTATGGTTTAGTTTCTATTAATTTCCATTATTAATTTGACAGTCAACTTACTTATTTTGCTTAAAACCAAGATACAGTTAGACATCAACATCACTCTAATTTTATTAAAATGGTTTAAATGTAATCAGTTAACTTCCTTTTAATTAAAAGTGAAATACTTAAAACTACTGTAAATTCAGCCTTATTTGAGATAAAAATTGCAACATTTCCCAGCACCTTTGTCTCTGTGGTCTCTCCTCAACAGGACCCTGAATGCAGGTTAGTAATATCGGCGCTAATCTTCCCACTTGAATGTTACTGTCCTGACCTAGGAACCAAATCTCTGTGTCAACACTGTTTACTGGGGCTAACGTACAGTGTGAGTTCCAAAGCACTGACAAAAGAACTGTTAATGGGTCACTGACTATAAAACTACTACATCAAAATGTCAGAATATTTTTATTTGGTGAAAATATACTCTCTTTTAGATAACACATTAGCATATACAATAAATGTATCAACATTACTTGGGGAGAAAATGCCTCACAATTGTTTCAATGGATTCTGGATTCAGAAATACACATAGAAAAAATGAAATGAGGAAGTGTCATTTAAGACAGTTTTAAAAGATTTTATATCCATCTATCCATGATAGTAGTCCCCCACCTTATCCAGTTTCCCTTTCTGAGATTTAAGTTACCACAGTCTGAAAATATTAAACAGAAAACTCCAGAAACAAACTTTTTTTTTTTTTTTTTCTTGAGACGGAGTTTCGCTCTTGTCACCCAGGCTAGAGTGCAATGGTGCGATCTCGGCTCACTGCAACCTCCGCCTCCCAGGTTCAAGTGATTCTCCTGCCTCAGCCTCCTAAGTAGCTGGGACTACAGGCATGTGCCACCATGCCCGGCTAATTTTGTATTTTTTTTTTAGTAGAGATGGGGTTTCTCCATGTTGGTCAGGCTGGTCTCGATCTCCCGACCTCAGGTGATCTTGCCCGCCTCAGCCTCCCAAAGTGCTGGGATTACAGGTGTGAGCCACCGCACCCAGCCACAATTCTTAAATTTTAAACTGCATGCCTTTCTGAGTAACGTGACGAAACCATAACACCATCCAGCTCCATCCTGCCTGAGATATCTGTCAGCACTTTGTCCAGCACTTTGTCCAGCATATGCACACTGTTGACACTATCCATCTGTCAGACACTTAGCCATCTCGGTTATCAGTTCAACTGTCACGATTATCATAGCAAATGTTCAAACAACCCTTACTTTACTTAATAATGGCTCCAAAGAGCAAGAGAGATGATGTTGGCAATTCAGATATGCCAAAGAGAAGCTGTAAATGATTCCTTTAAATGAAAAGGTGAAAGTTCTCAACTTAGTAATAGGAGGAAGAAATCTACTCCAAAGGTGGGGCTTGGACATCAGGACCAAACGGAGGACTAGCTAAAAACAGGTCAGGGCAGAAGCACCTCCCCATAAGACATGCCCACCAGTGTGCCATGTCAGTTGACCATTGCCATGGCAACACCCAGAAGTTACTGCCCCTTTCCATGGCAACAACCCAACAACCCAGAAGTTACCACCCTCTCCCTCGTTCTAGAAATTTCTGCATACTGCCCTTAATTTGCATATAATTAAAAGTAGGTATGAGTGCAGAACTGCCTCTGAGCTGCTACTCTAGACACAGTGCCCATGGGGTAGCCCTGATCCACA
Source organism: Homo sapiens (assembly GCF_000001405.40). Lineage (NCBI taxonomy): Eukaryota > Metazoa > Chordata > Mammalia > Primates > Hominidae > Homo > Homo sapiens. The sequence continues at coordinate 118,723,055 of NC_000010.11, forward strand.
AGGAACAGTACCAATCTGAAATTGTCTTCCTTTTTTTAATGTAGTGCTTAGTCTTTAACATTTCACATAATAATAGACATGCTGAAGTTATCCTATTTTCTATTTATCTCATCTGTTCTCTGTACTTTTAAAAAATCCTTTCTTGATTTCTTTATTTTAAAATTATTCCATTTTTTCCCCTCTATGTCTTGTTAACTATGTTTTTTTACTACAGACTGTATCCTTGTCACATTATAGTTGAAAATAAAGTAGTGCTTTACCATTTCCTGGACAATGCAAGGCTTCAGAACATTTCAAACCTTCACTCCTCCCTTCAAACTTACACATTATTGTCACGAGTTTTGATTATATATATATATTCTTATATCCTAGAAGACATTATCATTATTATTGATCCACACTTGCATATTTTCCCTTCTTCATTCCTACATATCTTCAAGTTTTCATCTGGAAACATTTTCTTTCTATCTGAAAAACACTTTTATTTGTGTAAGAAACTACTGGTGATGAATTCTCCCAATTCTTGCCTAAAAATGTACTTCACAATTTTGCCTGGTTTGATGCCTCATTTCCTACTATGACTAGTTATTTCTGATTAAGTGCCAGATACTGCTTATGAAAAACTATGGAAACAATCTGATGCCTAGGATAATGGTATCTCTCCAGAATTTACTTTTGTTACTAGTAAGCTTAATCGAGGCTCTAGCAAATCAAGACCACCATTTTTTTTTCTTTTTGGGAGACGGAATCTCGCTCTGTCGCTCAGGCTGGAGTACAGTGGCACCACTGCAACTTCCGCCTCCCGGGTTCAAGCAATTCTCTGTCTCAGCCTCCTGAGCAGCTGAGATTATAGGCGCCCACCACCACACCCAGGTAATTTTTTTGTATTTGTAGTAGAGACAGGGTTTCACCATCTTGGCCAGGCTGGTCTTTAACTCCTGACCTTGTGATCTGCCCTCCTTGTCCTCCCAAAGTGCTGGGATTACAGGCATGAGCCACCACACCTGGCCGAATCAAGACCATCTTAATCCAATCAGGAATCAGGCTTTAGCAAATGAGAAGGCTAGTCTTTATTTTTTTATTCTTGCTAGTCCTGGGATGTGGTACTTCAGATTTAATGAGCCTTATACTCCAATTTATTACCCAACCCCCACAAGTGTTGTCAAAGCTCTATTAAATTTCTCAGCTCATTAGCCTCCTTTTCCAGAATAAATAGGTGACCCCAGTAGATAAATGGCTCAAATGTTAGGTTCCTCTATCTGAGTTTCCTTCTTCTCTTAGATCCTGGCCCTATAATTCACTTTGTTAGTCCTGTGGTCTGATTTTTGTAATTGCTCTCAGCAGGGGGGGTGGTCCACACTATCTAGTCTTATCAATTATATGTCCACTACCAGACCCAGTAGAGTCATAGTTAAATAGGATACGTTAGGGTTCCCACTAGGAACCCCTGCAACCAATAAAACCACTCAAGTTTTTTTTACACGGACCAAAAAATCAGCTGTGATTAATTAAGGAAAGCAATAAATAGTATTTTAGATTTTTGAACAAGAAAGTATGTCTATCAAATTAGGGTTTTTAGGTTGTTCAGCCAAAAGAAGAGACTGCAGGAAGACAAACCAATTAAAAGAATATTCCACTAGTGCAGGCATGAGCCAATGATGACGTGGAAGAGGAAGACAACAATGGGAATCAAAGAGGACAGAGCAAGATATATTATAGTATTCCATCCACCTTAACTAGCACCCAGAAATAGGAGAGAAAAAGCTAAGAGGAATATGAAATACCAAGCCTCAGAAAGAAACTAATTTGAATGAAGAGAAATTTAGATTTAGACCTCAGTATGAGGTATCTATAAGATGAAATTCAAATCCAACAGGCAAGTGTAGGTCCTAATGTTAGGGTCCTGGTCTCTCACAAAAAATATGGTAATTTCTAAATGTTTCCATAGAATTTTCCAAAACTATTCAGAATATTATTTACTGAATTGGTAAACCAATTTACTCTCTATAGTCATCTATTTCCATTCACTGGTATAGGAAAATACCAGAATTGGAAATGTACATTTTGAGGCTCTGGAGATACAGAAAAATAAAAATAAATAGAACTTCGTTATTACTTTTAAAGAAAGAACAGCCGGGAGTGGTGTCCCATGTCTGTAATACCAGCACTTTGGGAGGCCAAGGCAGGAAGATCACTTGAGTCCAGAAGTTCAACACCAGCCTGGGCAACATGGTAAAACCCCACCTCTACAAGAAATACAAAAATTAGCTAGGCATGGTGGTGCACACCTGTAGTCCCAGCTACTTGGGGTGCTGAGGCCGGAGGATCATTTGAGCCCAGGAGGTCAAGGCTGCAGTGAGCCAGCATCACACCACTGCACTCTAGTCTAGGTAACAGACTGAGACACTGTCTCATAAATAAATAAGAAGAGCGGAGTTAATAAGGACGAGAAAAGAGCCTGGTTTAAAAAAATTAAGGCAAAAGATACTGTTCACAATTTTGAACAATCCAGCAGTAAGTTAAAATGTATAGATACACATGCAGTGAAATATAATAGTAAGGAGAACACTAAGGGGACTTAGCTATTTGTTTTATTAGTTTAACAACACAACAAAAAAAACTTTAAAGTGCCTGAAGTAAAGTAATTTTTTCCAAAATGAAAGAAATGTGTTTAAAAACAAAAAAGAGGCAGCAAGTTAGATTATGCTGTCATGTAAAAAATATTTACATTCAACAAATTATTCTAAAATCTCTAAAAACCATGTTCTCTAGTTTTTACGTCAACACCAAAAATAACTGGAGAATATGGGAACATTATTTTATATACTCTTCAATCTCCCCAACAGGATATGCCTTGGGATAAAAATAAATAAGTCCCTCTGACATATAAACTATACAAACCCACAGCTATTTTAAGATGCCCTTGACTGAGGCTGACGCCCTGTAGGTCCAAATCATTGATTTATCAACTCCAGCACTAAATTTCTGATTATCTGCCAAATGCAACTCCTCCCACGCTCTTATTTTGGCTCATAACAACAATATTTCATTATGAAAACCAGAGCTGCAAACAAAATGCTCCATCCAAATAAAATGTTTCTGGCTCATAAAGCCTGGCACCGTCTCTTGATCTGTCCCCATGAAAACTGCCTTAAGGTCTCTATAAAATAAAGATTACATCAGGCCACACACATCACACTGAACAAATAAATAAAATGCTTACAAATCTAGAGAGCACAGGAGTAGTGGTCATCTGAAGCTAATTATGCTACTCTTTCCATTAGTACAGGTCACATTTAGTTACTCAGCATTCAGCCAGAACACATCTGCTGAGTTGTAATTGTGGCAGACACTAAGGATAAAAAGACAAACACGATAGAGTCCCTCCCCCTCAAGGAAGGGCCTGTGAAGTAGTCAGACAGGGAAGCAGAAACAATAACACAATCACTGCCCTAATAGACTTCTTATTGCTGAGATGCTATGGATCCACAGAAGAAATGCCAATAGTCTGTTCGGTTTTGAGAGGAGTGCAGGAGTTCCAGGAAGGCTTTACACAGATGGACACAAATGAGCTTAAGCCTAAGAAAAGAATGAAGAAGCATTTGCCAGGCAGGAAGCAGAAGAAAAAATACCTTACACCTTAGTGTAAAGAACTACAGATATTTTAGTAAATCTACTTCCTTTTGATGTCGAGAAAATACCTTACACCTTAGTGTGAAGCAACGAGATAGTCTAGTAAATCTACTTCATTTTAATGTCAAGAAAATTTATAAGATGATATATATTAGCACGTTTAATAAAGAGGCAAACACACAAATGCTGAGTGACAGAGCTGGAAACAGAGCCCTGGATCCCCATGTTTTAAACCACTCCCCGCTGCTATTTAATAATGGTTACAATCGTTATAATCTTATAAAAGGAATCATTTTGAAGCTAGACTTTTCATAAGACCATATTGCTGAACTCTAAGTGGGACATGTATTGATTCTAAAAACAAACTAAATTCCCTGGTTTTATATCATATATCACCCTTTTAAAAAATACTAACATCACGCTGGGCACAGTGGTTCACACCTGTAATCCTAGTACTTTGGGAGGCCGAGGCTGGCAGATCGCTTGAGTCCAGGAGTTTGAGACCAGCATGAGCAACACGGCAAAACCCCATCTCTAAAGCAAAAAACATAAAAAATTTGCCAGGCATGGTGGCATGCACCTGTAGTGCCAGCAACTGGGGAGGCTGGGGTGGGAGGATCGCCTGAGCCCAGGGAGGTCAAAGCTGCAGTAAGCCATGATTGTACCACTGCACTCCAGCCTGGGAGACAGAGCGAGACCCCCATCTCAAAAAAATTAAAAAAAAAAAAAACACTAACATCAGAAGAAATATCACTCTGATTTATGTTTTAATCATTAATAAGAATCATTACTATATTAATATAAAACTAAAAATTATTTGGTTTCATAATAGGCTGTATTAGTAGGGTGAGGGAAAACAGACACTGTGATATATACAGAACTGATGGGAATGCAACTTGATACAACTTCTGTGAACCACAATTTAGACTTAGTAAACGACATTACTTACAAGACTGACTATTCACTTCAGCACTGTTAGTAATGGCCAAAGACTGGAAGTAACCTAAATATTCATCAATCAAAAACTGGTTAAATTAAGGTGTATCAATGAAGTAAGGCAGTTGAGATAAGCATTTCAGTAAAACAGTCGAGAAATGATGATGAACCTGACTAGGGTACTGGCAAATGAACAGAAGTGTGTGACAGAGTCCACAGCGAGACCCGAAGTCCATAAACTGGATTCAGGTAGAAATTCAGGTAGATGGTGGAGTGAAGAATTAGAAAGCAAATCACTCAAAAGCTATAAAGCATAGATCTAGGGTTTCATCAACAATTTATACACAATGCCTAAGCACTAAACATATGTGTTAAATGAATAAAGATTTTATAGTTAGCGGCAAAAAGATGAAGAAAGAAATTTATACTAACAACAAGAAAAGTATATATCTGACTATGACAAAACACAGCTCTATCATTTGAAACAGAAAACAAAATGCTACTTAGTGCAACAACTGTTTGGGGAAAAAAAACACAAAAAAACTAAGCTATCTCAGACCACAAGTTGTGAAGAACAATATCCAAGCCCAAAGCACACCCCAGCATGTGCTATAAACTGTGGTTATTTCAAAACTGCTGGGGTGCTTCCTAATTGTGGTATAGACCCTGGTAATCTATTGCTGAGTGACTTTTCTTTTTTTTTTTTTTTGAGACGGAGTCTTGCTCTGTCGCCAGGCTGGAGTGCAGCGACGCAATCTCGGCCAACTGCAACCTCCGCCTCCCGGGTTCAAGCGATTTCCCTGCCTCAGTCTCCTGAGTAGCTGGGACTACAGGAGTGTGCAATTTTAGTAGAGACGGGGTTTCACCATGTTGGCCAGGATGGTCTCGATCTCCTGACTTCGTGATCTACCTGTCTCGGCCTCTCAAAGTGCTGGGATTGCTGAGTGATTTTTCTAGACATTCTTCTACTTCTATACCAAAAGCAAAGTGGGATCAAGCCCTGGTATAAAGATTATTTGGTTGGTGCAAAAGTAACAGAGGTTTCTGTCATTATTTTCAAAGGCAAAAACCACAATTCCTTTTGCACCAACTTAATAATACCTGATCTTCAAGCACTGAAGGTTTACTGAAGTGGGCAGGGGGAGGATCAAGCTAAGTGCTCCCTTAAACAGGAGTTTTTCTGCAACCTGCCCCAGATTTTAGAGCTGAGATGATGCCTATTTACAGGAGGTTTATCAATAAAGTGTTTACTTCAGTTGTTTATATTGAAAGGTATTATAAATCAGTAGGCAAACCACTCTTCAAAGATGATAATACGAGTTCCAAAACAAGTTAAAATATGCACATATTTTTGTATCATAAAAGTCACCAAATATTGACATTGACAGAAAAAAATAAAGTTTTAAATAAAAGAAATGTTGACATGATAATCAATAGAATCAGTTAAGGTCTGAAATATATTTAATCCAAAAATTTCCACAATTTATACCAAATTTTCAAATTAACAATCTATTCCAAAAATTACATGATTTGATCAACATTCACCTAGAAAACATTTATAAATTTATATCATAATCAAATTAACAAGCTTCCAAATGTGTATTAGAAAAGCTAACTGCAACCAGTCAGGAAAACCCAAGGAAGCAAAAATCAATACAATCAGTTCTTTACCTGCAGCTCCTTTGAGACTCTCTCTAAGTGATTAGTTATCTTTTTAATCAGATCACTATACATCTGTTCCGAGTGCTGCTGGCATACACATTTATACACACAACTGTAAAACAAACAAAAACCCCCACAAACCAAGTTAATCATAAAGCACTTAACTCAGTCCAAGGTTAAAGCACACTTTTGATATATAACCACTGATCCAATAATTCATACCTTCAAAAAGTAACCAATCACAACTTTTAAATAAAAACTTTATCCTCCCCCATCGGTGTTCGGATGGAAAAGATAGTACCATCTGCTATAAATATGCCCTTCTAAGTAGTGTATTACACATTTAATCAGTACTAGAGAATCTAATAGTAGGTGAGAATCTAAGGTCTGAATATGATAACTATTTATAAACCAGGTTCTCTCTCTCTTTTTAAATGAATGTCAAAATAAGGAAGAGAGAGTGGTTGATAATCAGTAGAGAGAGGTTTCTAACTCACGGAAGTGTTTGCAATACAACCTCTTTGTACATCAGCTGTGTGGAACAACATACTTGTCACTTCCTCCTTTCACTGTGCTGATCTCATATCCCACCCCACTTCCTAATTTGCTGCTTCCATTAACAGGAGCTGAGAAACAAAATAACCAAAGAGAGTTAGAATTGTGTGTCAATAAACACCAACAGATTAAGGTCTCCCTCTGAGACTAAAAATATGATTTTTACACCAGATACTTCAGTCATTCTTGCTTTTATTGCTGACTTCCACAGTGTCTGCATTATGTATGGTGGAGGTGGCAGGCTTCCTCTGTCATGATCTGAAAACCACTTTTGAATCAAAAAGTATAAACCAAACCCTCCAATCCGTAAGTGTGGAATACATAAAACACTTACAGAGCCTCATCTTATGCATTCTACATTACATGTTTGTGTGAGGCATAATTCAAGTGCCTTGAACCTTAGTATACCCTTTCAAACCCAAGCAAATTAAATCTTAACTTACCTGTATATCTGTTCATAGGATATGGGGATATAGTCACCAGGACTCTGAGTTAAAAGTTGATCTATGGCACCATCCAATTTTGGCCAGTATGTGCTCTTATAATCTTCAATAGTTATAACATTCATTACTAAAAGTAAAAAGTAAAATAAATATTACTACGTGCCACATGTGGAGCAAACACAAATCACAGCCATTTTGCACTCTCAAATTCCTCTCACTTACTCTTCTGATTTTACACTGACACTCTATCACCTAACTATCCTATTTCAATTAAAAACAAAAAAGGCAACCTGGTCAAGGATGTTAAGCAGCCATTAATCATGGATTTAAGAGAAGTTAGTATGAACCTGTCCATCTTTAAAAATAACAACCAAACAAGCAATCATCACTGGCTTCCTTCTGGGTTTCCTGTAAGCTTCTGTCATTAGTGGAGCAGTCTCAAACATGCTCTGACCCTCAAATACACACTGCCAATTATGTGACAAAATGGCCTATCAATGAACCACAGGAAAATTTGGAGAAATCGTGAACACCAACAATCAATCTTTGTAGACATCCTCGAGGAAATGTGCCTAAGGACAGGACTATGAGGATTAAGGTCCAAATGCTGCAATCACAAAGAGGTTGCTGTAAAACTTGCCGAGATTTACAACAACACCAGCACCTCTTCATCATTACTACAGCTCCAACTCAGGCTGCTACTATCTTAAACTGGATAAGCCCAACAGAAAAGAAGTCAGTGAACTGGGACCCTGCGCTGAGGCTTACTTCATTCCTACAGACAGGCTCTTACTCCCACACTACAGGTTTCCACAAAGCATTTGTACAGTGGATCCTAACAGCTTTGAAATCCAGGTAACAGTTGCTTCACGGCACTGAAATGTTAATATTAAAAAAAGAGCTACCAGAAGAACCTGCCTATATTCTGTGTCATGAATCACAGTTACCTCAGGAGTAACAACAACGAGACCAGGTATTTCACTGTTTATTTTACCAGACTAGGAAGCAGAGTGGTTAAGTGACTTCCTCAAGAACTCAAGGCTCATTACTGTCAGAGATACCAGGTAAAGCAAAGCCTTCCCAGTATCTTTTTATCACATTATCGATTTCCACACCTTAGTCATCCAGGTTCAAGATTTTTTTCTATGTACCATCTATATCATTTTTGTTCAATACTTTCTTTAAATCAATCCACTTCTGTTATTTAATTTTATTTTACAGGACATCTGAGGAATGAACTACTGAGGAATGTTCACAAAACAACATGGCATAATCTTAAATCCATTTTGCTAAGTGAAAGAAGCCAGACCCAAAGGGCTACATATTCTAAGAGTCCCATTTACATGATACTAATAAAGGCAAAACTATAGGGAGGAAAACAGATCAGTGGTCGACAGGGGCTGGAAGGTGGGGAGAAGGATTATCTATAAAGCAGTAGCATGGAGGAATTTTTATGGCAATTAACTGTTTTGCATGAAACTATGGTGGGGGATACACCACTTCACGCATTTGTCAAGACCAAAAGAACTGTACATCAAATTACTATGTAAATTTAAAAAATCAACAAGGCTGTAGTGGTAAAGATGAAATGCAAAACACAAAAAATGAACCGAATTACAAATGAATCACATAACCCACACTGAATGGAATGGGGAATAAAGGAGTGTTTTGACTAATGTAAAGCTAAAGACAAAAAGAACCGTACATGCACGTGCGCAAACATAACAGTAGGAAGAGGCCAGACATGTAGGTCCTTATGGGCCATTGTAAAGACTTTGACTTTTACTCTAAGGTGGAAGCCTCTCTGGAGGGTTTTGAGCAGAGGAGTGACATGATCTGGCTTAGGTTTTATATGGATCATTCCAGCAGCTGTGCTGAGGGTAAACTAAGTTTGGAGGCTGTGAGCTGATATGGGGTTGGGCCAGATGGTGGCACTGAGGACAATAAGGAGAGATCAGATTTTGAAGATATTTTAAAAACAGAGTCAACAAGATTTGCTGATAGATTAGATGTGAGATGTGAAAGAAAGGTCGAGTGGCTCCAAAGTTTTTGGCTTCAGCACCGAAGGATGGGGTTGTCGTTTACTAAAATGAGGAAGACTGCACGAAAAGCTTAGCTGTCCAGCGGGCATAGCAGATACTGTTGGTGCCCCACCCATTTACCCCATCCACACCCTACGACTACTTCTCTCAATGTTCTGTCCAGCTGCCAGAGCTTGCTCTGCTTGCGGGAGGAGCAGGTAAGAAATTGTGGGAGAATTAACCCCAAAGCAGCCTTCAACCAATGACTACTGAGGATTCAGTGTCATTACCACCAGTAGCTCCCTCTCCTTTTGGGTGAGGCGACTCTAAGGCCCCTGTGCTATACTGACTCCCAGAGCTCCCCACTGGTACTAAGCTCCAGCTGCCTACAGTGGTGACTTTACCTTACTGGCTTCCTTACCTTCCCTGCCTCACTTCCCCAATCCCCCTAGAGCTGCTTCCCAGGGTCACCGTCTTGCTCTTGATACTGAAAAGTGTTACACACTAGGCTCTAGAATATGACCTTTGTATTTATGTAATCCTTAGGATTCAAAGAAAACTGAAAAAGAAATTACATTCTCACTGTGTGATTCTGAGTTACAGAATCCCTTATCAGTGTACCACCTAAACCACATGAAATACCTCTCTACACCGAAAGTTGAGAGTTGAAGGTTAGATAACACGCTCAAAAAGAAAACTGCAAGTAGTAACACCAGTAATTAACATACCTATCTTCTGGGCTCCTAAAATGCTTAGTTCAATAAACCACATGCTATGGCTCCAGCTGGGAGCACTCCTACTTCTCAAGCACAGGCTTCGCACTTTAGCAAATCACCAAGTCAAAGATATGAAGAAGAGGAAAAAGAAACCAAAATGTAAAGTCCTGCAGTTCTAAGTACAGAATGGGGACTCACTACAGAAACAGTGACTGCTGATGCTTTTAAATATCTTTGAAAAGAGACTTAAAAACCAAATTGAAAAAGGCATGTGTCACAGTAGAGAATCTTAAACCCTATTTCCACACACAAAAAAAAAAGCAGTTTCTATTTCCACACGTATTATTTATTATATACAATATACATCTATGTTACCTGAATAGTAAATAGAAAGCCAATTCAGTAACCTTATATGCTAGCTAACATAACTTTCTTCCCAGGAAGGTTCTTCATAACCATCTGCAGTCAACACTTAAAATGACAATCCAGGAAACTTCAAGATATTTGTTATTTACTTGCTTATCTCAACGCAATCCTTGGTTTAAAAAACAAAAACTCCTAGCTATTTGTTCAGTTTAACATCTGACACATATAGCCTCAGAGTGTGTGTGTAATCTTGAACTTAAAAACTAGATCCTCTTGTTAAGAGATATGTAATCACTTTCAACTTTGCCCATAGAAAAGCTTACACTCACCAAAAGAAAAAGTAGGCCAGGCGCACTGGCTCATGCCTGTAATCCCAGCACTTTGGGAGACCGAGGCGAGAGCACCGCCTGAGCCCAGAAGTTCAAGACTACACTGGGAAACATGGTAAGACCTTACCTCTACAAAAACTTAAAAAAAAAAATTAGCCGAGCGTGGTGATGCACACCTGTGGTCTCAGCTACTCGGGAGGCTGAGGCAGGAGGATCTTTCAAGCCCAAAGGTCAAGGTTGCAGTGAGCCATGTTCATAACCCTGTACTCCAGTCTGGACAACAAAGCAAGACTGTCTCAAAAACAAAACAAAACACAAAAGAGTAGCCAAAATTCATGCTATGTGTAGAAGATAGCTGATTTACTACTTTAAAATGAGAATGCTAAGATCAGAGCAGCATGACAGGATCTTAGGAGATCTGCAAGGCTGCCTATTTAGACAATACTTTTCAACTTTTTATTTCTTGATTTCTACAGTTCAGTATGAAGCCTGCATTAGAAAATACATAAGCAAAAGGAGGAAATAAAAATCACTCATAATTTCACCACCAGTATATTGCGGCTGTGCCAGTGTACTGTGCCAGTCTTTTCAATGTATATTATACGTGGCTAAAGAGTATATACAGACTTCCAATGAGGTAAAGAATTCCTTGAATTTTACTTTTTAGATAATTAACTAAATTCCTTTTCTGTATGTAATGAGCAATATCAGCAAGTAAGAGCCAAAATTAAAGTATGAAACCTAAACAAAAGTAAGTTACCATTAAATTACTAAACTTCATCTAGGTTAGATTTTCAGCTTGAAAATAATGAACTACTTTTTATGCTATTTAAAGAAGGCACTACAGGCACAAATACCTACAGGAGCCACGCTAATAACATACATAAGTAAAGCAGGCCTGGTGCAAGAATAAGAAAAGTGGTGAGGGCTTTATTGAACAGCAGAATGTGTGTTGCCCTCTAGAGGCACAGAGGTTCAAGAAATTTTAAAACACTTACTAAAAAAATGTAAAAACATCATGCCGCAAGGCTTAAACCTAGAAACACATATTTTTAAGATAATAAGCTCACACAGTCTAAATCCCACTGAGAAAGTAGTTTAACTGACCTTTACTAAGATAAAATGAAACAAAGTCTGAAACACATGGAATAGCTGGAATCTTCATTCAGGAAATATTATCAGGTTGCTGATAAACAGGAAACCATTAGAGGTCTATAATTCATACCAGGCAAGAATAAATATGTTCAACTCTCACACTTTTTTAATCCAAATAACTTGACATATTATTTGTTTATTGTCAATCTCCCTCAAACTAGACGTTAAGCCCCATGGAGAAGGAATTCACTGCTAGAGCCCCAACTCTAAACAGTATATGACACATGGTAGGTACCCAGTAACATCTGTAAAGCGAATTAACTTCGTGAGTCAAAATAAATGCTGAACAGAAAAACAGTGAAAGATATACTACTTATTAGCTGTTTTGCAATTAAAGCTTAAATTACATTTGATTTCACATAGGCTAAAGCAAACCAGGTTAGCCCTACTATATAATCCTTTTAAGGGTTTTTTTGTTTATAAGGGAAGAATAAATTCAGGAATTATAGTAAGCATTATGAATTCATACTTGGTCTACTGCAGAGACTGATCATTACTTTCTATCAGTGCCTCAAAAGTGTGAGATCCAGAGCAGCAGCAGCAGCATCACCTGGAAACTTGTTGCAAATGCAAACTGTCAGGCCCCAACACAGACCTGCTGAATCAGAAATTCTAGGGGTGGGTGGAACCCAGGAAGCTGTTTAACAAGCCCTCCAGATAATTCTTACGCCTGTTAAAGTTTGAAAACCACTCTAATGCTTCAGCAGCCCTGGACAGCCAGGGTTCACTTAGGTGTTCCTCTTTCCTCAATTGCTAATATATGGCTTGTCTGTTCTCAACACCTTGGAGAGTCAAATAAAGGTGTGAATATATCAAACAAAATGTTAAAAAGGTAGCTAGGAACTGTCTTCCTACCAAAGATTCACTAAAATTCTTCTCTTCCATATCCCTTCTTCCCACCAAAAAAGCCACCTTCATTTAGAATAGACTCTTTAAGAATGTAGTAATGGCAATTATAAAATAAATAATTAAGCCAAATTTAAAAGGCTAAATTATGAATGACTTTTTAATTAATTGCAACTAGATAATCAGAACAGACAAGGAGAAAAGAGCCCTTTGTTACCTGTTTAACTCGAGCTAGTTAATGTATGCTATCTAAAAGAAAAATGATGACTTTTTGTCACTAGAGTATGCTCATCTGTGAATAACAATCTAATAAATCTGCCTGAATGTTCCAGCAAAATGTTCTGCTCCCTCCAGCACAGGGGGACGACTGAACTCTTCCAAGTGTTGGACTCAGAGCAGCTGAAGGCCAAGAACATAACCTGAGGAATGGAAGGGAAGCCCTTGTAGATAAAGAAGAGGAATGGTCATAGAAAGTATAAGAAGTAAAAGCCATACAGAAATTTTTTTAAACAGAAAAAATTTTATCAGGATAAGAAAATATTTTTGTATAGTTGTACTGTGTTTATGTTTTAAGCTAAGAGTTATTACAGAGAAGCCGAAAAGTTTTTTAAAACTTAAAAAGTTTATAAAGTAAAAAAGTTACAGGAAGCTAAGGTTGATTTATTATTTATAATTTTTTTTTTTTGAGACAGGGTCTCTCACTCTGTCACCCAGGCTGGAGTACAGTGGTGCAATCTCAGCTCACTGCAACCTCTCCCTCTGGGGCTCAAGTGATCCTCCCAACTCAACCTCCAGAGTAGCTGGGACTACAGATGAGGTTTTGCCATGTTCCCCAGGCTGGTCTTAAAACTCCTGGGCTCAAGTGATCTGCCTGTCTTGGCCTCCCGAAGTGCTGGGATTACACACGTGAGCCACAGCATCTGGCCAGAAGCAATTTTTAAATAAATTTAGTAAAACCTAAGTGTACAATGTTTTTAAAGTCTAGAGCAATATACAGAAAGGCCTTCACTTTCACTCATGCCACTCACCCACACAACTTCCAGTCTTGGAAGTTCCAATCATGATAGGTGCCCTATACACGCATACCATTTTTTTTATCTTTTATACCATGCTTTTACTGTACCTTTTCTATGTTTAAATACACAAATACCATTATGTTACAGTTGCATACAGTATTCAGTACAGTAGCATGTTGTACATATCATACAGGTTTGTAGCCTAAAAGCAATAGGCTATATCTTATATAGCTTAAGTGTGTAGTGGGCTTATACCACCTAGGTTTGTGTAAGTATACCCTATGATGTTCCCACAGTGTACAAAATCGCCTAACAAAACAATTCTCAGAATTCTCAGAATGTATCCCTGTTGTTAAGCAAAGCATGACAGTACTTTAACATATCTGTTCCTTATTAGGAGGGAAAAAAAAAAAAAAAAACCTGTATCATCTACTCAGGTATATTTTGATTTGCCAGTACAAGAGGGCAGCAATTATTTCTAAAGTAGGTTAAAGCCTCTTAAAAGTTGTGTGCTTTAGGTATTTGTTTGGGAAGTTTCTAAATTTTAGGGTTTATGGTTTGCATAATTCAATTTAAACACTATGGACAATTTAAAATGTCTACTGTGATCATGAGTTAGTCATTCCTCAGTATATTCATTACATTCAGATGACAACAACCAGATGACACTGATGTCTTATTTTTATTTTATCTAAGTTCTCATTAACACACTCTTTAAGGGTTCTATGCTCCCTACCCCATAACAAGACAACATTTTGGTCCAGATAAGCCTTATAACATACCAGCCGTATAAAACCTCCTTTGCCTTGCTTCAAATGAAGTGCCTCGTCCCCCAAAACACTGTAAAACTTGTAGAGCAAACACACAGTTACTGTTTTACTGCTTAGAAATCTACACATTTTTCAATTAGAGGAAATGTAATAAAATAGTAGAAACCTCCTTCATCACTACTATCTTAAAAAAAAAAAAAAAAACCTAGCTGTAGTGGCCTACCAGCAGATTGAGATCTATGTTCCTTTAGAATAGTTACTATACAACACTGTTCTACCATTACAACATCACATAGGAGCCTGTGACACAGTTCCTAAAATGGACATGTTATGACATACATGCATACACGAAAAGTTCAAGAGCTATCAAGACATCCATTTTAGCTCCAACTCCACCTAATCCAAAATCTCATAAAATTCAAAGTACTCAAAATTCAAAACAGAAAAGTATCTGCTCAACTGAGATTACATAGGTGTAAACTATGCTAACTGCAGGTCTATGACAGTTTTAAAATTTCATGGTGTCTTCCAAGATTTAAATAAGTCAATCTCTCCTTGGCATTAAGCCCAGTAGAGTCTGAACCTTGAAGCAGTAGCTTGAAGCAGGTGCTGAGGTGGATACCAATGGTGGGTAAACAAACCTTGCCCTGTAGGCCCCTGAGAAGATCAGGACTTGAGGACATAATACTATGAACAGGCATTTTTGGAAATGGGTGGAAGATGCAATAGAAAAGTCTGCAGACTCAACGGTAAAAAGAACCGAGAAGGATTATTCTGTGGAGAAACTGAGAGACAAAGGCTTAGAACTCTGAGACCTAGAAACATTCAGGGCAGGACTGTGAGGGAGTGAGAAGCACAGAACTGGCAGATTAAGCAGAAGTCAGCGTAAGAAATGCTCAAACATCTAGACCCACTCCTTTCATTCCAGAATGCTACGCGCCAGGAAAAATATGCTTTATTCCCCACCCCTACCCCCACCCCCACCTATCCATTCTGCCATTCTCTCAGAATGGAAGATCCTTCTCTAGAGAAACTAAACAGTCCCAGAGAAAAGACATTCACATACTAATATCTGGCAGTTCCTCAACAAAATAGCAGCTCTGCATTCAATCAACCTAACATGAAGCCCAATACTTAAATATGACAAGGCCCATTATAAACACAGAGCTAGCAATTATCTTTTTTCACTTTTAAATATGGATAGACAACTAAGAATCACCAAAGATTTGTAGAAAGTCTCAGACAAGAGAGATCAAAACAAATTTGAAAAGCTAAAAACAAAGATAATCCAGAGAATAGAACTTGTTTAAAAACTATAATTACTATCTTCAGAAAGGTAAGATAAAAATTAAAAACAGTGTCATAAAAAAGAAGTAATCCAAGTGCTCTTAAAAAAAAAAAAAAAAAAAAAAAGCCTGGGCGCTGTGGTTCACGCCTGTAATCCCAGCACTTTTGGAGGCCAAGGCAGGCGGATCACGAGGTCAGGAGATAGAGTCTCCTGGCTAACACGGTGAAACCTGGTCTGTACTAAAAATACAAAAAAAATAGCTGGGCATGGTGGCGGGCACCTGTATTCCCAGCTACTCGGGAGGCTGAGGCAAGAGAATGGTGTGAACCCGGGAGGTGGAGCTTGCAGTGAGCCGAGATCATGCCACTGCACTCCAGCCTGGGTGACAGAGACTCCTCCGTCTCAAAAAAAAAAAAAGGTCAGTGTTAAAAATACAACATCAAGGAAATCTCCCAGAGCTTGATGAGAAAGGGGATGTAGCAAAATGCAGTTAACAGACTTAGAAGATCAAAACAGAAATTCAACATTTGACTACCAATAATTCCAGAGAAAACAGAACAGAGAAAATGTAAAGGGAGAGAAATATTAACACATTAATATAAAAAAAAGAACTAAGAAATTTTCTCAAGGGGAAAAAACGAATGGCACCTGACTTCTCCATTTTAATATGCGTGCTTAAAGTTAATGAAGCAATACTTTTAAAATGCCAAGGAAAAGTTATTTTCCGTTAAGAATTCTATACCCAAACTATCAATCAAGTGTGAAAGCAGCATTTTTAGATATGCCAAGACCTGAAACTTTATCCACACACTCTCAGGAAATGACTAGAAGATATGCTCTATATACATACTCAGAAATTCATCAATAAAAAGGAAGACAAGCAATCATTCCAAGTATCTGGGAAGTCCCTGAGTGGCAACTATGCACTGGCCCTAAGCAATAAACAGAAACAAGAGGACTAACAGCTTCACAGACAAAAACAAAAGCTGATTTGTTTGAGCATTTCAAAAACACCAGTGACAGGTACATGGCGAATCTAACAAAGCTGTTGAAAAGTTTTAAGAGTATGTTTGGCTGGGTGCGGTGGCTCATGCCTATAATCCCAGCGCTTTGGGAAGCCCAGGCAGATGGATCACCTGAGGTCAGGAGTTAGAGACCAGCCTGGCCAACATGGTGAAACCCCGTCTCTACTAAAAGTACAAAAAAATTAGCTGGGTGTGGTGGCATGCGCCTATAATCCCAGCTACTCAGGAGACTGAGGTGGGAGGATCGCTTGAACTTGGGAGGCGGAGGTTGTAGTGATCTGAGATCACACCACTGCACTCCAGCCTGGGCGACAGAGCGGGACTCTGTCTCAGAAAACAAACAAACAAACAAAAAGAGTAAGTTCAACAAAAATTCTGCCAATACAAACAAGGCAACTAACAACAACATTCTATGTAAAATAAAATGTAATCTCAGTACACTTTAGGCCCTTCCGTGAATATTTACATAGCTATAATGTAAATATGGCTTACTGATTAAAACCACAAATTGTGGCCGTTTGCAGTGGCTCACACCTGTAATCCCAGCACTTTGGGAGGCCAACTCAGGCAGATGGCTTGAGGCCAGGAGTTCAAGACCAGCCTGGTCAACATGGCAAAACCCCATCTCTACTAAAAATACAAAAATTAGCCAGGCATGGTGGCACATGACTGTAATCCCAGCTACTCAGGAAGCTGAGGTACAAGAATTTCTTGAACCCAGGAGGCAGAGACTACAGTGAGCCGAGATCACGCCACTGCACTCCAGCCTGGGAGACAGAGTGAGTCTCTGTCTCAAAATAAATAAAAATTTTTTTAAAACTGTGATAGTGGCCAGGCACGGCAGCTCACGCCTGTAATCCCAGCACTTTAGGAGGCTGAGGCGGGCAGATCATGAGGTCAGGAGATCGAGACCATCCTGGCTAACACGGTGAAACCCCGTCTCTACTAAAAATACAAAAAATTAGCCGGGCGTGGTGGCAGGCGCCTGTAGTCCTAGCTACTCAGGAGGCTGAGGCAGGAGAATAGCGTGAACCCGGGAGACGGAGCTTGCAGTGAGCCAAGATCGCGCCACCGCACTCCAGCCTGGGCGACAGTGTGAGATTCCATCTCAAAAAAAAAAAAAACAAACAAAACTGTGATAGTAAAAAAATTAGAAAGGTAAGGTATGTTAGAGGTATAAGAGAATTAAATCCTGGAAGTCAACAGGTAATATAAAAATGATAAATTAAGCAGTAACAATATCACCACATTGAAATGTGTGGCTAATACCAGAAGAAACAGCTAAATGAATCGTAATTAAATGACTGACTTTGAGTAACGGGTCCAGGAATGGGAAGGGGTAGGGAAAGGAACCACTGATTTTATGTGTCTTTTTGCATAATTTGAGTTTTAAAATTATAAACCTGTATTACTTTAATAAGAGCAAAGTACTGTTTTTGTTTTTTAAGTACGAAGAGTTTGGCGAATCTCAAATCCTCGGAAATGGAAAAGCAAATCTATTGAAATTAAATTTTTGTTTCAGGGTAAAATTTTGCTTCAGAATATCTCCAATATTCTAAGGCACAGGAAATGAGAAAATGCAGAATTTACCAACTGCTTCTGGACCTCTCTACCTGACTGTTCCATAGACACCTTAAAAGAGACAGACAGACACACACACACACACACCCCCTCACTTCACACCTTTATACCTTCCACGTCTGGGTCAAAGGCACTGACAGCTACCCGTCATCCAAACCAGCAATCTTTAATCTTCATCTT
The DNA here is from genome assembly GCF_000001405.40 of Homo sapiens. NCBI lineage: Eukaryota > Metazoa > Chordata > Mammalia > Primates > Hominidae > Homo > Homo sapiens. The sequence continues at coordinate 118,741,577 of NC_000010.11, forward strand.
CCTTTCCTCACCCCCAAAATTTTGTAGATTCTAGTCCCTAAATATCTCCAAATTGAAACCTCTTATCTTTTAAAATTGTATTTGTTCAATCTCCATCTCTTGTCTAGATTACAGAAATTGTAACACCCTAACTAGCCCCTAGACCTCCACTCTCTATCCGCTCTAAATTAACACACTAAGACAAATGTCTCCCTTAAAACCTCCCATTACTACAGAAGAAAATCCTTCCACTAACATGGTCCTTCACTATCTAGCCCTTTCTATCTATCCATGTTTAACATGAGCCAGTCTCTCCTCCTACTCTGTATTCCAAAAATAATTTCAATTCTGGGTCTTTGGCACAGGCTGCCCCTCTGCAAGGAAGTCTCTTCCAGTCCAGCTTCCCCATCCCCACCCCCTATCCTCCTGGCCAACTTCTATTCATTTTTATAAAGACTCTCTTTCCTGAATGCTACCAAATACATAGCTTTATTATAGCATTTAATCATAATGTATCATAATTACCTTTCTATCACCTCCCACATTCAACTGTGTCTCTTCATTACCAGAGGCTAAAATATTACTTTGGCACACAATAAACACTTAATAAAATGCCATTCAGATGATGAATCAGCATACCTGCAACTACATATTACACATCTATCCAACTTTATCTTTAGAGGTTAATAACCGAATGTCCACAAAAGCAGGAAGAAAAAATGGAAAGCCAGCTTGCCCTGTCAAGACATACCATAAAAGGATATTAACAATCAACCTTTATATAGTGCTTAACAGTTTACAATGTGAATACATATGGTCTACGGTTTACAGAGTTTACAGTAAATAAACAGTATTCATTTTCTTTAGAGATTTGGGACTGGGCCTTAAGTAAACATTAAAATGCCTTTCTCTTACAGTTTCATCAACAACATTTTATATGATGCAGGTCAAAAAATAGCAAGACAAGATCCCCAATAAGATCCTGAAGTTCGGCCGGGAACAGAGGCTCACTCCTGTAATCCCAGCAGAAATGGGGCCAGTTTGGTGGAGTATGATCAATCTGAAAACCCTGACCTCACGAAACCCTGCTTACACACCCCCCTCCCAACATGAGACTAACTTTACTTGATTAAAGACCCTGCCATGATATTACCTGAAACCTCACAAAAAAGATTCTCTCTAAGCAGAACTCTAGTTAGAGTCTCTAGATCTCTAACTAGAATCAGATTTCCCAAGGGAACAAGTACCAAACCTAAATAAATAGGAGACAGCTTACATTCCAAAAGAACTATAAGACTTTAATACATTATACTGGCAGAAACTTGGGAATACATGTGGGAATGGATTGTGAGGGTGCTGAACAATGAAGAAAGAACTTTAGACGCAACAAGTCATTAAAAGGAATGCACTTACTAAAGATTCTTTATTCACTATACTACTTCAAGAAACTGGATACAGTTCTAACAGTTTGCTTGGTTAACTGAAACCTGGACTGTCAGCCTGCATTAAAAACAGTTGGAACTCTCACTGATTTAAGAGCAGGATTAACAGCAGATTAGATACTAAAAAAGAAAACATTAGTGAGCATGAAGACATAGCATTAAAACTTACCCAAACTAAAGCACAGAGAGTAAAAAAGAAAAAAAAAATCTTTAAAAAAATGAACAGAACCTCAGTGACTCATGGTACAATAACAAGTGTTATAACATATGTGTAACTAGTGGCAGGGGGGTTCTGACAAAAAATAATGAATAATTTTCCAAATTTGACAAATTCTAAAACCCCACAAATCCAAAAAATAAACACTAAAAAAGAACATAAAAAATTGCGGAAAACTTAAGTAAAAATTTTAAAAGTACCCAGGAAAAAAAGGGGCATATTATATATAGAGAAACAAAGATAAGACTATACACACATTTATTAAAGAAACAATAAGGCCGGGTGCAGTGGCTCACCTAAGGTCAGGAGTTCGAGACCAGCCTGGCCAACATGGTGAAACCCTGTCGCTACTAAAAATACAAAAATTAGCCGGCCATGGTGGCGTTTGCCTGTAGTCCTAGCTATTCAGGAGGCTGAGGCAGGAGAATCACTTGAACCCGGGAGGTGGAGGTTGCAGTGAGCTGAGATCGCGCCACTGCACTCCAGCCTGGGCAACAAGACGGAAACTCCGTCCCCAAAAAAAGGAAAAAAGAAACAATGCAGGTCAGAAGACAATGGAAAGACTCTTTAAAGTATTTATAGAAGAAAAAAAAAGGCTGTATATCTAGAATTCTATATCCAGCAAATATCCTTAGAAAATGAAGATAAAATAAAGATCTCTGCAGACAAAAGCTGAACAAATTGAAGGCCAACAGAACTACATTATAAGAAATATTAAAGGAAGTTCTAAAGAGGGAAGAAAAATAAGAGGTGGAAACTTCCATCTACACAAAGGAAAGAAGAGGGACAGAAATGATAACTATCTGGGTAAATACAAAACACTTACATTCCAGTTTATTATTATTTCAAAGAAATCTCAGTATGATTCCATTCATATGAAAGATCTGGAGGCCGGATGCGGTGGCTCACGCCTGTAATCCTAGCACTTTGGGAGGCCGAGGAGGGTGGATCACCTGAGGTCAGGAGTTTGAGACCACCCTGGCCAACATGGCAGAAACCCCGTCTCTACTAAAAATACGAAGTTAGCCGGGCATGGTGGCGCATGCTTGTAGTCCCAGCCACTCAGGAGGCTGGGGCAGGAGCATCGCTTGAGCCCGGGAGGTGGAGGTTGTGGTGAGCTGAGATCGCGCCATTGCACTCCAGCCTGGGCAACAAGAGCAAAACTCCGTCTCAAAACAAAAACAAAAACAAACAAAAAAAACAAAGATCTGGAATAGGTAAACCCAGAGAGACAGAAAGCAAATTGGTGGATGCCAGGGGCAGGGAGAAGTGAGGAAACGGAACTAATTGCTTAATGGGTATGGAATGTTATTTTGGGTTGATGAAAATGTTTTGGAACTAGATAGAGGTAGTTGCACAACACTGGGCATGTACTCAATGTCACTGAATTATTCACTTTAAAATAGTTAATTGTGTGTTACATAAATTTCATTCCAAGTTTTTTTGGGGGGCCGGGGCAGGAACAGATTCTCGTCATGTCGCCCAGCTTGGAGTGCAATGATGCGGTCTCAGCTCACTGCAACCACCACCTCCTGGGTTCAAGCAATTCTCCTGCCTCAGCCTCCTGAGTAGCTGGGATTATAGGCGCACACCACTACACCTGGCTAATTTTTGTATTTTTAGTATGGACGGGGTTTCACCACGTTGGCCAGGCTGGTCTCAAACTCCTGACCTTGTGATTCACCCACCTCAGCCTCCCAAAGTGCTGGGATTACAGGCATGAGCCACCGCGCCCGGCTCATTCCAACTTTTAAAAAAAGATACGTGACAGTTTTGAGCAAAATTAATGACAGTGTATTTGGGGAATTATGACATATATTAAAGTTAAAATGTACAACAATAGCATAAAGGACAATAGTGGATAAATGGAAGTATACTGCTATTAGATTTTTACATTATAAGTAAAGTAGTCTAATACTATTTGAAGGTAGACTGTTGTAAGTTAAACTTTCATAATCATAAATCCTAGAGTAACCCCCAAAGAGCAAAACAACCATGCTAATAAGCCAAACTGGAGACAAAACTGAATCATAAAAATAACAAAAAAGAAGACAGGAAAAGGGTTGGGCCCAGTGGCTCATGACTGTAATCCTAGCACTTTGGGAGGCCGAGGTAGGTAGGTGGATCACCTGAGGTCAGGAGTTCAAGACCAGCCTGGCCAACACGGCGAAACCTCACCTCTACTAAAAATACAAAAATTAGCTGGGTGTGGTGGCACATGACTGTAATCCCAGCTACTCGGGAGGCTGAGAAAGGGAATCGCTTGAACCTGGGAGGTAGAGGTTGCAGTGAGCCGAGATCGTGCCACTGCACTCCAGCCTGGGCGACAGAGTGAGACTCCGTCTCAAAAAAAAAAATGGAGACAGGAAAAAAGGAACATTTTTTAAATAACAGATGGACAAAGAGTAAACAAAAGTGCAAGACAATATGATTTAAACCCTACCATATTGGTAACTACATTAAACACAATGGTAGCAGAGGTTGTCAGACTGGATTTTAAAAAAGATCCAACCATATGTTGTCTACAAGAAATGTACTTTACACAAAAAATAAATTAAAAGTAAAATGATGGTAAAAGATACATTATGCAAACAATAACCCTTAAAAAAAAACCTGGAATGCCTACAAGTAAAAGTAGTCTTGGCTGGGAATGGTGGCTCATGCCTGTAATCCCAGCACTTTGGGAAGCCGAGGTGGGTGGATCGCAAGGTCAGGAGATCGAGACCATCCTGGCTAATACGGTGAAACCCCATCTCTACTAAAAAAAAAAATACAAAAAAAAAAAAAATTAGCTGGGCGTGGTGGCTGGCGCCTGTAGTCCCAGCTACTCAGGAGGCTGAGGCAGGAGAATGGCGTGAACCCAGGAGGCAGAGCTTGCAGTGAGCTGAGATCGCACCACTGCACTCCAGCCTGGGCAACAGAGCGAGACACTGTCTCAAAAAAAAAAAAAAAGGAGTCTTTAGGGTAAGGAATATTAACAAGGATAAAGTCAGACATTCCATCATGATAAACAGTCAATTCATCAAGAAGATATGCAACAATCCTAAATCTGATGGACTAAATAAGATTAATGAAATAGAACTGACGCCCACACATACATGGTCAGTTATTTCTGACAAAGTTTCCAAAGTAACCCAGTAAGAAAAGGATAGTCTTTTCAACAAATAGTGCCAACACAATTGGATATCCATATAGAATAAACGGAGCCTCAATCCTTATCTCACACTATACAGACATCAACTCATAATTCAGATCACAGACCTAAACGTAAAAGCTAAAACCATAAAACTGCTAAGAAAAATTACAGATAAAATCTTGACTTTGGGGTAGGCAAATATTTCTTAGGATACAAAAAACAACAGCTAGAAGAAAAAATTGACAGTTTAGACATTATCAAAACTGAAAAACATGTACTCTTCAGAAGACACCGTTAAGAAAAAAAAGACAAACCAGAGGGAGAAAACAGTAATAATAGTTGTCTGACAAAACTTGTATCCAAAATTTATAGCGAATTCTTTAAACACATTAAGACAAACAACAAAAGAAATGAGCAAAAGATGTGAGCAGATTATCACAAACAAAATTATAAGGCAAGCAAATGATCACATGAAAAAGCCAACGGCACATGTAAAAGAGAAATGCAAAATAAATACACAAAGAGATACTACGATTCTCTAGAACAGGGGTCCCCAACCCCAGGCCACAGGAACCGGTCGGTGGCCTGTAAGGAACCAGGCCACACATCAGGAGGTGAGCTGTGGGCCGGCGAGCATTACCACCTGAGCCCCACCTCCTGTCAGATCAGCGCAGGAATTAGATTCTCAAAGGAGCGCCAACCCTATAACGCAAGGGATCTAGGTTGCGCACTCCTTACCAGACTCTAAGACCTGATGATCCGAGGTGGAACAATTTCATCCCAAAACCATCCCCCAGTCCACAGAAAAATTGTCTCTTCCACGCAACTGGTCCCTGGTGGGGACCGATGCTCTAGAAAGGCTAAACTTTAAAAGACTGACAATACCAAGAATGCAGAGCCTAACCAGTACAAGTGCCAATTAAGTAAGTGGAGCAACTGGAGCTGTCATATACAGCTGATGGGAGTGTAAAATGGTGCAACCACCCTAAAGAATTGTTTGGCAGTTTCTCATAAAGTTAAACGTATCAGTAATATATAAGCAAGGAATTCCACTTGTATGAAACCTTTACCCACACCAAACCTTGTACATGGTTGTTTACAGCAGTTGTGTTCATGACAGCCAAAACCAGAGACCACCTAAATGATCAACCTAATGACCAACAAATTAATGATTTTTTGGTAAATCAAAAAAAAAAAAAAAAGACTACTTTGGGATATCCAAAAAAAAAAAAAACTACTACTCCTCAGTCAGAAAAATGAATAAGTAACTGACATATGCGAGAACGTGGAAGAATCTCAAGAACAGAATAAGAAACAAGCCAAGCACAAAACAATACACATTGTATGATTTCATTTATATGAAATCCTACAGTGACAGAAGGCAGATCAGTAGGAATGCTTGGGGCTGGAGGAAGCAGGCAGCGTTAACTGACTGCAAAGAGACACAGGGAAGGCAGAGCATGGTAGTTTACAACTGTAATCCCAGCACTCTGGGAGTCCAAGGCAGGTAGATCACTTGGGGCCAGGAATTCAAGATCAGCCTGGCCAACATGGTGAAACCCCATCCCTACTAAAAACACAAAAATTAGCTAGGTGTGGTGGTGTGTGCCTGTAATCCCAGCTGCTCGGGAGGCTGATGTGGGAGAATCACTTGAACCCGGGAGCCAGAGGTTGCAGTGAGCCGAAATCGTGCCACTGCACTCCAGCCTGGGCGACAGAGTGAGATCCCATCTCCAAAAAAAAAGAGAGAGACAGAGAAACATAGGGAAGTATTTCAGGGTGACAGAAATGTTCTCTTGGTTGTTGTGGTGGTTACTGCTGGACAGACAGTCCTCCGTGGGCCTCACGCACTCCGACATGTCTTATTGAGTATGCCAGGAATGCAATCACTCTTGAACCTGGGCCATTCTGTACCTGGTAACCTTGAAAGACGAGATAACATCTCCCGCTAGACAAAGAGCAGGCTTGCTCACTGCTTTCTATAAAAGTAGTGGATTCCCCAAGTTTGATGTTCTTCAGCTGCAACACAGAACCACTGAGAGAGCATCCATCTTGGTCATAGTATGTCACCCTCTTGGGACTTGGGGGAAGGGGAAACTATGCAAATATAGCAATTCTCATGCTGTGTGCTATGACAAGAAAAATAAATTCCTTCATCTCTCACTCAGGAGTCCCCCATCTTATGTCAGCACCCAGTAATACAAGTTGAGAATCCTAAATCCAAAAATCCAAAATCTGAAACTTTTTGAGCACCAATATGATGCTTAAAGGAAATGTTCACTGGAAAATTTTGGATTTTGAATTTTTGGATTTGGGATGCTCAATCATTTGGTATAACACAAATATTCCAAAATCCGAAAAAAATCTGAAATCCAAAACACTTCTGGCCCCAAGCATTTTGGATGAGGGATAGTCAACCTGTAACAGTAATAGGCTACCTTTTAAGTATTAGTAGGGTAAAATCAAATTCCACACCAGACGGCGACATGGGTTAAAATGCATCAAACTGCACACCTAAAATGGGTACACTATATTGAATGGAGGAGAAGAGGTGTGGAGGAAGAAAATGGACACAGGAAAAAGAGGAAAGGAAAAGGAAGAAGAGTCAGGAGGAGGGAGGAAGCAGTCAGAACAGAAATTACTTAGTACGTGGAGAAATGAGTCCAGACATATGAAGAAAGGAATATAAATTTGTCATGTTCTAACCCACTCTTACTCCCTGAACTGTGCTCTGAGAAGGTCCTTCACCAACTGAGAAATATATAAATAATTAAATATAATTACTGAAAAAAATGCTGTGGTGGTTGTCCCTTGTAATTCTGGGTTAACGATGGGCAATACTGCCATTAAAAGAGGTTCCCTGATTTCAGTGGAATAGTTCTACTTCCAGAGTGACGAAGTGGAAATAACTTCCAGATATAAAATGGGCATGATTATTTAAAGAGGCAGCAGGGCCAGAGTGATCAGCAGAATGGCTTGGATTTCTGGTGGCTTGGATTTCTGGTGGCTTGGATCTCCCTCATGGTGGCTAACCATGATATCCTTAGGAAAACAAAGGCAATATACTGGGGTATTACTTGATCTGTTATAATGGACAGAAAAGAAAAACTCTAGATATATTAAACAGAGGTCTCACCTAAGTGGCATAATGGAAAGCCATGTAACCTCACCTAAAACCCACAATGAGCCTATTCACAGACACAGAAATGCTGGAATAAAGAAGAGGATGAGTTCCACTGAGGAAGAACCCCACATAATTAAAGTCTTCCTCCTAGCCTTTTCCAATAGAACATGCAGGTATTTATTAGGGAGATAGTACATTTGGGAAATGGAAATCACTGAGACTTTTCAAAGATTAATAAACACTGGCTCTAAGCCAATACGAACCCTAAGAGACAGGAACGTCACTATGGTAAACCAGGCAGATCAGGGGCTTATGGACGTCACATAAATGGTGTTTTGGCCTCAATCCATCTCACAGTAGGGCTGGTGGACCCGTAGTAACACTGTAACTCCCCCAGTTCTGAAACTAGTTCATGGTTCCCTAACCTGTGAAGTCAGGAATATCAACATAGGAAGGGCTAGATGTACCCTTTCCTACCAAAGTAATAAACTCGAAGCAACAAACAACACATCTCTGTGGGAACTATAGAAAACACTATCAATGTCAAAGACTTTAAAAATAAGAAAGGAGGGCCGGGCGTGGTGGCTCACGCCTGTAATCCCAGCACTTTGGGAGGCCAAGGCGGGTGGATGACCTGAGGTCAGGAGTTTGAGACCAGCCTGACCAACATGGTGAAACACATCTCTACTAAAAATACAAAAATTAGCCGGGCATGGTGGTGCACACCTGTAATCCCAGCTACTCAGGAGGCTGAGGCAGGAGAATTGCTTGAATCCGGGAGGCGGAGATTGCAGTGAGCTAAGACTGCACCACGGCACTCCAGCCTGGCGACAGAGCGAGACTGTCTCAAAAAAAAAAAAGGAATGGTGATAATTATGACATTCTTATTTCATGGGTCTGTTTGGCCAGAGCAAAAGAGATGAGTCTTGGAGCATGACTGTGGATTATCATCGATCAAATCCAAAGTGACTCCAATTTTAGTTGCTGTTCCAGACATGGTCTCTTCACTGTGACAAATCAACACCATCCCTGGCACCTACCATGTATCCATCAAGATAATAAATGCTTTTTATCTCTGTCCCAAAACTAGAAACCAACAGAAGCTGTTTTCACCTTACAGTCTAAAGTATACCTTCACTGCCATAGCTGAGGGATACATTAACGCGGCAGCTATCTTCCACTATCTGGTCCACAGAGACTTCGGACATCTCAACATCTCACAAGTTCACTACACTGCTATTCCCACAAGCAAGTATACGTTTTCCTGTATTACCATATCCCCATTGCACTTGGCACTATTCATTCAGCTTTCTAATTTTTGTCAACCTAAAGGTGGAAAAAGACATTCCGTTACTATTTTATTCTTTAATTTTTGTGGGTATATAGTAGGCATATATTTTTATGAGGTATATGGGATATTTTGATACAGGCATACAGTGTGTAATAATCCCATCAGGGAAAATGCGGTACCATCACCTCAAGCATTTATCCTTTGTTTTACAAACAATCCAATTATACTCTTTTCCATTACTATTTTAATATGCATGTCTCTGAATATTAATAAATTCATCTCTTCTTATGCTTTTTAGGGTTTCCTATTCTTTCTATAAGCTACTTATTAATATCCTTTGCCTATTTTTCTACAGAAGTTGCTGCCCTCTTGTTGATGTATAGTAAGTAGTCCCTTGTCTAGTCAGATCATCATCCCTTGTTAATTTTAGGCACTGTAAATATCTTCTCTAATTTTTTCATCTTTTGCCAAATGAATAATTTTCATATAATCAAAATAATTAATTTTTCACCTTTATAAACTTTTGAAGCTTTAAAAAGTACTTCCCTGTCCCTAGGGAAAGAGCTTAACATTTTCAATAATGTTAACTTTGGTTTTTCTTTTCACATTTAGGTCTTTAATTCATTTGGAGTCTATCCATTTATGATATTAAATTTATTTTTTCTCTATATAGTGAGTCACTCTCCCTAACAACATATGACTCCTTTCTCCAGTGGTTTATGATGCCACTTAAAAAGTTCCCAACTTTTATACATGTATCCAGGTAAGTCTCTGCCCTCCAATTTGTTTCCTTGGTCTATTTTTCTGTTCTCGCACTTACACCACTTTAACTACAGCCTTGACATCTTAACTTCTAATAAGGCAAGCCTCCCATCCCCAAACAAATCTTTAAGATTGATTCTGTTATTCACAAACTTTATCCCACACACCATATAAATTTTAGACTTAGGCTATTGAGTTTGTCAAACCAAATGTAATTTTGACGTCATTTAAACTGAATTTATAAATTGGAGAAAATTAGTATTCTTGTAAGTAATTTGATCCAAGAGCAAGGAAAATTGTACCATTTATTTAGATTATCCTCTAGTTTCTTTTTCAAGTTTTAAAGTTTCCTTTTTAAAGGTCTTGCGTATTCACGGGTTGATTCCTAGAGACTTTAGAGTTTTGTTGCTATTATTACATATAGTATTTACTTTTGATTATCTTTACTAGTTATCACTAGTTTAGTAAATGCTATCAAATTTTTGTAAGTTTATCTTAAATCCAGCAATCCTGCTAAACTCTTACTAGTTCTAAGTTTTCTCTGGATTTTAATGGTTCATCTAGGTAGGTGATCATATTATCTGCAAATAATAACTTTTATTGCTTCCCTTACAATCTTTATACCTTATTTTTTTGCTCCTTATAATGTTAGCCAGGACCTTCCTACAATGCTAAACAGTAGTAATGACAGGAGCATCCTTATCTTGTTACGGATCTTAAAGTATATGTATCTAAAATTTCTCCATTAAGTATTATTATTTACTGAAGGTTTTTGGTAATGACCTTTATCTAGTTATCTTGTACTCCTAGGTTACCAAGAGTTTTTATCATAAATAGCTGCTGGATCTAGTTGAATGATTTCAGGGCACCAATTGAGATAATCGTAATTTTTTTCCTTTAGTCTATTAAAGAGCTAAATTAGATAAGTAGATGTTAAACCATGCTTTCATCTCTAGGACTAACTCTATGGATCAGGACTCTGTAACACACTGTTGGATTTGATGAGCGAGTATTTATTCTGCAGTATTTTCATTTCTATGCTAAGTAAAACAGACCTATAATTTTCTCTTCTTACATGTCCTTATCTGTTTTAGAATCAAGATTTCACAAGCCTCATAAAATGAACTTGGTATTTTTTCTATTTTCCAGTGCAACTTGCAAAAAGAATTAAGTGTTAAAGTATGGTGGAACTCATCAGCGTATCTGGATGCAGAGCTTCTAAAAAGGGAGATCTTTACCATTTCAGTTTATTAGTTCAAGATATTTCTTCTGATACCAATTTTCACATTTACTAGTTTTCTAAGAACTATATTTTTCATTTAGGCTTTCAAATTCATCAGCCTAAGTTCATAACGTTCTTTTTTTAATCTGATATTTGTAGTTATTTTCCATTTTTCATTTATTTGCATCTTTTTTTCTTGTCGTTTTTATCAGAGGTCTGTCTGCCTAGCTTACTCATCTTTTCACAAAAATAATCTTTTGGTGTGACAAATCCTTTTGTTCTCAATTTTACTGATTTCTGTTCCTAACTTTATGCTCTTTTTTGAACTCTTCAAAGGAACTTTACTAAGGCAATCTTCCTTCGTGACTCAGGTGAAGTCATTCTGCCACTCTACAGGAGGTCTGGTTCCACAACACAGCCTTCAACACACAAACTATACAATATAAACATGATTATCATGAATAAGGAGAAAAAGCGTATATAATCTTACCAAACGTACATATCAATGTCTTTGACTAAGGCAGTATCTTGGGGCAAATAAAATTACGCGCTGTTCCCACACACAGTGTGTAAGATTCCGACTATCTGCATCAAGGCAAATATTTTCTCTGCACAGCTAACTGGACAAGTACAGCTTCATAAAATTAGTAGCTAGAAATGAACTCTCCAGTTGCTTTACCAGATGCCACTCAAAACTTGCAGTTAATAATAGGAGAGAAAAACCTGGCTGTGATGGTCACAATCATTTTCAACATCCTATCACCACCACCACCGCCACGCACACATACACACAAACCAAAGTAAAAGCACATTCTTTTCCTAGCTATGGAAGCATACATATATCCTGGTCAGAGGCAGTTTCGGATTACAAAACAGATTTTGGTCTTAAATCTTAATGCGTGCAATTGAGCGTTAAGACAGACTACTAACATAAAGTTCAACATGCAACCCAATCTTGGGTTTGGACACAAGACATAACCCATCCTGAAAGGCTTATTCTTATGAGTGTAAGCTCTGAAAAGTGATTTTATGCATTATTAGCTTCAAGACGATGTCGGAGCTGCCACTGCATCGGAAAGCAACTCATTATTTCCCTAGCAGGATGCAAAAGTGTAACACAGTAGAGAAGGAACAAGGTGTAGATATAGGTCAACTTTCAAATTCCTTACTTGTTTAACACAGCCTGGCCAAAAACACAAGAACACAAGTTGCCAGATTTCTTTTCTCTCTCTGGCTGCAGAAGACTGAAGGCCTTTCCCTAACGAGACTCAGGCAGCCTTATTTTCCCCTCACTTTGAGGGTGAAACTTCAAGAGAAGACGGGTGCGAAAAGAGCTTCCCAATGTTGAGAGACTGCCAGTTGTGATAGGGATCGCACTGACCGAACTTGGGGCTCCGTGTGTACCAGGCTGCCTCTCTAGGCCAGGTAATACAAGAAGCCAGGGCCGCTCAGGCGCTGGCCGCAGACACCAAATGAGGGGGAGGGGACGGTGAGGGGGAAGGAGGCAGGGAGGCGAAGGCGGACGGGGAGAAGAGGAAAGACCGAGGCCTGAAACAAAGGAAGCGGAGCTTTCTCCAAGAGGGGGTGGATTCGGCGTCCGAGTGAGGTGGAGAAAAGCCAAGGCTGCAGGGAAAGGCTGGACTCACAGAACTTGGAGGTGGAGGTGTTGATGTTGATGGTGGAGCTGGCGGTGGGGGCGGGGGCCGCCTTGGCCACGGCGGCGGCCGCGTCGCAGCTCTTCAACATCATGATCACCCCATTAGCCTCCGGCGGTGGCTGCGGCCCCATCGGGAGCCCCTCCTTGGGGCCTTTCCTGTCCACGGAGACCGCGGGCACCGCCAGCAGCTGCCCCCCCGGAGGCTCTCGGGCAGGGGCCGGGATCGACGAGGGGGGCGGCGGAGGTGGCAGGGGCTGCCGGAAGCCGTCCACCGCAGCCTCCCAGTTGTTGTGGTTCTGGTCGTCCATCATCGCCTCGTAGCTGCCCCCCTCCTCCTCTTCCATGCTTTCCTCCATCCTGCTGGCCCCCGGCACCCGCCCGCCTCACAGGCACCTGCCGCCTGTCTCAACCCCGGGCCAGCGGGCACCGCTGCCTCCCCGAGTTACATCGCCGGCGGCAGGAATGGGCGCAGCGGAGAGGGCTGCGGTGCGCAGGGTCTCTCGCTCTCCGCGGGGCCGACTAGCTTGAAGACGCGGCTGACGGCGGTGGGCGCTCCGGGGCTCTAGTCTGGGAGAGGCAGCCGTAAAGCAGCGGCGCTCCTCACGACGTTTTACAGCGGCTTCCAACAGGCAGTTGGAAAGGGCAGCTGGGGGCGCGGCCAGGAGGGCACGTGGTGCGAGGGACTGGCCGCGAGAAAGCGGAGCCAAAAGGGGCGGGAGCTGTGAGTCACTCCCACGCAACAGGGCAGAGGTTCGCCCCGCCTCGGCTGGCAGGGAGCTAACAGGGGAGGCGCGACGGGTCGGGACGGGCATTCGCCGGCCCCGCCCCCTGCCCGGCCTCACGTGACAAAGGTGTGTCTTGCGCACGCGCGTTCGCAATCTGGTTACCATGACGACGAGGCCCTCGCCGGTTCCTGAGGACGCGCGCGGAGCAGTCTTGGCAGTAGCTGTGGACTGGCCAGAGTGATTGGAGGTGTTTTCCTCGCGTCCTCCAAGTCTACGGGGCCTTCGCACCTCTGAGTGCCTGAGAGCCCCGGCTTTTGCTTGGGACGGAGGTACGGGACCACAAGAGGCCCCGGGGTCGCAGGTTATAAACGGATGAGACCGCCCTGGGCGGCCCGTGGTCCGACTGCTCTTGGGTCGGTCCCCAGCCGTCGCGACACACACGCACAAAATCGAGAATAAAAACCGAATCACACATAGCAGGATGGCGCAAAAAAGAAATGCGTTTGAGTTACTCATGTGTTTTTAAAATTCCTTTACGTTTGTATGCACTAAGGCCAGCAACCCAACTTTTAAAAATGCCGGCTCAGGCCGGGCGCGGTGGCTTACTCCTGTAATCCCAGCACTTTGGGAGGCTGAGGCGGGCGGATCACGAGGTCAGGAAATCGACACTATTCTGGCTAACACGGGAAACCCCGTTTCTACTAAAAATACAAAAAAGTTAGCCGGGCGTGGTGGCACGTGCCTGTTGTCCCAGCTAGCTGCTCGGGAGGCTGAGGCAGAATTGCTTGAACCCGGGAGGCAGAGGTTGCAGTGAGCCGAAATCGCGCCACTGCACTCCAGCCTGGGCAACAGAGCGAGACTCCATCTCAAAAAAAAAAAAAAAATGCGAGCTGGGCGCAGTGGCTCACGCCTGTAATTCAACCACTTGAGGAGACAGAGATGGGAGGCCCGCTTGTGCCCAGGAATTCGAGACCAGCCAGACCAGCATAACAAGACCACGCCTCTAAAAACAAAATTAGCCTGGCATGGTGGCGTGTGCCTGTGGTCCCAGCTACTCTGGAGGCTTAGGTGGATCACTTGAGCCCTGGAGGTCAAGGCTGCAGTGAGCCGAGATCGCGCAACTGCACTCCAGCCTGGGTGACAGAGTGAGACTGTCTCCAAAAAAAAAAAGAGAATTAAGTGGTATGCTGAAGGGGAAAACATAAAACCTTAGAATTACATGTGTGGCAAAAAGAGAGGCAGAAGGAAGGCAAATTCTGTTTCAAACAACTAATGGTTTATCATCAACAGACTCTAGGTAGATGGCTGGGTGAGTGCGATGGGATAAAGAAGGGTCTTTACATTTAAAAAAAAAGTCCAATATACAGGGAAGATAGAGTCAAAAAAGTGTCTCTAACATACTGTGTCATAAAGCAAGTCTTTACATATCTAAGGATTTATATCATAGCGACTATATGGCCACAAAATATATGAAGCGAAAATGAACAGAAGTATAAGAAGACAAAGAAATCTACCATCAGAGTAGGTGATTTTTCACTCCCTCTCTAATTGCAGTGAGTTGAATACAGCCTCCCACAAGATATGTCCATATCCTAATTCCTAGAACTTGCGAGTATGACCTTATTTGGAAAAACGGCGTTTGCAGATGTAATTAAAGTTCTTGAGATGAGAAGATCATCCTGGATTATCCAGGTGGGCCATCAATCCAATGATAGGTGTCTTTATAAAAGAGAGGTAGAAGAGAAGAGAAGGTAATGTAACCACAGAAGCAGAGATTGGAGTGATGGCATTCCCAAGTCAAGGAATGCTGACAGCACCCAAAGCTGGAAGAGACAAATTTTCCTCTTGAGCCTCTGGAGGGATTGTGACCCTGCCAACATGTAGATTTCAGACTTCTAGATGCCAGAACTGAGAATTCATGTCGGTTTTTTTAAGCCACCTATTGTGATAATTTGTTAAGCAACTGATTACAGGAAACTAATACATAGACCGAGGGGACCAAAAAAATCTTTAAGGTACTGGAAGAGTTGAGTAACACAATTACCAAGCTTAATCTAATATATATGTGTAGAATATTGCCTTAATGACCATAGAATACACACTCCTATCAAGAATATGCTAAACATTTACAAAAATTGAACATACTGTGTCATAAAGCAAGTCTCCACATATCTAAGGATTTATATCATAGTAACCACATTTTCTGGTCACTATATAGGTAAGTTAAAAATCAATAACCAAAAGGTAACTGGCAAGCCCCATATTTCCACTATTCCAATTAACTCATGGGTCATAAAATCATAATAGAAATTAGAAAACATTTAGAACTGATGGGCTTGGTACTAATCATAGCAATGTAACTTCCATCCTCTTGAGGGCCCTGCTCCAAGGGTTTTTACCCAGCACACTGATGAATACTGAACCTTTTGTGTGTGTGTTGTCAAAATGATCAATATAACAGCCATTTTTGCTGTAATTAAACTACTGTGACAAGACCTAATGACAGTTGAGCGAAACCAGTCACTGACAGGGGACAATTTCCCATAAGAAATCCTACTGAAGGGAAACCAAATGAACATATTGGTAACTGGTTGATTTTGTGGCATTATGAGACATTGTTATACTTTAGAGCATATTATATTTTAATAGTTATTAACATAAATCTTTGATTTGTTCTGGGTTGTGGAGATGGGGTATAACATTATTAGCAACATTTACCCAAAAACAGTGAACACAAGGTTAGTAGTTACTATGACGTTCCATAGTCGCAGATATTCATCTATTTGTTCGGTTTTTGTTTGTCTGTTTCTATTTCCCACTAGGCTGTGAATTTCATTAAAGCAGGATAAATATATGTGTAAAATTTCTGTGTAAGTTTGGATACATAAAGAGGAAACTAACTCAAAACTCAATAGCAGTTATCTAGGGATAGTGAGATTATGGATGGTCTTAATGTTCTTCTTTATATCTTTCAATGTTTTCTTGGTTCTCTACAATAAGTATGTATTATTTTTATAATCAGAAAAGAATTCTGAAACTTAAAGATTAACAAATAAAAACGTTAAGTATAAATTGGGATTCCATAGGCTAAAATGTTTGTTTTGGCTTCCAGAAGCAAAAACTCAAATAAAAATTGCTTTAAAATCAAGGCTGTTCATTGGCTAAGAGACTGAGAAGGTCTAGGAATGGTGGAGGTGAGGCAGGGCTCAGCCATTACTGAGCTCTGCTTCTCTGTGGTGTTGTCTTGTTCTCTCTTGTGCATGTTTCACCCTTAGGCTGCCTACAAAATGCCTGCCACAGCCCCTGGCCTCAGGTCTATGGACAAGAAGTCAAGATGAAAAGGGCCTGTGAATTCTGGTAGCTTTCTATTATGAGAAAATTCCCAGAAGCCCTCAGGAAACTTCCTCACAGTGTCTCATTGGTCCATTCCTAAACCAATCACATGGCACTTAGACCTGGATTCCAGAGCCCTTTACTGGAAAGGGTATGGACTCATTAGACCTGGATTCCAGAGCCCTTTACTGGAAAGGGTATGGATTCATTCCTGGAAAATAAAGCCCATTCCTGGAACTTAGCATGGGATCAGCTTCTCCCTAAGTACATTGGCTGAGAGGGGAAGGAGTGGCTAGAAGAACAAATATTGGAGTCAATCGGGAATGTTTAAAGTGCTGGGTAGGCTACAATTCCATTATAGGCCAAAGTATGGAATCCCCTAGAACTCCTATTACCTAACCTTACCCCAGCCTCTCCACTACCTGCCCTTCATAAATGCCTCCCTAATCAATATATCTATGCAAAATTATGTACATACTGATTAGAATCAAGAAAGACATAACCGGCCAGGCAGTGTCTGATATCTGTAATCCCAACACTTTGGGAGGCCAAGGCGGGTGGATCACCTGAGGTCAGGAGTTCAAAACCAGCCTGGCCAACGTGTTGAAACCCTGTCTCTACTAAAAATACAAAAATTAGCTGGACGTGGCGGCATGCACCTGTAATCCCAGTGTGTCCAGAATTGGTGGGTTCTTGGTCTCACTGACTTCAAGAATGAAGCTGCAGACCCTCGCAGTGAGTGTTGCAGCTCTTAAGGTGGCACGTGTGGAGTTTGTTCCTTCTGATGTTCGGATGTGTTCGGAGTTTCTTCCTTCTGCTGGGATCATGGTCTCGCTGGCTCAGGAGTGAAGCTGCAGACCTTCACAGTGAGTGTTATAGCTCATAAAAGCAGTGTAGACCCAAAGAGTGAGCAGCAGCAAGATATATTGCAAAGAGTGAAAAAACAAAGCTTCCACAGTGTTGAAAGGGACGGGGGCGGGTTGCCACTGCAGGCTCCGGCAGCCTGCTTTTATTCTCTTATCTGGCCCCACCCCCATCCTGCTGATTGGTCCATTTTACAGAGAGCCGAGTGGTCTGTTTTGACAGGGCACTGATTGGTGCGTTTACAATCCCTGAGCTAGACACAAAGGTTCTCCAAGTCCCCAATAGATTAGCTAGATACAGAGTGTGGACACAAAGGCTCTCCAAGTCCCCACCAGAGTAGCTAGATACAGAGTGTCAATTGGTGCATTCACAAACCCTGAGCTAGACACAGGGTGCTGATTGGTGTGTTTACAAACCTTGAGCTAGACACAGGGTGCTGATTGGTGTATTTACAATCCCGTAGCTAGACATAAAGTTTCTCCAAGGCCCCACCAGACTAGCTAGATACAGAGTGTTGATTGGTGCATTTACAAACCCTGAGCTAGACACAGGGTGCTGATTGGTGTATATACAATCCCTTTGCTAGACATAAAGGTTCTCCAAGTCCCCACCAGACTAGCTAGATACAGAGTGTGGATTGGTGCATTCACAAACCCTGAGCTAGACACAGGGTGCTGATTGGTGTATTTACAATCCCTTAGCTAGACATAAAGGTTCTCCAAGTCCCCACCAGACTCAGGAGCCCAGCTGGCTTCACCCAGTGGATCCAGCAAGAGGGCTGCAGGTGGAGCTGCCTGCCAGTCCCGCGCCCTGCGCCCACACTCCTCAGCCCTTGGGTGGTCAATGGGACTAGGCGCCGTGGAGCAGAGAGCGGTGCTCGTCTGGGAGGCTGGGGCTGCACAGGAGCCCACGGAGGCGGGGGCAGGCTAAGGCATGACGGGCTGTAGGTCCTGAGCCCTGCCCCGCGGGAAGGCAGCTATGGCCCGGCGAGAAATTGAGCGCAGCGCTGGTGGGCCGGCACTGCTGGGGGACCCACTACACCCTCCGCCGCCGCCAGCCCAGGTGCTAAGCCCCTCACTGCCCGGGGCCGGCGGGGCCCGCTGGCCGCTCCGAGCGCGGGGACCGCCGAGCCCAAGCCTACCCGGAACTCGCGCTGGCCCACAAGCATCACGGGAAGCCCCGGTTCCCGCCCGCGCCTCTCCCTCCACACCTCCCCTCAAGCTGAGGGTGCCGGCTCCGGCCTCGGCCAGCCCAGGAAGGGGCTCCCACAGTGCAGCCGCGGGCTGAAGTGCTCCTCAAGTGCCGCCAAAGTGGGAGCCCAGGCAGAGGATGTGCGGAGAGCGAGCGAGGACTGTGAGGGCTGCCAGCACGCTGTCACCTCTCACCAGCTACTTGGGAGGCTGAGGCAGAAGAATCACTTGAACCTGGGAGACGGAGGTTGCAGTAAGCCGAGATCATGCCGCTGCACTCCAGCCTGGGAGACAGAGTGACACTCCATCTTAAAAAAAAATAAAAATAAAAGACATAACCCATGTTTGTTTAATTATGAAATGCCATGTGGCCAATTGTCTAAAATAGTTAAAACATTGGGGGGGGGTGGGCTACAGAGACTTGGTCACTAAGAATTAGTCTTTGTACGGCTTTAAATACATTGTCACTTTCCCAAACAATATTTATTTGTAATTGTTCAATACTTTTTAATGAATAAGTGTATGACTAGCTTAAATCTACTTGAAATCCTATTTTATATCAAAAGACGTTTTTCTTTTTGAGATAAGGTCTTGCTCCGTTGCCCAGGCTGGAGTGCAGTGGCATGATCATGGCTCACTGCAGTTTTGACCCCCCAGGCTCAAGCGATCCTTCCACCTCAGCCTCTCAAGTAGCTGGGACTACAGGTGTGCACCACCATGCCCAGCTAAGTTTTGTAACTTTTGTAGAGATGAAGTTTCACCACGTTGCCCAGGCTGGTCTCAAACTCCTGGGCTCACCTTGTCCTCTCAAAGTGCTGGTATTACAGGTGTGGCCCATGGTACCTGGCTGAAAAGACTTTTCTTCTTTGGTCAACTCTGACAGCATAGCATGTACTATGCGATACATTAGTCCCTGAGAGAAAGTATTATTGCAATTTTTACATCTTTTCATCTATCATACCAACCTGGCATTTGTGGCATTGTTAGTAAAGGATGAAATTGCTCAGAAGTGAATAAGAGGAAAGAAGAGGAGAAAAAATATATGAGAAAAATCCAAAAATTATACATGCCTCTTCTAAGTAGTCAAGAACTCATTGAATCAGAAAAGACTGTAGTAGACAACATACAGACATATAGGTGTTTTCTCTTAATTGCTATTCATTTTAAATGGACTATTAATTACACAAAGGAATTAGCATGGAAAACATAAAAATTCAACTTTGATGGAGATAAACTATATTAGGATAAAGAAGAATGAATACTTGTGTTTAATCCCTAGGAGATTAGAATTGTACCAATACAGCATTGACAAAGAAATAATTTGTGAATGCATAATGCAGTTGGAAGTCTAACTGCAAAGCTATTGGAGTGATCTTGATTAGAAGGTAAGAGGATTATTGCCGTGTAAACTCAAGCCTCAACAGTTGCACACTGAGATTACTGATTACAGTGAAGATGGGTAGCCACTCGGGGGAGTATTCTGTATTCAGTATTTCTTTCCATGTTCAATTTTATTCCTTCCTTTTACATCTTAGCATCTGAATTCTAAATTCCATCCTAGCAGGGAAACAGAGGAAATGATGCAGATTCTCTCATAAGCCTGATGAATTTAGGAGCTGAAGGAAATGACTTGAGGCTGAAGGAGGTTGGGGGAAAACAAGCAGGCAAGAGACGGGGAGTTATGTCGACACTTCATTGCAGGCCTGTCCCTTTCACTCAGTCATTCACCAATATTTCTGTGTTCAGGTACTGTGCGGGGGCTATAAGAGTAAACAGATAGCTGGGTGCATGGCTCACGCCTGTAAACCCAACACTTTGAGAGCCTGAGGCAGGAGGATCACTTGAGCCCAGGAGTTCAAGACCAGTTTGGGCAACATGGTGAAACCCTGTCTCTGTGAAAAATACAAAAATTAGCTGGGCATGGTGGAGTGTTCCTGTAGTCCCAGCTACTCAGGAGACTGAGGTGGGAGGATCACTTGAGTTCAGAGGGGGAGGCTGCAGTGAGCCAAGATCACACCACTGCACTGCAGCCTGGGTGACAGAGTGAGACCTGTCTCAAAAAAAAAAAAAAAAAAAGTAAACAGACAAAAAGCACTCTGCTCCTCATGGAGTTTCCATTCCATGAGGGTATCAAGCACTAAACAACCACATGAGCCAAAGCATGACAAACGCTAGGAAAGAATGCCATGACTGGGCATTACTGAGAGAATTCTTTTACTTTGGGGGATCGAGGAGAACCTCTGTGAAAAAGAATATTTCTGCTAAGATGAAAGGATGGGTAGAAGAGAGCCAGACAAGTTAGGAAGAAAACATTCCAGGCAGAAGGGAGAACACAAGGAAGACGTTTGACATCATCTCTAAACTGAAAGAAAGGCAACAAGACTGCAGTAGCGTGAAGGGAAGTGGATGGGAATGGCATACGCAGAAAGGCAGGACACGGCTGGGTTATGCAAGTCCTCGTAAGGCCTGTTGAGAATTTAGTGTTTCTGTTTGAATGGAAAAGAGGTAGAGAAGTGGCATAGGATGTGACTTACATTTGATAAGGACATCTAACTGCCTTGAGGGGAGTGGCCTATAGGAAAGGAAAGAGTGAAAACAGAGACTAACTGGGGAATTGTGGCAATACTTCAGGCAAGAGATGATGGTGGCTTGGACTAGAAGGATGGCAGTGGATATAGAGAGAACTGGTAGGCTACAGATTTTGACATTAGACTGGACAGTTCTTGATGGTGGATTCGACATTGAGGACCAGGGAAAGAAAGGTTTCAAAGATGCCTTACTCTGGTATACACCGGGATAGAGCATCACATTCTATTCAAAGCTAGGAATTTATCAGATGCATGTAAGGGGAGGAAAGTTCAGTGAGCAATGGAAATGATGAATCAGCCATAGACTCCAAGCTGAATAAGAAAGTAAAGACAGATGGAGCAGATGGGTAGAGAGAAGGTAGAGTTTTTCATGGATGAGAGGTGTCCATGGGGTTGAAGAGCTATTGGAAGGGACATCTGTCCTTAAGCAAGAAACTAGCAGGATGGGTCATAACCCAACAGTAGGCTGAATTCATGATTTCAAAGGTATTGCAGTTGCTGCTGGTGACAAGACCTACAGTGGGAATAGCAGACATTGACCTTTGTTTTTGTTTGGCTGTCAAGTGCCTGATTTGCTTCCTATTTGTACACATTCACATTTGTTTGCTTTGGTGCAGGAAGCCAAAGGGTGCCAGACATTCCCTCTCCCCATACGCCACCATCAAGAGCAAGGGCACACATGCTGTGCTCAGCCAACCAGATCTTTCTGCCAAGGTATTTGAGTCTGAAGAGAGTAACACAAAACCATGGGAATCACTGGAAATGATTAATGACATCTGCAGAGTTCAGGTTTCACAGTAAGGGCAGGACTAGAGGCAATGGGTTAACCAAGCTGCCCCTCTGGTGTGACCTCAGCTGTATTCTCAACTGCCCAGATTTCCTTGCTTTCTGTCTGTGTTCTAGGCCAGTTTCCTCAAACTTCTTGTTGATTCTGTGAGCTACTCAACGTCCTTCCAATAAATTCCTCTCCTACTTTAGTTAACTGGCATTGGTTTCTGTTGTTTGCAAACAGAAACATAGACAGGTATAGTGGGACCTTGGGAGTGGTTGGCCAAGATGCAGTGGAAGCGAAAGTCCCTGGGCAGGAGGAGACCTCACCTCAAAAGGGGCCATTGCCATGGGCCCCACATTTTAAAGGGCTCTGTATATGCCCTTTGTATGCTACACACAGTAAATTTACCAAGGGTATACAGGCATTGGTATTCTGTGCTCAGAGCTGGCGCAGCGTAACCACACCCTACACATTCACTCTCGTGCCTCACAACACGCAACTCCCATTAAGTGCTTCTCTGCACTCTTGGTCCTCAGATCAGAAAGCAACCACATCTGGAGGCCATGAAGGTTTCTGGGTGGTGTCATACAAATGAGAGAAACTGCTTCAGAGTGCAGAGAGGATCTGAACAACAGAAGCACTTAACTGAGAGAGAAAACTAACTTCTCAAATCCTTTCCAGTTGGCATTGATGCAATAGATTCTTGCACAGCAAAGTATCATTTCCCAGTTGCACCAAGTGACCATTTTTGTGTTCTCATGCAGGGTCCTGGAGCTACTCGCTGCGTTAAAGCAATTTAATTTAGACAAGATAGATGAGACGTACTGGAAGAGTTCAGTGAAACAATAAATGATGTTCAAATATGAGTGAATGGTGGTCTTTAGTGGAAAATGAAATTACTTTCGTATTTGCACTATCCACAGTTACTTGGTGTGAACTGTCACTTACTAGAGAAAACTAGAGTTAAGTTTGTCTATTTTACTTTTTGAATGATTAATTTTTTTAATTTTTAAAGAAAATTTAAAAGGAAACAAACATGTTTGTATGACCATGAAGAAAATTAATGTATGATTTTCCAAAAATTTCCTTTAATTTCTTTGGAGATTATTTTTGGCCATTTTAGATCAGGATACAATCTGGAAAAAGATTTTAATAAATTGAATAACATGCTTCTGTTGTCAATTTTCTTATTACATCCCAGCATTAAAGAATTTGAAAGGAAAATACTTAAAAGTACTGTATTGATCTTGATGTTGCTTAGAGATAGTGAAACTCATATTACTGGTAGAAATTCGTATAACGAGGCCTGGCGCGGTGGCTCACGTCTGTAATCCCAGCACTTTGGGAGGCCAAGGCAGGCGGATCACAAGGTCAGGAGATCGAGACCATCCTGGCTAACATGGTGAAACCCCATCTCTACTAAAAATACAAAAAATTAGCCAGGCGTGGTGGCAGGCACCTGTAGTCCCAGCTACTCAGGAGGCTGAGGCAGGAGAATGGCGTGAACCTGGGAGGCGGAGCTTGCAGTGAGCCGAGATTGCGCCACTGCACTCCAGCCTGGGCAACAGAGCGAGACTTCGTCTCAAAAAAAAAAAAAAAAAAAAGAAATTTATATAATGAAATTAAAATATTTTTACTATTTTCTGTGACAGTGATTGATTATATACAGCCTAACCCCATTAAAATGTTTGAGCATGATATATTAAATTTATAGTTCATTTCCCATCTAAGTATGGCTTTAAGAACTTAATTGATAATTCCAGTTGCTCTGACCTCAGCAGAACATAGTTTCTGCATTTTCAAATTAATGAAAAACACCCTAAGAACCATAATGTCCCCAGAAAGGTTGCCTAATTTGTCATTACTCTCAATAGAACACAAATTATGTAAAAGTCTTGATTATAACAACATAATTGGTAATTTACTTAAAAGAAGGCAAGAAAATTAACTTTCATAAAATACATATAATTTATGAATTATGTATTTTTTTATTACTCATCCACATGTTGCCAGTCCATCAAAAGAACACCCAGACATACACAATAATAGTTCCATTCAGTCATCCTTGTTATTTTACCATAGCTTTACATACATTTTTTATTTTGTTATCATCTGAAGGTATGTTTGTCAAGGAAGGAGGATAGGAAGTGTGTTACTTAGCAGTTAGCTGTATGTATAACATTTAAATATTTAGACATACAAATGAGTCATTTTGCACTCTTGCTGCAAATGTTAGAATTAGGCCTGGTGAGGAGGCCAGGGAGGTAAGAGGCCAGAGGACTGGAAGGGCCATCCGTGGGGATGTTAATGTTTCCCTCAAGACAATGAATGATGACAGGAGCTGGCATGGAGATTAAGGCCATCCAGGAACAAAAAAGAGGAGGTTGGCCGGGCGCGGTGGCTCATGCCTGTAATCCCGCACTTTGGGAGGCCAAGGTGAGCAGATTACTTGAGATCAGGAGTTCAAGACCAGCCTGGCCAACATGGCGAAACCCCATGCCTACCAAAAAATACAAAAACTAGCTGGGTGTGATGGCACGCGCCTGTAATCCCAGCTACTCGTGAGGCTGAGGCAGGAGAATTGTTTGAATCCTGGAGGCAGAGGTTGCAGTGGGCTGAGATCGCACCACTGCACTCTAGCCCAGGAGACGGAGTGAGACTCTATCTGAAAAAAAAAAAAAGAGAGAGAGAGAGGGCGGGGTTGATAATGACCAGGAGATTGCTTCTATGAGCAGGTGAGGTGGAAAACTTCAATGGTGGGAGCCTCAGCGGAAAGGGAAGGGAAGGATTGAAATGGAAGCAGTGTGGGAACAAGGAAGACACCAACACCACCTCCCTATCAGAGGAATATGGGACATGAGAAAACAGTGTGCCCTTCAGAGGTCACAAGGGACGCAGTGCTCAGAGAATAGCTCAGGTTAAGGCAAGAACCTGCAGGGAATATTTCAAGCAAAAAATACATCAAAGAATGTGCTGCCGGGCGCAGTGGCTCATGCCTGTAATTCCAGCACTTTGCGAGGCCGAGGCAGGTGGATCACCTGAGGTCAGGAGTTCAAGACCAGCCTGACCAACATGGTGAAACCCTGTCTCTACCAAACATACAAAAATTAGCTGGGTGTGGTGGCGCACGCCTGTAATCCCAGCTACTCGGGAAGCTGAGGCAGGAGAATCGCTTGAACCCGGGAGGCAGAGGTTGCAATGAGCCGAGATTGCGCCATTGCACTCCAGGCTGGGCAACAAGAGGGAAAGTTCATCTCAGGAAAAAAAAAAAAAAAAAAAAAAACTCAGAGGTGTATTAAAAGTCATTGCTTGTACTTTGGGTGATGAAACAACATCGAGTGGTCCAGGGTGTCCAATCCCAATGGAGTCTTAGAGGAAGAGGGTACCTGGGCCTAACACAGTTTAGCTGTGGCCTGCAAGGGAGGCCCTTCCTGGCACTGAAATGTAGGACTGGATCTCCACTGTCAGCCATCACTGCCAGGTGCCATAGGCAGATCTGATGTTGGCAGCTGTGAGCAACAAGACACCTGGTTATTCGATCTTGGCACCAACACTCTCAATGGATTAACCCTGGGTAGAGGCCAGGGTGCCTTTTGAAGGCCACAGTAATCATCCAGGAGGAGTTGGTATCTATCTTGTCATATTTAAGAGGCAGCAGATACAAATGAGTCTCCACTTCACTTGTTTCACACACAGTCAGCTCTTTCATACATCATACCTCAAATTGCCTTTCATACTCTAAACCCAAACATCAGCTTTGGCACGGGGGTGCCTGCTGCTAGTCCACAGGTCAGTTTTGGCAGCAATCCTTTACGTATCTGGTCAATATTATATGTTTATAAAAATTGCATGTTTTGCCTCATTACTTCATAAAAATGAGTAGAAAATGGAAAACTGGATGATCTGATACCAGTGATTAAGAAAAAAAGCTATAAAGTTAATCCAATTTAGACACAGATAGAAACCATTAGGAGGAGGCAAGCAGGCATTCTAATCTCTATCCATCATTCATGGGACTTCAGCCAGTCATTCACGTGTTTAATTGCAACGTAAAGAACAAAATTAAGTTCAAAAGGCAACAAAGTACTATCAAGGACTGTTGGAAAGGACAATTGTAATTGAGGATTTTATAATATTTTTAGCTTTATGAGAACCGTTCAGTTGTCCCAACATTTTGAGAGGCATGTTTTGTAAGGAAACAGAGGCCTTCCTGTGCAGTCATCAGAGATTCAGTATCTCCGAGGTGAGAGTTTAAGCATCATCCTCAAGGTTTGAAAATGGGAAGGTCATTGACGTGGTTGTATAATTCTAAGTCAGGGAAGGCATCTGATAGCTGTTGTAAAGCGACTGGGTGCCTGGCCCATACCAGGGGCTTTTTCATCCGGCCTGGGCTGCCTTTCCTCTAGACTAGAACTCCCCTTAAAACCAGTGCTGAGGAGCCTGAGGGTGAGGATGGCCACAGCATTATACAGCTTTTCCATGTGGAAAAGAGCACCATGCCTAATAACACAGTCATGTGTTACTTAATGATGGTAATGCATTCTGAGAAAGGGGTTGTTAGGCAATTTTGTTGTTGTGGGAACATCATAGAGTATACAAACCTCAACAGCACAGCCTACTACACACCTAGGTTATATGGCATAGCCTGTTGCTCCCAGGCAACAAACCTGTACAGCACGTGACTGTACTGAGTACTGTAGGCAACTGGAACATGTTGTGGATCTAAACATACCTAAACATTGAAAAGGTACAGCCAAAAAATATGGTATAAAAGATAAAAATGGTATACTTGCATAGGGCACTTACCACGAATGGAGCTTACAGGGCTGGAAGTTGCTCTGGGTGAGTCAGTGAGTGAGTGGTGAGTGACTGTGAAGGCCTAGGACACTGCTGTGCACTACTGTAGACTTTACAAACACAGTACACTTAACACTAAATTTATTTTTAAACATTTCTTTCTCCAATAAGTTAACCTTAGCTTACTTTAACTTTTCTACTTTCTAAGCTTTTTAATTTTTTAACTTTTTGACTCTTTTGTAATAACACTTAGCTTAAAACACACGTTGTCCAGCTATACAAAAATATTTTCTTTCCTTATATCCTATAAGAAAACTTTTTTCTATTTTAAAATTAATTTTTTACTTTTTAAACTTTTTTGTTAAAAACTAAGACACAAACACACATTAGCTGGGCCTACACAGGGTCAGGATCATTAAGACATCACTAGATGACAGGAATTTTTCAGCTCCATTATAATCTTTTGGGACTCCCATCACGCATATGGTCCGTCGCGGACCAAAACATCCTTTATGTGGTGCATGACTATATCAGTAATATTAAGGCTACTACTAACAGTGATATTAATGGCAAACATTCACTGCATGTTAACTGTGTAGGATATAATAAATTCCTCTTCAAAGGGTTTAGCCTGTAAATTGTTAAGTACAATGAGTTCTGAGATCCTCTCCAAGGAACTAATGTATCAGTATGTTCAGCTCCCCTGTTCTTTGTCCTTCATTTTAAAGTTTAACTTCCTCATAGTTTCAGTAAACAACCTTTTCCACCAGTTTTAATCAGTAGTTCACATCTGTTCCCCTGGTCACCTGCTCCGTCCTGACTCATCCTGGTCACCCGCTTTTTTTTTTTTTTTTGAGACAGAGTCTCACTCTGTCGCCCAGGCTGGAGTGCAGTGGCCCCATCTCCGCTCACTGCAAACTCCGCCTCCCGGGTTCACACCATTCTCCTGCCTCAGCCTCCCAGGTAGCTAGGACTACAGGCGCCCGCTACCACGCCCAGCTAATTTTTTGTATTTTTAGTAGAGACGGGGTTTCACCATGTTAGCCAGGATCGCCTCCATCTCCTGACCTCGTGATCCACCTGCCTCGGCCTCCCAAAGTGTTGGGATTACAGGCGTGAGCCACTGTGCCCAGCCTGGTCACCTGCTTTCACCTGAGTCACCCTTGGTCACCTGCTCTGACCTAAGTCACCTTTAGTTACCTGTTCCCTAACCGTCTTTCCCGCTGAAGCTACTCACCCCATCACTCAGACTTGTACCCCTACTGTCTTTAAAATAGCCAATCGGAATTAGCTTAGACTGTGTGGTCCAACCCTAGCCAAGAGGGGAACGACACAGCAGTAGGGGCTACCTGCGTCAGGAATAAGAACCCCTTCCCCTACCTCGTTCAGGCATGCTCTCACCATTGCTCCATCCGCAAGTCGCACCCTTCTGTAGAAGTAAAAATTGCCTTGCTAAGAAAATTAAATTTATGTTTCAGTGCTATTTCTTTGGTGGCACCAAAAATTTATTTCTAACAACTGCATGCAAGACACTGCGCTAAGCATTTTCTATGGATTATCTTATTTAATCCTCACTAGAACCCTGTGAGGTAGAGTTTTTACAGCTGAGGAAGCTGAGGCTAAGAGAGCATAAGGAAATCCCACAGTGAGAGGTAGGAGGAGCTGGAATGTAAGTAGGTGTCCCCCGCACTCCATTCTGGAGGTGTCCACAGATGGCCCAGAGGGATGCACATGCCCTGGAGAAACGAAGATGGCTGGCCAGCAGGAGGATGGTCAGTTCCAGAGCCAGCCTGGGTAATAGGACAAGAGCATTTAGGTCAG
Source organism: Homo sapiens (assembly GCF_000001405.40). Classification (NCBI taxonomy): domain Eukaryota; kingdom Metazoa; phylum Chordata; class Mammalia; order Primates; family Hominidae; genus Homo; species Homo sapiens. Next base: position 118,770,497 of record NC_000010.11, read on the forward strand.
ACAGATAACACTTACCTCTGAGAACTGCTGGGAGAGTTCCCTCAGGTGCTGAGGGCCTGTCTCCTTCTTCCTGATACCCTCTTTCCAAGAGGCACCTCTCTCAATATTCCCCAGAGACAATGGAGGTGGGTGTGGGAGGGCTTGGCCACTCCCTAGCCATTTGTACTTTTCTCTTCTTCCCATCAGCTAACCTCCTTCTTCATCTTTAAAAGGTCTTCTCTTTCTCCTCTTTTTACCATCCTTTTTCCCCACCTAACTATGCCTTATACTGCCAACACTACCTAAAAGCAATGCTAAAGCTTATCCCTGTAAACCGAAAATAAAATTCTAAGCCCCACAACCAAATTGAATGGACCCGTCCTCTCAGCCAAGGGGATTTCAAAGAAACCTGAAAAACTAGTTCAGGCCATGATGGGAGGAGGGCGTTGAACATGCCTCATTATACTCTCCTCCCTTTGGCATATCGGGCACAACTGACCAGCATTAACATTAAAACAGAGATCTGAAGACAGTCAGAACAGACTGTAGCAATAAGATACTGAATCCCCACCTGACTCTAGTACAGCATCACATGACAGCAGGCCCTGAAAAAATTCAAAGTATTTTACCCCAATATATATTTATTTGACATAATCTGATATGGCCTGGCAAATATCTCTTTTGTGGGAAAAATTTACTGTCTATAGAGAATCCCCTTCCTTTTTCAGGTCTTCTTCTGATCCCGAAAAGACTGGCTGAGAGGCCAGCACCTTTTGAGGGTCTGAATAGGAAACACTTGCCATCTATTCCCTCTAAGGGCTGCCACCTATGAGACTTCATCTACATAATAAGAACCTTGATGTCCACAACCATTTATCTTAACCCAGACACTACTTTCTATTGATTCCAAGTCTTTAGATAATAGCATACCTCTCTCAAGCCAATCAGAAAATCTTTGAATCCACCTGTAAGCCCCCAACTTTGAGTTGTCCCACCTTTCTGGGCAGAACCAATGTGTACCTTACATGTATTGATTGATGATGTCTTATGTCTCCCTAAAAGGTATAAAACAAAGCTATAACCCAACCGCTTTGGACACAGGTTCTCAGGACCTCTAAGACTGTGTTATGAGTCATGGTCCTTACACCTCGCTCAGAATAAATCTCTTCAAATATTTTACAGAGTTTGGCTTCTTTGCCAATAGCCCTATGAAACATAGAGATGGCAGATATCTGATGGAGAGTCAAGAAGCAATTATTTGCAGCTGGATTTCTCTGATTATATTGCAGACTTGGGCTTGGCTCACCCAGACCTGCTGAGGATGTGGCCACACTAGTTCCAGGTGTGGACAGTTGGCAGCCTAGCAACAGCTACTCCCTGTCCCTATGGCCTCTGTGGATTTGCTGGCAGGCATCAGGCAACCATGATCTCCAGGAAAGATTCTACAAGATGAATCTTGATTTGCTCAAGCCAATCACGGTGATTCCTTAGGCAGAGTGATTGACTTAAGAACAGGTCTGTGCTGCAATCATGGCCAAAGAGTCATGAGAAGTCTACCAGAAGCTGAAGGGATACAAGAAGGAATGTTCTCTTCTTGGGGGGACGGGAAAGCTTGGGGCTGCAGGAACCATCATACAACCAGTCAGCGACTAGCGTGAGGATAGAAGCCAACATGCCAAAGTTGGCAGAGCAGGAAGATGGAATGAGTCCAGGTCCTTAAGGACATTATGAATGCAGATTAACCAACCCTGGAACTCTCTTATCTCCATGCTTCTTATTATGTTAGATGTTAAGTCCTCTTGAGGACTGAGCCATTTTCAGTTGGATCCTCCATTACAGGCAGCTGAAAACACCTGACCAAACAGCCCAGCAGCATCTGGGGACCCCTGCCACCAAGATATGTACCAGGTCTAAATCTGTACCACACTAGGGATGCCCTGTGAACTTGAGTCCAGTTATTACCACCCCAGACCTGGGCAAAATCAAAGTGAATAAGTGGGAAATTATGAGCTTTCCTTGAGGCTGGGAAAAGTGTCAAAGCACTTTACAATCAAGCCTAATTGAAAACAACAGCTCTTTAATCTAAATTTACAACATAATCAGCCTTCTGGTTACCTAATTATAATTAAATTAGATTGGCAGTGTATTTCATATGTGCTAATTAAAAGCACCAAAAGAAAAAGCTGCATTTGGTAACTCCCATGTCTATACACTCCCTGCTACAGCCAAGAGTGAAAGAACTCCCTGGGCTGTAAACATGGAGATGTGGGTTCCAGTTTTGCCTCTGCTCAAACTGGCTATGTGACTTTAGGCAAGTCACTTAGTCCCTCTGTCTCTCTCTCTCTTTTTTTTTTTTTTTTTTGAGACAGAGTTTTACTCTTGTTGCCCAGGCTGGAGTGCAATCGCGCAACCTCGGTTCACTGCAACATCCACCTCCCAGGTTCAACCAATTCTCCTGCCTCAGCCTCCCGAGTAGCTGGGATTACAGGCACCCACCACCATGCCAGGCTAATTTTTTGTATTTTTTAGTAGAGATGGGATTTCACCATTTTGGTGAGGCTGGTCTCGAACTCCTGACCTCAGGTGATCCACCCACCTTGGCCTCCCAAAGTGCTGAGATTACAGGCGTAAGCCACCATGCCCAGCCTCTCTCTTCTTATCTATGATTCCAATCAAAGGGATTCTTTCTGGGAAAGTGCTTGGCATTGCACAAAATGTCACCATTGATTAATTTTGCTTATTCTCGAACATAACTAAAATAATACAGTATGTACTTTTTGTGTGTGGTAAGAAGCCCAGTACATTTTTGAGGGCATTTCATTGCCAAAGAAAAGACAAGCCGAAACTAGGAAAGGTTTTGACTGTTCAAGCATTAAACAATCCTTGGGCCCCATGGATTGCACAGGCTTGAAGTTGGCTCTTTCTAAGTGGGGCAAACTCCCCAGCACTCACTTTAGATGTGGCCCAAGAAATAATGATCAAGGAGGAATCTCCCAAAGGGGGGGTCAGGGCCACCAAGAACAATGGATCAGGGTGCTCCTCCTAGGAGTCAGAATGGGGTTTAATGGAGGGACTCCATCAGTGGTCTCACCTCCCCAGTGTCTGCCCTTGCAGGATCTCACAATTGCTATAGCCAGGGGCTGCTGTCAGTCTGCCATTCTTCCCTTTCTGAATTCAAGTGTGTATTATTGTAGTCATGCTCTTCCTTTTTTTTTTGAGATGGAGTCTCACTCTGTCCCCCAGGCTGGAGTTGGAGTGCAGTGGCACGATCTTGGCTCACTGCAAACTCCATCTCCCGTTCAAGTGATTCTCGTGCCTCAGCCTCCCGAGTAGCTGGGACTACAGGCGTGCACCACCACACCCAGCTAATTTTTGTATTTTTAGTAGAGACAGGGTCTCTTCATGTTGGCCAGGCTGGTCTTGAACTCCTAACTTCAAGTGACGCATCTGCCTCAGCCTCCCAAAGTGTTGGGATTACAGGCGTGAGCCACTGCACCCAGCCAGTAGTCATGTTGTTCCTTCCTTCCTTCCTTTCTCTCTTCTTCTTTTTTTTTTTTTTTTGGAGACGGAGTTTTGCTCATGTTGCCCAGGCTGGAGTGCAGTGGCATGGTCTCGGCTCACTGCAACTTCTGCCTCCCAGGTTCAAGCAATTCTTCTGCCTCAGCCTTCTGTAATCCCAGTAGCTGGGATTACAGGTGCCCACCACCACGCCCAACTAATTTTTGGAATTTTTAGTAGAGACAGGGTTTCATCATGTTGGCCAGGCTGGTCTCAAACTCCTGACCTCAGGTGACCTGCCTGCCTCGGCCTCCCAAAGTTTAGGGATTACAGGCATGAGCCACCGCGCCGGGCCATCATGCTGTTTCTACTCTGCCTCTGTATGCTGGGTGTGGAGGTGGGGGCGGTGGGGAGTCATTTGGATAACTTGTGCTTTTAGTTTACGTGTCACCAAAGCAAGAGAAGTCGCATCCAAACTCAACAGAGGACTGCATATCCTCAGCTTTGAGCTGGATATGACCTAAGAGGTCTTTGAGATATTTCCTTTGGGGAGAAGGTTTGTATTCTGGGGACAGTGCGAGGCAGATATGTGCACACAGGTATTTAGCTGGTCACCAAAGATACATGACCCCCTTCTGGATTATGGGGTTATCATTAGGAAGCACCAGCTGTCCAGCCAGGGATAACATTGTCCAGCCCCCTTGCTACCTTTTTAAAAATTCAGATTGGCCGGGTGCAGTGTCTCATGGCTGTAATCCCAGCACTTTGGGATGCCAAGGCAGGTGGATCACCTGAGGTCAGGAGTTCGAGACCATCCCGGCCAACATGGCAGAACCCCGTCTCTACTAAAAATACAAAAAATTGCCAGGCGTGGTGGCTCACGCCTGTAATCCTAGCACTTTGGGAGGTTGAGGAGGGCAAATCACCTGAGGTCGGGAGTGCGAGACCAGCCTGACCAACATGGAGAAACCCCATCTCTACTAAAAATGCAAAATTAGCCAAGCATGGTGGCACATGCCTGTATTCCCAGCTACTCAGGAGGCTGAGGCAGGAGAATCGCCTGAACCTGGGAGGCGGAGGTTGTGGCAAGCCAAGATTCCACCATTGCACTCCAGCCTGGGCAACAAGAGTGAAACTCTGCCTCAAAAGAAAAAAAAAACACAGAAAATTAGCCAGGCGTGGTGGCGGGCACCTGTAATCCCAGCCACTTGGGAGGCTGAGGCAGGAGAATCGCCTGAACCTGGGAGGTGGAGGTTGCAGTGAGCCAAGATCGTGCCATTGCACTCCAGCCTGGACGACAAGAGCGAAACTCCATCTCAAAAAGAAACAAACAAAAAAAAGGCTGGGTGTGGATGGCTCACGTCTGTAATCCCAGCACTTTGGGAGGCCGAGGCAGGGGAATCATGAGGTCAAGAGATCAAGACCATCCTGGCCAACATGGTGAAACCCCATCTCTAAAAATGCAAAAATTAGCTGGGCGTGGTGGCACACGCTTGTAGTCCCAGCTACTCAGGAGGCTGAGGCAGGAGAATCACTTGAACCTGGGAGGCAGAGGTTGCAGTGAGCCGAGATCACGCCACTGCTCTCCAGCCTGGCAACACAGTGAGACTCCGTCTCAAAAAATAAAAAAATAAAAAAAATTGAGATGAAATTCACATAACATGAAATTAGCCACTTGAAAGTGGGCCATCCAGTGGCAGTTAGTATAATCACAGCGTTGTGCAGCCACTCCGTATATCAACTTCCAAAACACTTTCGTCACTCCAAGATTTGAAAAGCCTGTACCTATTAAGTAATCACTTCCTACTCCTCCCTCCCCGCAGCCCCTAACAACCACCAAACTGCTTTGTCTGTATGGATTGACCTATTCTGGATATTTCTTATAAAAGGAATCATTCAATATGTGGCCTTTTGTGCCTGATTTCTTTCATTTAACATACTTTCCAGGTTTATCCACGTTGTAGCATATATCAGCACTTCATTCCTTTTTATGGCTAAATAATATTCCATTGCATGACTAGACCACAATTTGTCTATCCAGTCATCCACTGACTGATACTTGAGCTCTTTTCATCTTTGAGCTGTTGTGAATAATGTTACACACATTTGTGTACAAGTACTTGTTTGAACACCTGTCTTCAATTCTTTGAGAATGGAAACCTAGAAATAGAATTGTTGGGTCAAGATGGTAATTCTGTTGAACTTTTTGAGGAATAGCCATACTATTTTCCACAGCATCAGCTTCCTTGGATTTTGGTGGGATCACGTGACTGAAAACCTGTTACTGCCGATTGCAAGTGAGCGGAGGGGATCTTTGTCACATTGGGGCACAATGCTTCCCACAGGCCTGGCCTAGGCATAGTTGACTGCAGAGGACTCCAGGGTTATACAGGAGGGAGGAGCCACAAGAAGGAAGGATGTACTTCCTGGATGAAGGCTGCCTGAACACAAATAGCCACATTTATGGTACAAACAAGAAATAAACATGTGTTAAGCCACTGAGGTTTTCAGGCTTTCTCAGCCACTGCACCTCATGTTATCTTAACTAATGCATCACTCAAGTGCCATCACTCAATTCCCAGCTTCCTGGTGGAGTTCCACATATGTGGTCCATTCCTGCATCTCAACTTGCCTGTATCAGAAACGATATTTGTCATTTCTATTTTTTTCCCCCATTATTTCTATTCTAGGCAGGGATATGTTGGTTGCAAGGATCAGAAACTATTCAAACTAACTGAAGCAGAAGGCAGGGTTTATTATAAGACTACCGAGATCTCATGAATGCTGGAGGTAGAAAAACAAAATACCTCCAAGCCTCCTGCAAACGATCAGAGGCATAGCAAAGGGAAGTGAAGGGCAGAGAAGATGCATGTCCCTGAGTGCCAGTCAATGGGGATGCCACAAAGATAGAGGAGCGAACTTTCACCATTTTGGTTTTTGCATTGAGTTCCTATCTTTAGCTATGTTGAATATGAAACCTCTGGTTTGTTAGGTGTTTCGTATTAGCTTCCAGGAAAATTCTGGTCCCCGGACTCCATTTATCTCTCCACCCTAGGACAAGGATCCTTATCTCTTACCATAGAGAGCCAAAGCAAGTACTACTGTTACAGAAACATCAGGGGCTCGGTCTAGGTCCTGCTGCTTGCCACACAGAAAGCCAATCATTGAGATGACAGAAGAAGGCTTTAATCGGGTGCTGCAGCCAAGGAGATAGGAGGAGCTCAGGCTCAAATCCATCTCCCAGACCAACCAAAACTAGTGGTTTATACAGCAAGGAATAAATGTAACAATGTGTAAGAAAACAGGAACTAGGTGGGGAAGGAAGCAATCATGATGAACGAAGGGCCTGGAGTCTTTTTGTCTGGATGGGGTGATCTGGTGAGTTTCAGTTCTTTGATACTTTTTTTTTTTGAGACAGAGTCTCACTCTGTTGCCCAGGCTGGAGTGCAGTGGCACAATCTCGGCTCACTGCAACCTCCGCCTTCTGGGTTTAAGCTATTCTTCTGCCTCAGTCTCCTGAGTAGTTTGGATTACAGGCGCCCGCCACCACACCTGGCTAATTTTTTTGTATTTTTAGTAGAGACGGGGTTTCACCATGTTGGCCAGGCTGGTCTTGAATTCCTGACCTCAAGTGATCCACCTGCCTCGGCCTCCCAAAGTGCCGGGATTATAGGCGTGAGCCACCGCGCCTGGCCTGATACTTTTTTTGAGAGGCCTGAAGGTCATTTCCTGAGGAAGGAACTCAGATAAAACAAATGTAAGTTTCAAGCTTTAAGACCAGAAGGGTCCATTTCTATGTGTGTATATATATATATTTATTTTTTTTAAATGATCTATGGGACATTGGGTCGGTTTCACTATCTCCACCTCCCCATCCAGGGCCCACGTGGTCTCTGGTCTCTGCTTCTCTCCTGCAACTGTTCCACACTCCGGATCTAGACCATTATCTTCTGCCTGCTTCTCCTTTCCTGCACTCTACTCCCCACCGGAGATGGCCCAGCCCTTACATCTGAACATCCAGACCTCACTGGCTTCTTTCTGTCCTCTGAAATCTTAAGTTGTGCATGCTCCACTCCTATTTGTCACCTGGAATTTATTGCCTTGTATGGCTGGTTCCTTCCTTAGTGCATGTCTCTCATCTCAGGGCACAGGGCAGGGCCACAGTTTGATGCCCAGGTCAGAACCTGGTTCTACCATATGTCACCTTGTGATCTCAAACAAGTTATTTAATATCTCTGAGCCTTGGTTTCCTCATCTATAAAATGCATAGAATAATCAATGTACTAATTGTGTTTTTAAAAAATAAAAATAAAATGGGTAGAATAATGGTACTCACTGTTCTCACAAGGATTTTTTTTTTTTTAAAGATAATGCAGGTAAAGTGCTTAATAGAGTACCTGATACACAGTAAGAGCTCCCAGTACCAATGGTTCCAACTCTCTCCTCAGTCTAGCAGGGGCTTAGTGAGTAGCAGATGTGATGATTGAGTCAGTCAGTGGTTCTTAGACTTCCAGATGATCAGACTCAGATGAGGAGTTTGGGGAAAGATTCCTGCCTCTTCCCCCTATGCAACTGGGTCAGAATCCCAGAGTTGGGTTTGGGAATCTGAGATTCTAATTATCAGCCAGCTTTGACACCTGCAACTGGGTCAGAATCCCAGGGTTGGGTTTGGGAATCTGAGATTCTTATTACCAGCCAGCTTTGACACACTCAGGGAGACTCTACCAGGCTGGGTGGGCCACCTCCAGTGGGAAATAGGGAGAAAATGCCGACATCCACCTCAGTTGGGTCTTTCCGCAAGCAGTCACAGGAATTCCCCCTCACTCAAGTCCTTGTTCAGTATCGCTTCCTGGGAAGGTGGCTGTCTCCCTCCAAGCCCTTCCTAGTCCCTCATTGCACTTTTCACTCCCTGATCCTGGAGTGTGTGTTTATTTTTCATCATCTGTCTCTCCCACTGTTCGATGAGGGCAGAGACTTGTGCCCCTGGCAGTGTCTAACACATAGTATGTGGCAAGTACATTTGGCAAATAAAAGAATGAACCAGTCTCTGTTAACCCTTGCTTTCCCATCACTTCACAAGATCTTGGGCAGATTTCAGAGCTTTCGGATCCCTTTCCTTATTGACGCTCAGCCCCGTCTGGTTTAGAACTCTAATCTCTTATCTGACTCCAAGATGACCCCCTCCCCACCACAGTTGGGCTTGCAGCTACAGGGTTTTGCACAAGGTCAAGCAATCTGCCTTCCCGTCTTCCTCCTCTCTGACCTAGGGGTGGAGGGAAGTTTGGTCTGTCTCTGGGACAACCCTCCCCTTCTCTTCTCCAGCTTCTTAGCAGTAGGAGCTGGGAGCTGGAAATTCAGGATAAAGGACAGCAGTCTCCTAGTGTAGCTGTCACATTGCAGTCTTCTCAGGGTTGGTGGGTGCTGCTTGCAGGTCTAACCCTTACTGGGGGCAGCTTCCAGAGGCTGGTGCCTTGCGGGATGCAGACATGAGTTCACCTAGATCCAAGGCAGGCCTTCCATTGCCTGATTCCCTAACATGAGCAACCTGGCTCCACTCCACCACACACCTGAGCTGTCTTCACTGGCAGTTACACCCACAACCTCTTGCTGCTGGGGGGTCCTTTTGCCTGGAGGCAGCCACCTTCCACCACGTACCTTGGACGCCTGGGAAACTCACACATATGGATGTTCAGGGCCACACATGGGTGGACAGGTGCCTGTCCCAGCCTGCTCTCTGCCCTCTTCTCCCCTGCTCAATGAGGCCCATCCAGAGATCGGTGCATCCAGAGATCAGCACGTCCAGGGCCTGGGCATTATCTGACCGGGATGGAGTACCAGGCTCTGCTTCCGCAGGGTACACCTGAGCCCTATAGGGATTCTTTTGCAATCTTCCCCCTTCATTGGGCTTAGAGGCATAATGAGGGGAACAGCCCCTCCTCCCACATATACACCCTGGGGAGAAAAGGAAATTGCCCCTCTCCCACAAGGCCCAGTACAGTGACTTCCTCTCTTCATCAGTCTTGTGGACCCAGAACCACAGGGCAAGTCCCAGTGTACAGGCAGTCCAACAACCAAGCACTTCTTTATCTTCTGATCAAAGCTTCCAGCTTAGAGACTCCGCCAAGTACAACGAGCCCATGGGCCTTGTGAAAGCCAGGCTCCTAATACAGCGATAGAAACATAATTATTGTTTCCTCCTCCCTCCATTCCTTCCTCCTCCCTCCATTCCTTCTTTTTTCAATTCTCCTAGTGGCTAAAGGACTATAAACTGAATTGTTGCATATGACTTCCAGGAAGTGGTTCTGAAAGAAGAAGGCAGGAATTTCGCCTTCTTCCTTATGGCTACAAGGTAGACATGATGGCAGGAGCTGCAGCAACTATCTTGGGCTATAAAGTAGAGACTCTAATATGGGTGCCAGAGCAGTGTAGTAGAAGGAGTTTCTGACAATCATAGAACTGCTTTTCCAACCCTAGGCTGCCTGCCTCTGGTTCATTTACACGAGAAAGAACCATACTTTATCTTGTAATACCACTCTTTTCAAGCTTTCTGCCTCTCACAGCCAAACCTCATCTGCTAGCCTTGCTCTTGAACTTGAGGCCTGCTCCTTTTTGGAAAAATTATTTTCTTGAAATAATCAGAACTGAAAGATAAATGGAAAGGAAATGACTTTTGCATTATAATTTAATATTTTTTAAATGTGCTTGTGCATGACTTAAATTATCTCTCCTACCACAGGTGGTACCTACCTCATGCTTTAGAAAAACCTCACAGGTTTCAAAGTCAGTTGAACCCAAGTTAGAATTTAGTTTCTAAGATTTACTGCTGTGTAACCATGAGTAAGTTACCCAACATTCCTAAACTTTAGTTTTGCTTTATTAAATAAAAATTAAAATATCTTTCTTCAAGAATTTATCAAACAAGTCCAGGCATGGTGGCTCAAGCCTATAATCCCAGCACTTTGGGAGACCGAGGCAGGCAGATCACTTGAGGTCAGGAGTTCGAGTCCAGCCTGGCCAACATGGTGAAACCCTATCTCTACTAAAAATACAAAAATTAGCGGGGCTTGGTGGCACGCGCCTGTAATCCCAGCTACTCTGGGAGCTGAGGCGGGAGAATCACTTGAAACTGGGAGGTGGAGTTTGCAGTGAGCCGAGATTGTACCACTGCACTCAAGCCTGGGTGACAAAATGAGACTCCATCTCAAAAAACACCAAACAAATTTTTATTATACATCTGCTATTTGCATGATATTATGCTGAAGATATGGAGAAAAAGACAGGTAAGACTTTGACCTTCATGGAGCTTGAAGCCCAATGGGGAAGAGATGAGAAAGAAAGCAAATAAATACACGAAATCATCACAACAAATAGTATACTGTAATGGAGAATAACAGCATGGGAACACTTGGAACTGGGAGCTCATTCCCTTCAAGGACTGAAAGAATAACCTTATGTAAAGCTCTGAGCACACTAGCCAGTTACATGACAGTCCTCTTCTAGAAGCTGCCAGACCTGCTCCCTTCAGACTGGGGCCTGCCGTAAACAAAGCCCAAGTGGCCCAGCATGCACCCTGTGCGTAGACCCTACGCAGCCAATCCAATCTGTGCTGCTTCTGTCCATCTGAAGATGGATGCAGGTCAGGATGGACAGACAGAAGGCCGTACACAGAATGCCACCAGGGAAAGCTATTGGCTGCAGAAGCCCTGCCTAGCACAGACTCTCTACTGAGCTGGCTTTGTTCCTTTGCATAATGGGCACCACCTGGGTCCCAGGGAATGCAACTGGCATCAATTAGTTCTCATAGAGCCCAAGCTGGAGCACAGCCTGGCTCTCCTCCTAGGTACTGGCTCTGGAAGCAGCCAGCTCCTGGTCTGCGTCTTTTACTCCTAATGACCTCCATTGGTGACCTCTTCCCAATCAAGCAGGGCCCACTAGGCACACAGCTGCCACCATGATGAGAAACCTGGTTCTCAGAGCTAAATGATCAGACCCCAGCCACCACTGTATGCCTGGAGGGGCCCGATGAACTAAGGACAACTTAAGCAACAGAGGGACTCTGAAAATTCTGTTTCTGGCTTTTATTCTCAGAATTTCATTCCATATAGAGGGACAGGCAGTCTAGAATTGGTGGTATTGCACAGCACCTAAGTGGCTACTATGCAGGCAGACAGGCAGGATGGGAGAGACCCAGTCCCTATCCAGCTGTTTCCAGTGGTCTAATCTCGGGCAAGGGACTTAACTTCCCTAAGCTTTGGTTGCCCCATCTTAAAATGGGCATGAAAATCATAGTACCTACCTCATGTTTTGGGCAAAGGATTAAGTGCAAGAATCCATGTAAACATATTTAGGAACTGTTCAGTGTGTGTTTGCTATGATTTATCTTCTTCATTTACTCAATAAATGTTTTTGAGCATCTAATATGTGCTAGGCCCTATTCTAGGCTCTGGAAATGTCACACATCTGATGAACATCCATTTGTTAGGCTACAAGGCATTTAAACCGGGCAAGAGTTTGTGATGTACCTGCCCCACTGTATGACTTGGCTTTTTCTCCATAACCACCCAGAAACTCAGTGGCTTCAAGCAACAGATGTTTCTGCTTTCTCATGACTCTATGGGTGATCCGAGCAATTCTTGTGTTCTGGACCAGGTTAGCCAGAGGTGGGTGGTCCAGGATGATACATGGGTCCTGGGCCTCAGTTGGGATGTTTGCAGCCACCTTCCCCATGGTTTCTTAACCTACAAGTGAGAGGTGACAGCATGCTGGCAGTCCTCAGAGCCCTCGCTTGCTCTCGGCACCTCCCCTGCCTGGGCTCCCACTTTGGTGGCATTTGAGGAGCCCTTCAGCGCCCCCTCTGCACTGTGGAAGCCCCTTTCTGGGCTGGCCAAGGCTGGAGCCCACTCCCTCAGCTTGCAGGGAGGTGTGGAGGGAGAGGCACGAGCGGGAACCGGGGCTGCGTGCAGCGCTTGCGGGCCAGCTGGAGTTCCAGGTGGGCGTGGGCTTGGTGGGCCCCGCACTCGGAGCAGCCAGCCAGCCCTGCTGGCCCCGGGCAATGGGGGACTTAGCACCCGGGCCAGTGGCTGCGGAGGGTCTACTGAGTCCCCCAGCAGTGCCGGCCCACCGGCGCTGCGCTCGATTTCTCGCTGGGCCTTAGCTGCCTTCCCGCGGGGCAGGGCTCGGGACATGCAGCCCGCCATGCCTGAGCCTCCCACCCACTCCATGGGCTCCTGTGCGGCCTGAGCCTCCCCGACGAGCACCACCCCCTACTCCACGACGTCCAGTCCCATCGACCACCCAAGGGCTGAGGAATGCGAGCGCAGGGCACAGGACTGGCAGGCAGCTCCACCTGCAGCCCCGGTGCGGGATGCACTAGGTGAAGCCAGCTGGACTCCTGAGTCTGGTGGGGACGTGGAGAGTCTTTATATCTAGTTCAGGGATTGTAAATACACCAATCATCACCCTGTGTTTAGCTCAAGGTTTGTGAGGGCACCAATCGACACTCCGTATCTAGCTGCTCTGGTGGGGCCTTGGAGAACCTTTATGTCTAGGTCAGGGATTGTAAATACACCAATCAGCACCCTGTGTTTAGCTCAAGGTCTGTGAATGCACCAATCGACACTCAGTATCTAGCTGCTCTGGTGGGGCCCTGGAGAACCTGTGTGTCGAAACTCTGTATCTAACTAATCTGATGGGGACGTGGAGAACCTTTGTATCTACCTCAGGGATTGTAAACGCACCAATCAGCGCCCTGACAAAACAGGCCACTCGGCTCTACCAATCAGCAGGATGTGGGTGGGGCCAGATAAGAGAATAAAAGCAGGCTGCCCGAGCTAGCATTGGCAACGGGCTTGGGTCCCCTTGTGCACTGTGGAAGGTTTGTTCTTTTGTTGTTTGCAATAAATCTTGCTACTGCTCACTCTTTGGGTCCACGCTGCTTTTCTGAGCTGTAACACTCACCGCGAAGATTTGCAGTTTCACTCCTGAGCCCAGCGAGACCACGAGCCCCCCGGAAGGAACGAACTACAGACGCGTTGCCTTAAGAGCTATAATACTCACCGTGAAGGTCTGCAGCTTCACTCCTGAGCCAGCGAGACCACAAACCCACCAGAAGGAAGAAACTCCGAACACATCTGAATATCAGAAGGGAGAGACTCCACACGCGCCACCTTAAGAGCTGTAACACTCACCGTGAGGGTCCGCGGCTTCATTCTTGAAGTCAGTGAGACCAAGAACCCGCCAATTCTGGACACACAAGGAGGGTACAATGGTCTTGTTCAGTAGGTGCCAGAAGGTCCCACGGTAAGAAAGAAGGCAAACACCAACTCACAAGCACTTTCCTCTGCTTGTGACACATTAGCTATTTTTACATTGTCCAAAGCAAGTCACAAGGCCAGAGTCCGTGGGAGGGGACCACCCAAGGGCATGGAACGAGGGAACCAGGAACAAGTGGGAGCTGTTACTGCCACAACCAACTACACTGACCCATTTCTCAGTGGTCTCCGAATGTTTTTGATCATATATCCCTGTATTAGTCTGTTCAGGCTGCCATCACAAAATAACACAGACAGAATAGCTTAAACAACAGAAGTTTATTTTTTCATAGTTATGGAAACCCAAGATCAGGGTGCTGGTATGGTTGGGTTGTGGTGGGGTCTCTCTTCCTGGTCTGCAGATGGCTGCCTTCTTGCTATGTTCTTACATGGTCCTTCCTGGATGTATGCACAGGGAGAGAGAGCACAATATCTCTCTCATCCCTCTCTTACAAGGTCACCAATTCAATTGATTAGGACCCCACCCTTATGACCTTATTTAACCTTAATTACCTCCTAAAAGCCCCATGTCCAAATACAGTCACACTGGGGATTAGGGCTTCAACATATGTATTTGTTGGAACACAGTTCAGTCCATAGAAATCTCTATTTTTTAAGACATTTGCAGCTCCAATACATGCATATTTATGTATACATTATATATACATTACATTAAAAATTTTTTAAAGATGAGTTAAAGATGTAATATTTTAGTGTTAATTTTGATGGCATTTTTTTATTAATAAATAATATTGCAAGGCACAATACACACTAAGGGTGAGCTCATGAATGACAGTGGACATAAATCCATCTTTCAAGGGACCCTCTTGATCATTTTAGTTTGGGGGGCAAAGAGGCTGACTTCTTGGCAGATTTCATTTTACCTCATAATGTGCTGATATAGAGCTGATACTAGCCACATAAGCTCTGCCAATTTCTTATGGTTTTCTGGGACTTATACTATTAGTATTATCTTTAATCTTCAATCTATAATAATCTATTAAAACATTTTCATTTTGTAAAGATCAATTTTGGTAAAACTAGATCATGGGCTGGGTCCAGTGCCTCACATCTATAAATCCTAGCAATTTGGGAGGCTGAAGCAGGTGGATCTTTTGAGGCCAGGAATTTGAGACCAGCCTAGGCAACACAAAAAGACCTCATCTCTACAGGAAAAAAACAAAAAACAAAAAAAAAAAACCTGGGTGTGGTGGCATGCACCTATAGTCACAGCGACTCAGGAGGCTGAGACAGGAGGATTGCTTGAGCCCAGGAGTTCGAGGCTGCAGTGAGCTAAGATCGCACCACTGCACTCCAGTGTGGGGGACAGGGCCAGATCCTGTCTCTTTAAAAACAAAAACAAAAAATGGCCTAGGTTGTGTAGTTTATAAATCCATCTACCCACTTGCGAATAGACCAAACTATCTCAGATTCCCCTGAGTGTTGATGTGCAGGTGGTGAGGTTACCAGCACCGGCCCCCACATCACAGAGCATTCAAGGCTGCACCTGTGCCATGGGTGGCAAAGGAGCCTCTGAGGAAAGCTATGACTGTCAAGCTGAGTCCGTTTTGTGCTTTGTGGGTTTTTAAAATTTTTGTTTAATACTTTTTGGTGTTCTACACATTCAGAGAAACTTTTCTAGTAACAAATGATAGAAATGATCCTTGAAAGTATCATCTTCTGAACATTAAAAGATTAGGAAAGTATAATTGCTTTGTTATTTTTTTAGCCCCAAAGTTCCAATATTTTTTCACACAACCCAGCACCTTGTGCTGAGCGCCCCACTTGGAAACCACTGATTTGCTTTATCAAAAAAAAAGTGGTTTTGTACATGATATTAAAGTGTAAAACAATGCCTTATGCCCAATGTTAGTAGCAACTGAATAGTTTATATAAAAGTATCTGGTAAGTAGGGCTTGGTCTTATATAAAATTGGAAATCTGGCTGGGCGCGGTGGCTCATGCCTGTAATCCCAACACTTTGGGAGGTTGAGGCAGGCGGGTCACTTGTGGCCAGGAGTTCAAGACCAGCCTGGCCAACATGGTGAAACCCCGTCTCTACTAAAAATACAAAATTAGCCGGGCATGGTAGTGTATGCCTGTAGTCCCAGCTACTCAGGAGGCTGAGGCATGAGAATCACTTGAACCCGAATTGCTTGAACCCAGGGGGCAGAGGGTGCAGAGAGCTGAGATCAGGCCACTACACTCCAGCCTGCAACAGATCAAGAATCTGTCTCAAAAAAAAAAAAAAAATCAGAAATCTATGGGATTGCGAGTGATTTACTCAAAAGAAACCAAAAAAGGCTTTATATTCACATGAGTCTGTGGCCCCTGGGGAGGATATCCTCAGCTCCCTCTCCACTTCCCTGACCATGGACTGGGCTTTAGGACTCTAGTCCTATGTCCCATTAGTTTTCTACAACTGTCATAACAAATTACTACAAATTCAGCCACTTAAAACAATAGAAATTTGTTCTCTTACAGTTCTGGAGGCCAGAAGTCGAAATCCAGGTGTCGGCAGTGTCAGCAGGGCCACGCTCCCTCTGAAGGCCCTAGGAGAGGCTCCTTTCTTGCCTCTTCCAGCTTCTAGTGCCATCAGCATTCCTTGGCTTGGACGGCTTTGCTCTGTCTTCACTTTGCCTTTTCATCCATGTTTCTGTCTTTTCCTCTGTGTGTCCTTTATCAGGACATGTGTCATTGGATTTCAGGCTCACTTGGATAATCAGGATGACCACTTCATCTCAAAATCTTTAATTACATCTGCAAAGACCCCGTTTCCAAATAAGGTCACGTTCGCAGGTTTTTAGGGTCATCATTCAGCCCACTGCACACGTTCTCCCTGCAATGTCAATGGATGAATTGGGGTCCAGAATGAGAGTTGGGGCACCGTGTGGACCAGCCTCTGTCTTTCCCTCCTTCCTGACTCTGCAGGGCTCCTCTGAACACCATGCTTTATCATGGAAGCCTTCCTCCTTGTATTTTACAGTCAACTCACATCTTCCATGAGGAGGAAATGCCTGAGACTTAGAAAAGGGGTCCTATGGTTCCTTCTCCCTGTCTTCCCACAATCATTCCATGCATTTCCTCTCCTCTATGATGCTTCAAAGCACTCTCTGGGCAACCACCAGCCTAGTTTCTGATCTCCAAAAAAGGAGCCACCCTTTTGGTGGGTTTATCATGTCAGCCCAACAGCAGTAAACCTGGCCAGCCCCATGGCAGAGTTCTTGCAAACAGGGAAGGGAAAAGTGGACCCAAGAGACTTTCTCTGGGCCTAGGAATCAGACTATTTTCAAGTCTAATCAGGGGCCGGGTGTGGTGGCTCATGCCTGTAATCCAAGCACTTTGAGAGGCCAAGGTGGGAGGATTGCTTGAGTCTAATAGTTCAAGACCAGCCTGGACAACATGGCAAAACTCCATGTCTACAAAATATACAAAAATTAGCTAGGGATTGTGGTGTGCACCTGCAGTCCCAACTACTTGGTAGGCTGAGGCAGGAGGATTGCTTGAGGAGGCAGAGATTACAGTGAGCCAAGATCACACCACTGCACTCCAGTCTGGGCAACAGAGTGAGACCCAGTCTCAAAAAATAAGAATAATTAAAAATAATAATAATAGGCAGTGCTCCTAGAATCTGAGGATACCCTGGCAGTTGGCAGGGCAGTGGTGCTGGCTTGGGGTGAGAAAACATCAGACAAGAAGACAGAAAAATAGCTGGGTGTGGTGGTAGGGCTAATGTGCCCCAGCCTTGAGGTCACACTTCAAGGAACTAGAGAAACAAGAACAAACCAAACCCAAACCCAGCAGAAGAAAAAAAAATAATCAAGATCAGAGCAGAACTAAATAAAATGGAAACAATCAAACTAACAAAACCTATACAAAAGATAAATGAAACAAAAAGCTGGTTCTTTGAAAAGATAAACAAAATTGATAGATCATTAGCGAGATTCACCAAGAAAAGACAAGAGAAGATCCAAATAAGCTCAATTAAAAATGAAATGGGAGATACTACAACTGATACCACTGGAATACAAAAGGCTACTGTGGACACCTTTATGCACACAAACTAGAAAATCTAGAGATGGATAAATTCCTGGAAATATACAACCCTCCCAGATTAAATCAGTAAGAAATAGAAACTCTAAACAGACCAATAACAAGATTAAGACAGTAAAAAAAAAAAAAAAATTGCCAACAAAATAAAGCCCAGGACCAGACGGATTCACAGGCATTCAAAGAAGAATTGGTACCAATCTTATTGAAACTCTTCCAAAAGACAAAGAGGGAATCCTCCCTAAATCATTCTATGGAGCAAGTATCATCCTAATTCTAAAACCGGAAAAAGACATAACAAAAAAAGAAAACTATAGACCAGCATCCCTGATGAACATAGATGCAAAAATCTTCAACAAAATACTAGCTAACTGAATCCAACAGCATATCAAAAAGATAACACACCCATAATCAAGTGGGTTTCATAGCAGGGATGCAGGGATAGTTTAACATATGCAAGTCAATAAATGTGATACTTCACATAAACAGAATTAAAAACAAAAATTATGTGATTATCTCAATAGATGCAGAAAAGGCATTTGGCAAAATCTAGCTTCCCTTCATGATTAAAACTCTCAGCAAAATTGGCATAGAAGGGATATGCCTCAAGGTAATAAAAGCCATCT
Source organism: Homo sapiens (assembly GCF_000001405.40). Taxonomy (NCBI): domain Eukaryota; kingdom Metazoa; phylum Chordata; class Mammalia; order Primates; family Hominidae; genus Homo; species Homo sapiens. The sequence continues at coordinate 118,788,959 of NC_000010.11, forward strand.
ATGACAAACCCTCAGCCAACATTATACTGAATGGGGAAAAGTTGAAAGCATTGCCCCTGAAAACCGGAACAAGACAAGAATGCCCACTTTCACCACCTCTATTCAACATAGACTGGAAGTCCTAGCCAGAGCAATCAGACAAGAGAAAGAAATAAAGGGCATCCAAATCGGTAAAGAGGAAGTCAAACCATCGCTGTTTGCCGATGATATGATCATATACCTATAAAACCCTAAAGACTCATCCAAAAAACTCCTAGATCTGATAAATGAATTCAGTAAAGTTTCAAAATCAATTCAGGAAGCAAAATCAATGTACACAAATCAGTAGCATTGCTATACACCAACAGCGACCAAGCTGAGAAATAAATCAAAGACTCAATCCATTTCACAACAGCTGCAAAAAATAAAATAAAATAAAATACTTAGAAATATACTCAACCAAGGAGGTGAAAGACTTCTACAAGGAAAGCTACAAAACACTGCTGAAAGAAATCATAGACAACACAAACAAATGGAAACACATCCCATGCTCATGGATGGGTAGAATCAATATTGTGAAAATGACCATAGTGCCAAAAGCAATCTACAAATTCAGTGCAACTCCCATCAAAATACCACCATAATTCTTCAAACAACTAGAAAAAACAATCCTAAAATTCATATGGAACCAGAAAAGAGCCCACATAGCCAAAGCAAGACACAGCAAAAAGAACAAATCTGGAGGCATCACATTACCTGACTTCAAGCTATCCTATAAGGCCATAGTCACCAAAACAGCATGGTACTGGCATAAAAATAGGCATGTAGACCAATGGAACAGAATAGAGAACCCAGAAATAAAGCCAAATACTTACAGCCAACTGATCTTCAACCAAGCAAACAAAAACATAAAGTGGGGAAAGGACACCCTATTCAACAAATGGTGCTGGGATAATTGGCAAGTCCCATGTAGGAGAATGAAACTGGATCCTCATCTCTCACCTTATACAAAAATCAACTCAAGATGAATCAAAGACCTAAATCTAAAACATGAAATCATAAACATTCTAGAAGATAACTTTGGTAAAACTCTTCCAGACGTTGGCTTAGGCAAAGAGTTCATGACCAAGAACCCGAAAGCAAATGCAACAAAACGAAATAAATAGATGGGGCCTAATTAAGCTAAAAAGCTTCTGCAGAGCAAACCAAATAACCAGAAGAGCAAACAGAAAACCCACAGAATGGGAGGAAATATCCGCAAACTATGCATCTGACGAAGGACTAATATCCAGAATCTACAAGGAACTGAAACAAATCAGCAAGAAAAAACAACGTCATCAAAAAGTGGGCAAAGGACATGGATAGACAGTTCTTCAAAAGAAGATATACAAACGGCGAACAAACATGAAAAAATGTTAAACATCACTAAGTATCAGGGAAATGCAAATTTAAAAACACAATGAGAAACCACCTTACTCTGCAAGAATGGTCATAAATAAAAAATCAAAAAATAATAGATGTTGGCATGGATTTGGTGACAAAAGAACACTTTTACACTGCTGGTGGGAAGGTAAACTTGTACAACCAATATGGAAAACAGAATGGAGATTCCTTAAAGAACTGAAAGTAGATCTACCATTTGATCCAATAATCCCACTACTGGGTATCTACCCAGAGGAAAATAAGTCATTATATGAAAAAGACATTTGCACACACGTTTATAGCAGCACAATTCGCAATTGCAAAAATATGGAACCAGCCTAAATGCCCAGTGACCAATGAGTGGATAAAGAAAATGTGTTATATGTACACCATGGAATACTACTCATGTGAATAGCATTCATAGCAACCTGGATGGAGTTGGAGACCATTATTCTAAGTGAAGTAACTCAGGAATGGAAAACCAAACATCTTATGTTCTCACTTACAAGTGAGAGCTTAGCTATGAGGGCGCAAAGGCCTAAGAATGACATAATGGGGGGCCGGGCGCGGTGGCTCGCACCTGTAATCCCAGCACTTTGGGAGGCCAAGGCGGGCGGATCACGAGGTCAGGAGATCAAGACCGTCCTGGCTAACACGGTGAACCCCGTCTCTACTAAAAATACAAAAAAATTAGCCAGGCGCGGTGGCGGGCGCGTGAACCCAGGAGGCGGAACTTGCTGTGAGCCGAGATCGCGCCACTGCACTCCAGCCTGGGCAGCAGAGCAAGACTCCGTCTCAAAAAAAAAAAAAAAAAAAAAAGAATGACATAATGGACTTTGGGGACTCAGGAAGAAGGGTGGGAGGGGGGTGAGGGACAAAAGACTACACACTGGGTACAGTGTACATTGCTTGTGGGACGGGTGAACCAAAATCTCAGAAATTACCACTAAAGTATTTATCCATGTAAGAGAAAACCACCTGTTTCCCAAAAATGACTGACATTTAAAAAAAGAAAACCCCCCAAATAATAGTAATAATAATGTTTAATTAGGTGTTTGCCCTTTGACCAGAGTTGCTGTATTTAGCAAATAAGAATGCAGGAGGCCCAGTTGAATTTGTTTTGTATAGGGGACAACTGGTATTTTAGTATGAGTATGTCCCATGGAATATTTAAAAATTTACAAATGCAGCCGGGCGCGGTGGCACACGCCTGTAATCCCAGCACTTTGGGAGGCCAAGGCGGGCAGATCACGAGGTCATGAGATCGAGATCATCCTGGCTAACATGGTGAAACCCCGTCTCTACTGAAAATACAAAAAAAAAAAAAAAATTAGCCGGGCGTGGTGGTGGGCGCCTACAGTCCCAGCTACTCCGGAGGCTGAGGTAGGAGAATGGTGAAAACCCGGGAGGCGGAGCTTGCAGTGAGCTGAGATCATGCCACTGCACTCCAGCCTGGGCAACAGAGCGAGACTCCATCTCAAAAAAAAAAAAAAATTACAAATGCAATATTTGGAACATATTTATACTAAAAATTATTCGTTATTCATCTGAAATTCAAGTTTAACTGGGTATCCCGTATTTTATCTGTCAACCCTACCTATGACCTTCCTTTCCTTCCCTCTTCTTTGCTTCCTTCTTTCCTTCCTCTGTTCTTCCTTCAAAAAAGCCTTTGTTGTAAGACTACTATCTGCAGAGTCCTATACTAGAAACAAATAAAGCATAATGTTCTTCAGGGTGTTCACAGCATAGGGGAAGGGAAAAAGCAGCAGCAAATGCCTTTAGCACAGTGCAGTTCCCCCACTCCAATAAATGTACATATAAATAGTTCAGGGACCACAGAGAAAAAAGCAATTAATTCTGTTTGGGGTAGAACCAGGTAAGGTGGAGGAAAAGAGATTGAGAAAAGGTGCAGGGTGCAGGTTCTTGGCCCATTCTTGATGGACAGGTGTAAAGCAATGGAGAGGTATTCAGGCCAAAGGCAAGTTCAGGCAAAGGTATGGCATGAGAAAGACACACTCTGTACGGGGGACATGGAAGACCTGCCATGGTTGGTTTGGTGAGGTGGGATCTGGATGTGTCTGTGGGTAGGGGTGGCTCTGATGTCAGGAGAGGGGATCAGAAACCCCACCTTGCTTGGAGTCAAGTGTGTAGGGCTCTTTATTCTATGCTGAGGAGCTGGAGCTTTCTCTGATGTGTCTTGAGAGACTGAATATACAAATGGACAGTGGCCAGACCTTAGATGACTGTAGACCTCTGATCCACAAACTTAGCAGTCACTTGCCCAGAAGCCAAACCACAGCCTCTGCAGCAATCAGCCAGAAAAGTCAGGCTTTGGGCAACAACTGCCAGCTTCCCTATTTTTTGCCCCTGCTTCCAACCAACTCAGGACCAATCACATAAAATGCCCTGTTTCTAATTAGTCTGCCTCCAGCTTCCCTAGGCCAACAACCTCCAATCAAAGTACATGCGAAGTCTTCCTTTTTCTTCACCATAAAGCTTCCCCATTCCCCTGCCTGCCTTTGAGTTTCTGTTCTAAATAAACAGCCTTGTTTTTTCTCATTTCAGTGGTTTTCATTTATTTCCTCAATATAGACTGTACAGATTGCTTTTGAAGAGGGGGAGAGGGAGCAATGGGAGTAGTTAGCTCTGTAAAACTGATACCCTAATATATAGTGCTAATAGAACAATAGGTAGTGGTGGCATTCAGAGCTAGAAAAATCTGCTTTTGAGACCCTTTGCTATCTATACACACATACCCACACACAATTTTTTAACGTTTAGACACACCTGAACAGCCTCTAATTCTTTTATACTCTAAAGAAAGATTTTAAATCGTTAAAGTACAGTTTTTTTTAAAAAAAAAAAAAAGGATTTTTAAAGTTACCCTTAATTTTATTTTTTATTTTTATTTTTATTTATTTATTTATTTTTTGAGATGGAGTTTCCCTCTTGTTGCCCAGGCTGGAGTGCAATGGCATGATCTCGGCTCACTGCAACCTCCACCTCCCAGGTTCAAGCGATTCTCCTGCCTCAGCCTCCCAATAGCTGGGATTATAGGTGCCCACCACCACGCCCAGCTAAGTTTTTGGACTTTTAGAAGAGACAGGGTTTCACCATGTTGGCCAGGCTGGTCTTGAACTCCTGACCTCAGGTGATCCACCTGCCTCGGTCTCCCAAAGTGCTGGGATTACAGGCATGAGCCACCACACCCAGCCCAATTTTATTTTCAATGTAATATTTTCTTTCTTTCCTCTTGTGTGGTAGATTGCATCATTGACTCCAGTTTGTCACCCTTCCCTGTATTTACACCCTCGGTCATTTGACTCTGGGACTTTCCATGAAGTGGGCATCACATGGCTTTCTGCCCCACCGATGCCATGGTTGGCCACGAGACCTGCTTTGGCCAATGGGATGTTGGCAGACATGATGCAAGAAGAGGCTTGGAACAGACCTACACTCCGGGCCTGGGCTTTTGTACCTCAACCGTCTTGGCGAGAAGAACATGCCCAAACCAGTCTGTGGTTGCAGGAGAAGGATAAGAGTCAGGTGGAGCTGAGCCATGTCCAGCCAGGCCTAGTCTACTTTAGACTACCTCCAGCTGACCCACAGACAGATGAGCTCAATCAATGGCTATTATTGTTTTATGCCGCTGAAATTGTTGTGGCTGTTACGCAGCATTTCTATATAATAGTTGAATATTACACTCCTTGACTTCAGAAGTTGAAGAAATGTTTTGTTATTTTTAACGTGATTGGTTTTTTTGTTTGTTTGTTTTGTTTTTGAGACAGTCTCACTCTGTTGCCCAGGCTGGAGTGCAGTGGTGCAATCTTGGCTCACTGCAACCTCTGCTTCCCAGGTTCAAGAGATTCTCGTGCCTCAGTCTCCCGAGTGGCTGGGACTACAGGCGTGCCACCACGCCCAGCTAATTTTTTGCATTTTTAGTAGAGACAGGGTTTCACCATGTTGCCCAGGTTGGTCTTGAACTCCTGAGCTCAGGCAGTCCACCCACCTCAGCCTCCCAAAGTGTTAGGATTACAGGTGTGAGCCACCATGCCAGGCCTTAATAAGTGATTGTTAATGGCAGCTCTTATTGGTTGTCTACCCAAATCCATTCTTTGCTGCTGGTAGAACCTTGATTTTCTTCAGGATTTTACCCTCTGCCTAGCCTGGACAAGCACCAGGGAAGGTGCCCTCTTCAACTATAGGGAAAAAATCTTAACCAATCCAAGCCAAGTGTAGCTTGCTGGCAATTGGTTGAAGAGAGAGCATATAACACAGTTACAGCCAATGAGATGTGAGGAGTCAGCTGAGGGGCTTTCTGGAAAGGCTTCCCTCCTCTTTGAAAGAGATCCATGAGATGATTCTTCCTTTTATCATTCCAGTAGACTTTTGGAACTGTTGCCGCCATCTTGGGACCATGAGGGGGCCAGCAAGAGGACAAACCAACAGGCTGAAGAAGACAGACTGGGAAGAGCCCAAGTTCAAAATGTCATTGAAAATCCACCCAATTGGCAAGCCTTGGAGCTGCCCTAACTCAGGGCTACTTGGTACCTGTCCTCATGGTTTAGGCCACCTTTCTTTGCAGGTTGTGTTCCTTATAGTTCAATTCTTCCTAGATGATTCAGATACCCCCTCAGAAGAGGAAAATCCAAGTTATAGAGAGTGATGTATAGGTTTTCTTTTCTTTCTCATGTTTCTATCCAAGTGATTCATCCCTGAGTGAGGACCTCTAACAAACTCTTTAAAGATGGGCTTAAAGAATGTTCACTCCAGGCAGCCCCTGCCCGGCCAGCCCCCCCGTCCGGGAGGTGGGGGGCGCCTCTGCCTGGCCACCCCTTCTGGGAAGTGAGGAGCCCCTCTGCCCAGCTGCCACCCCATCTGGGAGGTGTACCCAACAGCTCATTGAGAATGGGCCATGATGACGATGGCGGTTTTGTCGAATAGGAAAGGGGGAAATGTGGGGAAAAGATAGAGAAATCAGATTGTTGCTGTGTTTGTGTAGAAAGAAGTAGACATAGGAGACTCCATTTTGTTCTGTACTAAGAAAAATTCTTCTGCCTTGGGATGCTGTTGATCTATGACCTTACCCCCAACCCGGTGCTCTCTGAAACATGTGCTGTGTCCACTCAGGGTTAAATGGATTAAGGGTGGTGCAAGATGTGCTTTGTTAAACAGATGCTTGAAGGCAGCATGCTCGTTAAGAGTCATCACCACTCCCTAATCTCAAGTACCCAGGGACACAAACACACAGGGTCCTCTGCCTAGGAAAACCAGAGACCTTTGTTCACTTGTTTATCTGCTGACCTTCCCTCCACTATTGTCCTATGACCCTGCCAAATCCCCCTCTGTGAGAAACACCCAAGAATGATCAATAAAAATAAAAAAAAAATTAAAAAAAAAAAAAAAGAATGTTCACTCCAGAACTCCCATTCACAATTGCTACAAAGAGAATGAAATATCTAGGAATACAATTTACAGGGGATGTGAAGGACCTCTTCAAGGAGAACTACAAACCACTGCTCAAGGAAATAAGAGAGGAAACAAACAAATGGAAAAACATTCCATGCTCATGGATAGGAAGAATCAATGTCATGAAAATGGCCATACTGCCCAAAGTAATTTATAGATTCAATGCTATCCCCATCAAGCTACCACTGACTTTCTTCACAGAATTAGAAAAAAAGTACTTTAAATTTCATATAGAACCAAAAAAGAGCCCATATAGCCAAGACAATCCTAAGGAAAAAGAACAAAGGTGGAGGCATCACGCTACCTGACTTCAAACTATACTACAAAGCTACAGTAACCAAAACAGCATGGTACTGGTACCAAAACAGATATATAGACCAATGGAACAGAAGAGAGGCCTCAGAAATAACACCACACATCTACAACCATCTGATCTTTGACAAACCTGACAAAAACAAGCAATGGGGAAAGGATTCCCTATTTAATAAATAGTGTTGGGAAAACTGGCTAGCCATATGCAGAAAACTGAAACTGGACCCCTTCCTTACACCTTATACAAAAATAAATTCAAGATGGATTAAAGACTTAAATGTTAGACCTAACACCATAAAAACCCTAGAAGAAAACTTAGGCAATTACATTCAGGACATAGGCATTGACAAAATCTTCATGACTAACACACCAAAAGCAATGGCAACAAAAGCCAAAATTTACAAATGGGATCCAATTAAACTAAACAGCTTCTGCACAGCAAAAGAAAGTATCATCAGAGTGAACAGGCAAACTACAGAATGGGAGAAAATTTTTGCAATCTACCCATCTGACAAAGGGTTAATATCCAGAATCTATGAAGAACTTAAACAAATTTACAAGAAAAAAAACAAACAACCCCATCAAAAAGTGGGCAAAGGATATAACACACTTCTCAAAAGAAGACATTTATGCGGCCAGCTAACATATGAAAAAAAGCTCATCATCACTGGTCGTTAGAGAAATGCAAATCAAAACCACAATGAGATACCATCTCACGCCCATTAGAATGGCAATCATTAAAAAGTCAGGAAACATCAGATGCTGGAGAGGATATGGAGAAATAGGAATGCTGTTACACTGTTGGTGGGAGTATAAATTAGTTCAACCATTGTGAAAGGCAGTGTGGCAATTCCTCAAGGATCTAGAACCAGAAATGCCATTTGACCCAGCAATCCCATTACTGGGTATGTACCCAAAGGATTATAAGTCATTCTACTATAAAGACATATGTACATGTATGTTTACTGCAGCACTGTTCACAATAGCAAAGACTTGGAACCAACCCAAATGCCCATCAATGATAGACTGGATAAGGAAAATGTGGCACATATACACCATGGAATACTATTCAGCCATAAAAAGGATGAGGTCGTGTCCTTTGCAGGGACATGGATGAAGCTGAAAACCATCACTCCCAGCAAATTAACACATGAACAGAAAACCAAACACTGCATGTTCTCACTCATAAGTGGGAGTTGAACACTGAGAACACATGGACACAGGGAGGGGAACATCACACACTGGGGCCTGTTGGGGAGTGGGGAGCTAGGAGAGGGATAGCTTTAGGAGGAATACTTAATGTAGATGACGGGTTGATGGGTGCAGCAAACCACCATGGCACGTGTATGCCTATCTAACAAACCTACATGTTCTGCACATGTATCCCAGAACTTAAAGTATAATAATAATTAAAAAAAAAAAAAAAGAATGTTCACTCCAATAGATGGCTCTGAGATTTGACTTTGAGGGTTTTACCAGGGCTCTACTATGTTAGGAAATTACTTCTGGCCTCTCTATATGACTCTTTGATCCTTTCCCCAGTGAAATGGGGATCCCCTGAGGACAACTTCAGAACCTGGCAAGTGCAAGAAGAATTTCAACTATACAATTCCTTGGTAACATCCATCCTTCCAAAGAGAGACTTCTAGGCTCTATTGACTTGGAGTTGCTTTAAGTAGCAAGGGTGAAGTTGACCTTTTTTACATATTGGCAGCAAAATTACAAAAATCAAAGTCAATCCGCAAGAATGATCTTTCTCCAGAACAATGAGCATACTTCACTGGTGTGATATATTTCAGTTCAATAGACAGTATCTTCAGAAAACACATTAAAATGTCATTAGATTTCATCTAAACTTGCTGGTAATTTCGGTAACCTGACTATCTCTCCCTCCTCCCACCCTGTGCTCAACAGAAACAAGCTCATACCAAATTAACATTCATTTTGTTAAAACTAAATCTCAGACCACCTTCTGGACTTGCCCAGCTTTCTCCTTCCTCTGGGCCACTCGCTGGTTCTTTTCTCCTCTGGAATGACTCTCTCCCACTTACAACCTGGCAAACTCATCATCTGACAATACAAAGTTCACAGGTCAATTCCTCCTCAAAACCTTGCCTTGGACCCCTGAGGCAACACCACATAGAGGGGAGGTTGAAGTCAGGCTGACCTGAGGGTGGATCGAGCTCTGTACCCAATTAGCTGGGTGACCTTTGCCAAGGAAGCCAGTTTCTCTGAGCCAAGTGTCAGCTTTCTCGCCTGTAAAATATGAATCATGATTACCCCTGCCTTGGGCTTGTGCTGAGGATGAGATGAGCTCATGTAAGAATCCCTGGCACAGAGTTAAGGACTCAATGTGTTTTGGCTGTTGCTACAGGATACCTTCCCAAAGAATCATAAAGCTTTATAGCAATAAGGGACTTCAGAGTAGCTCTTCTCGACCTTCCATGTACAAGCCAATCACCTGGGGACACAGATTCTGAAGTCCTGGTGCAATGCCTGAATTTTTTTTTTTTTTTTTTTTTTTTTTTTTTGCGTTTCTTGCAAGTTTCAGAGTGCTGCAGATTCCCCTTGTCCCAGGAGCACACTTTGAAATGGCAAGACTTTAGGAGACATTGACTTCCTGCTCATTTTACAGAAAATAAGCATGAAGCCCGAGAAGAGCTGCTCCTAGCCCAAAAGGATCCAGAAAGCTGCTGAGAAAGGCAACACAGAACACAATCTGCTGGTGGAGTTTGAGGAGAGATTCACTCTCAAAGCAATTGCTGATCAGAAACAACTTTGTGAGGTTTATCTGTAAATTGTGAATACATTTCCTCCACCCAAGAGCCAGTACTCTGCTTGCTGAACAAGGTAAGCTTTATTCCTGCCTCTGAGATGGGAGGAAGATTGGGTGAGACGGACAATTTCAAGAACAAAGACATTAAGCTAAAATGAGTGGTATTCTATCTGGGGAGAAGCGGAAACACATTACCCAAGGGCCTGTGGCATAAAACATAGCTTAGAAGGAGCAGCTGTGGGTTGGTTGGTTTGTTTTAGACAGAGTTTTGTTCTTGTCGCCCAGGCTGAAGTGCAATGGCGTGATCTCGGCTCACTACAATCTCCACCTCCCGGATTCAAGCGATTCTCCTGCCTCAGCCTCCCGAGTAGCTGGGACTACAGGCATGCGCCACCAAGCCCGACTAATTTTTTTATTTTTAGTAGAGACAAGATTTCACCGTGTTGGCCAGGCTGGCCTTGAACTTCTGACCTAAGGTGATCCACCTGATGTCTCTCTCGCCCAGAGTGCTAGGATTACGGATGTGAGCCACCACACCTGGCCACAGCCGTGGGTTTTTACTCTTCTCAGAATATCCTAAAAAAATCAAAGTTTTCAGGAAATTGGGGGAGAGTGCAGGAACAGTCATCGCTTTTCCAACGTAAGATAATTTCCAGATTTGCAACATTCGGGAAATGAGCACAACTCACTCCTCTTTGAGGCAGCACCCAGCTGATGCAGCTCCATTGTGTGGCCAACTGAAAGGGTCCTGCAGTTTTCCTAAGTGTATCCCAGAGTTATTTCTTCATGAAGAGGACCTAAGCCATTCCATTCCATGGTCCGTGGTGCTGCCCAAAAGCCCATCACATGTACGGCCACTGTGGGTGCTTCCTTTTTCCGACATCTGACCCTTTATCCCATTTGGCTTACTCCAAAAGCTCAGCCCATGCTCCCAGGCATGGATAGGAAGGAACCCACTAAAAAAAAAAATGCACTATTCATTGAAAGTGCTAGAACCCGCCAGTCTCCAAATGCAGTCCTTTTGAAAAGGCATGACTCAGTCCTGAGTAACATCTGATACTTAACAAACGTCCATGAGCCATAACACCTCCTGGTGTCTGAGTGGTTTTCCCATCAACCTCTAAAATAAAAGCAAATCAGTTAGCCAGGTGCTGCATATGCTCAGAAGGCTATAGAAGCTCAGAGGTACAAGCACCTGGAGAAAATATATCAACCCTTCTGCATTATAACAACAATTATTGCAGAAATTCTTGTCATTGTCTATCAAAGTGAAATCAACGAACCCCCACAAGTTTCTGTACTGTTTGCTAGAAGTAAAGAGACAAATGAGACAAACAGCTCTTGCCCTCAGAGAGTTGACAATCTAGTAGAAGAAGGAAGAAGCCATCCAAATAACTAGGAAACAAGGTAAAGAGCAGCTTCTGCTCTAAAAAGGCAGTAGGATTGCTGAAGGAGGGGAATGTGAACCCTGGTCTTGCCCTTCAGGCAGTTTTTCATAGTTAATGATCCTGCATTCTCAAATTGCATAGGTATGTCTCAAATATGAGACAAGCCTTCTAATTTACAAGTAAGTGAACAGAAAAACTGTACACAGGCAGTCCTCTGCTTTTGTAAATATGAAAATATGTATCAAATTAACTGTATAGAGTGCAATTAGAGACTTACACATTATAAGTGGTTGTTCCATCCCAGGCAGCACTGTAGAGTTGGTAAGGCTGTACACTACACAAGGGCATCTGACCAAGGGTTAGACTGAAATCTAGATGTGTATCCTGATGTAGAGTTGTACTTATCCAGAAAAGAAAGGAATTCCTTTTCCCAATTTGCACAAGACACCATTTAGCTCGTAGTGGCCCTGATTCTGAGAGGTCCAAAATAGTTTTAAATTCCAGTTACATATTTATAGCATTTTCTTATATGTTGTTCTTTTCCTTTGCCATTAAGTCTACAGTGGACCCACTTAAGTCCAGTAAGCATTCAATTGAACTCAAAGATTGGCCACTGATCTCCATTTTGGAAGCAAGTGTATTAAGCATAGAAAACTTATATTGCTTATTTTTGAGATTACTCTTTTTTTCTACTTTCCACTTGTTTTTGTAAAACAACATGGACAAAGCACAGTAAAATGTTCAAATAGTTACGCATGTTCTGTTGAACAAAGAGAGCAACTGCCCACAGTGAATGGTTGGCTGGCAGGCAGCACCACCTGGGGGCAGCTCAAATTATTTTTCTCAGTAGTTAGTGTATGACAGTCCACATCTGTTATGTCCTGTAACAGAGCAATTAGGGGTGTCAGTGTTTAAAATGCTTATCTGGGCCAGGTGTGGTGGCTCACGCCTGTAATCCTAGCACTTTGAGAGGCTGAGGCGGGCAGATCACGAGGTCAGGAGTTTGAGACCAGCCTGCCCAACATGGTGAAGCACCATCTCTACTAAAATACAAAAATTAGCCGGGCGTGGTGGCGGGCATCTGTAATCCCAGCTACCTAGGAGGCTGAGGCAGGAGAATAGCTTGAACCCGGGAGGCAGAGATTGCAGTGAACCGAGATCATGCCATTGCACTCTATCCTGGACAACAGAACAAGACTTTGTCTCGGGAAAAAAAAATGCTTATCTGATTATCCCATTGAGGACAGCCTCTAACGCCATACCAAACATTAAGTGGGTAACCTCCTGCTTGATGCTGAGAATTCCTGGCAACTTCTCCCCAGTGCCTTTTTCCCTAATGCTTTATTCTCGGACTGGTCAGAGAGTCTTTGAACTCCCATAAACTCCTGTGTCATTCTTGTACACTTACCACATCTCTCTGCCTCTTTGGCATAGTCTGGGAGCAGCCAGGAATCACCTCTCGGCTCCACCTCCATAGCAACTGCCCTCTCAGAGGATCCACCTCCTCAGAGGGACTAGGAGCTCCTAGGTCAGGAAATGGCAGTGGCTGATGTAGCCTGATCTCCACCAGAAGTGGACGCTCCTCTTTGTTGCTGCCTGGTGAAGCGGGGGACTTATTTACTTTCACTGAAGATCTCCTTTAATTTTTTCTTTCCTCCTTCACTTTTCCTAATTTGGTTTTTCATTCATAGATGCATGCCTTTTTTTTTTTTTGAGACGGAGTCTCACTCTGTTGCCAGGCTGGAGTGTGGTGGCACGATCTCGGCTCACTGCAACCTCTGCCTCCTGGGTGCAAGAGATTCTCCTGTCTCAGCTTCCTGAGTAGCTGGGACTACAGGCGTGCACCACCACGCCCAGCTAATTTTTGTATTTTTAGTACAGACAGGGTTTCACCATGTTGGCCAGGCTGGTCTCGATCTCTTGACCTTGTGATCTGCCCACTTCAGCCTCCCAAAGTGCTGTGATTACAGGCGTGAGCCACCCCCCCCCCAGCCAGATGCATGCCTTTATTCCACATCTACCAAGTGACTCCTCGCATGAGGCCCTGTGCACTGGGCACTGCGCTGATAGGCAGGGCGTGGCGCTGACACCCTATGGCGGGGAAGGTAGACAGCAAACAAAACAAACAAACAGATGTGAATAAGGACAGAATGATGCTGTGAAGGACTTGGCCGAGTGTCCTTTGGAAGAGTGGGGAGGAGGACAGAGGGAGGAAAGGCCTCTCTGAGACCTGAAGGTAAGAAGGAGCTGGCCGTGTGGAAGGCAGAAAAGAGGGGTCCAGGAAGAGGCAGAGCATGGGTCATGAGCCCTTAGCAAGGCCTGGAAGAAAGTCCAGACATGTCTGGAGCATGGTGGGGGAAGGGAAAAGGGCGTGGTGGGGTGGCTGACAGGGGCCGCTCACGCAGGCACAGCCTGTGTCCTAGGGGCCCCTAATCCTTGTGGGGCCTGCAGGAGCCTCTGACTCTGGACCTGCTTGCCTTACATCACTTGGTCTGGTCTTGCCGCTCTCAGATACACATAGCCCTTCCACCAAAATTGTATACGTTGATTCAAATGAACATCTATTCCTCTTTGCTTTTTTAAAATTTTATTATTTTGTGTAGAGATGGGGATCTCACTATATTGCTCAGACTAGTCTCGAACTCCTGGGCTCAAGCAATCCTCCCACCTCGGCCTCTCAAAGTGCTAGAATTACAGGCCTGAGCCACCATGCTGGGCCTTCTTCATCTTTTCTACATAGAGATTAAGAGGGTACAAAAATTTGAATAAATTCCACCAGATCAACTTGATTGGTTCACCTTTAAAGAACACTTGAACTCAGGCTACTTTTGAACTGATTTACTGATAAGCATCTTGGGTGCCAAACAATAGGCTTGCCTGATGCTTCAACTTTCACTTGGGAGCTTGGCAGCCCGAAGACCTGACCAGAGACAGAACCTGAGGCAGGACAGAGGAAAGGAGAGGGAGCCGAGGAGGACAGCTCCCCAGAGCACAAAGGGCACACCCTGAACAAAGGGCAAAGGTGTCTCAGGTACTGGTGCCTGCTGGGAAACCAGCCGTGCCCTTCTACCCAGCTGGTGGGAAAGTAGCAGGTACAGTCTTTCTAGCAATTCTGCTGACTTTTTTTTTTTTTTTTTTTTTTTTTTGAGACGGAGTCTTGCTCTGTCTCCCAGGCTGCAGTGCAGTGGCACAGTCTTGACTCACTGCAACCTCTGACTCCCAGGTTGAAGCGATTCTCCTGCTTCAGCCTCCTGAGTAGCTGGAACTACAGGTGCCCGCCATCATGCCTAGCTAATTTTTGCATTTTTAGTAGAGTCGGAGTTTTATCATCTTGGCCAGGCTGGTCTCAAACTCCTGACCTCAAGTGATCCTCCCGCCTTGGCCTCCCAAAGTGCTGGGATTACAGGTGTGAGCCACCGCGCCGGGCCTCAGCTGACATTTCTAATGCAGGTTTCCTTTAATTCTGCGGTTCTACCACTAGGTGCCCCCTAATGGATACATGGACAAAAAAACATCGAGCTGTGCACACGTGACGGTCACTCCAAAAGTTGGAGGCCACCCAAATGACTCTCAGTTTGTCAAAGCAGGCCAAATCAATTTCAGCCCATCCATACAACAGAATAGTCTGCAGTGATTAGACATAAGGAGGCAAAGTTCTAGACTCAGAGTAAAAGACCCTGAAGATATATCATTAAATAAATGGGGGAAAGGCCAGATATGGAATAGTGTACGTATACCTTGCTCCCCTATGTAACTGTTTAAAATGATATATATTTATATGTAGATACATGCATACTTTTTTCTGGTGGGATACATAGGAAACTTTGGGGATGAGGATTGGGGTCAGAGAAAAGCAGGGAGATTTTAATCATTTTTCTAGATCTTTCTGTACTGGTCAAGTTTTTATATCATGCGCAGTTATTGCTTTTATTTAAAGAGTAATAGGAAGAAAGGAAGAAAAGACAAGACACCAGCCTCTATATTGGTAGAAACCAATTCAGTCCTCCCTTAAGCCCTGCCTGCCAGTGGCCGATGTCACCATGGAGAAGGTTACTCGGGAGCCTTCCTTACTCTAAACTCACTGCTCACTTGCTGGGGGAGTTGTGGGACTGGGAAGTTTCTCTGCAGGAGAAAGTGTCTTTATGCCAGAATTAGGCACAAAGGGCATTAGGACACTTGGCTGTCTGTGTCTGTGTGACTCAGGACACATAAGCTACAGACTCTTTTCACTGGAAGTTTTCAGCTCAATCTGGCAACCCATCTATTGAACACCTACTATGTGTCAGCACTCTGCCAGGCCTATGGAATGAGCAGACACAAAGGCAATTTAACCCTTGCCCCCAGGAACAAGATAAACAAATGACGCTGGAAACTGCAGATGAGGGAGAAGTGCTATAAGAGATGGGGACAAAGTGGAGGAAGGGAGAGATTCCCTATGGCCAGAGGGACCAGGAAGGCTTCCTGGAGGAGGTGGGAGTTGATATGGAGCAGTCCCACGCCAAGAGAACAGCTTGAGCAAAGATTGGGAAGCAAAAGAGAACTTGTGCAGGGAAGGAGGAGAGGCTGGAACCCAGAATGCTGGGCTGGGGAGGGAGAGGTGGGCAGGGGAGACGAAAGGTTAGCTCTGCCGAAAGCAAGAACCTGAAGGAAGACAGGAGCTGGGCCAGAGAGGGCTGAGTGCCCCGCAAGAGGTTTGCACTTAATTCTGTGAACACTGAAAGGTTTTGATTTGGGAGTAAGAGGGTCAGAGCTGTGTCTGAGGCTCATGTTGATGACTGTCTGGTTTGTAAAAGTCAGTGTCGCCTCGTGAAAACATGGAAGTGCCTACGGAGTAGATGCTGGTATGAAGGGCAGGGAAGAGCACTGTGAGCAAAGTCTTTGAGACCAACCTTGCAGACAGCGGGGACAGCAGGCTGGGCTCTGGGGAATGGGTCCGCTGGGGTCTGTCAGGATCTGCCCAGGTCTGCTGGGGTCGGCCGGGGTTTTAACCTTAAGCATCAGCTCCTAACTTGCCTGGAGGCAGGATGAGGGTTTCCACCTCCCGCGCCTTGAACCTCGGCACTTGCCACTCTAGTTACGGTTCTAGATGACTTGGCTCAGCTGCCCCCAGAATCACAGCCCAGGATCAGCCATCCTGGTCCTCCTGTGACAGGTAACGTGGAAAAGGCAGTCTATGGCCTAAGGGAGAGAGGCCACCAGGCTCACAAATGAGCTTCAATGTCACTCATCTTTTAAAAGTAGATTTCCGGCCAGGCACGGTGGCTCACGCCTGTAATCCCAGCACTTTGGGAGGCCAAGGCAGGCAGATCACCTGAGGTCAGGAGTTCAAGACCAGCCTGGCCAACATGGTGAAATCCTGTCTCTACTAAAAAACACAAAAATTAGCCAAGTGTGGCAGCAGGCACCTGTAATCCCAGCTACTCTAGAGGCTGACGAGGAGGCGGAGGTTGCAATGAGCTGAGATTGCGCCACTGCACTCCAGCCTGGGCAACAGAGCCAGACTCTGTCTCAAAAAAAAAAAAAAAAAGTAGATTTCCCATTTGCCTCTCTGAAAAGGAAGTTTTCTATAACTTTTCAAATCTTTCAGGCCCCAGTGCTGGCTCTTCCCTCCCTCAGGAACCTGCAGCCTCACCCCTGGCTGAAAGTGTCCCTATCTGCAGCTGACATCAGGCACATCTCACTTCTGAATAGCTGCTTCCAGCTGACCTTCTCCTGTGTTTTCAGCCCTGAGAGTATTATGAAGATTAATTAGAGAGAAGCTGTCTACTAGGAGGCAACCGCAGTACCAGTCTCTGGAGAGCAGGGCCCCTGTCTTACTTGGCCTCTCATTCCATAAGTGCCTGCTGAGTGCGCCAGGCCATCTTTCAGGTGATGGAGCACAGTGGCTGCGGGCCCCACTCTGGAGCAAGACTGCCTGGGCTTCTCTCTCTGCTTGCACCGCTGGACGTGGTGGCTCACCCCTGTAATCCCAGCACTTTGGGAGGCCGAGGCAGGTGGATCACCTGAGTTCAGGAGTTCGAGACCAGCCTGGCCAACATGGTGAAACCCTGTCCCTATTAAAAATACAAAAATTAGCCAGGCATGGTGGTGCACACCTGTAGTCCCAGCTACTCGGGAGGCTGAGGCAGGAGAATCACTTGAACCTGGGAAGCGGAGGTTGCAGTGAGCTGAGATCACACCACTGCACTCCAGCCTGGGCGACACAGCAAGACTCAAAAACAAAAACAAAAACAAAAACAAAAACAAAACAACAAGTTATGTGAACTTGGCCAAGCTAATGACCTTCTCTAAGCCTTAGGCCTGATGATGTTACCTACTTCTTAAAGTTTCTGAGAACAAGAAATGCAAACATATGTCCACACAAAAACTTGTACACAAATGTTCATAACAACCAAAAAGTAGAAACACCCCAAACATCCATCCACTGATGAATGGATAAAAAGAGGGCTATCTATAGAATTGAGTATTGTTTGTCAATAAAAAGGAATGCAGTAATGACACACGCCACCACAAGGATGAACTTTGAAAACATTATGCTAAGTGACAGAAGCCAGCCATAAAGGTCCACATATTGTACGATTCCATTTACAGGAAATGTCCAGAACAGCGAAATCTACGGACAGAAAGTAGATTAGTGATTGCATGGGGCTGGAGGAGGGGAAGTGGGACTGCTAATGGATACAGGGTTTTGTTTAGGGGTAACGAAATGTTCTAAGATTTATTGTAGTAATGGTGGCATAACTCTGTAAATATACTTAAAGCCATTGAATTGTACACTTTATTTTTTTTAGAGTCTTGCTCTGTTACCCAGGCTAGAGTGCAGTCGCACAGTCACAGCTCACTGCAGCCTTGAACTCCTGGGCTCAAGTGATCCTCCTGCCTCAGCCTCCCCAGTAGCTGGGACTACAGGTGTGCACCTCTACACTCTGCTCACTTTTACATATATATATTTTTTGTAGAGACGGGGTTGCCCAGGCTGGTCTCAAACTCCTAGGCTCAAGCAATTCACCTGCCACAGCCTCCCAAGTGCTGGGATTATAGGCGTGAGCCACTGCACCCAGCCAAACTGTACATTTTAAATCAGTGAGTCGTAGAGTATGAATTAGATCTCAATAAAACTGTTGAAAATGTTTCTTAGAACAATGCCTGGCACATGTTAAGCACTAAAGAAGTGTTAGCTACTATTATTTGTTGCTAGGGAAATAAGTGAAAAAGATGGGCAGATGCAACGGCCTGAATATTTGTGCCTTAGCCCCAAATTCCTAGGCTGAACTCCTTACCCACAAGGTGATAGTATTAGGAGGTGGGACCTGTGGGAGGTGATGTGGGTCATGAGGGTGGAATCCTCATGAGTAAGATGTGCTTCCTTATATAAGAGGCCCAAGAGAGACCCCTTGCCCCTCATGTGAGGACACAGTGACATGCCATCCACGAGCCGGAAGTGGCCCTCACCAGACATGGAATCTGCCGGTGCCTTGATCTTAGACTTTCCAGCCTCCAAAACTGTAAGAAATGAACTTGTGTTGTTGATACAGTTCCCAGTGTATGGTATTCTGTGGCAGCAGCCCACACAGACAAAGACAGCAGGTTTCCTGCTTCAGGAGCGTGCATTCACCGACTTCTCCTCTGCATCCCGTGCTGGGCTTGGAACCAAGTGGGCACATGGTGGACCCCACCAGCCTCTGCTAGACAATGTGTGTTCTCTAAAGTCCAGCCGTGTCACTCCATGAGAAAATTAGACTTGTCACCTCTGCTCCAGGCTGCCTGTCTGGCCTTTCCTGGCCCTTAGCAAGGCTCCCACTCTCTGGCCCACACAGCCAGATCACCGTCTCACTGAGCCTCGTTGCAGGCCACTGAGTCCTTATTTGCACCAGTTCTGTTCCTGGATTTTCTCAGCTCCTGACCTTCTGACTTGGTCTCATGTTCTGAGAGGTCCTTGGCCCCGTCACCTCCCACCTCACCCTTGGACTTGACAATGCATCTACTTCTCCGGGTCGGCCCTTCAGTTCTACTGGACAGGCTGTGTTTCCCACCCCACCCAAGGGACAGGACAGTAAGAGTGAAACCGACATTCTCATTCTCCAGGCACTGCCAAGATGCCAAGTGCACCAGTTCTAGGAACATGGAATTCACAGGGGGACTCTGAGTGGGGAAACAAATGAAGAACAGACCTTGTCCTCCAGGAGCCACCCCCAGGTTCACCCCAAGTTGCCTGGTGACCACAGAACCACTTTCCTGGAGAGGCTTCGAGGGAGCAGGGGAGGCAGGACACCAAGGCACCACCTCTAGCCCACCTCCCAGTAACCCCCCTCAGTCCTGGGCCACTCTGTTTCACAACCTGGTGGGAGGGGAGCTCTCCCACCAGAGGGTCCTATGGGAGGGGATGTCCCTGCCCCTCCACCCTGCCCCTCTGCTGCTCCTCCTCCTCCGATGCTGGTAACAGATAGGGCAGAAACAGTAATGACAGCAACAGGCCAAAAGCAGAAGGCCAAGGCCAGGCAGCCAGCAGTTGGGGTTATTGTAAGACTGGGCGGCCTCGCCTTGCATCCACAGCGGGAAGAGGCTGAGGGATCAGAGGAGCTGCGCATGGCGCTGCTCCACCGCCAGCCAGGTGGTCCTGATGTGGGAGAGCTGGCTGCCTTCCAGGAATGAGGCAGAGAGGAAAGACGACGAGGCCGAGGGGCAACTGCATTCCCTGAGATGACCTGAACCGGGGCATCTGTCCTCCCCCAGAGGTAGAACTAGCTCCCGGCCTGTCTGCAACTGCTGCGTTTGCCCTTGTCTTTCTCAGTTTGTGCCTTCGTGTCACACACCTGCCTGGGTGACAGCAATCATCTATCTTCCTGTGCAGGTGGCCAATGGTCATTAGGTGGAATGAAGCTGGCGGGATGGAGCGAGGCGGCCACAGCTGCAGGCAGAGCCATGGGATCAGGAATAATGAACACCGCACACGGAGCCAGGCAGCAGAGAGCCCCGGCCAGCACAAATGACTGGCCTTCCTCTCTCGCCAGTGGCTTTGCAGGGGCCAGCCCCTCCATCCAGAAGAAATGGGTCACAGCGTGTGAATTCACAGCAGGCCCGAGCCGACAGGGACAGGCACCCGTGGAGGCCATCAGGACTCTAAGTGCCCGCTGGAGAGTAGGGCGGTGACCTCTGGCTTGTTTTGTGCTGTGGGTGGGGCCTTTGCCTCTTCCTCAGAAGGAGGGATCAGGCAGGAGGAAGAGGAGCCTTGCTGGCTCCTGCAGGGTCACACTTACTCTGTCACTTCCTCCTCTATCTCTCCTACCCAGAGTGGCCCGGTGAGGGAGGCTGGGCACGTTGGGTATAGCTGGTTGGTACCATGGGTCCAAGATGAGGAGGCCCCTCTCCCTGGTACTCCCAACATGGGGTTCAGAGCAAACGCCAGAGATCATGCCCAGGCTGGGTGCCAAAGCCAAGATGGGCAGTCGCTTCCCACTGTGGTCAGGTGAGAGAGAGGGAAGAATGAGAAGGTGGGGTTAAGACGGGGGAGGCAGGAGAGCCAAGGAGCCAGGAGGGCTGAGAGGAAGCAGAGAAGGGGACTGCTAGGGATGGGGGGTGGATTTCAGAGCAGGAGCACCAGCTTCATTTGGGGCCAGAACTGGTCAGACATGAGATCATTCCTGACACCATCCTGCAGCTGGATGCTTTCTGACACGTGACCATTGCCAGCCCCACGGGGACACCAACCGGGTGCAGAGCACAGCCCCGGGGGTCTCATCAGATGTCAGGGCTGGAGCCAGGCTTCACTGCCTACTTGCTAGTGACTGGGCAAACTAGTTCATTTCTCTGAGTCTAAGATTTTTCACCTGTAAATACGGGACATGACGCCCACAAGCTGTTACATTCGCTGAGGGGGCACGCACAAAGTGCTGGCACGTTCTAGGTATTCAGAAGCAGTCTGTGAATAATACCATTGAAAACCCCCTGGTGGAAACTGCAGTCCTGACCTCTGGTTTTGGGTGTGAAGTTGGGGCAAGAAGCTTCCAATTAGGCTCCTGGTATGTATGGCACCCCCTGGCTGAGTCATCACCACCACCCCTGACATCACACCAAGGAGGGGCTGCTCTGAGGTCCTCAGACCCTTTTTTTAAAAAAACAAGTAGTCATTGACACTTTAGTATAACGTGCTGCAATTAGGCTATCGGGTCCTTCTCTCCTAAACCCTAGGAAACACCAACTCTGAGATGTCCTTGGAGAGCAGGACTTGGGGGACCTCTCTGCAGCCAGGAACCTGGGGTGGGAGAGATGGGGTGCTGAGTGGTACCATCTTCACTTCTTCTCACCTGAATTTCCTTCCCTGCTCCCCAAGCTAGAATACCCATGACCACCTGCAGACCCAGCCCTACCTAGGTCTGAGACCATCCTAATGGGCAGCAAGTATCTTGACAACCTCAGTAATGCCAGCCCTTGGGGCTAAGATGACTTCCTACTGTCCACAGGCCTAAGCCTATATTTCCAAGTCACCCTTAGGGTCACATGCCTGCAAGTTGACCCCTAGGTTGGCTCAGAAAAAAGGACAAGATTCCTGCCTCACTTTCCCTGCCCAGCACTCCATTGCCCCACAGACCTTGAGCCCTGCTCTGACCCCACTGTCTGCTTAGTGGGGGCCCCAGCATCCTGCTGGAGTTTCCCAGTCTCTTCCCTCGAGGCTGGAGCTTGGGGTAGACTGCCCGGAGCTTGCCACATCTGTTGGAGCCTGGACAGCAGGTCATTTGGTTGGCCTTGCCAGGGCCACACCTGCCCCATTCTCCTGGTCCCGGGGCCTTCACCCTTCCCATGAGCCTGTCAGCTGGGATTACTGTGGTCCAAGTAGGTCTCACACCCAAACTTGTCTCCTTTCTTCTTTCCTCTTTTCATATTTATTCAGTGGACTGGACAGTGTGGTTCAGTGGCTGGATGAAGCAGTCATTGCCTTACTGAAAGCAGAGAAGAGCTAAAAGGGAGCAGAGGCAGGAAGAGGCCAAGTGTCCCTCAGGGGAGCCAGACATGATTGCTCCAAGAAGCCAGAGCAGGAAAGGGAGGGGGTGTGAAGGGGCGCTGGGAGGAGGCCCAGTGCAAATACAGACACCAGCATCATGCAAACATGTATTGCATGTTGGTTCAATATCCAAGCCCCACAGTCAGACCACCCGGTTCAAATAACTTTGGGTGATCTTGGGTAAATAATTTATCTGAGTCTCATCTGAATGTCCTTATCTGAAAAATAGAAATAATGAAACCTAAAGGGTTGCAATAAGAATTACATGAGACACCCAGTCTCTACTAAAAACACACAAAAAAATTAGCCGGGCATGGTGGTGCACACCTGTAATCCCAGCTACTCAGGAGGCTGAGGCAGGAGGATTGCTTGAATCCGGGAGGCGGAGGTTGCGGTGAGCCAAGATTGCACCACTGCACTCCAGCCTAGGTGACAGAGGGAGACTCTGTCTCACAAAAACAAAAAAAAAAAGAATTACATGAGACAGCATACAGACTGTGCCTGTCATATAGGAGACAGGAGACACTCTAGATGATAGGAGCCATTATTTTATTGGAAAATAGATAACACAACCTACTTTGGGTATAGGGACACCACCTCCAGGAAGCCTTCTAGGCTTTCTTTCAAGCTTCTAGAGCCCATTTTCAGGAAAGAGAGAGCAAAGAACTGGGGTGGGTGCACATAAAGATAAGAAACAGAAACAAGCATGCATTTTGCACCTACCTGGGGCCAGGCACTGTGTTAGACCCTTGGTTTACTATACCTCATTCTATCTACCCAGCATCCAAAAAAATTGACATTCTGGTTGGCCCCACAAAATAGTAACTCAACTTCCATCGCTGGCCTGTGAGTTGCTCCTGCGTGTTTCATGTGGTGACCTGCAAGGCCCGCAGGGACACCCCTAGGCAAATGGCTCTGGACTGGCATTTGGTGATCCACGTGGAGAGGAACCGCGCTTTCCAAGGCCGAGGGGCTGTAAGCAGCAGAACGTTGCACTTTTTTCCTGCAGAGCAGTGGGGTGAGGGAGAAGCAGCAGCGTGGGCCCTGCCAATCAAAGGCGAGGCCAGATAGCATGCTCAGATTGGGGATGGAGGCTCGGCTTCTTCACGGTGCTGGGTCACAGGGTAACTGGTGGGGCGGGAGTTCTGGAATGATCTGTTTGGCTCTCTGTGAATGGCTGTTTGCCATGGCAACGAACACTGCGGAGACTCTGAGCTTGCTCAGTTGGGAACCTGCTCTCCAGGGACATTTCAAAGCTCTTCCCCTCATTGTGTGGGAGCGCTGCTCACCGAGTGCATCCCTGCAGCCTGGGAGAAGCCTGGAGCTCCCCACATTTCCCTCGGTGGCAGCCAGTGCTCTCGGCTTTCCTTTCTCCAGGAGTCTCAGATCAACTGACAATGGATGTGCAGAGGCGAGAAAACCCTGGGCAAGTTCTTCACACCCAAATAGACTCCGGTCGGGACCAACCTCTCTGGGAATTCACCTGCCACAAAGGCTCTCTCCCTATCCCACTCCCACCAGCAGAAGTCAGCAAGCCTAGAAAACACTGTCCCCTCACCCTCACTGAGCCAAGTGTTACTTTCTACCCCAAGATTTTCTCGCATTCCTTCACCCCATACCCGTTCCACAAGCAGTTACTGAGAAGGTAAAAATAAATACAGCGCCAGGCGTGGTGGCTCACACCTGTAATCCCAGCACTTTGGGACGCAGGCAGATCACATGAGGCCAGGAACTTGAGACCAGCCTGGCCAACATGGCGAAACCCCGTCTGTACTAAAAATACAAAAATTAGCCAGGTATGGTGGCGTGTGTCTGTAATCTCAGCTACTCAGGAGGCTGAGGCACGAGAATCTCTTGTAGCCGGGAGGCGGAGGTTGCAGAGCTGAGAGTTGCACCACTGCACTCCAGTCTGGGCAACAGAGTGAAACTCCATCTCGAAAAAATAAAGAAATAAAAATAAATAAGTAGGACGGGCACGGTGGCTCATGCCTGTAATCCCAGCACCTTGGGAGGCCGAAGTGGGCAGATCACAAGGTCAGGAGTTCGAGACCAGTCTGGCCAACATAGTGAAACCCCGTCTCTACTAAAAACACAAAACATTAGCCGAGTGTGGTGGTGTGCGCCTGTAATCCCACCTACTCGGGAGGCTGAGGCAGGAGAATCACGTGCACCCAGGAGGCGGAGGTTGCAGTGAGCCTGGGCGACAGTGCAAGACTCCATCTCAAAATAAATAAATAAATACAAACTTACATACATACAGTTCCCCCAAAAAACAGGGTGGAGGGGCCCAGGCTGTGCCAGCTCGGCTAAGTATGGCTCCAAATCACCCTAACAGGGAAAGATGGGGTCCTGGGAAGTTAAGAAGGTGGAATTTTCTGAAGATGCCACCCCCACCCCTAAATTCGCTTCTCCTACTGTTCTCCCCATCCCATAATTGCCAAGTCCATTCTTCCAATTATTCAGGCCCATCCTGGACCAGCACCCCTCTCTTTCTCTTGTGCCCATATCCAACCTCTCAGTAAAGCCTCTGGAGTTTAACCTTCAAAAAATATTCCACGTGCCCCCGCTTTCCCCACCTGTACTGCCATCATAGGCTGTCCCTATCTCCGCCTTCACTGCCCTCCCCACGGAGCAGCTAGAGTGAGCGTGAAGTCAAACTGCGTCCCTTGCTCACTAGTGACTTCCCACTCCACTTGGGGAGCAGCCACAGGTTCTGAGGCCCTGAGGAACCTGGTCCCTGCTACCCCCAGATCTCCTCCTCCTTTCCTCCCCAGTCTACCTTAGTTGTGCTGACCTTATTGTCTCCCCTCCAGGACATTTCTCCAATGTCAGCTTCTCAGATCTCACCGCACACCTGTGCTGGAGGCTGGGATGCTCCACCCAGACCCCCTTCAGATATAAAAGGTGATGGCTGGGTGCGGTGGCTCATGCCTGTAATCCCAGCACTTTAGAAGGCTGAGGCGAGCAGATCACCTGAGGTCAGGAGTTCAAGACCAGCCTGGCCAACATGGTGAAACCCCGTCTCTACTAAAAATACAGAAGTTAGCTGTGTCCCTGTAATCCCAGCTACTCAGGAGGCTGAGGCAGGAGAATCACTTGAACCCAGGAGGTGGAGCTTGCAGTGAGCCGAGATGGTGCCACTGCACTCCAGCCTGGAGACAGAGCAAGACTAAGTCTAAAAGAAAGAAAGAAAAGAAACGAAAAGAAAAGAAAGAAAAGGCGACCCTCAGAATGCAGGACAGCCTTTAGCTATCACCCCCTCTGGGTATGGCCTCAGCTGAGTGAGCCCCCTTGCCCAAGGTCTCACCTCCTTCTTAGAGAGCTTGTGCAGGGGGCATGAAGTCCCCATCCTTTCACCCCAAATTTGTACAGCCCTGTTTTAGTCTGTTTGGGCTGCTGTTATAGAATACCATAAACTGGGTAGTTTATAAACAACAGAAATCTGTTGCCAAGAGTTCTGGAGGTTGGGAAGTCCAAGATAAAGCCACCAGCAGAATCTGTGTCTTAGCCTGTTCCTCATGAACGTGGCTTCTCACTATGTCCTCACATGGCAGAAGGGGTGAGGGGTCTCTCTTGGGCCTCTTGTGCAAGGTCACTAATCCCATTCATGAGGGTTTCACCCTTATGACCTAATCACCTCCCAAAGGCCTGACATCCTAATATCATCATCTTGGGGGTGAGAATTTCAACACAGGAATGTAGCAGGTGCACAAACACTCAGACCATAGCAAGCCCTCAAGGGCCATCCCACCTCAGAACTCCCCTGCAGGGTAGGCTGAAGCTTCCCTCGAAACTGCATCAAAGCTCAACTTCTCCCTCTTCCCCACCCTGCTTCCTTCCCCTCCTTACCTCCTGCAGGTGTGGATCAAATCACCCTTGTAGGACAAACAGCAGCATCAGGCTTCATGGAGCGGACTGTTTAAGACCCTCCATATGGGATTCTTCTCTACCAGACTGACTAGGTTCAAATCCCAGTTGCATCCTTTGCAGGCCATGAAACTCTGGGCAAGTTCTTTAACTGCTCTGTGTCTCAGTTTCCCCAACTGCACAATAGAGGTTATACCCTAGATCTATTGTGATGATTAAATGGGTTAATATTCAGAGCAGCGCCTGATACGTGGGAAATGCTAACAATAAAAAGACGATATTTCTTAGCTCCCCATCCTCCAGAAAAGCTCTATGTTCCAGAGCAGAGTTTTCTCCCCTTGCCACTGTTGCTGGGGGAGCTGCCCCTCATGCATGGATATGAATCCCAGCTTTACTGGCATCAAAGGGCCTACAGGGGCCAGCCTCATGTGGCCAAGCAAAAAGCATTCAGGCAAAGCCACAGGTAAAGGGTCAGGACTGGGGATCTCTTGTTCCACGATGAGGGGCATAGCTTGACCCAGGCTGGTCGGTCAGCTCAGGACAGAGCTGGGCAAGAATTCCAGAACAAGGAGGCACCACCATGGGAGAAAGCTTAGGTTCTGGGCCAGCCCTGGATTTTAGTTCCGAGCCTGCCACTCACAGTTGTGCGTCTGTGACCAAGTTACTTAGTCCCTATGATTCCTTGCATCCCAATCTCAAAGCAGGGCTGGTGGAGGTGCCTACCCTTCTGGTGTAAGAATTGAATGAGTTCATGGCCGGGCGTGGTGGCTCATGCCTGTAATCCCAGCACTTTGGGAGGCTGAGGAGGGTGGATCACGAGGTCAGGAGTTCAAGACCAGCCTGGCCAACATGGTGAAACCCCGTCTCTACTAAAAATACAAAAAATTAGCCAGGTGTGGTGGCGGGTGCCTGTAATCCTAGCTACTCGGGAAGCTGAGGCAGGAGAATCGCTTGAACCTGGGAGGTGGAGGTTGCAGTGAGCTGAGATTGTGCCTTTGCACGCCAGCCCCTGTGACAGTGTGAGACTCCGTCTCAAAAGAAAAAAAAAGAATGGAATGGGTTCATGCCTGAAAAATATCTGGAAAATGGCTAATAGGTAGTAATGTCCTCCTCCCACCCCTGTATCAATGAGTTATGGCTGCATAACAAACACTCCAACACTTTGTGGCTTAAAACAGCAACACATTTCTTTTGCAAGTGAAGCTGTAGTCTTTTCTTTTGCATGTGAGTGGCAGGACTTAGTGGGTCAACTCATCTCTGCTTCACTCAGCAACAGCTGGGGCAACTTGAATGCAGGGAGCTGGAATCATCTGAGGTCTCGCCCCCTCTTGTGTCTGATGTCTGGGCTGGGACCGTATAGCAGCTAACAGCTTGGGCTCCTTGGGTCTCTTTCTTTCTCTTTCGCTCTTTCTTTCTCCCTCCCTCCCTCTCTCTCTCCCTCTCCCTCTCTCTCTCTCACACGCGCCTCGGAAGTCACTTTGTCACATGATTGGTCAAGCCAGTTACAAATGTCTGCTCGGTTTCAAGGGGAGAGAGCATAGACCCCCTCCTCTCATAAAGGAGCATTGCTGTCACACTGTAAGAAGAGCATAGGGTGGAGTACATGTTGGTGCAGCTGTCTTTGGAAAATGCAATCTGCCCCACACCACATTTGGCACGGCTCTGTGCCACGCCCGCCTCCCCAGAGGCTTAGGTGGGATCCAGGACTCCCCAACGGGGGCTGGCTCCCTCTCTCGTTGAACTTGAAAGGGCACATCTGTGTTTTAGGCTCTACCTCCTTAAGCTCTTTAGGCCCTGGCCAAGCATTACCTTCACTAGTGCCTGCAACCAAGAACCCTAGGACCCGCCTCTTGCCTTCCAGCCAACAGGCCCTTCCACCTGAGCAGGGCTAGGCTGGCAGCACTTCCAGGCCCCCTCAGGGGAAGCCTCCTCCAGAACTATTTGCACCTGAGCCCACGTGAGTCGAATTTACGTCCCTAACCCAAAACAATTCTATAACAATTCTTTAGGTTTTTAATTCCTATCATTTACGCCCAACCAGTTGAGATGAAATAAGACAAAAAGAAATATTCAAATGCCCCAGCTCCTTGCCAATGTTCAGAAGGGATGGCTTGTGCCCATTTAAAGCCCCTGCCTCAGCTGGTCTGTGGACTCATCTCTTCGCTGTAAAGGCCAGTGAGGTGTGGACAGTGGGCTTGACCAGAAACCTGGCAGGAAAACAGGCCAGAACCACCCACCATGGGCTCAGGTGGCTCAGATTACTTATCTAGAGTACCTATAACCCAGGTGTCACCTGGGGTCTCCCTGCCTGTTCAGATCTAGACATCTTTGCCTCAAACCCCCTTCCACGGCCCAGCCCCGGGCCTCCCCAAAGCACTACATTCCCCTGAATTTCCGCTTCCAGCTCCACGTTCTAGGCTTGCTTCCTCGTACTCGTGCGGTCCCTGGCCAACCACAGGACACAGACCCCGCCATCCACTCCAGGCCTGAGCAGGAAACTGCAACGGCGATTTGGGAACACAGAGGGCAGAAGGATCTACAAAACGGGTTTGAAATTAAATCTTGGATGTGCCTGCCCTCATGGAGAACCTCAGCCATCGCACCAGTTTGGGTGCCAGCTCCTACCAGGCTACTCAGCCTACTCTTTCCTTGTAGATCCCCCTGCAACTTCCAAAAATCCCCCCACTTTATCGTGCAGAGTATCTCAGCTTTCTCCAGCTCCAAATGCCAAAGAGCCCAGAGCCCCTTTGCATGTCCACAATGGCACGTTCTCACAACAGCATACCATTGACTGCAGCCTGGGATGTGCACGTTGACTCCCTTGAGTTGATACGAAGTTGGCCCGTCCTCCCTGGAGTCAGCTTGGATCTCTTATAGTGATATTTTACCCAGTATGGGGAGCTGGATGTGCCCCGGCCCAGTCCAGCTCTCTCACCTGGTCTCGCCTACCTGCTTCTCCGCTCAGGTGGGGCTGGGGTGGGGCTGGGGAAGGAGGAAGAGGAGACGGCTAGCCGAGACGGGGACTGGACTTGTATGTGAGCCTGGCCTCTCTAGCACTACACTTAAGACTATCAGGGGCTAGGAAGAGGTCAGTCACAGCTCCGAGAAGTTAGTCAAACTGTTTGACCTGAGCAGCCAAGCCTGTGGCTCAGAGGGTACAGGATGGGCCGAAGAGTTCGTGGACCTGTGACATCATCCCCGGTCGTTCACTCCAGAGAATGGGAAAAGGTTGATCCAGCCTAAAGTCCACCTCTGCTGGGACATCTGCAGCAGGATGACCATGGAGCAGCCACCTCCCCAGAACACCCTGGCGCAGGACTGTGTACTGGGCGTGCCTACCCACATCTCACCTTTGCCAGTCCTCAGCAAATAGAAGCATCCAGCTGACAGGTCCCTGGGGATAGTGACAGGCATGGAAAGGAAAGGCAGCTGGCAAGGTGTCAAGAATAAAAGCTGGTTGGCCCAAGCAAAGGCAGGCCACACCTGGAGCCCTCCCCATAGCCATGGTCAAGTGCCTTCTGTTTGGCTGGCCTCTCCTCACTGCTCCGTGCCCAGGCCTTCCCGGGAGGTTTTTCACCCTCCGTTAGCCACCATCTGGCGGTGTCATTGGGAGCCTGGAGGGTGGCCAGGAGCTGGCGCAGGATGGTAGCGGAGATTGCTGGCCTGTGTGCTGGGCCTGACTCGAGGGACGTCGACTCTCTCCTGATTCGATGACTGGGGAGGGTTCCAGCTGTACAGAGAGTGGCCTCCCAGGGCCGACAGATGGGCAGCCCCAGGAGGAAGCCACATGGCAGGACCATGTTGTTGTTAAACGCAGCTCATTAGGTTTTATCAGCAAGATGCTGCTCGGTTGGCAAGAACACACCTGCCCCCCCGCAGCAGTGGCCCACAGAAGCGCTGGCGGCCTTGGGCACACTTTGCTGGGGAGGCTGGAGCAGTGGGCCTGTTCTCAGGGCTTGGCAACCCCTCTTAGGCCTCAGAGGCCCCCTCTATGCATGGGGGACCTCAGGGAAAAGCTAAAGGGTATGGAGGCACACTGCACGGAGGCCAGGGAACCCACATCCCACCATCCCCGGGGATTGTCACCAGAGGACAGCCAAGATGTGGGGGCAGGGCCAACTCTCCCCACTGGCAGCTGCTGCCCCAAGGCTGGACTCTACCAACAGACCACCCCGAGGACCGACAAACTTTGTAAAGGCTCAGATAGTAATTATTTCAGGCCTTGCAGGCCAAGAGCTCAAAATTGAGGATACTGCGTAGGTACTTGTTAAAATATTTAAAATTTAACCATTTAGAAAGAGAAACCATTCTTAGTTCACAGGTGGTGGGCCAGATTTGGCCCTTGGGCCACAGTTTGCCAACCATGGGCTTCAATCCCCTGGGTAAAGAAGCCAGCAGAGGCCGGTCACAGTGGCTCTTGCCTGTAATCCCAGCACTTTGGGAGGCCGAGGCAGGCAGATCACCTGAGGTCAGGAGTTCGAGAGCAGCCTGGCCAACGTGGCAAAATCCCATCTCTACAAAAAATACAAAAATTAGCCAGACGTGGTAGTGCACACCTGTAATCCCAGCTACTTGGGAGGCTGAGGCAGGAGAATTGCTTGAACCTGGGAGGCGGAGTTTGCAGTGAGCCTAGGTCACGCCACTACACTCCAGCCTAGGTGACAGAGGGAGACTCCATCTCAAAAAAAAAAAAAAAGTCGGGGTATGGTGGCTCACGTCTGTAATCCCAGCACTTTGGGAGGCCGAGGCAAGTGGATCACCTGAGGTCGGGAGGTCAGGAGTTCGAGACCAGCCTGACCAACATGGAGAAACCCCATCTCTACTAAAAATACAAAATTAGCCAGGCATGGTGGCACATGCCTATAATCCCAGCTACTCGGGAAGGCTGAGGCAGAGGAATCGCTTGAACGTGGGAGGTGGAGGTTGCGGTGAGCCGAGATTGTGCCATTGCACTCCAGCTTGGGCAACAAGAGCGAAATTCCATCTCAAAAAAAAAGAGAAAAGCAGCAGCAGCAGCCAGCAGAAGAGGCTGCCTGCAGCTCTCCTCCAAGGATGAGCCCTCAAATCTCAATAAGGGTGCCATAAAAGAGCTGGGGGCTAGAGGAGTTGGCGCAGCTCCTGTGCATACCCACCTCTCTCATGACATCTCACCTGGGGCACTGGACCTGCCTGTGTGTGTGTCAGTCTCTCCCCAGCCACTGGCCTGGCAAGAGTAGTCGGGGAGGCTCCATCTTCCCCAGAATCCCAGTACCACCCCCACGCTATGCTGAGGACTCTTCCCCAACTCAGGACTCCCATTTGGTCCTGCGGGCTCTACGTTGCACTGTGGCCAAGCTGGCATCTCATGGTATTACTTGCCCCTCCCCAGCCCCCGCCCCACAGATTGCAGAGATGAGTCCAGAGGGTGCTACACCTGGAGATCCCAAGCTGTGCTGTAGCCCCGCTAGCCGCCCCACTAGCCCTCCCGCTGTACCATGGCCAGTGCTGGGTTGAGCTTGTCTTCCTAACTGCCTCTACTTTAAGGGGGCTTTTCTCCCAGCAAATTCCTGAGTCCATCAGGCAAATACACTTCTGGGTGGGCCCCAGTGCCCTAGCCCAGCCACATCTGAATCCACTTAGCCTCATGCTGAGACCCTCGTCACTACCTTATATTACCCACCCACCCGCATCTTACAGGAAAAACTAGCAGAAAGGGGCCTGAGCACGAGGCCAGGCATCCTGGGCTAGAACTTGGGCCGTGGGACCTCGGAGCCAGCTGCTCAGCCTCATGCAGTTCCTCCTTCCCCATCTGCTAAGTGTGGTAACTGCTGTCTGCAGCCCGGGTGCCACCCATCATCCTCTGTACGGGGATGCATACAGTGTAGGATGCATATACAGCCTGGCATGCGTTTAGTCCTCAGTGGTTGCTGATGGGATGTGCATTTGAAATGGAAGTCCAGGAAAAGGATGAGATGCGGAGATGAGGGTGCAGAAACAGCCATGGGGAAGGCAGAGAGAGGCAATGATCCAGAGCTGGGGAGGAGGGAGCGCGGAAGAAAGCTGGGATCTGAGCGTTTGCACCTTGTTTACCAGAACAGTGCCCATTGATCTGTGGCACAAAGGTGGGGGAGGGGTGGATAGGAAGCGGGAAAGTGTGGGAGAACCATCTGACCACCTGTCACAGGTGAGACCTCAAGACAGAACCGAATCCAAGCATCCTTACAATCTCCTCCATCCCTGATTGGGAACAGACGCCTTCCCTTTGTGCACTTGGCCAAGGGCCTCATCACCAACCTAGTGGGAGGAATTGGTGGCTTATTCCAGGCTATTCTGGAGATATACCTGTTGGCAATCAAAACGATTGTGGTGTAACTGAGTTAACGCTTTGTAAACTAGACTGCACATACTTGATTCCAAAATACAGATTCACTCATTTTTAACCAATTCTGGTGCTGTCTTTGTAAAGCCTCAAGTTAAAATAAGCATTTCAGAAAGCACTCTACCAAATGACTTGTACAAGAATGTTCATAAGGCAGGCATGGTGGCACACACACGTAGTTCTGGCTACTTGGGAGGCTGAGGTGGGAAGATCACTTGAGCCCAGGAGTTCAAGCCTGCAGTGAGCTACAGTCACACCACTGCACTCCATTCTGAGCAACACAGCAAGACTCTGTCTCTAAAAAAATAAAAAAAAAAAGGTTCATAGTAGCCTTGTTTGTACAGATCAAACTGGAAATAACCCAAAAGTCCATCAAGAGTTGGGCCAGGTGCGGTGGCTCACACCTATAATCCCAGCACTTTGAGAGGCCGAGGTGGGTGGATCACTTGATGCCAGGAGTTGGAGACCAGCCTGGGCAACATGGTGAAAACCCATCTCTACTAAAAATACAAAAATTAGCCAAGCGTGGTGACACGTGCCTGTAGTCCCAGCTACTGGGGAGGCTGAGGCAGGAGAATCACTTGAACCAGGGAGGTAGAGGTTGTAGTAATCAAAGATCACGCCACTGCACTCCAGCCTGGGTGACAGAGTGAGATTCTGTCTAAAACAAAAACAAACAAACAAAATTCCGTCAACAGTTGGATAAATAAATTTGTGGAATATTCCCACAATGGAATACTACTCAACACTAAAAATGAATCATTGACGCATGCAACAGTATGAATGAATCTTACCGATTCAAAGAGGCAAAACTCATCAATGGTGATGGAGGTTGGACTACTGTTCAGCCTCTGTTGGGTACTGGCTGATAAAGAGCACAAGGGAGGCTGGGCGCGCTGGCTCACGTCTGTAATCCCAGCACAGCCCTTTGGGAGGCAGAGGCGGGCAGATCATGAGGTCAAGAGATCAAGACTATCCTGGCCAACGTGGTGAAACCCTGTCTCTACTAAAAATACAAAAATTAATTGGGCATGGTGGTGCGTGCCTGTAGTCCCAGCTACTCAGGAGGCTGAGGCAGGAGAATCTGTTGAACCTGGGAGGCGGAGGTTGCAGTGAGCCAAGATCACGCCACTGCACTCTAGCCTGGTGACAGAGCAAGACTCCATCTCAAAAAAATAAAATGAAATACAAGCACAAGGGAAATTTCTAAAATGCTAGGAGTATTTTAGATCTTGATAAGGGAGTAGCCACATGGGTGTATATACATATGTAAAGATTCATCTCACTGTACACTTAAGATTTGGGTTCTCAAATTCACTTTTAAGTTAAACCTCAATTTAAAAATATTATTCTTCCAAAAAAATCCTGTAAGAGTTGTTAAAGGGTTTGCACAAGGACAATCCAAGGAACATCCTTATCATAGCACTGGTTTCCCAGGCTATGTACAAGACCCAGGTGAGTACAAGACCATCAAACCAGCCCTTAGTCCCCCTTGTCTGTGTACCAGCTCTCAATTGCCATAGTTCCTGTACTATGGGTGGTAGCTTTTGCTCCCTGTTCCTTCTCTTTGTTAGGATGGCTTCAGTTGGGATGGCTTTGGCTGCAAATAACACCCAAACAAACGTGGTTTGAACAGTAGAGGTTTTCATCTCATATAACAAGAAGTCTGGAGGTGGAGGTTTGAGGGGAGGTTCACAGCTCCGCAGCATCGGGGCTGCACGACACATTCTCTGAGAATCTATTGTGTTAACCTTGCCCTCCTGATTCCAACACAGTTGCTGCAGGCATCACTTCCCCAAACAACTGCATCCCAAAATCTGAAGTTGGGGGAGGGGTTCTCATCTAAATCAAGACCCCAAGAGACTTCCCTCAAGTCTTATTGGCTAGAGCTGGTCACATGCCCAGCCCTAATGCTCTTGTAGGCCAAGGGATGAGGGTTGGGCCAGAGATTCACCCCCACCGAGCATGTTGTGCCCTGTATCTGACCACATTTGAGGTTCTGTTGGAAGGAAGATGGAAGAAGTGGATGTTGGGTTGGAAACCAACTGAGCTGCCAGGCCTTGTTGGTTTTTCTGTTTTTGAGCTTCTGCATTATTTTTAACTGGAGATATTATACTGTCAAAACAAGTGAGTCATCATGCCCTTCTAACTGAAGCCTGGTGAATTTTTAATACTTCATCCAAATTCCCAGGGAGGACACAGATGCATGCATGGGATAAGGCAAGGAAATGTTAGGCTGCCCTTGGAAGGCTTGATGTCATCACAGCAGGAGCTGGAATGCTGTGTTTATGGAGAGGGGCTGGGCAAGGGACCACTGCGTAGGGACTTGGTAACTGACGACGTGTATTCATTCACTAAGTGACAAGCACTCCACTAAGACAGAAGGGAAACAGTCCATAAAACATTGAGGGGAAAAAAACAAATTGAATTGTCCAAATACTTCTTACATGACCCCAACACGGAGGGGAGCTTCTCCTGACCCCTACTGGTCAGTGAAATGGTTCGAGAAGCCATGGGAACACCAGGCCCAGAAGCAGGATACCAGCATTCTGACCGTAGCTGAGCCACTCGCTCTGGGCCTCAGTTTCCTCACTTGTAGAATCAGCATTTGGTGTCAAGGTCAAGATCCTTGCAGCTCTGATCTTCTGTGACTGTAACCTCGCACAGCAATGGCAAGCAGGATCTAAAGGTCTGAAACCAGCAGCCTTCTGGATCCTGGTCATTTGATTTAGACTGATGAAAATAATGCAGTGGTGATGGTGGTGGTGATGATGATGATGGTGATCATGATACCCAGCATGCTGAGCCCTCGCTCAAAGCCCTTGCCATGCTTTGGTCTACACATATTACCTCATTTAATTCCCTCAGAAACTATGGAGTAGTTATGTTTATTATCCCCATGTAACAGATGAGGCAGCTGAGGCTTAGGGAAGCTCTTGGCTAAGGTCACTTTTGTCACGCCAAACCCCTATCAGCTCCCATGGGGATGGCACCAGTTTCAACAGGCTGAAGAAGAGATCCAGAGCCAACAAATGAGACATGGGATTTTATCAGGGGCTATATACAGGGGAGAGAGTCCAGGGGCAGTGGGCTGGACAGGAGAACCACAACCACTTACAAAATGCATGCACTTTATACAGCATTTTCACTTAGCACCCTCCCCCTAATGATCTCCACCTGCCAACCTACATCTAGCCCAACTCAAAGGGCCTCAATCCCCTGTATGGCCCACGCTCCACAGAACAGGCTGGGTGCTCAGATGTTCCTCATAGATAAGGAATGGATCTCCATGTAGGCCACTCCCAGATTCTTCGCTGGGAGCTCCAAACTGCACTCAAGTGCATCTGTCATACAGGGTCATTCTCAGGGTCTGCTTAAGATTTTTAATTTTTATATTTATTTCAATAGTTTTTGGGGAACAGGTGGTGTTTGGTTACATGGATAAGTTCTTTAGTGATTTCTGGGATTTTTGTGCACTCATCACCCAAGCAGTGTACGCTGTACCCAATGTGTTTGTACAGTGTGCACTATTCATTTTTATTTTTTAATTTTTTTTGAGATGGAGTTTTGATCTTATTGCCCAGGCTGGAGTGCAACGGCATGATCTTGGCTCACTGTAACCTCTGCCTCCTGGGTTCAAGAGATTCTCCTACCTCAGTCTCCCGAGTAGCTGGGATTACAGGCATGCGCCACTACACCTGGCTAATTTTTTTGTATTTTTAGTAGAGATGGGGTTTCACCATGTTGGCCAGGCTGGTCTCAAACTCCTGACCTCAATTGATCCACCCATCTCGGCCTCCCAAAATGCTGCGATTACAGGCCCGAACTCATGATCTCAGGTGATCCACCATGCCAGGCCTGTACAGTGTACACTGTTCAAACAATGTGTAGTGTTTTGTCCCTCACCCCTGCTTCCACCCTACCCTCCCACAGTCCCTAAAGTTCATTATTTCTTATGCCTTTGCATCTTCATACCTTAGCTCCCACTTATAAGTGACAACATACATATTTGTTTTTCTATTCCTGAGTTACTTCACTTAGAATAATGGCCTCCAGCTCCATCCTAGTAGATGCAGAAGACATTGTTTTGTTCCTTTTTATGGGTGAGTAATATTCCATGGTGTATATTATATATACCACATTTTCTTTATCCACTCGTTGGTTGATGGGCACTTGGATTGGCTCCATATCTTTGCAATTGCGAATTGTGCTGCTATAAACATGTGTGCAGGTGTCTTTTTCATATGACTTTTCCTTTGGGTGGGTATGCTTAAGTTATTGTTATCAAATGAATTTGCCACACTACTTATTATAGACTGAATTGTGTTCCCCGTATCCCCACCCCCCATTCCTATGTTGAAGCCCTGACCTCCAATGTGACTATATTTGGAGACAGGACCTTTAGGAAGTAATTAAGGTTAAATGAAGTTATAAGGGTGGGACCTCAGTGCAATATGACTGGTGTCCTTATATAAGAAGAGAAAGAGACAAGGGGGGCGCACTCATAAAGAAGAAAAGCCATGTGAGGACACAGCAAGAAGGCACGGTCTGTAAGCCAAGGAGAGGCCTCAGGAGAAACCAACCCTACCCATACTTGACCTTGACTTCCAGCCTCCAGAACTGTGAGAAAATAAATGTCTGTTGTTTAAGCCCCCCAGTCTGTGCTATTTGTTATGGCAGCCCAAGTTGACCAAGACATCACCCAATGGCAGAACCAGCATTTGAACGAGACAATCTGACTCCATGGTAGGCCTTCATCATCTACAATTGAACCCTTTGATTGGAGAGATGGGTAGGAGGCATCCTCATGGCTGGGTCTGTGTGTACAAAGTATACAGAGTGTAAGATCTTACCCGCTTCCCTCCTTACTCTACGTAACAAAAGACAATCCACCTGGGACTAGCCAAGACCCATGCTTTGGATGGAAATGGTTCCAGGGAAATATGGGCCAGTGTTCAGTGGGTGGATAGAACCATCTGGGTAATTTGCAGAGCTGGGTCCTGCCTAAAATGGCTGTAGGCACCAAAGAGATTTGGGTAAGAGATTTAAAATGGTATCACCATCTGCTTCCCAGGGAATGGTCTTGGATGCTGCTCAAACTAAACAGACCCGGATTTCAGCCCTGCCTTCCCTCAGGTGTCGGACCTTGGACAAGTCACTTCACCCTCTGCACCTCAGTCTCCCCATCTGTCACATGGAAATAATCATTCTGACTCTAGAGCAGTGTTTTGAGGATGAAAGCAGATACACTGTGGGAAACTGCTTCATAGATGGTCTTAATTCAGTAACACTTCACCCAAGGGACCACCTGAAATCCCCCCTTAGCTTCATCAAAGCAATGCCCACAGTTACAGATCCCCTGGCAGGCAGTCGCCAGTCCTTTCTGGAAGGAGCTGGGTATAAATTAGAGATCACAGCCTCTCGGATCAGCTGCCATTCTGGCTCTCACCCCTGCCTGCAGGATCTGGCCCGGCTCTCCTCAGAGCGCTGCTCTGAGGGGGTCTCTGCCTACCCTGCAGTGCTTACCTCTTGCCCCTAGCTTTCCTTCCCCCAGACAGCAAATGCTCCTTGGGCTGGTGTTGAGGGGATGCTCTGGAAGGACTCCCAGAAAGTGGCCTTCCCACTGACCTTGAAAGCCTAGAGCTGACCACACCCAAGTCCCAACCCCCAAGCCCCAGCCCCACTGAGCACATCCATACCATGTTGGAGGCTGTAAGAAGCTGTGTGAAGCAGCCCTATCTTCATAGCAGGGTCCCGCCCTGCTTGGGGAACTGAGCCAGTTTCCTTGGCTCCCCTCCTGGGGCCCCACCCTCCCTGCCACCACTCACATACAATTTGGCCACATTCCCAAGGCCACATGTGGCACTGGGCTTTCTCTCCCTTCCCCAACCCCTCTCAGAGGAACCCTAGCCAGGGCCAGCCTAAGCTAGCAGCCATGGATAGATGACATCCAATTGCAAGCATTTCTTTGCCTGGGATACCTGGGGCTCAGCTGGAAGAGCAGAGGCGAGCCAGCCCTGGAGCCAGCCAGCCAGCATGTCAATCAAGCCACCATTTTCTAGCCCATGGCTTTGGCAAGTCACTCCTCTGCAAGCTCTGTTTTCCTCATCAGTAAAAATGGAGATACCAATCGCACCCACATCATGAGGGCTGCTGTGAGGATTAAATGAGACAACGCAGGAAAATGCTTAGCACAGGGCAGGGAGTAGGTGCGAAACAGATGTTGGTCAGCTCTGATACAGGGCCTGGGCTCAGAAGAACAGCAAGCTTCCCAGGGCACAAAATATAAGTCTGAGAGTGAGGGCTTCCTTCAATTTTGTGCCAGATGCCTTGCTTATCTAGTCCCAGTCCTGCTCTGTTAACGTGTGCAGGTGACACAGAGATGCAAAAAACCTTGAATCACTGGACATTGGTGTCAACCTCCAGGAAGAAGAGAAAGAAACAGGCTCGCCTGCAGGGGGCGCAGTTCCCAGCTCCTGCACCACTTTCCTCACCTCACTTCCTGGGGCTGTGTTCTCATCTGAAGGGCTAATTGGGTTGGTCCCTCCCCACCATCCCCATCCCAGAGTTGTGTGGAGACCATATAAGATAAGGGAGTGAAGGGGCTTTGTATTCTATGGTGGGCTGGACCACTCAAAACATGACGTCCATGACTAGGATCCTTTCCATTCAGCTTCTTCTCCCCAGCTCAGCCCCATTCCTAACAAGTTGGAAGTCCAGGTATTTAAGGTTTCCATTAAACACATTCAGCTACCACTTGATTCTCTTGCTTCATACCTTTGTAGCTGAGAAAAAGAAAGCAAAATTATCCAAAACCTAAGTTGGTAATTAAGTGCTCCACAGCAAGACTCACTGGTCTCACTTCCAATTTAATTTTTTAAACCACCACCACAAATCACCAATCACCACTTTCACTGACTTAAATTGTAGGGAAAATCAAGGAACAGCTCGGATTTTAATCAATGTTTGCTTCGACCATGAAAAAAGAGGTTCCTCTTTTGCTTGTCTCTAATCAGGAGTGTTAATTATCTGGTTACATGCTAGCAAATTAATTATGAACTAATGAAGTTAGGAAGTCATTTGTTAAGGAAAACTGATTACATATTGTTAGCTCTGGGGGATTAAATGGAAAACCACTGTCATGAAAGCAGCTTTAAAAACTAGACCCCATATTTGATCTGAGAGGTTGCCCAGCTGAAAGGATGAATAATGAAGGTGTCCATGGCCCAAAGGCCACCATCACTGCACCCTCCAGACCAGAGGGACCATTTATCTGCTTCACCAGTTCCAGGTTAAAAGGCAGTAACTCTAGAAGAGGTTTTCTTTCCTTAGAGTTGAGAGGACATGTGGGTGAGTGAGTGAGACACAGCAAGTCAGCTGGGGGATGCAGTGATGTGTATATGGCAGGCTCCAACCTGTGGCCCTAAGCCAGCAGTGGCTTCCTGGTGGGTGACTCCAGGGAGGCTGAATGAAAACTATCCCTACTTGCTGGGGAATAGAATAAGACCCATCGGCCACTCTGCCCTTCATGTGGGTTTCCAGAGGCCACCTTGGAAGAAGCAGAAAGTCTGAGACTGAAGGCAAAATGCTCAGGCATGGTCAGAGGTTGGTGATCAAAGTCAGGGCTGAATGACCTTCTCTTTCCCATCCTCTTGTCTCTGTGAACCAGGCCTGTAATACAGGAAGGGAGGAACAGAATGGACTTGCTGGGGTGAAAGTTCATTTAAGGCTTTGATTGCCATGCTAAGAAACTGCTACTTGCAGAACTGCTGTTTGCCTACCAATATCCATTCTCTCATTCTTAGAAGCAGAATCCTTATTTAATTCACTCAGCAAGAAAACTGTATTTCACAGCCTCCCCTGAACCTGAGTGACTACATTCTGGTCAATGAAATGTGAGCAGAGGTTGCTGGGTAGGATTTCTGAGGAAAACAGAAAGCTGATTTTTGTTCTTCTCTGTTTCTTTTTTCTACGTGGAATGTAGATGTGATGGCTGGAGCTCAATAATCATCTTGGATCAGAGGCAACTACTTTGAGGATGAAAGCCACTCACCAACAAAGGTGGAGCAGAAAGGCAGAAGGAATCTATTTCTGATCACTGTGGGAACCCGTACTAGTTCTGGCCCACCTTTCCCTGGACTTCTACATGAGAGGAAAACCAAAACACCTGATTTCAGGTGCTTGTGCCATGGTTTTAATTTGGGGATGTGGGGAGGCTCTTTCTTTGTTCTGAGTTGAATACTATTTCTAAGTCATGCAACAAGGAACATGGCCATCCTCACTATCAGCAGTGAGTAGCCCCAAAGGCTTGGTCCTCTCAAAGCTTGCCAGACTGCAAGCAGAAACCACCCAGAAAGGGGAACCCCCCTGTGAAAGTGGAGAGCAGAAATCTGGCCATGGTGACCCCCCAACACACTCTAGACACACTGGCCCTGCTCTCCTTCCTGTTGTATCAGAACATTCTAGCCCCCCTGAGCCCACCTATGTGCTCAGGTAGACAGGACCCACATAGCCATGGGATTTGGCTGGGAGCTGGGCTGCAGAGCCCTTGGCTTCCTGTATCCCATCCTCATCCAGCTCTGCTTGCCAACCCTCCCTCTAAGGCCACTGCCCATTGAGGTGACCTCTTTCTAAGTCCCATAAGCCTGTCTGCCTGCCTCTCTAAGAGTTCAGCCAAGAGCAGCTGCTATCAGGAGCACCCTCTATCACCATGGTCTTGGAGGACCAGGAAAACAGCCAGTCTCCCTCTCTCCAAGCAGAGGCCTTGGAGATGACCTTCTTCATTCATGTCATGTAAAAGGGGAAAACTGAGGACAAGAAGGGCAGGGATGTGCCCAGTCTCCAGCCCAACAGAGAGAGAGAGAGACCATCTTTGGCCCCTCCAGCTCCTCCTAATCCACCCCTCATTCCAGGATGGGAAAATGGAAAGCTTGAGTCATTACAGCCCCCTTAACTAAGGGTTGGAGAGAATTAGACCCAGGATGAGCCAAACCACACCTCTATATGGCCCACAAAAAGTATTCACTCAGTCATATTCTAGAACAGCATTGTCCACTAGAAATAAATGCCTGTCACATGTCAAGTATGTCCATCTTTTCCTTTAGAGCATCTGGGTTTTGTGACTTGTTTGAGAAGGCTTACACTCCCCAAGATTACAAAAATACTCTCCTATATTTTCTGCAAATATTATCCTATTCTAGTTTTTTTGTTTGTTTAGCTCCTTGCTCCACCTGGAATTTATTTTTGCCCAGTGCTGTTCTTAGCTTATAAAAAGTTAGCCCCTTAATTAGCCAGGCATTGTGGTGCACGCCTGTAATCCCAGCTACTTGGGAGGCTGAGGTACGAGAATTACTTGAACCTGGGAGGCAGAGGTTGCAGTGAGCCAAGATGGCACCATTGAACTTAGTCCCTGGTGCTCGCTTGGGGAGGGAGGAGCTCCCTGGAAGGGCCTGTTGGGTGTGAAATGCAGAAACATAGCTGGAAGAGAGCCCCACATGGCAGAGGACAGAAGCTTCAGTGAGGGTGGAACCCCCAGCTGGGAATCTCAGGCAGATTTCTAATGCCTGAGAACCTCAATTTACCCTCTGTAATATGGGGCTATCAATGCCTCACACCATAGTTGTGGGGATTAAATAGCCTCTCTATGCCTCTGTTTCCTCCTCTCTAAAGGGGATAAGAATGACTTCCTCACTGGTTTGCTGTGATGATCAGCACACTCTGCAGCTTGCAACAACCACTATTAATAACAACATCTCTCATGGTTCTGAGAGTTGACTAGGCTCAGCTGGGAGGTTCTCACTTGGAGTTGCTCGTGTCCTTGTGGTTAGATACGAGCAGGAGCTGCAGTCATCTGAAGGCTTGACTGAGCAAACATCCAAAATGGCTTGCTCAAGTGGCTAGCTATAGGGTAAATGCACCTGACAGCAATAATTGAAACATATCCTTAGAATGACCACACATGGCAGATGCACCTGAATGTGTGCTCCCAGTTAGGGAATCCAGGAATGGCCAACCTGGAGAGTCATTACTTATCTATGAGAAACTCTATGATAAACATTTGAAACATCTGAGCTCCACTCCTACCCCCCAACCCACCCGCTGCATGTCGCATGGAACAGGGGATGGAGGCCCTGAGTTTTGGGTTAAATGAAGGTTACCAGATTAAGGTTGTTAGAGGGAAGGTGTTAAATGAAAATGCTACCAAAACGGCATGATCTTTGCAGGTGATTGCAGTTTTCCTGCCCAGCCCACCGCCTCTGGACCATAGGAAAGGGGATATCTTGTCCAGTCCACTGCCACAGGACCATTTCTGTATGTGAGGTGGTTCTCCTATCCAGCCTGCTGCCACTGGACCCTCCCCTATATGTAAGCCCCGAATAAAACCCCATGTCTCATTTGCTACCTCTGGGTCTCTTCTCTGCCACTGGGTTCCAGCGCCTTCCCTATTGAGATTAATAGGGGTTTGGCACAACACTGACAGTGAATGGGACTGCTGGCGGGGGTGGGGGCTGCTTTAGACAGGTGGTCAGGGAGGGTTTCTCTGAGGAGGAGAGGAGCTGAGGCCTGAATCGTGAGGAAGCAGATGTGCAAATGCCTGGAGGAAGCCTCTTTCTAGCTGAACAGCAATGTTGAAGGTGGCTCTGCTGGAAGACCTAAGTCCCACGGGCAGGTGAACTAAACCAGCCAGTGAATGAGGCAGCTGATGCGGTCTGCCTTGGAAGTGAGTTCTACAGAAGAAAACAGAACTGCAATGAAGCAGGGCGGGGTGGGGGGTGGCAGGGACGGTAGCTGCAGGAAGCCTGCCTGGCACATGGCTTGGGAAAGTGAAACTGGGGCCAGGATCCTCCCTCATCCGGGAAACTGCCTCACTTATGTAATCAGGGCCTTCTAACTGAATTAGGATATTTCTCCATTCTTCAAGTTTTATTATTGCCATCAGCGACAAGTCAGTGACAGCTTGCCCCAGCAGAAATAGCATGACCGGAGACAGAATGCAAGATAACAAGCCTTCTTTTATGAAGTGAGCCCAGCAGGCATGCGAAACACCCCTCGCTCTATTCCCTTCTCTTTGACATGAACAGCTGCACTAATGTGAGTTTACCCATCAGATTAAAAATAATTTGCTAAATATCACGGTGGAGTTATTTCTAAGTGGCTTCAGTTACTGTAAGATACATTCACACTCCCTGCTTAACAGTGAGGTGCAGCTAGACAACAAAAGCAGGGATTTGAGCAAAACTCCAGATAAATTAGACACGTATTCACATTTCAGTTAGGTAGTTTTGTAGCCTGGGTTATTTAGCTATTTGTCCTTATTTATTTTATTTTTTTTTTTGGTATAAATACATGACTAGAGATTGGAAAGGATCACCATTCAGTTGAATTTTATTTATTTATTTATTTATTTTTATTTTATTTATTTATTTTTTTTGAGACAGTCTCCCTCTGTCACCCAGGCTGGAGTGCAGTGGCATGATCTTGGCTCAGTGCAACCTCCACCTCCTGGGTTCAAGCGATTCTCCTGCCTCAGCCTCCTGAGTAGCTGGGATTACAGGTGCCTGCCAGGATGCCCAGTTAATTTTTGTATTTTCAGTAAAGACGGAGTTTCGCCATGTTGGCCAGGCTGGTCTCAAACTCCTGACCTCAAGGGATCTGCCCACCTCAGCCTCCCAAAGTGCTGGGATTACAGGCATGAGCCACTGGACCTAGCTGAATTTTATTGCTTTTGAACAAAAACTGATGAGGCTATCTTGAGTCAGCACCAAACTAGGCTCTTTGGGGAAATCATAAAGTTGAATTAAGACCCAATCCCCACCCTCAAGTAGTTCACAGCCTGGTGGGAAGGGGTACACAGATACATAAACAACTAAATCTTAAGAAAAAATAGAAAGAAATAAGAACTGATAGAGGGGTCTCAATACAGGGTGTATGCACAGAAGAATAATTAATTCTGCTGGGAGGAGAGGCAATATGGCTACGCTTATGGAGGTCGTAGTCATTGAATTGGGCCTTTGGCTGAATGTTTTTGTTTTGTTTGTAATAAAAAGCCAGAGGAAGCCATGTACAAAGACACAGTGTCCTAAAGCCCCAAACATCAGAGCCAGGGTCGTGCATCTACCCAAGGAGGGATTTTGACTCAAGCATTCAAATTGGTTCTCCACACTAGATGAACATCAGAATCACCCAGCGAGTTTTGAAACACTCCCTGAGCCACATTCTGCAAAGATCCTGACCTAATTGGCCTGGGGTGAAACCTGGGCAGCCTTAGAGTTTGAAGAACCCGCAGGTGATTCAAATATGCAACCAGATTGTGTTCTCTTCCTGGGGAGAAACAACAAAGG
This sequence comes from Homo sapiens, assembly GCF_000001405.40. Lineage (NCBI taxonomy): Eukaryota > Metazoa > Chordata > Mammalia > Primates > Hominidae > Homo > Homo sapiens. Next base: position 118,833,870 of record NC_000010.11, read on the forward strand.
TAGACTAAGCCAGTGGTTCTCAAAGTGAAGTCACCAGGCCAGCTTCACCTGGGAAATTGTCAGAAATGCAAATTATCAGGCCCACCTTAGACCCACTGAATCAGAAACTTGGGGTAGGGGTAGACCCAGGAAGATGTGTTTCAACAAGCTGTATTAGTCCATTCTCACGTTGTTATAAAGATACTACACGAGATTGGGTAATTCATTTACTTTTTGAATGTAGGTAATTTATTTAGAAAAATATATTTTAGACTATAAACATTAAAGATAGTGTTTTAAAATACTTTATTTTTATTTTAATTATTTTAATGTATTTTCTTTTACTTTTTTTAAAGTTTATTAAGTTCCAGGGTACATGTGCAGGATGTGCAGGTTTGTTAAATAGGTAAACATATGCCATGATGGTTTGCTGCACCTATCAACCCATCACCTAGGTATTAAGCCTAGTATGCATCAGCTCTTTTCCCTAATGCTCTCCCCTGACCCCGGCTCACCCTCCCCTGACAGGCCCCAGTAAGTGTCGTTCCCCTCCCGGTGTCCATGTGTTCTCATTGTTCAGCTCCCACTTATAAGTAAGAACATGTGGTATTTGGTTTGCTGTTCCTGCGTTAGTTTGCTAGGGATAATGACTTCCAGCTTCATCCATGTCCCTGTAAAGGAATAACCTCATTCCTTTTTATAGCTGCATAGTATTCCATGGTATATATGTACCACATGTTCTTTATCCAAAAGACTGGGTAATTTATAAACAAAGGAGGCTTAATTGACTCACAGTTCCACATGGCTGAGGAGGCCTCAGGAAACTTACAATCATGGTGGAGGGAGAAGCAGTCATGTCTTACATGGTGGCAGGAGAGAGAGAACATGAGCACGCAAAGAGGGAAGAGCCGCTTATAAAACCCTCAGATCTCATGAGAACTCACTCATTATCAGGAGAACAGCATTGGGGAAACCCGCCCCCATGATCCCAACACCTCCAACTAGGTCCCTCCCTTGACACGTGGGCATTACAATTCCAGATGAGACTGTGGTGGGGACACAGAGCCAAACTGTATCACAAGCCCTCCAGGTGACTCTGTTAAGAGCCATTAAACTAATGATAACAGCAGCAGGACAGTGGCAAAGATGCCTTTGTCTGTTATCAGTGTGTCCTTACATCTTTCTGTAATTCTGCAATAATGAACGCTGCCATTTATGGGGGCACTTGCTGTATGCCTGGTCCGTACACTAACTCACTTTATTGAAACTCTTTTAGGTGGGTCTTATTATCACCCCACTGTACAGGTGAAGAATTTGAGGCTTAAAGCTCCTAAGCTTCCTGAAAGTCATACAGCTAATACCCCATGCAGTTCCAGATCCAAAGCCAGGTTTCCATGCCTTCACATCTGTGCCTGTTCCATTTTGCCCTAGTATGTGTTCTACAATATGTTTTGTAAGTATTGTGTAGGTGTGGGTACTGGTTAGAGGGGCCTAAGAACCCCCTGCCTAGACAGGGATTGAGAGTCTCCTGATAAGGAGAACAATTCTATTTGCACCTGGAGTTCTGTCTTTATAGAAACAGCGTGATTGCTTGGGAAGAGGATGCTGACCTAGAACTCTGCTAAGCCTCTGTCAGTTCTCTGGACCTTAGGATAACCCTCTTCCAGGGGGCAATTTGTTTGAATTGTGAGGTAAGGACCTCAGAGGAAGTAAGAAATAAACAGCCCCTTTAGCAGCTCCGCTTTCTCCTTCTCTTGTGGTTTTGGTCTGCTAGCACCATCAGCTTGGCAGTCCCGCCCTACTGACAAGGAATCCAGAGGATTTCCAGAAATGTTCTCCCAGAAAGGCAGAGAGGAAGCATAAGAAGGTAAGTGTGGAGGTGACCTGTACTGCCTCTAGCTGTGGTTGAGCTGAAGGGCTGAGAAGAGCAGCTGGCAGTGCTGCAGTGGCCAGACTCAGCCAGCCTGGCCAGCCCTGCAGAGATGGCACCTGCCCACTGCCATCCATCTCCTCTCCCTCCCCACCTCTTCCCCAAAGGCCTTCCTGGTTAGTTCTCCCACGCTCAGTCCTCTGGCCTCCAGCCAGGACAGCACCTGGGATATGGATGAAGCAAGATGAGTCACAGCTTTCTGGAAATTGATGGGCTAGGCAAACTCCCAGAGGGCAGAGGCTGGGTCCAGTGTGCTCCTCCAGAAGCCTTGTCCAGAGTGGGCTATGCCTGGCACATGAGCTACCATTGGAGGAGATATGGGCACCTAAAGTGACCCTGCATGTGGTCCTGGCTTCTGAGTGTGTCTTTTCTGGCAGGGAGCCAGGACTGGGCTCAAGTGATCAAGGCCCAGGAATTGTTTTCCAAATTTAATGTGTCTCAAACAGTAATGCTCACCAGGGATCTGCTACCATGCAGCCTCTAATTCAGCACGGCTGGGCCTCTGCATCTCTAACAAGCTCCTACGATGCCAATGATCCTGGCCCCCAGACCTCACTCTGAGTAGTGAGGAGGATCTAACTTAACCTACTACATTCCCAGGGGTGCTTTGGTCTGAAGAGGAGACATTCCAGCAGGGGCTGGCAGACGTGTAAAGAGAACAACATCAAGTGGTGAAATAGGTGAGCTTGGGAGTCTAACAAGCAGTCACGTCACTTGTCTGAGCCTTATTTTTCTCAGCTATTTTAATGAAAATAACTACTTCATTGGAGTTTTTGAGGAATCGAATGTGCTAAAATTTGTAAGATCTGAATTACTTCTTCTGTCCAATCAGAATATTAAAGATCAAAACGTTTGCTTACGGACATGTGTTTGACCAAGATGGAGTAGTCAGGGCTGCAGTATATGCCTGGGAAGAAACTACCCAAGGCCACAGAGAGAATTTCTCAAAGCAGAGCCAGAAATAGTGCCTATTCCCACCAGCCCGACTGGAAAACTTCATAATTCATGGGCATTGACTATTCAGAAAAGTCTGGCCTCAGTAGTGGGGAATAATTAATGCCAGCCTGAGCCCTGCCTACCAAATCGTAAAAGCAAAACCCAAAGGGGTCAAACTGTAAAGGTCAAGAATTTGAAGATATCCAACACCCAACAAGGTAAAGTTCACACCATCTGACATCCAATCAAAAATTACAAGGCATGCAAAGAAGAGGAAAAATAGAACCCTAATGAGAAAAATCAAGCAATCAAAACCCAGAAATGACACAGATGTCAGAAATAGCACACAAGGACATTAAAACAATTATAATTGTATTCCATATGTTCAAAAAGTTACATATGGAATATATTTTTTAAATGACCAAAATTAAACTTCTAGAGATTAAAACTACAACATCTCAGAACAAAAGCAACACTGGATGTGATTAGTAGATTAGACATTGCAGAAGATTAATGAATTTGAAAACACAGCAATAGAAATTATCCAAAATGAAATAGGTTTTTTAAAAAGGGATTTTAAAAACTTTAAGAGCATCAGTGATCTCTGGAACAACTTCAAGCAACCTATAGCAATAATACACATATAATTGGAATCCCAGAAGAAAGTAAAGGCTATGAACAGGAAAATATTTGTTTGATTCAGCAGATATAGGGCAGGGCCCAAGAACTTAAGTTTCCAGGTGATGCTGAAAAACTGCTCCAAGGTAGGAGTTGACAAACTACAGCTTATGGGCCAAATCCAACTCGCCACCTGTTTTTGTAAAGTTTTATTGGAACGCAATCACTGTGTTAGTCCATTCTTGCATTGCTATAAAGAAATACCTGCGACTGGGTAATTTATAAACAAAAGAGGTTTAATGTGCTCACGGTTGTGCAGGCAATACAGGAAGTATGGCTGGGAGGCCTCAGGAAACTTACAATCATGGCAGAAGATGAAGGGGAAGCAGGCACAACCTACATGGCTGGAGCAGGAGGAAGAAAGAGAGAAGGGGGAGGTGCTACACACTTTTAAACAACCAGATCTCATGATAACTCACTATCATGAGAATGGTACCAAAGGGGAAATCCAACCCCATGATCCAATCATCTCCCACCAGGCTCCACCTCCAACACTGGAAATTACAATTTGACATGAGATTTGAGCAGGGACACAGATCCAAACCGTATTGGTTACATTGCTTTACATGTTCTTTTTTTTTTTTTTTTTTTTTTGAGATGGCGTCTCACTCTGTTGCCCAGGCTGAAGTACAGTGGCATGATCTCAGCTCACTGCAACCTCTGCCTCCTAGGTTCAAGCGATTCTCATGCCTCAGCCTCCCGAGTAGCTGGGATTACAGGCACCCGCCACAACGCCTGGCTAATTTTTGTATTTTTAGTAGAGATGGGGTTTTACCATGTTGACCAGGCTGGTCTTGAACTCCTGACCTCAAGTAATGTGCCTGCCTCAGCCTCCCAAAGTGCTGGGATTACAGGCGTGAGCCACTGTGCCTGGCCAATTTACATGTTCTCCATAGCTATGGTGCTACAACAGCAGAGTTGAGTTGTTTCAACAGAGACCATGTGGCCTATAAAGCCTAAAATATTTCCTATCTGATCCTTTACAAAAAAGGTTTGTTGATCCCTGCTTTAGGGGATATACAGGAAGAAGTGTGATCCCTGCCTTCATGGAGTTAGCCTTGTAGGGAAGACAAGTAATGACACACACATACAAACACAAGTAAGAATTACATTTGTGTTACGTGCTGTGAATAAGTACCAGTAAAACCAGTACAATCAGGGAGGCTGAGCAAAGCTTCCTTGAGGAAATGATATTGATGCTGAGGCTTGAAAGAGGAACGGAATTGACCAGGCGAACCTTGCAGGAAGAGCTGACCAAGCACCAGAGTTATGTGTGTGAAGGTCCCTTTCTTAGTCAACTCAGGCTGCTATAACAAATTACCATAGACTCGGAAGCTTATAAACAACAAATTTATTTCTCACAGTTCTGGAAGCTGGAAGTTGGAGATCAGGATGCCAGCATAGTTGGGTTTTGGTGAGCGCCCTCTTCTTGGTTATAGAATTCCAACTTTTCATTCTCCCACGGTGAAAAGAGGGTGAGCTAGCTCTCTGGTTTTTTCTTATAAAGCCACTAATACTAATCCCACCCATAAGGGATCTATCTACCCTCATCACCTGATTACCACCCAAAGGCTCCTTCTCCAAATACCATCACATTGGGGATTGAGTCTCAATGTATGAATCTGAGGGGGACAAACGTTCAGTGCATAACAGCCCCCAAAGCTGGAAGGAGATCAGCAGGGTGAGCAAGGGGTAGGGGTGGATAGCACGAAGCCTGGGGAGGAGGAAGGGATGGGGCCAGGCCCTCCCACCAGGTGAGGAGGTAGGTCTGTATCCTAAGAGGACCGGGTTAGCCACTAAAATCCTTAAGCATAGACTACATAATTACACTGGCATTTTGAGGCAATTGGTTTGTTGATTGTGTAGACAGTGTGGAGAGTAGATTGGACAAGGACAGAGTGGAAATGGGTGGACGAGTTTGGAAGTCCCTCCAGGTGAGAAGTGATGGTGACTCAGACTTAGGAGGGCAGGGGAGAGAGAAAACTGGACCATTTCCAAATGCAGGCTTAGATTAGGTTCCGTGTGGACTCAGGGGGGACCTGGGAGAAGAGGGGCTCTGGGGGTGGGGCAGAGGTCATGGCCAGGAGGAAAGGAGTCTTTACAGGTCACTTCCCTAATTTGCCATGCCTCCTGCCTGTCCATCACAACCAGCTGATCCACCCTGTGCCAGCGAGCAGAGGCTCAGTCCCTGGGTCAGGCCCAGCTGGGGTGACCAACCATCCCATCTGCCCAGGATTGAGGGGTGTTCTGAGAGCCTTCAGCTAAATTGGGGTTCCAGTACCAGCACAGCTGGCAACCCTGCCCTAATGAGAAATGAAGAGGAGGTGAACATGTTGTTTACAGGACGCCTTTCACACGATCCTTCTACTTGTCGGATGGCCTAATGTCTGGTTATCCAACCTTCAAATGGAGGGTGCCTGGCATAGGAAATGTGTTTATGCTGGTAGACGATCTTGTGTCTTGTCTGACCTGTGTCCAGTTTGTGTCTACCTGACCGTCACTCTGGCCCTCCTGGAAGCCCAACCTTGTGTTTCTCACCACTCCCATGTCCCAGGGAAAACCCAGTGGGGTAGCCCCCAGTTCTTCAGATGGAAGGCGCAAGTTCGATACACGACCATGACAGGAAGTCAGTTCAAATATTTTTACTTACAGATCCGGGGCAGGGAAGGCACCATGGGTAAGGAGGGCAGTCCACTGTCCGTGGGTCATGGAATGCAGGAACAAAGAGTCAAGCAGAGGGAAAGAGACAGAGAGATACAGAGACAGAGAGAGACAGAGAGGCAAAGAGTAGTATATAAGGGAATAGGAAGTGAGTCACCTTAAGTTCATGGGCAGCTGTCTGAATGGCCCGTTTAAAGGAAGCAGCAGGAAGGCGGGGGCGGGGGAGCCCATCTGGTGGGCGGGAGAGAGGCCTCTAAGTTCTCACCTGGAGCCGCGGCTTGAGTCATTTGGGTGTGGAGCTGGAAACTGTCTCAAGAGTCTCAAGAGTAACTGAGCCCTGCTTCTGGTAGGAGAAAGTTAAATGTGTATCCAAGATGGATGCTGAGGCAACATAAAATTATAAGAATTCACTGCAAAGGTTTCCCAGGGCACAGGACTTTCAGTGTTGGTCAACCGAGGCCCATGTCCATGTCTCTTTATTGAGAGGAAGGTCAACAGCCTTGGTGGGTAGCTTGGGAAGGGTAAGGCTACATGGCCAGAGGGTGGGCTGAGTGCACATTGCCTTGGTTCCGGGCCAGTTTGAACTCATTTCTTGAATATTGAAGGGCCCCGGCTCCACCTGCACAGCGTTCTCCAGTGACAGAGTGCTTTTGTGACTGTCGTCTCTCTGGGCCCCACAACAGCCACATAGGATGAAGAGAACCAGTCAGGTGTAGGAGCCATATATTATGGATGAGGAAATTTTGGCTGGTGTGTGTTGGGTGGGGGACTGTTAAGTGGTTCACCTGAGTGACCCCAGTTGAGAAGGAGCCAAGTGAGAGTCAAAGCTGTGCCCCTGACCCCATCAGCTGTCCTGACCCCTGCGGCTCAGCTGCCCACTCTGGGCTGTCTGTGGAACCAAGTGTGGGCTCACCCCAGGGCCTTGGTGGGGAGACCGAAGTGCGCCCCCACACCCGGCCATAGAAAGCTCCCAGCCTCAAGGGCCAAAGAATGGTGTTCTCAAACTGCCATGCCACAGGACAAACTGAGCTCACTGAGGGGACAGGAGAAGAAACGTGGGGCCATGAGGTCTCGGGAAGAAAGGGTGCTGGTGGAGGAACCATGGAGGACAGAGCCTAGAGGAGTAATCAACCCCTGTGTCTCCTCATCCATGCCTTGAGGCACATGGGCCAAATCACAGCTTCCCACCGGCCTGAATGTGTGAATCACTGGGCAGCTTGTGGACAGGACAGATGCCCAGCCCCACCCCAGACCTGGAGAGAGTGATATGTCCAAGGAATCGCGGCCCAGGGCTTCCTGTTCTTCAAAGCTCAGCAAGTGGGTCTGACAAGGACTCAGGTCTGAAACCATTCTCCAGCCAGTATCTGTGGCTCTTCCCAGCTGTGCGAGTGCCTTGAAATCCATACCGTTTATGAACCTTCTGTCAGCAGATTTTAGGAGGCAGCCGCCTTATGAGATGAGTGATATTAATCCATCCATTTCACAGATTAGGAAATTGGCCCTAGCTGAGACCTGCTAGTTCGTGGCTCATTTCGCTCAGCCTTAATTCTATCCAGAGCCCCAGTTGTCTCAAACCCACACTTCTAAATGACCCTAATTCACAGGTTGGCAAACTCTTTCTGTAAAGGGCCAGACAGCAAATCTTTTAGCCTCTGCCATGCACACAGACCTCAATTGCAGCCTCTTAACTCTGCCGTCGCAGCACAAAAGCAATCTTGGACATTATATAAATGAATGGTTGTGTTCCAATAAAACTCTATAGACACAGAGGTAGAAGTTCATATGTTTTACATGGCACAAAATACTTTTTTTATTTTTTTCTCCCACCATTTAAAAATATATTTTAAAATTCTTAGCTCACAGGCTATACCAAAACAGGTCTAGATTTGGCCCACAGGCCACAATGTGTCAATGCCTGCATTAATCCACTCATGTATCAGTGATGGCAGCGGCAGGCCATCTGGAGCAGCCACTGCCATCACGCTGGCCACGCAAGGAGGCACAGCCAAGGCTGCATGCTTCGTGGAGCCAGCAGGAGCCGAGGACAAGTGAGAGCCCAGCCCCTTCCAAGTTGGGGTGGGAGCTCCCTGGGTGTTGCTGCAGCCGCCCAAGCCACGGCTGCTGACCCAGGTTCTTGGGGCCCAGGAGCAGGTGGGAGCCCCACCCTCCCAGGGACACAGTTGCAGCCACCCAAATCTTGGCTGTAAACCTGGGCCTCCCACTCCACGGAGCAGGCAGGAGCCCCAGCCTCCCAGGCATAGCTGCAGCCACCGAAACTGCAGCTGCAGACCTGGGCCTCGTGCTCCATGGATCAGGCAGGAGCCCAGCGCCCCCGGGTGCAGCTGCAGCCGCCCAAACCATGGCTGTGGAACCAGGCATCCCTGCTCTCTTGGGGGCCCAGGAAGGCCCAAGTACCCCCCGACCCCCTGCCGCTGCCACCCTCACCGGCTTGCAAGCGCCTGCTCCTGCTGCCTGGCTTCTCCCTGCTGTCAGTGCCTGCTCCAATCTCAGAGCAAAGTCAGGGCCAAGACTGGGTGCTGTTGTGGCCCAGCTGGGTGTGCACACACTCGGAGCAGTGCTGACATGCCAGCCCCCTGCCTCTTCAGCCCCCTCTGGACTTTGGGTGCCACGAACATAGGAGGGAAGCTGAGTGGGGGCTGAGGGCAGCTCGGCACTGGCCTGCAGGCACCCCTTGGCACCTACAGCCTGGGCACCAAGAACAGCAGCAGGAGGCAGACAGGTTCCTGGGTGGATGGGGATGGTCCTGGTGAGGCCCCACCTTTAGGCCAGGGAGGGCTGGGCTGCCAGTCCCACAGACTGGAGTGGGAACTTGTGGTGCCTTTTCCAGACCCACCTATGGCTGCCCATGGGCCAATCAGCATACACTTCCTCCCCTCTGAGGCCCATAAAAACCCCAGGCTTAGCCAGAGCTGAGCAGACATTGGGATGACCAGCTGCAGGGAGGAGCTACCCACTCTAGGGCCTCCTCTCTGCTGAGAGCTGCACAGATAATGGGAAGACCAGCTGCAGAGAGGAACTACCCTCTCTGCTGATAGCTGAACACTTGCCAGGACAACCTGCATAGCAGAGAGGAGCTACCCTCTCTGCTAGGAGCTGAACACTGGTCGGGACAACTTGCATAGCAGAGAGGAGCTACCCTCTCTTCTAGGAGCTGAACACTAGTCAGGACAACTTGCATAGCAGAGAGGATCTACCCTCTCTGCTGATAGCTGAACACCTGCCAGGACAACTTGCATAGCAGAGAGGAGCTACCCTCTCTGCTAGGAGCTGAACACTGGTTGGGACAACTTGCATAGCAGAGAGGAGCTACCCTCTCTGCTGATAGCTGAACACTTGCCAGGACAACTTGCATAGCAGAGAGGAGCTACCCTCTCTGCTAGGAGCTGAACACTGGTCGGGACACTCTGGCTGCAGAAAGGAGCTGCCCCCTGTAGGTTTCCTCTGAGCTATTCTATGGCTCAGTGAAGCTCCTCTTCAACGTAGTCACCCTCCACTTGTCTGCATACCTCATTCTTCCTGGTCACAGGGCAAGAACTTGGGGCCGGCTGAATGGTAAAACTAAAAGAGCTGTAACACAAACAGGGCTGAGACATGCCCCTTGCTCACCACATTGTGGGTGAGAAGGAAAGAAGAGCTACAGGATGGGCAAAGAGAAGGAAAGAAGAGCTACGGCCCTTCAGGGGCCCAGACTTGGGAGCTCCTGAACCAGGGCTGTGACTCACTCTTTGGGGCCCTGTGGTTCATGGTATCTCCAACCTTCAGGGCATCACTGTGTTCCCTTGGGCCAGCCATGGAAGCAGGTTGTGGTGTGCCTGGTCCTGCCATAACCTAGCAGTGAGCCGGCACCCATGCCAGCACCTGGAGCTGCCTGCCTTGCTGCAGCAGCCAGCATGTCTGACTGTGCGCAGTGGCCGGACCCCATGCTCTCTCATACACCCCTTGCCATTCCACACCTGACTTGCCCTTGGCAGAGGTGAGTCCCAGGCCAGTAGCATAAGCCAAGTGCAGCCTGCCAGGCCAACTGGGTGAAACGAACCCAGCGGGCCTGAGTGAAACTTGGGCAAAGGCACCACTGGCACAGAGGTTTCCAGCCAGAAAAACAACACCCCAAAAATCCTGTAACATGAGGCAAGCAACTCTTAATAGCAATGACCTGGGGTGGGGGGGCGGGTCTGGGCCCTGTCAGTAGTGGTGGTCTTGTGTCCATCACTTCATTCCACCCTTGCTCCTCTTGGCTTGTCCTTAGGCCTGCCCAGCCCTTAGCTCTCTGATTCCCAGACTGCACTCATTTCTCTCTTTTTTTTTTTTTTTTTTTTTTTGAGACGGAGTCTCGCTTTGTCGCCCAGGCTGGAGTGCAGTGGCGCGATCTCGGCTCACTGCCAGCTCCGCCTCCTGGGTTCACGCCATTCTCCTGCTTCAGCCTCCTGAGTAGCTGGGACTACAGGGGCCCACCACCACGCCCGGCTAATTTTTTGTATTTTTAGTAGAGATAGGGTTTCACCATGTTAGCCAGGATGGTCTTGATCTCCTGACCTCGTGATCCACCCATCTCAGCCTCCCAAAGTGCTGGGATTATAGGCATAAGCCACTGCGCCCGACTGACTGCACTCATTTCTAAAGACAGCACTATCCACTCTACCACTGTGCCTTAAGGAGCCTAGCCTCAGGGCCTTTCCTAGAGATGAGACACTTCAGACTGCTTGGAAATTCAAGGTAGGGGCAAGTATTTATTTCCAAAGAAAATCTTATCCTCACAGCCAGTTTGCAACCACAGCCTAAAGTGGGGAAGGCGCACCCAGGCCTGGGTAAGCCTGTTGTCAGAATTGAATGGTTTAGAAGTCACATTGGTTTGGTGCTTTTCACAAGCAGCTCCTTCTGCATTTTATCCTGAAGTTCTCATGACACTGAACTCTTTCAGCGGATTATTTTAGCTACCAGCCAATTCTGTAATCTCTATCCCTGGGGTCAAGTTCAAAGAGAATTCCAATGTGATTAAGTAAACATATGCAAGTAGTAGATTTATGGGCTACTGTGCTATTCTTTGTGATGTTGGCATTGGAGGAAGGGAATTTTAACAGCTCCTGTGTGCTCAGTTTATTTTCTAAGAAATTAACTCATCAGTCCCCATTGTGGATAAAAGCACTTCTTGGGACATTTAAAATTCAAAGTCATGGCTCTCTTTGAAGAGGAGGAGGTGGGGAAAGGATCTGGAGGAGGAGATGATTAACAAGAAAGGACCGGTGATGAACCTCAGCTGTTTGTGAATGCATGTGGCTTGTGGAGAGGAGCGGAAGTGAGTTTCAGGTATTTCAGTCCATCATGACTGTGAAATTGAACTGTAAATGCTACCTGGAGCAGTGGGCTGGAACTGCCCCACGCAGGGAGTTAATGGAAACGTGGAGAGCCTTTTTCTTTTAACAAAGTACTTGAGCAATTATTTTAGCCCATCCACTGCACAGGGGACCAAGCAGGCTGCCGGGTTACTGAGGCAGTTAGAGGCAAAATAAATTTTCTAACAGCCTTTCCCATTCAGATACTGTGGTCCTGATTTGCCACTGGCAACAAGTGATGTTTGGTGCCCAAACCCTTCCCAGCCACCACTTCAGTCCCGGGGTGCAGAGGCCCCAAGGAAAACAATTGGTCAAGGGATTCAAGGCACAGCCTTTTCCCTGTATGAGGAGCTGTTATCATCCCACCTTTCCATAAGAGCATCTCACTTTACAGTTGAGAAAATTGAGACTTGGGGAAGTTACTTAGGCAGAGCTAAGGCTGAAAATCAAGTCAGCTCATCTGAATCCTGTGTTCTTTTCATTATGCCACCATGATATGACCCTCAGTATCCTGAAATATCTCATGCCTCAGCCCTCAAATCAAACTAAGCAAGGGTCAAGTCAAGACTTGCTGGGGATGCCTTAGCCTTGAATAAGAAAAAAGGGAAAATGGCGGGGAGGCAATGTCAAAGCAGCTGGAGTCCCACTGAGATCTGTGAGGACAGACCTGCATGGGCGTGTCAGGGAAAGCCAATGGTGGTTCCACCAGATCTGTGTTTGCAAGAAGGCCAAGCTGCATCTTGAGATCCATTCCATGGGGAAAAAGGGAGGCTAGGTGGAAGTTATTGCCCCAGAAACAGATTTTTGGAGGGGAGAGAGCTCGATGTGGTATTTGTTGTTTGTATGGGTTGGCTCCCCAGCTGGCCCCTGTGGATTCCTGATGGAATTTTACAGACAGCAGAAGCTGGGAAGAGAAAGGTAGCTTAGTGCATACTCATTAACAGGTTCTGAGGCCAGGCAGCCTAAGCCTAGTCCTGCTGCCCACCTCTTAATACCCATGAGACCTTGTATAAGTTATTTGACTAACCTGTGTGTACAGGTTGGGTATCCCTTACCTGAAATGCCTGAGATCAGAAGTGTTTCAGATTTTTTATTTTTTCAGATTTTTGAATATTTGCATTAGACTAACTGGTTGAGCATCCCAAATCAGAAAACCTGAAATCCAAAACGCTCCAATGGGCATTTCCTTTGAGAGTCATGTCAGATGTCAGTGCTCAAAGAGTTTCAGATAGTGGAGCATTTTGAATTTTGGATTTTCTGATCTGGGATGCTCAAGCAGTATCATGGGATTTTAAAAAGTGAATGATTTTATGATTTTCTAATTCTATCATTCTCAGATCCTTGGCATAGGAGAAAATGGACAAATATGTAAGAGAGAAGAAATCTAGTAAAGGATCTGTGGTCAAATTTGAGTAGGAGGCATCAGTAAGTTGTTTTTGTTTTGTTTTGTTTGTTTTTTTGAGACGTTATTTCGCTCTAGTTGCCCAGGCTGGAGTGCAGTGGCTCAATCTCGGCTCACTGCAACCTCCACCTCCCGGTTCAAGTGATTCTCCTGCCTCAGCCTCCTGAGGAGCTGGGATTACAGGCATGCGCCACCACGCCCGGCTAATTTTGTATTTTTAGTAGAGATGGGGTTTCACCATGTTGGTCAGGCTGGCCTCAAACTCCCAACCTCAGGTGAACCACCCACCTTGGCCTCCCAAAGTGCTGGGATTACAGGCGTGAGCCACCGCGCCCAGCCCTGTAAGTATTTATGATATATTTTATCTTTAAAAAGAAAAGAACTATTTACAAGATTTACTCACTGAAAAGGCCTAGAAACAATCACCAATCCAGGAGAAATAAGCATCCCTCACAGCTAGATGGGGCATTTGAAATACCATTTCCCTTCTAAAGGAACTCGGAAATGACTGGTTCCAGAACTGGTTCAGGAAATATACAAGATGAGACTCATGAGGACACAAATGTATCAACATTCATCTACTAGTTTATAGAAAATACAACAAACCAAGGAACATGTTAAAGGACACCAAGCAGATGTAACAGCAAAACCCAGACTGGAGGAAGCCCTACGAGGAAAACAACCTGGTTTCTTCCACGATTACGTTGCAGGAGGAAAACAGGGGATGGAGGCAGGAAACAACAGAATAAACTAAAACTTAAGAGTCAAGACAACAGGACTCAGAGGCTAACTTGAAGAAACTGCCACTGGCCAGAGTTGGGAAAGTCTGAACATCAATAAGGGTAATAAACTGCTGTGGATGGAAACACAGCAAATACATTGAAACCCATGAAGTCCATAATGCTACTAAAACAACTAACTGATTGTCATTGTAGGATGCTGGGGAACCCATTTATTAGTTGATTAAAACTGATTAAAGGCAGGGCAAGGTGGCTTATGCCTGTAATCTCAGCACTTTGGGAGGCCGAGGCACTTTGGATTGCTTGAGTCCAGGAGTTTGAGAACAGCCTGGGAAACATGGCAAAACCCTGTCTCTACCAAAAATAAAACAAAAAAGTTAGCTAGGTGTGGTGGCGTGTGCCTGTAGTCCCAGCAAGTTGGGAGGCTGAGATGGGAGAATCACCTGAGCCCCGGACGTTGAGACTGCAGTGAGCCAAGATTGTGCCGCTACACTCCAGCCTGGGCAACCAGAGAGAGACCCTGTCTAAAAAAAAACAAACAACGAAAAAAAAAAAAAAAACACTGATTAAATTGAAAGAATTAAATATTTAACCTGTCTTTCCAATAAGGATTGTGCCACCAGGGAACTCAAGAGTTGATGGGGGTTAAGTTTCTCTTTCTAGAAGTATCCCAGCTAGTAAATAAGAAAGAATGATGGAATTCGAATGTCACCATTTTGTAATCCCTAGTGAATTCAGATTCATTCATTAACCATTGAAGCATTGATCCTCAATGGCTGCTAACATGAGAGAGAGAGAGAATCAGACACTGTGTGCCTCCTGGTAGAAGATCACACCAACACCTATGAAGTAGTGATTTTTTTTAAAAAATGAACCTGAATCAGCTGGAGCTTCTAGATTCAACTACCAGTTTATAGAAAATACAACAAACCAAGGAATGTGTTAAAGGACAGCAAGCAGGTGCAACAGCAAAACCCAGATTGGAGGAAGCCCTATGGGGCAAACAACCTGGTTTCTTCCATGATTAAATTGCAAGAGGAAAAAAAAGGAATGGAGGGAGGAAACAACAGAATAAACAAAAACTTAAGAAACAAATGAACCAATCACAATATACTGACTTTTTATGGATCCTGATTCAAATAAACTGTTTAAAAAGTATGATATCTATGAAGTAACTAGAAATCTGAACATTGACTTGATACTCGATGATACTGAGAAATCATTATTAATCACTTTTAGAGGTGATAATGCTTTTATGGACTTTTTTTTTTGTCTGTTTTTTTACAAATAGAGTCCTTATGTGATGCGTCCTTATCTCAGATACATGCTAAAATGTTTACAAATAAAACAGGATGTTAGGGATTTGCTTCAAAATAATATGGGAGGAACCCAATCAGAAATTGGGCAAAGGGCCTGGCGCGGTGGCTCACGCCTGTAATCCCAGCACTTTGGGAGGCCGAGGCGGGCGGATCACGAGGTCAGGAGATCGAGACCAACCTGGCTAACACAGTGAAACCCTGTCTCTACTAAAAATACAAAAAATTAGCCCGGCATGGTGGCGGGCACCTATAGTCCCAGCTACTCAGGAGGCTGAGGCAGGAGAATGGCGTGAACCCAGGAGGTGGAGCTTGCAGTGAGCCAAGATTGTGCCACTGCACTCCGTCTCAAAAAAAAGAAAGAAAGAAATTGGGCAAAGGACCTAAATAGACACTTCTCAAAAGAAGACATCCAAATGGCCAACAGGGATATGAAAAAAAATGCTAATTATCACTGGTCATCAGGGAAATAAAATTTAAAACCACAATGATATCACCTCACACCTCTTAGAATGGCTATCATTCAAAAGATGAAAGATAAGTTTTAGGAAGGTTGTGGAGAAAAGGGAACACTGCTGCACTGTTGGTGGGAATGTAAATTAATACAGCCATTATGGAAAACAGTATGGAGATTCCTCAGAAAACTAAAAATAGAGCTACCATATGATCGAGTACTCCCACTTCTGGGTATATATCCAAAGGAATTGAAAGCAGTATGCTGAAGATGTACCTGTACTCCTATGTTCATTGCAGCATTATTCACAATAGCCAAGATACAGAAGCAACCTAGGTATCCATCATCAGATTAATCACAGACAAGGAAAACATGCTATATACACACAATAGAATATTATTCAGCCATAATGAAGGAAATCCTGTCATTTTCCATAACATGGGTGAACCTGGAGGATAAGTGAAATAAGCCAGGTACAGAAAGACAAATATACTGCATGCTCTCATTTATATGTGAAATCTAAAACAGTTGAACTCATAGAAGTAGAAAGTTGAATGGTGGTTATCAGAGGCTAGAAGACGGGGTGGATGGGGAAAGGGGAGATACTGATCAAAGGGTACAAAACTTCAGTTAGGAAGAATAAGCTTTAGTGATCTATTGCAGAGTGATGCATACAATACATAATAATGCACTGTATATTTCAAAATTGCTAAAAGCGTAGATTTTAAATGTTTTCACCACAAAAAGACAAGTATGTGAGCCAATGAATTTGTTAATTAGCCTGATGTAATCATTTCATATTATAAACATATTTCAAACCATCACATTGTACCCCATAATATATACATTATTTGTGAATTTAAAAAAAAACAAAAAATTAAGCATTAAAAATGCACTGATATGTGTTATTTTTTAAACAAATAATATGGGAGGAAATAAGATTAGCTATGAATTGATCATTGTTAAACCTTGATGATGGAAACATGGAATTTATTATATTATCCTATCTGATTTTGCATATGTTCAATTTTCCATTATAAAAAAATGGAGAAGCAAGAACAAGAATAAGAGATCATACATGACTAGACATGTAAAGTACTTAAAACAATGACTGGCAGGCAGCCTCTCAAACCACTAGCTCTTGGAAGAAAGAGCACATGGTCTGTTTTGTAAGAACTCCATAAAGCCCTCAGCCTGATGCCTTGCAACTCCTCTGACCCTGAATGTATTGACCCCTGGAAGACCCAGGGCCTGGGCCTCAATGAGGGATGATGGTAGTACCCAGGGGAGGCCTGGCCAAAAAGATGGCAGATGCCTAGCAGAACCTTGGGTAGCCCGTGGCGCCACCTGGTGGGAGAGGACTTGATCCTCAGTTTGTTGAAGTTGCTTTATGGGAACTCCCTAAATTGCTTGGGTGGTTTTATAACAGGGCTAAAGATCCTATGTGTAAGGCTGGGGTAGAACCGGGTTAATTGGGATTATTACTTGGTATAATCAAGTACATATACAAGCCATATACTATATACACAGCCTGTTAAGATCTACAGAAATTCAGGTGGCTTCTTACTTACAAAAAGGTAAACATTTCTTGCACAAACTTGGAATAATATTTTGGCAGATATTCAACTTGGTAGTTTCCTATGGGAAGAGAAAACCCAGTGGCTTCTTCTGTTCAAGGTCATTTGAACCTTGGTGCATTTGGATGCTTGACCTCTGAGTAAAGCCAAGGGGTCCACAGAACAGAGCCTCTTCCTTTTTCTCAGCAAATAGTTATCAAACCAGTAGTGCTCCAGCTTCGCAGGGCATCAGAATCACTTGGTAAAAATACATGTTCTGGGCCAGACCTCCGTGGGCAGGCCTAGGAGAACCAGGGCCCTACACAAACCCTCAGCACTCCAGGATAGGCTGTTTCTGGCTCAGTGAAAGAAAGAAGAAGTGAGACTTTCTTTTCTTCCACTTCCCATTGGTTCTAACTCAGAACATGTAAGGCCACCGTGCCTGTGTCCTGTAAGGCTACCATGCCCGTGACCTATTAGGCCTCCATCCCTCTGTCCTGTGAGGACTCCATGACTGTGTTCTGTAAGGCCTCTGTGCCTCTATCCTGAAAGGCCTCTGTGCCTCTATCCTGTAAGGTCTCCATACCTCTATCCCGAAAGGCCTCCATGCTTCTATGCTGTAAGGCCTCCGTGCCTCTACCCTGTAAGGCCTCTGTGCCTCTATCCTGTAAGGCTAACATGCCTCTGCTCTATAAGGCCATTGTGCCTGTGTGCTATAAGGCCTCCATGCCTGTGTCCTGTAAACCTCCATCCCTCTGTCCTGTAAGGCCTCCATGCCTGTGTCCTGTAAGGCCTCCATCCCTCTGTCCTATAAGGCAAATGCTCTCTGTGTCTTGATGGTGCTGGAACCTCACTGGGTGGGCCTAGGATGACAGGCCCATGCCAAGGCCAACTGATGGTCATTTCCCTGAAGCCAATGCCTTTACACTTTCCCTGCTGTCCTGAGCCGCTGACTCAGAGATTCCCAAATGACTCAGGTGCTCTGTCTTCCTGTGGATCCAAGAAGAGAGAGGCATCTCCTGGCAGACTTGGGGAGGAGATGGCTGATCTGCCAGCACCTATGCACAGACCTTGTACAGGAAATACCAACCCTAGAGAAGACCCGGCTCCTGCCCCTTAGGGACTCAGCCTAACCAGCCCTCTCCAGGCTCACATGGCCCCGTTCTGGATCAGGCCTCCTCCCCGTCTCCCTTGAGCCAACCTAATAATCCCCACTCTCTTCTTCCCAGTCTCTCATCTTCCCTAACTCTTTTTTTTTTTTTTTTTAATCGAGACAGAGTCTCACTCTGTCCCCCAGGCTGTAGAGCAGTGGTGCTGTCTCAGCTCACTGCAACCTCTGCCTCCCAGGTTCCAGCGATTCTCATGCTTCAGCCTCCTGAGTAGCTGGGACTACAGGCATGCACCACCACATCCGGCTAGCTTTTGTATTTTTAGTAGAGACGGAGTTTCACCACGTTGGCCAAGCTGGTCTCAAACTCCTGACCTCAGGCGGTCTGCCCGCCGCAGCCTCCCAAAGTGCTAGGATTACAGGTGGGAGCCACTGCGCCCGGCCTTGCTAACTTCTTTTCCTTCTGTCTCACTTTCTTTCTAAAAAGAGCTGGGGAAGCTTCTTCTGGAAAATGGCAAGTCTCATTCATCTCTATTCTTCCCACAATGCCTGGCTCAGTGTGTGTTACATGGTGGGTGCTTAATCTGTGTTTCTTGTAGTCACACAAATTGTCTTCTCTGGTGTTGGGAAGGGGAGAGATTCTTCTGTAGGAGTTCTTCAGGCAGTACTTGTACCAACCACCACTAATGCACAAAGTGAATGATCCTGGCGATGCAATGGAATCCTCGTGTTCAGGGCATGAAATGGTCATGGCCCAGCAAGGCCGTGCTTCTTTGGGAAGGGGATAGTGTTCATTTCAGGCACTGTGGATGGTGTCCTAGTTCAGGCTGCTATAACAAGTTACCACAGACTGGTTGGCTAATAAGCAACAGAAATTTATTTCTTACTGTTCTGGAGGCTGAAGGTCCAAAATCAGGGCACCAGCCTGGCTGGTCCTGATAAGGGCCCTCTTTTTTTTTTTTTTTTTTTTGGAGACGGAGTCTCGCTCTGTCGCCCAGGCTAGAGTGCAGTGGCGCAATCTCGGCTCACTGCAAGCTCCGCCTCCCAGGTTCACGCCATTCTCCCGCCTCAGCCTCCCAAGTAGCTGGGACTACAGGTGCCCGCCGCCACGCCCAGCTAATTTTTTTGTATTTTTAGTAGAGACGGGATTTCACCATGTTAGCCAGGATGGTCTCGATCTCCTGACCTCGTGATCCTCCCGCCTCGGCCTCCCAAAGTGCTGGGATTACAGGCATGAGCCACCGCGCCCAGCCAAGGGCGCTCTTCTGGGCTGCAGTCTGCAGACTTCTCTCTGTATCCTCACATGGCAGAGGGGACAGGAGAGCTCTTCAGGGTCCCTCTTTTTTTTTTTTTTTTTTTTGAGACAAAGTCTCGCTCTGTCACCCAGGCTGGAGTGCAATGGTGTGATCTTGGCTCACTGCAACCTCTGCTTCCCGGGTTCAAGTGATTCTCGTGCCTCAGCCTCCCCAGTAGCTGGGATTATAGGCGCCCACCACCAGGCCCAGCTAATTTTTGTATTTTTAGTAGAGACGGGGTTTCACCATGTTGGCTAGGCTGGTCTCGAACTCCTGACCTCAGGTGATCCACCCCTCCTCGGCTTCCCAAAGTGCTGGGATTACAGGCAGGGTCCCTTCTATAAGGGCATTAATCCCATTCATGAGGGCTCTACTCCCAGGACCTAATCACCACCCAAAGGTCCCACCTACTAACATCGTCATGACCTTGGGGGTTAGGATTTCAGCAGGTGGCTTTGCAGGTGCACCCACATTCCTTCCACACAGATGGGGCACATCTCTGGTAGCCCACAGAACTCTTCCCCGCAGTGTCCAGCCAAAAAGAGCCTCTTCCCTCCTGAAGCCTGAAAGGGCTGAGAACCCCCTCTGTGGCCCCAGGGGCATGGTGTTTTCAGAGCACTCTCCAAGGAGCTGCACCAGCTGCAGAGCCAGCCTCAGGTGCATCTGTGCACTGGCACAGCAGAAGTACCACCTCCACGCTCATCAGCCAAGGTGGGGGTCAGATTCTGAGCACCGCAAACAGCAGGAGGAGGAGGTCTCTGTCCCTGAAGATACCACTCTGAATCCTGGAGGAGACCAGGCCAGCCTGTCCCACACTGAACAGCCCTGTGAGCAGCCAGGAAAGAGTTCCTGGCCTCTGCCCTCATTGATCTGCATTTTACACTAATCCCAGTGCGATTCCAGGTGTAGCTGACCTCATTCTCCACCCTCTCCAGCCAGAAGCACTTTATGCGATTGCTCAAAAAAGATCCGCTTATACAATGCTTCATGAGATAAAGATTTTACTAACACCTTGGTGGGAAGATCGGAAAGACATTTTCTATCACACACCATAAGGGGAAGCTTCATAAAAATCACCTTTAAAAATTCCCTGTTCTCTGAAAATATCCTCCCTGGGCACTAGCCAGCTTGTTTCCTTTTGTCCCTTCCGAAATTCTATTGTCCTCAGCTCTGGCCTTTACCTGAAACACTACTGAGCTAAAAGGGCACCAACCATCACCATCTATTGCAAATGAAGCTTGTTCCTTGGTGGGTGGGGTTGGGGTCCTTACCTTCCATCCATACCCCAGGCTGCTTCTCAAAATACTCTTAAGTCCCTTGAAAAAAATGTTTATTGGCAGAGGACAGATTACGCTCTCAAGAAAATCAGCTGGTCTTCACAGTGGTACAATAATAACAAATGTTTTAGGTTTCTCCCGTGAATCAGGCACTGGGTTGAGCATCAATGCGTACCACCTCATCTTATGCACCCCAGCAACCTCGTGAGGTGAGTGTCCCTGCTGTTAAGATGAGAAGATTCAGTCCCAGAGAGACTGAGCACCTAGTACGAGGTTAAACCGCTAGTAAGCAATAACAATCAAATTTTTTTTAACAAGAAAAGAGTTAAGTAGAAATTTCTCTAAAAATGATCCCAAATGGCCAATAAGCACATGAAAAGCTCCTCAAATCATTCATAATTAGGGAAATCTAAACCACAATGAGACACCACTTCACACCCTCTAGGAAGGCTATAATCAGAAAGATAATGTTTTGGCAAGGATGTGGAAAAATGGAAACCCTTGTACATTGCTGGTGGGACTATAAAATGACATGGCCACTTTAGAAAACAGTCTGGAAGCTCCTCAAAAAGTTTAACATAAAACTGCCATGGCACAGCAATTCCATGCCTAGGTATATATACAAGAAAATTGAAAACATATGTTCACACAAAAACTTACACACAAATGTTCATACAGCATTATTCATGGTAGCCAAAAAGTGGAAGCAGCACAAATGTCTATCAGCTGATGAAACGATGAATAAAATATGTTATATCCATAAAATGGATTATTATGCAATTCAATGATGTATTGATTCATGCCACAATATGGATGAACCTTGAAAACATGATGCTAAATGAAAGAGGATAAACATAAAAGGCCACACATTGTGTGATTCCATTGATATTAAATGTCCAGAATTTTCTAACCCACAGAGACAGAAAATAGGCCAAAGTTGCCAGGAGACTGTGGGAAGAGGGAATGGGAGGTGACTGTTAATGAATGTGAAGGTTTTTTTTTAGCGGTGATGAAAATATCCTGGAATTAGAAAGAGATAGTGGGTACTGAACCTTGTGAGTATACTAAAAACTACTGAACTATGCACTGTAAAAGGGTGAAAGCTATGGTATGTGTATTAGTCCATTCTCACGTTGCTAATAAAGATATACCCGAGACTGGGTAATTTATAAAGGAAAGGTTTCATTGACTCACAGTTTTGCAAGGCTGGGGAGGCCTCAGGAAACTTACAATCAAGGTGGAAGGGGAAGCAAACACACCTTCTTCACATGGTGGCAGGAGAGAGAAGTGCAGAGCAAAGTGGGGAAAAGCCCCTTATAAACCATCAGATCTCATGAGAACTCACTCACTATCACGAGAATAGCATGGGGGAACTGCCCCCATGATCTAATCACCTCCCATGATTTCCCTCCCCCAACACATACATGGGGATTACAATTTGGATTACAATTCAAGATCAGATTTGGGTGGGGACACAGAGCCAGACCATATCAGTACGTGAATTACATCTCAAGAAACAAAATCCAACCAATAAAAAGCCAGCCAAGAGTCTAACCCAAGCAACCCTCCAGCACTCTGCACCATTCATGAGGGTAATCCCAACCTAACACAACTGAGTCCCTCCTGAGAGGAATCTTGCTACCCACATCAGCTGCTGAGGGAGGAGGCCCCACCATTACAGCTAACCAGATCAAAGGTGGAGGAACCCCCACAGACCAGCCAGAAACCTAGGACTTCAGTAGCTTGGCTCAAGATGGCAGACCAGGTTGGTCAGACCTTTCTCTCCCTCTGCCTCTGGAATTTGGAACTGGGGGACAAGGACGAAAAAGTTCAGCCGTGGGAGCTAGGCAGAAAGGCATGAGGTAGACCTGGATTCAGAGCAGTCACTGGAGATGGTGAGCAGGCAGAGGTCGGGAGGGAGACAGCAGCAATGACCTGAAAGCCAAGGAAGGTGTCCAAGGAGAGGACAGAGTGGGCAGCAAGGGAAAGAGAGACATTGTGGAGAACTGCTGTCTTTCTTTCTATCCCGTGGCTCTGCAGGCACCATGAGAACAGCAGTGCCAGAATTCTGGTTGTGGAATTCCCACATGTCCCAGTGGTGTCTTTGCAGTGACCACCTGCTCCTCACTGGGCCAGCTTGAGTAGGGTCTGCCTGCGACACACGGCAGGCATTTGAAGCCTCTGACTGTGTGCCCAGCTTGGAGAGGCTGCTCCCTGGGTTCAAAGCCTTAGGGATGGGTTATTTCCCTTGCAAAGAAAACAGCAGATCTCAAAAGGCATTATCAGGAGCACGGCCAAGAGAGCATGAGGCCATCCGCCTGAGATCCTGTTTGTAGAACCCCAGGAGCCATTTAGACACTGGCCTCGGAAGCCCTTAGGCCTGCCCAGCAAACAGAATGTGATCAATGTGACAGTGAGTGAGGTGTGTGTTTCCACAACACTGACCAGTTACCACTGTGGTGTCTTTCTTTGCTTTTTTTGTCTTCTGATTTATTTGATATGATTTAGCCTCTTCAATCACCTCAACTTAGCCCAATATAAATAGGATAAAAATTGGTGTAAAATAATCAAGGTAGTCAGACTAGATATCTTATCTAGAGTGACCTAGAACTCTTCTAAGTAAGGAGAAGACATTTCACATGTCACTTTTAATGAGAAAAAAACAAAAACAAAAAACAAAAAAACCTGTTCCTGGAAATATTTACCTTCATCTCCTGTGCTGAGAGATGGGGGCAATTTGTCAGCTTTGATCTCCACTTGTTAGTTACCAGGAAATGAAGTGCACTTGAGCCAGTGGGATCATGAAGTCTCACTCTTGCTGCAAAAGTTGGCAGCAGGGGACAGAGCAGCCTTGTCTTTCATTTTCTGAGATCAAAGCTGAGCCAGCACAAAGACAGAAGGGGTATTCAGATGAGATGCACCTGCAGAAGAACCGATGGTGGGATACTGACCCAAGAGGTCACTGGACCAGCATCTCCCAGGAGGTCTCCTCTGCTTCTCCTCCCTCCCCAGGGAAGGGCAGGGTGTAATCCAGGGCCCTGTATGGCCTGTTGAGCCAAGCACCTGCTCATGCACCACATATCAGACTCCAACTCCAGGCAAACCCAGCACACCTGTGCACTGGTGCATTTGTTCTGATGCTGTCCTTCATACCTGTCTTAGACTTTCTACCTACAACCTCAGGCTGGTCCCTTCCTGAGTCTCACCTGTGCAGCCCAGGCAGGTGGACAGGTGAGACTAGGGGGTGGAAGACGAGGCAGAAGCTGCCTTCTTTGAGGACAGACTGTCTGTTATGAGGAGGCTGGGGTCTGACCTCTCGGGTACCCAGAGGCTAACTGGTAACCACGTGCTATAGTTTGAATGTTTGTCCTCTCCAATGCACTTGTTGAAATTTAATTCCCAATGTTGGAGGTGGGACCTAATGGGAGGTGTTTGTGTCACAGGGTGGATCCTTTCTGAATAGATTCAGGCCATCCCTGAGATAAGGGCAAATGAGTTCTTGTTCTATTAGTTCTGACCAGGGCTGGTTGTTAAACAGAACCTGGCACTCGCTCTCTAGCTTCCTCTCTCACCATGTGGTCTCTGCACACGCAGCTGCCCCTCACCTTCCACCATGAGTGGAAGCAGCCTGAGGCCTCACCAGAAGCCAAGCAGATGGTGGTGCTATGCTTCTTGTACGGCCTACAGAACTGTGAGCCAAATAAACCTCTTTTCTTATAAATTGCTCAGCCTCAGGTATTCCTTTATAGCAACACAAACAGACTAAGGACTATGGAAACACAAGGGTGGGCAACATCTGAGAAAGGGCACTGCCAGTTGAGATCTATAGCACCCAACCCTCCTGAATATATGAGTGACTCCCTTATGCTCATCTCTAAAATTAGGATGTTGGATTAAACATTCTTTAAGCTCCCTGGCCACTTTAACATCATCTGTCCTTATGATTCCATTTACTGAGCCTCTTCTGTAGCCAGAAGTGAGCTACCTGCTGAAGAAGACACATGGGATGACAACAATGATGATGATAGCAGCTAACATAGATTCAGCACTCACTCTGTGCCATCTGCTGTGCAAAGAGGACTCATTTAATCTTCACAAATACTTGTGGAGTCAGTAAATTATCCCCTTTTAACAGATAAAGAAACTGAAGCCAGAGAGGTTGAGTAACTTACCCAAGTTCACACAGCTGTGAAGTGACATAGCATAATGTCAAGATATTAAGCTTCCTTTATATTCCAACCACGGAGACAAAACTCATCCATATGAAACAACATAAAAAAAGTATGGCATAGGGTTAAATTAGGAAGTACAAATGTTAAAGTCTTGAGAATGAGTCAGAAAACTATAGGATGTGGACCAAAATTGGCCCATTGGCTGTTTTTGTAAATAAAGTTTTATTGGAGCACAGCCACACCCATTTGTATTCTCTGTGGCTACTTTCACACTGTATTGGCAGGATTCAGTAGTTGGAACAGAGACCATATGGCCCATGAAGGCTAAAATACTTACTACCTGACCCTTTAAAGTTTGCCAATCCTTTCTCTTATGGTGGCCAACTGGCTGGGTTTGCCTGGGACTGAAGGAGTACCCAAGATCCAGGACCTTACATTTTAAAACCAGAAAGTTCTGGACAAACTGGGAGAAGTTGGTCACCCTACCTGCTTTAGAAAGTCCCAGAAGAAGGCAGGATTCGTGGGAGTGGTAGGGGTAACAGAGGTATGGCTTAGAAATGTGCAGGATTTGAATATATGGTGTGTAGGATCTTGGTAGACTAGAAGGAGGGAGAACATTCGAAACAGGAAGATCAGCAGGAGCCTAGAAGACCAGCATAATATGCTCATGGGAATGCAAGGAAAGACATGGGTGCCCTTGAGCAGAGTGTGTCAGTTGGGAAGCAGAAGTAGGATCCATTAACTGAAAATGCCACAAAAGATATGCTCATGCATTGCATCACTGGTGGCAGTGGAAACTGGTCCCATCTCCTGGACAGTTTGTAAATATATATCAAAATGTTAAATGTGCATGTGCGTTGACTGTCCATGGGAAGGTGATTGCATTAATGATCCCAAATCTACATCCAGAACTTTTGAAATGTGACTTTCTACTCCCTCCTATCTTTTCCTCTTTTTTTTTTTTTTTTTTTTTTTTTGAGATGAAGTTTCGATCTTGTGGCCCAGGCTGGAGTGCAATGGCACGATCTTGGCTCACTGCAACCTCTGCCTGCCTCCTGGGTTCGAGCAATTCTCCTGCCTCAGCCTCCCGAGTAGCTGGGATTACAGGCGCCCGCCACCACGCCCAGCTAATTTTTATATTTTTCGTAGACACGGGGTTTCACCATGTTGAAGGCTGGTCTCAAACTCTTGACCTCAGGTGATCCGCCCATCTTGGCCTCCCAAAGTGCTGGCATTACAGGCATGAGCTACCGTGCCCAGCTCTATCTTTTCCTCTTAATTTTGAGTTCAATCACATGACTTGCTTTAGCCAATGGGATATTAGTAGACTCTAAGCAGAGATTGGAAAAAGCCCTTGCATGTTTCTTCTTTCTCTACTGTTCTTCTGCTTTTGACCTGAGATCATGTCTGAGCCATGGAACAAAGCCAAGCCACCCCAGTTGTCCCAGCCAAAGATATCTGAGATCACCCAACCTGTAGCTGACCAGACATGTACGTGAGCCCAGCCAAGCCCAGAACAGCTCAGTTGAGCCAAGCCTAAATTGCCAACCAGCAGACTTATGAGCAAAAGGCTCCAGAGACAATAAATAGACATACCTTATTTTACTGCACTTGGCTCTACTGTACTTCACAGATAATGCATTTTTTACAAATTGAAGATTTGTGGCAACCCTGCCTCAAGCAAGTCTATCGGTGCTATTTTTCCGACAGCATGTGCTCACTTCATGTCTCTGTGTCACATTTTGGTAATTCTCACAATATTTCAAACTTTTTCCCTATGATTATATCTGTTATTTTACCTGTGATCAGTGATCTTTGATGTTACTATTGTAATTGTTTTGGGGCACCACAAATTGCACCCATATAAGACAGTGAACTTATTCAATAAGATGTGTGTGTTCTGACTGCTCTACCAATTGGCTGTTCCTCATCTCTCTTACTCTCCTCAGGCCTCCCTGTTCCCTAAACACAATATTGAGGTTAAGCCAGTTTATAACCCTACATAGCCCTTACGCATTCAAGTGAAAGGAAGAGTCACACATCTCTCACCTTAAATCGAAAGCTAAAATGATTAAGTTGAGTGAGGTAGGCATGTCAAATGCCAAGACAGGCCAAAAGCTAGACCTCTTGCTCCAGTTAGCCAAGTTGTGAATGCAAAGAAAAAGTTCTTGAAGGAAATTAAAAGTGCTCCCCCAGTAAATATGAATGATATCAAAGTGAAACAGCCTTATTGCTGATATGAAAAAAGTTTTAGCAGTCTGGTTAGAAGATCAAACCAGCCACAACATTCCCTTAAGCCAAAGCCCAATCCAGAGTAAGGCCCTAACTCTCTTCAATTATGTGAAAACTGAGAGAAGTAAGGAAGCTATAGAGGAAAAGTTTGAAGCTAGCAGAGATTGGTTCACAAGGTGTAAGGAAAGAAGCCATCTCCGTAATATAAAAGTACAAGGCAAAGCAAAAGGTGCTGTTGAAGAAGCTACAGTAAGTTACCCAGAAGATCTGGCTGAGATCCCTGAGGAAGGTGGCTACACTCGACAACATATTTTCAATGTAGATGAAACAGCCTTCTTTTGGAAGAAGATGCCATCTAGGTTTTTCATAGCTAGAGAAGAGAAATCAATGGTGGCTTCAAAGCTTCAAATGACAAGCTAACTGTCTTGTTAAGAGATAATGCAGCTGGTAACTTTAAGTTGAAACCAATGCTCATTTGCCATTCTGAAAATCCTAGGGCCCTTAGAAATTATGTTAAATCTACTTTTCCTGTGTTCTATAAATAGAACAAGAAAACATGATGACAGCACATCTGTTTACAGCATGATTTATTGGATATTTTAAGCTCTCTGTTGAGGCCTACTGCCCAGAAAAAAAGATTCCCTTCAAAATATGACTGCTCATGTACAACGTATCTGGTCACCCAAGCACTCTGACAGAAATGTATAAAGAGATTAATGTTGTTTTCATGACTGTTAATACAACATCCATTCTGCAGCCCATGGATCGAGGAGTAATTTGAATATTTGAGTCTTATTATTCAATAATCCATTTCAAAATAACTACCATAGATAGTGATTCCTCTGATGGATCTGGGCAAAGTACATCGAAAACCTTCTGGAAAGGATTCACCATTGTAGATGCCGTTAAGAATATTCATGATTCATGGGAGGAGGTCAAAATATCAACATTAACAGAAGTTTGGAAGATGTTGATTTCAACCCTCATAGATGACTTTGAGGGGTTTGAGACATTAGTGGAGAAGTCACTGCAGATGTGGTAGAAAGAGCAAAAGAACTAGAATTAG
Organism: Homo sapiens; assembly: GCF_000001405.40. Lineage (NCBI taxonomy): Eukaryota > Metazoa > Chordata > Mammalia > Primates > Hominidae > Homo > Homo sapiens. Next base: position 118,862,023 of record NC_000010.11, read on the forward strand.
AAGTGGAGCCTGAAGATGTGATTGAACTGCTGCAATCTCATGAGAAAACTTGAACCGATGAGAACTTGCATCTTATGGATGAGCAAATAAAGAGTTTCTTGAGACAAAATCTACTCCTGGTAAAGATGCTGGGAACATCACTGGAATGACAACAAAGGATTTAAAAGATTACATAAACTTAGTTGATAAACCAGCTACAGAGTTTGGGAGAATTGACTCCGATTTTGAAAGAAGTTCTATTGTGAGTAAAATGCTGTCAAATAGCATCACATGCTACAGAAAAATCTTTTGTGAAAGGAAGGATCAATTGGCATGGACAAATTCATGGTTGTCTTTTTTTTTTAATTATACTTTAAGTTCTAGGGTACATGTGCACAACGTGCAGGTTTGTAACATAGGTATACATGTGCCATGTTGGTTTGCTGCACCTATCAACTCATCATTTACATTAGGTATTTCTGCTAATGCTATCCCTCCCCCAGCCCTGAAAGCTAAAATGATTAAGTTGACCGACCCCAGTGTGTGATGTTTCCCGCCCTGTATCCAGGTGTTCTCATTGTTCAACTCTCACCTATGAGTGAGAGCGTGCGGCATTTGGTTTTCTGTCCTTGCGATAGTTTGCTTAGAATGATGGTTTCCAGCTTCATCTATGTCCCTGCAAAGGACATGAACTCATCCTTTTTTATGGCTGCATAGTATTCCATGGTGTATATGTGCCACATTTTCTTAATCCAGTCTATCATTGATGGACATTTGGGTTGGTTCCAAGTCTTTGCTATTGTGAATAGTGCCACAATAAACATACGTGTGCATGTGTCTTTATCGTAGAAGGATTTATAATCCTTTGGGTATATGCCCAGTAATGGGATTGCTGGGTCAAATGGTATTTCTAGTTCAGGATCCTTGAGGAATCTCCACACTGTCTTCCACAATGGTTGAACTAATTTACACTCCTCCCAACAGTGTAAAACTGTTCCTATTTCTCCACATCCTCTCCAGCATCTGTTGTTTCCTGACTTTTTAATGATCACTATTCTAACTGGCGTGAGATGGTATCTCATTGTGGTTTTGATTTGCATTTCTCTGATGACCAGTGATGATGAGCATTTTTGCAGATGTCTGTTGGCTGCATAAATGTCTTCTTTTGAGAAGTCTCTGTTCATATCATTTGCCCACTTTTTGATGGGTTTTTTTTTCTTGTAAATTTGTTTCAGTTCTTTGTAGATTCTGGATATTAGCCCTTTGTCAGATAGGTAGATTGCAAAAATTTTCTCCCATTCTGTAGGTTGCCTGTTCACTCTGATGATAGTTTCTTTTTCTGCATAGAAGCTTTTTAGTTTAATTAGATCCAATTTGTCTATTTTGGCTTTTGTTGCCATTGCTTTTGGTGTTTTAGTCATGAAGTCTTTGCCAATGCCTATGTCCTGAATGGTATTGCCTAGATTTTCTTCTAGGGTTTTTATGGTGTTAGGTCTGACATTTAAGTCTTGAATCCATCTTGAGTTAATTTTTGTATATGGTGTAAGGAAGGGATCCAGTTTCAGCTTTCTACATATGGCTAGCCAGTTTTCCCAGCACCATTTATTAAATAGGGAATCCTTTCCCCATTGCTTGTTTTTGTCAGGTTTGTCAAAGATCAGATGGTTGTAGATGGTGGTGTTAATTCTGAGGCCTGTGTTCTATTCCATTGGTCTATATATCTGTTTTGGTACCAGTACCATGCTGTTTTGGTTACTATAGCCTTGTAGTATAGTTTGAAGTCAGGTAGCATGATGCCTCCACCCTTGTTCTTTTTGCTTAGGATTGTCTTGGCTATGTGGGCTCTTTTTTGGTTCCATATGAACTTTAAAGTAGTTTTTTTCCAATTCTGTGAAGAAAGTCAGTGGTAGCTTGATGGGGATAGCATTGAATCTATAAGTTACTTTGGGCATTATAGCCATTTTCATGATACTGATTCTTCCCATCCATGAGCATGAAATATTATTCCATTTGTTTGTGTCCTCTTTTATTTCGTTGAGCAGTGGTTTGTAGTTCTCCTTGAAGAGGTCCAGAAATTGATAAATTCCTGGACACATACACCCTCCCAAGACTAAACCAGGAAGAAGTTGAATCTCCGAATAGACCGATAACTGGTTCTGAAATTGAGGCAATAATTAATAGCCTACAAACCAAAAAACGTCCAGGACCAGACAGATTCACAGCCAAATTCTATCAGAGGTACAAAGAGGAGCTGGTACCATTCCTTCTGAAACTATTCCAATCAATAGAAAAAGAGGGAATCCTCCCTAACTCATTTTATGAGGCTAGCATCATCTTGATACCAAAGCCTAGTAGAGACACAACAAAAAAAGAGAATTTTAGGCCAATATCCCTGATGAACATCAATGTGAAAATCCTCAGTAAAATACTGGCAAACTGAATCCAGCAGCACATCAAAAAGCTTAATCACCACGATCAAGTCGGCTTCATCCCTGGGATGCAAGGCTGGTTCAACATATGCAAATCAATAAATGTAATCCATCACATAAACAGAACCAATGACAAAAACCACATGATTATCTCAATAGATGCAGAAAAGGTCTTCCACAAAATTCAACAGCCCTTCATGCTAAAAACTCTTAATAAACTAGGTATTGATGGAATGTATCTCAAAATAATAAAAGCTATTTATGACAAACCCACAGCCAATATCATACTGAACGGGCAAAAACTGGAAGCATTCCCTTTGAAAACCAGCAAAAGACAAAGATGCCCTCTCTCACCACTCCTATTCAACATAGTGTTGGAAGTTCTGGCCAGGGCAATCAGGCAGGAGAAAGAAATAAAGGGTATTCAATTAGGAAAAGAGGAAGTCAAATTGTCTCTGTTTGCAGATGACATGATTGTATATTTAGAAAACCTCATCGTCTCAGCCCAAAATCTCCTTAAGCTGATAAGCAACTTCAGCAAAGTCTCAGGATACAAAATCAATGTGCAAAAATCATAAGCATTCCTATACACCAATAATAGAGAGCCAAATCATGAGTGAACTCCCATTCACAATTACTACAAAGAGAATGAAATACCTAAGAATCCAACTTACAAAGGTTGTCTCATCTTAAGAAATTTCCACAGCCTCTCCAACCTGCAGCAACCACCACCCTGACCATCAACACTGGTCATCAGCCAATGTTACCCACAGCAGCCATCAGCCATCAGTCATGCAGTCATCAACATTGAAGTAAGACCCTCCACCAGCGAAAAGATTACAATTCACTGAAGGTGATCATTAGCATGTTTTAGCAATAAAGTTACTATTTATTATATTAACACATTAAATTACAACATTATAATAATAACACTACTTAAGATATGTGAATTTTTGTAGACATAATGCTATCGAACACTTAATAGACTACAGTATAATGTAAGCATAACTTTTATATACACCAGGAAACAAAAAAGTGTGTGTGACTAGTTTTATTTCAATATTCATTTTATTATAGTGGTCTGGAACTGAACCTGCAATATCTCTGAAGTATGTCTATACTTACTGTTTTAAGCTACTGAGTTGAGGGTTGTTTGTTAACATTATTGTACAAATAGATAACTGACACTGCCTAAACTCTTTCTAGGAACTTATCCCATGGAGCTCATTAGACAGACATGCAAACGTGTGAATAAAGATTTCTCTTACAGTGTTGTTTACGATCATTTTTTTAAAAACTTTTTTGGAACAATCTAGATTCTCAATAATAGATTGGCTTTTTTAAAAAAATTAAGACTATACAATGGAATGTCAGCCATTAAAAAAGGTAATGCTTATCAATATTTATTGACATGAAAAGATACTTTATGTTAAATGGAAAATACAGACTGCAAAATAGCTTTTAAGGTTTGATCTATTTTTGTCAAATTTGAGAGAGAGACATGCACCAAAATACTAACAGTAACTAGCTTGAAGAAGTTAGGTGTTTTTACTTCTTTATCCTATTCTGCATTGTGTGAATTTTTTAAATGACTATGTAATATATTTACAGACAGGAAAAAAGTGGAAATGTCACCTAGGAAACTTATCTCTCTTTTATATAAAAACATGGACTTTGAGTCCTTAGAAACCCTGCCTCCTCCACCACCCCCTGCCGATTCCCCTGCTACCAACTCCTGTAATGGAATCTGACTGACCTTGGCGTTGCTCTTCTCACTGGCCCAGGAGAATCAAATCCATGCTGTATGTGTGTGGCGGGGATGGGGAGCACCAAGCCCCAGGGAGGCCTTTGTGCAGATGCCAAGGAATAAGTTTCCCTTCCCAGCTGTCTGCAAACAGAGCAAAGAAATTACCCATGAAACCAACTCCAGCCATGTTAGAAAAAAATCCTTCCATCCAAGTCATAATATTTTTAGAGTGAGATTTACTTTACAATATTTTAATAACTGCAGCATGGTGACTGGAAGTCCTTTGCAGCTGGTCTCCGGGGCCTTCCTGGGACGTTGCACTTAATGAGGTTTATAATTCAATATAACTACATCTGCATCTTTAATTATGCCTAACATTTAATCTTCATTGCTGCACTTGAATTGGAAGAGCTAAAATTAGGCCTGCTTTAGTTTAATCTGATAATAAACATCCATGACATTTAGAGAAAAATGTACTCATTTCATTAGAGTGGCCGAAACATTTGCCATTTGCCTGAACTGAACAAATACTCTCAACAGCCCATCCAACTGTAACAAAGAACATTGTTTTAAACAATTCCCTTGTAGACTCCTGGAACTCTAGAGCTGACAAGGACCTTGGAGGTTAAGTAGTCCAATATCACCACTTTGCCAGTGAGGGCACTAAGGCCCACAGAGGTTAAGTCATTTGTCCAAAGTCACACAGCAAATTAGCAGGTATTACAGGAAACAGAACCCAGGATTCTTTTTATTTTTTTAAGAGTAAAGTGATAGCAAGTTTATTAAGAAAGTATAGGAATAAAAGAATGGGAATAAAAGAATGGCTACTCCATCTGCAGAGCACCAGGATTCTTAAGTCTCTGGCCAAAACAATCTTTGTCATTCTTCTACTGCCAACCTGGGACATCATTTTTTGATGGCTAAGTCTCCCTCTGAGCAACCATCACCTCCCTTTTTTTTTATGGAATTCAGACAGGATGTCATTCAAGTACCTATATTGAGCCTCACAGCCTGACCCCAAACGCAAACTAATAAGAAAATATAAAAGGCAAGATGTTAAAAGACACACCGTCATTAAAACCAAGACAAACATCTCCGTGAACCAAAACCCAAGTAAATAAAGCATAAAATGGGCTGCTGAAGCTTGAGCCGATTTGGCTGCAGGTTCAAAAGGAGACAGAGAACCTGTTTGAGCTTTGATTTAACCTGGGCAGTGGCTGAAAAAAAAAACCTGCTACTGACCACTGCCACGGGGGACCATTTGTCTGAACCTGATTACATAGAAAGAATAGAGAGGTCAGAGGGAGCAGACAGATTCTCCAACAACATCTGGGCCAAGCTGCCCACTGAATTAGTGACAGGGACTGCACATCCCTGGGAAGGCGAAGGGGAAGGGGGAAAGGAGAGAGAGGGAAGGAGAGAAGGAGGGAGAAAGGAAGGAGAGAAAAAGCAAGGAATTAAATAGACACCACTGAAAATCAAATTGCTGGCATGTAAGAAAGCTTTGAGATAATCACACTACTGCAGAGGAAATATATGCAGAGATTAGAGCAATTAGAACATAACAGCTATTTTTTTGAAATGATCTAACACAGAATAGCTGGTACCTTTGAAATAAAGAACTGTCATGGTTAATGTTACGTGTCTACTTGTCTAGACTATGGTGGCTAAAAAGTTTGATTAACACCCATCTAGATGTTGCTATGAAGGTATTCTTTAGATGTGGTTAACTTTTAAATCAGTAGACTTTTAGTTAACAGAATACTCTCATCTGTAATCCAATGTGGGTGGGCCTCAACCAATCAGTTGAAGACCTTAAAAGAAAAAGACTGATGTCCTTCAAGGAAGAAGGAATTCTGCCTTCCGACTGCCTTTAGATTTGAGGCTGCCACATTAGCTCTTCCTGGGTCTCCTGCCTGCCTAGATTTTGGACTTGCCAACTCCCACCATTGCATGAGCGAATTCCTTAAAATCTCTCTCTTTCTCCATATACTTATTTATATTTATTTTTGTATCTGTATTTATATTTAGTTTTGTTTCTCCAGAGGACCCTAATACAAAAACTCAAGAAAATTTTTAAACAGTGTGTTCACATTCACGTGGTTGAAAAATCACATATGTGATAAGACAAAAGGAAAAGGGAAATTTTTAAATTTTTTAACAGAATATTACAAAATAAAATAAAAAGTATATTCAGAAGGATAATTCAGGGAGGATTCCCCCAAAATGAAGGAATCACTAAATCTGACCATTGAGAGGGCATACCATGTAACAAATAAAAATGATATTGAATGCTCAATATTAAGGCATATCCTGCTGAAGCCATTGAACTTGAAAATAAAGTACTTTCTTCAGTACAATGACAATTAATACACGTTGAGGGAATGGCACAATTAGACAATGACAATTTGCAAACCATCATAACGATAATTGACTCAGGCAAGAATCATTAGCAGAGGCTAAAACTTGTGGGTGAAAATTTCAGGATGAACAAGATATTGTCATAGTCTCAAAATACCTCCCCACAAAATACCAATTTCCTACAAAGGTGAAAATAGCAACCATGAAAGTGGAAAAGCCCAGCAGACACCACCGTAACCAAGTAACCAAAGTTACTGTCCGAAGCCATGGCGCAAGGAACACAGCACTGCTATGTGACTCATTCCACTTCTCTAGGCTTGCTATTTTGTCGTTAACCCATTCTCACCTGTGAAGCCATCTACTCTCTGCTTCACACTATCTTGGACTGTCAGCTTTTAGGAGGCAGGGATTGGTCTGCTTAATTTATCCTGAAGGAGCTGGGCAAGAGGCAGATGTTTCCGACCTCATACAGGTGCACCTCAGAAGGGCCTTTACACCCAATCCTTTATTTGACCCTCACAACCTGAAAGCTAAGTCAAACAGGTTTTTCTCTCATTTCTACAAATGCAAAAACAAAGGCTCAGAGAGGTGAAGCCACCTGCCCAAAGTCACACAACTAGCAAGTGGTCAAGCCCAGATATCCTGGCTCCAACAAGATGCTGCAGTAGACACTGTGGTTGATGCCTCAACATCCATCCCAGCCCTGTCCCTCTGTGTGGCCACAGTTATTTCAGGGACTGGCCCTGCCTCCAGATGGGCCTCACTTAGTCAATATGAATTATAGAATCCCATCCCTCTTCATCAGGGATTGGATCAAAAGCCCAGCCTGAGCTTGTCCCTACCTTGTGCCACCTACCTTGTCCCAGGAATTGGTTCTTGCCAATAAGACACAAAAAGTCTGCTGGCCAGGCGCAGTGGCTCACGCCTGTAATCCCAGCACTTTGGGAGACCAAGGCGGGCGGATCACAAGGTCAGGAGATCGAGACCATCCTGGCTAACATGATGAAACCCCATCTGTACTAAAAATACAAAAAAATGAGCCAGGCATGGTGGCGGGCGCCTGTAGTCCCAGCTACTCAGGAGGCTGTGGCAGGAGAATGGCATGAATCTGGGAGGCAGAGCTTGCAGTGAGCCGAGATCGCGCCACTGCACTCCAGCCTGGGCAACAGTGCGAGACTCTGTCTCAAACAAACAAACAAAAAAAAGACATAAGTAGTCTGCTGAGGGCTTTTAGGGAATTTTTCCTTACTATTAAAGGACAAGATTAGACCAGGCCAGATGGCTCACACCTGAAATCCTACAACTCTGGGAGGCCAATGTGGGCAGATTGTGTGAATTCAGGAGTTTGAGACCCGCCTAGGCAACAGCAAAACCCCATCTCTACAAAAAATATAGAAATTGGCTGAGCATGGTCGTGCATGCCTGTAGCCCCAGCTACTCAGTGGGCTGAGGTGGGAGGATTGTTTGAGTCTGGGGGAGGGAGGTTGCAGTGAGCCAAGAATGTGTCCCTGCACTCCAGCCTGGGTGACAGAGCAAGACCCTGTCTCACACACACACACACACACACACACACACACACACACACAAAGCCAGTTTTTGCAGTTCTTAATTCCCACCAAAATTAAATATGCGTATATTGAAAAAAAAAAAAAGCAAGATTAGGAAGTTTCTCCATCTTTCTAGAATGAATGAGGAAGAAGATAGCCCCGCTGGCTGCTGGCAGCAAATCTACAACGAAGTGGTTCTAAAATGAAGTGGATGCTCTGGCTGGCAGAAGAGAGAGGCAGAAAGAACTAGGTATCCTTGATGGCCTCATGAAGCTCAGTGTCACACAGTCTTGAAGCCCACCCTACCTGTGAGCGTCCACTCAGGTAAGGCCACAAAGTTCCTTAACCTTTCAGCTGGGTCAAGTTGGCTTATTTGTTAATTGCAGCTAAAAGCATCCCACTGGACGCAGCACCCTCTCCCTCCCAGCAGCTTGGCATTAGGGAGCCCAGCATCCTGAAAATCCCACTGAGCTCCCAGGAAATAGTAATATCTGCCTCACCAGCCCCACATTGCCCCATCTTCCCCAATGGCTGTTTGCCAACTTTATTGCATCAAATCTATTGAAGTTTTTGTTGTTGTTGTTTTAACTTCGCAGGGAAGGCTGTTCTATGGTGCTGTGAGTCATCCTGGGAAGCAGCAGCCCTAGTGCTAAGGCAGGATGCAGATCAGTCTGTTCCAGTACCCACCTCCCCTCTCTCCTCCCCCGCAAAGGGCAGTTTCCTCTGGAATCCATGCACATGCAATTTATTTCTAACTGCTCCAGCAGGTTCCAATCCTGTTGCTTGCTGCGTCTAGTTATTCACTTGGAATCAGAGCTGCTGGAAAGTCAAAATTAGCCTCATTCTACCAGCATGAAATAGAAACACAGAGGCAGTCCCTTGGCTTTAGGGAGGCAAGAATCTAGAATTTTTCTTATCTCTCTGTGAATACCAGAGCTGAGGGTTACATGGGTCTGTGATTACACAGTCATTTGGAAATTGTGCAAGTTGGAAGCAGCACTGTCATTGACTTCCTGTTAAGAGGAGGCAGCAGGAGAAGCCTTCCAGAGAGGGACACAGGGCAGCCATCTGGTTGGAAGTCATTGTGCTTACATAAGTTGTCTGTTCACTTAAGGAGGCAAGGGTTAAGCAGGCTGCAAGGCAAGGAGTGTGAATGACCCTAAGCCATGCTTGACACCATGCATTAATGATGTTTTTTATCTTCTGTAGTTTATAAAGCTTTGACATCCTGAGGCCTTGCTAATCCTGGAGAGACTCCCCTTCCAGGGCTAGCTAATTTCTAGAGATAGTAAACAATTTGCCTGCCAACATATCTTTCATATACAAACCAACCAATCCAAAACCTGTATCCCCAACCACTTCCTTTATTTAACTCTCACACACCAAGCCCATATTTTCCTTGCCCTAAATCACCCCAGGACCAAGTAACAGACTACTGGAGACCATTCCTATAGCCTAGAACCCGCAGACATTATTCAAACTCTCTAATTCTAAGCTTGCTCAAACTTGCCAATCCTGCCTCACCCATCCCTCCCCACGGAATCCCCAATAAGGTCTATGGGTCATGCCCTCTCTTCATTCTTTCTGCCTCATGACCAACTCTGGTGCCTTTGCATGTGACCCTGCATGGCACAGCATGCCCCCTTCTCTTGGGAACTGTAATAAACTCCTTTCAAGGCATATTTCTCTATGTCTGTCATCTTACCATACCTAATTAAAACAAAATCCTAGATCCTTTGTTTGTTTTTGCTTATTTTTTATTTGTTTGTTTTAGAGACAGGGTCTCACTCTATCACGCAGGCTAGAGTACAGTGGCATGATCATAGCTCATTGCAGCCTCGACCTCCTGGACTCAAGTGATCCTCCTGCCTCAGCCTTCTGAGTAGCCGGGACTACAAGCACGTGCCACCATATCTGGCTAATTTTTTTTTTCCTTTTAATTACATTTATTTTAATGCTGAATTTACTCCTGTGCCATAAGTTTTTGTTTCTTCAGTTTCTTCTGGGATATCTTTTTCTTCTGGGCAACCTCCTCTTCTGATTTAGGAACAATCTGTTCCTTTTCCGTAAGGATCATCTCAATGTGGCAGGGAGAGCTCATGTATGGGTTAATCCGACCATGAGCTCTGTGGGTCCGGCGGCGCATCTTAGGTGTTTTGTTCACTTGGATGTGCTCAATGACCAGAGAATCTACATCTAAACCCTTAAGTTCAGCATTACTCTCTGCGTTTTTAAGCATGTGCAGCAAAAATTCAGCACTCTTTTTGGGCCACCGACCTTGTGTCCAGCCCCACTGCTTGGCCTGCGTACACCTGCTAACTCCACCATTGTAACGTAGGAATGGTACACACTGTTTCTGTAAAGTGACATCTTTCAGATACTTCTTGGCTTTTCATATATGTATACCCTTGATGGCCTGAGCAGTTTCATGGTGTTCTTAAAGTGAACACAAAGATTGGAACCTCTTGATTTGCATCATTTCGTGGGGTTCTCCGGGTCAAGTGAATAGCGAACCATTTTCACAGATTACCTCAGGCTGCTTAGGGAAACAGCATTTTTTTTTTTTTTTTTTTTTTTTTTAGAGCTAGGGCCTCACTATTTTGCCCAGGCTACTGGTCTTGAACTCCTGGTGTCGGGCCTCATCCTCCCAAAGTGCTGGAATTACAGGTGTGAGCCACCATGCCTGGTCCCGGGTACATTTTAAAACCCACCACCACCTATAACTTACTCTGAGCTAGACATGTTTAGATGCATTATCTTAGGTCATTTCTACCACACTGCAAAGTAGAAACTATTAGCTCCATGTTACCTGTGAGAAAGTGAAGCTTGGTAGGCTAAGTAACTTGCTGATGTTGGTTGACAAGGAAATACTGATCATGAGCCAAGGGTGACACAGCAGACTTCTTTTTATAGAGATATAAGAAATTTTAAAGATATTGGTGTGTAGTGGGGGAGTTGGATACCGGTGATCAAAAGTAAAATAAGTTTTATTTTAGAAGAGAAATGTATTAGGCTTAGTTAGTGGACATGAAATATACTGTGAGTATATTCAAAGGAGATATTGGGGAAACCTGACATAATAACTAGAAAATAACTGATGGCACAACTACATCAAATCTCTTGAGTTTTTGTTTACATTCCTTCAACCTCAAGAGGAGTTAAGCCAAGACGGAATGCAGCCAAGTGGGGCAGAATTTCCAGCTCAGACTGAACTCTGCAGCCTACCTCCTCTCTAGGGTGTCCCAGATACAAGACATGCTGGCCGTCCCCAGCATGTTAATGATATAATGAGAAAAGCCACATGCAAGAAGTAAATAGTACTGAGAGGAAGAGCAACATGTGGCCTCACTCCTTGCTACTCAAAGTTTGGTCTGTGGACCAGCAGCATTAGCATCACCTGGGAAATGATTAGAAATGCAGAATCTCAGACTCTGTCGCAGACTTCCTGAATCTGCATGTTAACAAGATCCCTGGGTAATTCACATGCATGTTGCAATTTTAAAAGTTCTGGCCTTTGTAGTTCCACCCTTAGGAACGAGGGGAGTTGGGGAAATGATTCAGATGTGGGTGAAGGATGAGATCAGACAGAAATGGTCTTAAGCTATAAATTAAAGGGCTGGTACTGAGACTGCACACTTGGTAGTTTGAGGGTGCCACAGACCTAATGTAGCTCCCACTGCTTTGGTCATAGTTAGGTTATCAGAGTATTGCCAGTTTGAGCTGGATAATTATTTGTCATGGGAGCTGTCCTATGAACTGTAGGCGGTTTAATAGCATTCCTGGCCTCCAACCACTAGATTCCAGGAGTGCTCACCATCCCCTATCACTCCATGCCCCAACCTGCAGTTATGACAACCAAAGTTATCTCCACACATTGCCAAATGTTCTGAGGCAGACAGAAGGGAGAGGGTATGTGTACAAAATCACCCCCCTCAATTGAGAACAACTGAGGTAGATAAAGCACGTTTCATGAATTCATGTTGCCTCACCTGTTCTACCTGGGACCATCAGTTATGAGAGAAGATCCCAGGGCTGGGAGATAGTGGAATTTGTGTGTGGTCAGGGTATGAATTTGCTGCTGCAATTGTATTCCAGCTCTCTGCTGCCATCAGAAGAGAGAAGAGCCCCCAAAGGGATGGAAGGAAGGTCAACAATAATTTAGTGGGATGCCAGGATAAAAAGTCATTTATCTGGCTTCTAAGCCCACGTTACTTCCATTGTACCATGCCACTCCAAGTCAGGAGTAGCAGGAAGTGCTCTGGACCGTGAGCTATGAGATGTAGGTGTTAAGGCCAGCTCAGTCCTTATCAGCTATTTGTCTTTGGATGAGCACTTCTATCTATGGGCCACAGTTTCCTCTTTCAGGTTGGCCAAGATATTACCCTTCCAGTTTTGTCATTCCATGAAAATCCCAGAAATGATAAGAGTCATATCCATCAACTTCACAAGGCTGAATTTCCTAGTGGAAAACACAGATATAGACAAGATATAGTTGGCTGATCTTCAGCTCCCAGCTAGGCTGAGAAGAGACAAGTCCCCAGGAGGATCAAGCAGCCCAAGAGAGAAGTCTCACCATGTAATAACCTGGTCCAGTGGAGAAAATGGGCAGTGTGAGCAAGCCTCAATCAAGGCAGATACTGCTTTCATCTGAAACAGGGGAATGTGGATGGATGGTTGCCCAAGACCTTTCCGGATTGGATATTCCTTGACTCTAAGGCTGTGGAAATGACTCCTCTCTTATGGCACATTCAGATGGAGAACACTGAGTCTCAGTAACCAAATGATTCCCAAGCCTAGAGTCCTCTTCAAATTATTTTCCAGAACTTAAATAAAACTGGGCCTCTTCTAGGCCTGTCTCAGTTCAGGGCTGCATCCAAAGAAACCCAGATCCATTTCCTTAATGCTTTGGAAAGAAGCAAGTCCATATAAAAGTTATCTTGATGAAGCAGCAAAAGGGAAGTTACATCACATAGCACATACCAAGCCTACCTAAAAATAATTTACATTCTCTCCTCCTAAACCCTCTCCTAAATATACCTCCTAGCCTACCTTCTGCCATGGCCAACCTGGCCTTAACAGCAATTATTTTTACCTCTATTGCCTCCCCAGCTAGCCTGTCCTATGCAGAGCCTTCCAGATTGCCTCCAGCTTCTATCATTCTCCTCTCCACTACTCACCCTGAATAGCACCACAAATCCCTGCAATTGGCTCTATCCATGAGAAGCAGATTTGGTTGCATGAATCAGAAAACTAAAATTATCAGTGGCTTAACCACTCAAGGTCTTAGTCTCACATATCAGAAGTCTGGAAGTTATTAATTCAGGGTTTGTGTAGTAGTTCCCTCATACCTCCCATTCTCTCTTCTGCCACATCTAGGCGTGGTCTCTGTTACCAGGTCTAAGAGGGCTGCTGTAGCACCAGTCATAATGTATGTTTCCATCCTCAGAAATGAGAGAAGGGGATGAGAGGGCACATAGCTACCTTTAAGGACACTTTACAGAGTTTTGCTGATGTTTAAAATGTAGAAGAATGAAAAGGCCTTAAATCTTAAAGTACCAACAAGAAAAACATGGACACAATAACTATACTTTTCTATGAGTCTAGCAAAGAGTGAAGTACGCAAGCCTTGATGAACTGAATTCCAGTAAGTAATGAGACCTTAATAGGGAAAAGAGGGCCATGGCAGCTTTCCTACCTGAGAAAGGTTGAGAAGCTGGTTTGGCTCCATGGGGCATGTTATACAGGGAGAGATTTTCTAGCAATGAGGAGGAATCAGCCTAGCCTTAGTTGACTATGTGTCAATCAAGGTCATTTCCTGGTACAGAACCAGGGATATTTCTCACGGGTTTGACCTTACTCAAAATGGGGAGCTGGTAGAACAGTTCACATTAATGGTTGCCTCTGCAACTAGTGTTCAGCCTAAAATCACTAGAGGTCAGTCAGACTGGCAGCAGAAAGGAAAACTGAATGTGGATAAAGACAAGGACAAACTGGAATCACAAGGATGCACTAGGACCCATGAAGACAGCTGAAACCCATAAGGGCAAACTGGAATACACATCTGTCACTCACTCTTTCCAAAGTTAATCCTGTGGATCATCTACTGAAAAAGCTAACATGCTTTACTTTAGAGGTACACATGCAGTTGACCCACATCTCAGAGAAGATGAAAGGGATCTCCCGGGAGATAGAGAATCTGGGGATCAGCTGCTGCCCCATACCTGTTAGTATTCTTGGTACTCCCATTGACCTTCAGAATATAAAATAATATAGCTGCAGCTTTATTTCCATCTTCCAAGTTTTATGCAAAATGTCTCTTGTGGTCTAAACTAATCCAGAAGCACAGGAAAGGAAATTCTGGAAAACATAGCTTCAGTCCAGCCAAATTGGTGAAATATAGAGGTATCACAGATTGTAGGCTGACAGGATGGGGTGGAATCTGGAAGAGCCCCAAATACAAAAATAAATTGCTCAGAGCAGCAATTCTCCCCCTACAAAAAATTTTGCCAAGAAAGAGGTCATGAAGTAAGGGCAGGTAAGCAGAGATAAAACATTTAGTTCCACTCAACCTCATGGTGATTGAATTTTGGGGCCCTGAGGAGTTGAATGCAAAGTGAATCAAAAATACCTGAAACTGCAATCCAACCTCCCCTGAGTCAAATATTGACCCTTCCCTGCAAGACAAGAGGAGTAAGTCTGCACTCTCTGGAAAACAAATGAAACAAACAAAAAATGTTATACTTCAGTCTCCACAATAAATAATTATGAAATGTGCTAAAAAGCAAGAACATGTAACCAAAAGTCAGGAAAATCAACAGTCAATAAAAGCAGATCCATGGACTAATTGTTGGAGTTGACAGACAAGAAATTTAAATCAACTGTTATAAATATGTTAAATAAGTTATGGGAAAAGAGGAATATAATGGCTGAATAGATCAGTAATTTCAAGATAAAAATTGAAAAAAATAAAAGTTAAAAAAGAACCAAATAGAAATTCTAGAACTGAAAAATAATAATATATTATGGGATTTATGACAAATTTAAAAGTTAAATATAACCACAATAGCACAAAATATGGGAGGGGAGTAAAGGTTCTTACATTATTCATGAACTCAAGGTAGACTATGATAAATTAAGGATACACAGTTAATCCCTAGTAAAATCATTATAAAAGTATTAAGAGATATAGCTAAAAGCCAAATAGAATATATGACATAAAATATGAAGTACACTTGCTTAATCCAAAAGAAGACAGAAAAGAAGGAACAAAAAACAGAACTTAAAGGAAAAAAATAACAGAATGGTAAACTTAAACATAACCATATCAATAATTGTATTACATGTAAATGGATTAAACACTCCTATTAAAAAGTAGAGCCTGTCAGACTAGATACACAAGCAAGATCAAACTATATGTTGCCTACTAGACACAAACTTTAAATACAAATATAAATGTAAAAAGATAGAAAAAATGTACCATGCAAAAATTAATAAAGATGCTGAAGTGGCTATAATATTAGTCAAAGTAGACTTTATAATAAAAATATTACCAGAGTTAAAGGTAGAATTAGTGATAAAAAGTCAATGCATTTAAAATATGTAACAATCTTCAATGCATATGTACCTAATAACTTCAAAATGCATGTGGCAGAAATTAACAGAACTAAAAAGGAGAAATAGACAAATCCAAAAGTATAAAAGGATATTTTCATATCACATTCTCAGAAATTCATAGAATAAGTAGACAAAATATCAGTAGAAACATATAAAATCTGAATAACACTATTAACCAACTTGGCCTAATTGTCACTTACAAAATATACTAAGCCATGATACAAGTCTGAAAAAATGTTAAATGACCAAGGTAATTTATATGATTCCCTAATCGAATGTAAATTACAAATCAATAATTTAAAAATTTAGAATATTCTTAAATATCTGGAAATTAAGCAACACTCTCCTAAGCAATCCATAGGTCAATAAGGAAATCACAAGAGAAACTGAAAATAGTTCTAATGGATAATAATGAAAACACAACTTACCAAAATCTATGGTATGTAGCTGAAGCAGTATTAGAAATTTATATTCTTAACTGGTTATAGTATAGAAGAAAGATTTCAAATCAATAATCTAAGCCTCCAATTTAATAAGCTAGAAAAATAAGAGTAAAAATGCAAAATAAGTAAATAGAAGAACATTAAAAGTAAAAATTAGTGAAATAGAAAACACATGAAAAAGAGAGAATATCAGTAAGACCACAAGTTGATTCTTTGACTAGATTAAAACTGATCAACCTTAGCAAAGCTAATCGAGAAAAAAGGAAAAAATTACCAATATTACGAATTTTAAAAAGCATTACTACAGATCCTATGTACACTAAAAGGATAATAAAGTAATAATATTAATAACCTTATGTCAGATTTTTACTTTTTAGATTAAATGGACACATTCCTTGTAAAATACAACTTATCAAAACTGACAGAAAAAACAGAAAATCTGAAGAGCCATATATCTGTCCAAAAACATGAAGTTGTAATTGAAAACCTTTCCATAAAGAAAACTCCAGGCCCAGATGGCTTCCTTGGTAAATTTTCTTCCAGGAAAAAATATTTAAGGAAGAAATAACATTAATCTTACAAAAATTATTCTATAAAATAGAAGAAGGAACATTTACTAAATCATTTTTATGGGGTCTGTATAATCTTTTTACTAAAACAAAGATGTCATAAGCAAAGACCATTACAGACTAATATCCCTCATGAATATAGACACAAAGATCCTTAACAAAATGTTATCAATCTATAAAAGGGATAATACATTATGACTAAGTGGGGTTTATTTCAGGAATACAACATCAATTTAACATATAAAAATAATGAATCAATGCAATGCACCACATTTACAGAATAAAGGAGAAAATCCAAATGATCATCACAGCAGTCACAGACAAAGCATATAACAAAATTCAATACAAATTTTTTAAAACAACAAAACCAAAAACAAACAAAACTCCAAGCAAAATATACATACAAGAAAACTTCCTTAATCTTCTAAAGGATAGTTACAAAAATCTTACAGCTAACATCATACTTAATGGTGACATATTGAATGCTTTCTTTCTGAGATTAACAAGGTAAGGGTATCTGCTCTCACCATTTCTATTCAATATTGTGCTGGAGTTTCCTAGACATTGAAATAACGCAAGAAAAAGAAACAAATAGGCAAGGCACAGTGGCTCACGCCTGTAATCCCAGCACTTTGAGAGGCTGAGGTAGGCGGATCACCTGAGGGCAGGAGTTTGAGACCAGCCTGGTCAACATGGTGAAACCCTGTCTCTAATAAAAATATAAAAAATTAGTGGGGTGTGGTGGCAGTCGCCTGTAATCCCAGCTACTCAGGAGGCTGAGGCAGGAGAATCACTTGAACCCAGGAGGTGGAGGCGGAGGCTGCAGTGAGCTGAGATCACACCATTGTACTTCAGCTCAGACAACAAGAATGAAACTCCATCTCAGAAAAAGAAAGAGAGAGAGAAAGAAAGAAAAGAAAGAAAGGAAAGAAAGAAAGAAAGAAAGAAAGAAAGAAAGAAAGAAAGAAAGAAAGAAAGAGAGAGAGAAAGAAGAAAAGAAAAGAAATAATATAAGGATATAACGTTTGGAACAAAGTAAAAGTATTTTTATTTGCAGGTGATGGTTGTTTACATGAAATCCACCTAAGAAATCACTAAAAAGTTCCTAAAACTAACAAATGAATTTATCAACATCTTAGGATAAACAGGCCATATGTAAACATTCGCTGAATTTCTACATACTAGGAGCAAATAATTGCAAAATGGAATTTAAAAAATATCTACAATAGCATTTAGAAAATACTTAAGGGCAAATTTAACAAAAAACCTGCAAAATCTGCACACTGAAAATTACAAACATTGCTGAGAAAAAAATTTAAAGACCTAAAAAATGAAATTATATACCATGTTCATGGGTTATAAAGACTTGCTATGGTTAGGATATCAAGTTTTCCCAGATTCAAAACAATCTCAATGCAAATTCTATTTTTATAGACATTGAAAAACCCCCTCTAAAATTTGTATGGAAATAAATGCAAAGTATCTAAATTGGCCAAAATAATTTTGGAAATTTTTTTTAAAAACTCATACTACTTGTATCTACAACTTACAATAAGGCTATGATAATTAAATTGGTGTGGAATTGGCATAGAGACAAAAATACGAATGGAACAGAATAGAGTCCAGAAGTAGATCCAAATATATATTGTCAACTTATTTTTGATGAGACATTAAGGCAGTTTGTGGGGTGGGGGGTGGTTCAACAAATTATGCTGAAACAACCACCAGACATCCATGCAGGAAAAAATGAAGCTCAACCCCTACCTCATAGCATACACAAAAATTAATTTGAAACGGATCACAGACTTTAGTGTAAAAGCTAAAACTATAAAGCTGCTAAGAGAAATCATTTGAATATTGCTTCACAAATTTGAGTTAGAGAAAGTTGACTTAAAGAGCACAAAAAAAGCATAAACCATAAAAGACAAAACTGATAACTTGCATTTCATCAAAATTAAAAGCTTCCGCTCTTTTGAAAAACACTGTTAAGCAACCCACTGACTGGAAGAAAATGCATGCAAAATATATTTCTGACAAAGGACTTGCATCCTTTATCAGAATACATAAGTAACTCTTGCAACTCAATCAGAAGAAAACACCCTCAGAAATTAAAATGAAGACATAACAACTAATACCACAGAAAGAGAAAGAATCATTAGAAACTATTAGAAACAACTATACTCTAACACATCAGAAAACCTAGAAGTGTATAAATTCCTGGACACGTACAACTTACTTACCAAGATTAAATCTTGAGGAAATAGAAAACCTGAACAACCCATAATCGTAATGAGATCAAAGCCATAATAAAAAGTCTCCCATCAAAGAAAAGCTCATGATCTGATGGCTTCACTGCTGAGTACTAACAAACACTTAAAGAACTAATGTCAATTCTACTAAACACTTAAAAAAAATTGAAGAGGAGGGAATACCTCCAAACTCAGTCTACAAAGCCAGCATTACCCTGATACCAAAACCAGACAAGGACACAAGAAAAAAAGAAAACTATGAGCCAATCTCCCTCATGAACATAGACACAAAAATCCTCAACAAAATAGCAAACCAAATTCAACAACACATTAAAAAGATCATTCACCATGATCAAGTGGGATTCATCCCAGAGATGCAAGGATGGTTCAACATACACAAATCAATAAACGTGATATATCACATAGACAGAACAAAAGATAAAAATCATATGATCATTTCAATAGATACTGAAAGAGCATTTGATAAAATTTAACATCCCTTTATGATAAAAATGCTCAACAAACTGGGTACCTCAAAACAATAAAGACTATATATGACAAACCCACAGCTAGTATCATCCTGAATGGGAAAAAAATTAAAAGCCTTTCCTCTAAGATCTGGAACAAGACAAATGTGTCCACTTTCACCACTTTATTCAACATAAGACTGGAAATCCTAGCCAGGGCAACCAAACAAGAGAAAGAAATAAAGGTCATCCAAATTTAAAAGGAAGAAGTTATATTATTCTTTTTCGCAGATGACATAATCTTACATTTAGAAAACCCTAAAGACTCCACCAAAAATCTGTTAGAACTGATCAATGAATTCAGTAAAGTTGGAGGATACAAAATCAACATACAAAAATCAGTAGCATTTCTATATGCCAAGAGCAAACAATCTGAAAAAGAAAACAAGAAATCAAATCCATTTATAATAGCTACAAAAAATAAGATATGCAGAAATAAACTTAACCAAAGAAATGAAAGATCTATACAAGGAAAAGTATAAAATTATCATGAAGAAATTGAATAGAATTCAAGAATATGGAAAGATATTCCACACTTAACAATGGAGAGAATATTGTTAAAATGTCAATACTACCCAAAGTGATCTACAGATTTAATGCAATCCCTATTAAAATGCCAATGACATTCTCCACAGAAACAGAAAAAAAAAATCCTAAAACTTACATGGAACCACATAAGACCCCAAATAGCCAAAGCAATCCTGAGCAAAAAGAAAAGCTGGAAACGTCACGCTACCAGACTTCAAAATATACTGCAATGCTATAGTAACCAAATCAGCATGGTACTGGCATAAAAAGACACATAGACCAATGGAGCAGAATAAAAACCCAGTAATATATCTACAAATCTATAGTCAGTTCATTTTCAACAAAGGCACTAAGAATATACATTGGAGAAAAAACAGTCTCTTCAATAAATGGTGCTGGGGAAACAGGATAAAACCGTATCAAGAATGAAACTAGGCCCTTATCTCTCACCATACACAAAAATCAAATCAAAATGGATTAAAGACTTACATCTAAGACCTGAAAGTATGAAACTACTAGAAGAAAACATTGGAGAAATGCTCCAGGATGTTGTTCTGGGCAAAGATGTTTTGCATAAGACCTCAAAAGCACAGGCAACAAATGCAAAAATAGAAATTAAGATAAATCAACCTAAAAAAGCTTCTGCACAGCAAAGGAAACAATTAACAAAGTGAAGGGACAACCAACAGAATGGGAGAAAATATTTGCAAACTATTTATCTGACAAGAGATTAATAATCAGCATATATAAGGAATTCAAACAACAGCAAAACGCAAATAATTCAATTTTAAAATGGGCAAAAGATCTGAATAGACATTTTCAAAAGAAGACTTACAAATGGCCAGCAGGGTATGAAACATTGATCAACACCACAAATTATCAGAGAAATGCAGATCAAAACCACAAGGAGCTCCACCCCAGTTAAAATGGCTGCTATCAAAAAGACAGTGATTAGCAGATGCTGGCAAGGATGTAGAGAAAGGGGAACCCTTGTACACTGCTGGTGGGAGTGTAAGTTAGTAAACCTCTACGGAAAACATTATAGGTATTCCTCAAAACCTAAAAATAGAGCTACCATATGATCCAGCAATCTCACTACTGGGTATACATCCAAAAGAAAGAAAAACAATATATCAAAGAGATATCTACACTCCTGTGTTAACTGCAGCATTATTCACAATAACCAAAATTTGGAATCAACCTAAATGTCCATCAGTGGATCAATAAAGACAATTTGGTATGTATGCACAATGGAATTTTATTCAGCCATAAAAAATAACACAGTCTTCTCATTTGCAGCAACATGGGTGGTACTAGAGGTCATTATGTTAAGTAAAATAAGCCAAGCCAGGAAGGCAAGTATCACATGTTTTCACTCCTATATGGGAGCTAAGAAAGTGAATCTCATGAAGATAGAGAGTAGTTGGCTTCTTGGTTATCAGAAGCCAAGAAGTGGAGGGGGTGGGAGTAAATGAAGAGAGGTTGATTAATGGACACAAAAATACAGATAGATGGAGGAAATAAGACCTAGCACTCAATAAATCAGTAGAGTGACTGTAGTAAACAATAATCTGTTGTATATTTCAAAATAGGTAGCAGAGAATAATTTCAATATTCGCAGAATAAAGAAAAGATAGATGTTTAAGGTGATGAGAATCCTAATTACTCTGATTTGATTATTACACATTATATGAATGTATCAAAGTATCATATGTACCCCCAAAATATACACATCTATTATGTATCAATAAACAAGACACCCTAATAAAAAAGGAACAAAGATTTAAACAGATTTTCCATCCAAATAAGATATATGGATGGCAAATAAGCACAATGAAATATGTTCAACATTATTAGTCACAGGAAAATGCAAATTAAAGCCACACTTAGATGTCATTACATACCCATTAGAATAGCTAAAATTAAAATGACTGACAATGCTAAGTGTTGGTGAGAATATGAAGCAACTAGAACTCTTACACATCAATAGTGGGAATGTAAGATGGTACAACCTCTTTGGAAAATCTTACAGCAGTTTCTTGCAAAGTTAAACATATAGCCTAGTAATTCAAGTTCTACATTTTTACACAAGCAAAATGAAAGAATATGTCCACATTATACATAAATGTTCATAGATGCTTCATTCATAATAGCCCAAAACTGAAACCAATATACCAGTTGATGTGCCAATCATTAACTAGCAAAGGTATAAACAAATTGTAGCACTTCCATAGAATGGAATATTATCTAGCTTTATAAAGAAAAAAATTTACTGATACATGCAATTACATAGGTAAAACTCAAAAACAGCATCCTGAATAAAAACATCAGATACAAAAGAGTACATATGATTCTATTCATTTGAAATTCTACAAAAGGCAAAACCATCACAGTGGCAAAAGCAGATCAGTGGCTGACTGGGGCAGGAATGGGAAGGAAAGATGAAGATTGGCTGCAAAGAGGCATTTAGAGAACTTTTTGAGATGATAGAAATGTTCTATATTTTGCTTGCAGTGGTGATTACACAAGTATAAGTATCTGTGAAAACTCTCTGAACTCTACATTGAGAAATGGACACATTTTATTATATGTAAATTGTGCCTCAATAATGTAGCTTTTCAAAAAATACACGCAGTCGTATTTTTCAATAGGCAAAAACTTAAAAACACCTAATGAAAGAATATGAATAGGTAATAAGCATATGAAAATGTTCAACAGTACAGGAAGATGCAAGTTAAAATGACAAGATACCAACATATACCCACTAGAATGGCTCAAATTAACAAGAGCTTAAATGTTGGTGAGCACATGAAGCAATTGAAACTCTCATATGTTGCTGATAGGGTGTAAAATAGGACAAACACTTTGGAAATCTCTTTGGCAATTTCTTATAAAGTTAAACATACGCCTCCCCACTGATCCAGCAATTCCATCCCTAAGGGAAATAATGCACATGTCCAGGCCGGGTGCGGTGGCTCACGCCTGTAATCCCAGCACTTTGGGAGGCCGAGGTGGGTGGATCGCCAGAGGTTGGGAGTTCGAGACCAGCCTGACCAACATGGAGAAACCCCGTCTCTACTAAAAATATAAAAAAATAAAAAAAATTCAGCCAGGCATGGTGGTGCATGCCTGTAATCCCAGCTACTCAGGAGACTGAGGCAGGAGAATCACTTGAACCCGGGAGGCAGAGGTTGCCATGAGCCGAGATCACACCATTGCACTCCAGCCTGGGCAACAAGAGCGAAACTCCATCTCAAAAACAAACAAACAAAAAAAAATGTCCACAAAAAAGACCTGTACAAGGATGTTCACAGCAGCCTTATTCTAACAGTCCTAAACCAGAAACATCCAAACGTCCAGCAACAGGAAAATGAATAAAATATGATACATCTATACAATGAAACACTACTCCGTGATAACAAGAACAATAGATTCAAGCAACAACATGGATTGATCTCACAGACATTGCATTGAGTGAAAGAAGCCAGATACCAAAGTGTATGTACCATAAAATTCCATTTCTATGAAGTTCAAGAACAGGCAAACTAATCTATATGCTAGAAATCAGGACAGTGGCTGGCCTGGGGTTAGGGGGTTGTCTGGATTGGGGCATGGTGGGATGATAATTGGAAATGGAAATGTAGGGAACTTTCTGGGATGATGAAAATGTTGTTTATCTTTATGGGAGTGTGTGCATTTGTCAAATTCCCTTGAACTGTATAGCTAAGATCTGTATGTAAATTATACTTCAGTTTTTAATAAAGAAAGAAAAAAGAACAAAGGAAGTTGAACACATCACTTCTGCTTGGATCTCAAAGACCAGAATCTAGTCACATAACCATACTTAGCTGTAAGACAGACTGGGGAAGTCTTTGTTCCAAGTGGTTTTGTGCCCAATTAAAATTTGGAGGTATTTTTCCTGTAGAAGCAGAGATTTGATTTACAGGAACAATTAACAGTCCCTGTCATTGGCCAAGCAACTAAATTATGGTTTGTTTGTTTTGTTTTGTTTTGAGACAGAGTCTCGCTCTGTCACCCAGGCTGGAGTACAGTGGTGCAATCTCGGCTCACTGCAACCTCCACCTCCTGGGTTTAAGAGATTCTCCTGCCTCAGCCTCCTGAGTACCTGGGACTACAGGTGCATGCCACCACAACAGGCTAAATTTTGTATTTTTAGTAGAGATGCTGTTTTGCCATGTTGGCCAGGCTAGTCTTGAACTCCTGACCTCAAGTGATCCACCCGCCTCGGCCTCCCAAACTGCTGGGATTACAGGTGTGAGCCACTATGCCTCACCTAAATTATCTTTCTTTTGAGGGATGTGGGCTGCAAGGAGATTTCAAATACTTGTAATTTAATAATTCTTTTTGTTGTTGTTTTTTGAGACAGGGTCTCACTCTGTCACCAGGCAGGTATACAGTGGCACAATCATAGCTCGCTGCAGCCTCAGCCTCCCAGGCTCAAGATATCTTCCCACTTCAGCCACCTGCATAGCTGGGACTACAGGCATGCACCATCACAACCCACTGATTTTTTAGAAAAAATTTTTTGTAGAGACGGGGTCTCACTGTGTTGCCCAGGTTGGTCTCAAACTCCTCAGCTCAAGCGATCCTCCCACTTCAGCCTCCCAAAGTGCTAGAATTACAGATATGTAATATAATAATTCTTCTAATTCTGTCATGCTACCTTCTGTAATCTTTTAGTGTTTCCCTTTCCTTACTGTAATCAGGCAAGACCACTGTTTCTGTAGTGACCATAACCTTGGGAATCTGCCAAGGGCACGCTGGGTGACAAATGGAAGGAGGCCTAAAGGAAGAAGGGTAGCAAGGCTGGGAAGGAAAATGAAACAGCCTTGAAAGTGTGAATGAAAACCTGCACAGGAAACACAGAATGTGTGACATTTGCCACCTTCCAGTTAGAAGGAGCCACCTCTTTTGTGTTTAAAGTCCAACTTGGCTTCCTTTGGGAATTTAAGATGCGGAATTTCATCTTATAGGTCTATCAATAGACCTATCAGTATAGGTCCTCTCCTGTATTGATGGATTCAGCAAGAGTAGCATTCCCAGTCTCATGAAGCCTTTAGTCCCTGCAAAGGTGGTACTGGGGATGCCTGCCAAACAGATCTTTCTCTCAATAGATAATCCAATGTTGATGCTGCTACCATACTAGAATTTTCCTACAGAGAAGCTTGTTCCCTAGGCAGGAACTGGAGAAAAGCACAACTTTCATTTCCCTTGGGAAGCATACATGGTTGATTTCATTGCGGCAAGTAACCCCACACCTGTGCTGTCTCAGTCTCCTGCACATTCAGTCAGACATTTATTGAGTGCCTGCTCTGCTGGCACCAGGCTCAAAGCTGGGAATACACAGAACGTACAGAACTGTATCCTGGGGTGGGGGTTAATCTCCCATTCCTAGCCAACCCTCTGGATTAAGCCCCTTGACACTGATATCAACCAGAACCACACCCAAGAACCTCAGGACCAAGCACTCTGGGAAAGAGCCCTGGCCTATTTCCCCAGACACCTCCCCTATCCCATTCCCCCACACCACCCCCTGCCACCAGCCTGCTCCTGCTTGAGCCAGACACAACCTCTTTCCCAATATAGACAGACGAGAGATGAGCAGGGTCTGCTTGATGAAATTGGTCTATGGGCTGCCTCCAAGATCTGGCTGCAAGGAGAATGGACTGGAAATTGCATGGCCATTATCTTTGCTGACAACCCCCTCTCCTCATCTTTCCAATATAATGAATTGCATGGAGAGCTCAGCTGTCATGAAAGCTTTTGAATTCCAGCCCTACCATCCTCCAGGACATCCTTAGAGGTTATCTCAGCAAGGCAGGTGGAAGAGGAAAGAGAAAAGCTTAACCCTATAAGAATAATTATGATGTATTATTAGCAACTGATGGCAATCTAATGCAGGATTTTCAATATAGACGCTGCTGACTGTAATTTTTCTCTGTCATATGTGCACGCACTAAAAGACTACATTTAATGACTCCAAAGTTCAGAGCAGTTTCTCAAACTAAATTTAGTTCCTTAGAAGCAGTGTCTCAATACAGTCCATTTTCATAAAATAGAGATACAGTCTGAATATGGAAGATACTTTTCAGGGTAGATGGAAATTTTAGGAATAGTATGCCTATAAGATAAGACCACTAGTTGGCATTAGTGTTGAGTTTACATGGCCATGCCAACTGCATTATGCGCCGAAATTGGAGTAGCACTGGAAATGACAGAACCTCATGAGCCATGGGATCTAATCATGCCATGAGTAACTTCCAGGCAGGAAATCTATCTTATTGGTTTCCATTTCCAGCTCCTGGCACAATGCTGGCCATGAGCAGAGGTTTGAGAAATGATTGCTGAACTCCCCTGTCCAAATCTTGCACACCTGCATCTAATGGACCCTGCCTAATTTGCATCTGGAACACTAGCTATAAGGGAGTCTGGGAAATGTGGTGGTGAACTTTCCAACCTCCCTAACTAGAAGGAAGGTAGAGCAAGTTTGAGGACGCCAACATAGCATACCTACCATACTCTCTAATGACCCGCCCTCAGCTTACGCTCCCACCACCTTCCTGAGCCCCTCCCTGAGGGGCAGCACACGCCTAGAGCTGACTCCTGATCAGCCCACTCATGGACGCTGGTATCAATGAGGACAGGAGAACACAAGGCTGCCTGTGCTGCAGCCATACAAGTTTTCCCTCAGTTTCTCAAAAGCTCCAAACTCTCCCTGGCCACAGGGACTTTGTGCATACTATTTCCCCTGCTAGAATGGTCTTCCCATTTCACCTACCATCCTCTTCTAGGTAACTTTATCCTTTGAATTGTAGCTTAAACATCATCTCCTCCAGGAATCTTTCCCTGACTCCCCAGACTAGATCACCTTCCCCTGTGAGATGCTCATTTAATACCACAGCATTTGTGGATTATTAACAGATCCCAGGCTCCCCTGATCAGCCACATACCATGACAGTGTGCCTGTGAGTCTCTTTGTCACCTCAGCCTGTAGGTCTAGACTGAACCTAGACTAGGCTGACACTTAGACTATCTCACCCCAACACCCACAGCCACAGTCCTTGTTCTCAAAGATGCACTGAAGTTGACAGTGATCTTCATGGCTTGCTTCATCCACACATTGATGAAGATGACACCCTAACATCCCAATTTTTGTTGTATAAGTACATTCACTGCTAAAGTATGTTTATACTTTACAGCAATATCCCAGACATGCCACATGTTCCCTAAACACATGGCATAGCAGTTGAAGACGTGGGCCTTGGTGTCAGGCAGACCTAAGTTCAAACCTTGGCTCTGACACTTAGTAGTCATGTCACCTGAAACAAGTTTCTGAGCTCTTTTTTTTCCTCATCTTTAAGAAGGGATAGTAAATATCAGCCTTGGAGAGTTATTATAAGAACTAAGCAAAATAAACCAAGTGAGAGAGCAAGACATTGCCTGGCACCTAAGTGTATGTTATGATAATCATCATCATAAGAGGGTTCTTGGAGTCTTCGTTAGGTAGCATGTTATGTCAGTTTCTTTGGCTGAAGATGTCATATTTAACTCTTCCTCAGGACGATGGGAATGACTTTTGAGGCTCTCAATAGAAGAGACAGCTAGAAATCCCTCTAGACTGTGTCCTGCACACACGGATCTAACAGGCCACCTAGAGCCCACCAGTATGTCAGAGGACACTGGCTCACACTCTTGGAAAGCAATGTGGAGATATTTACCAAAAGCTAAGAAAAACCTCCATCTTTTGACCCAATATTTTAACTCCTGGACGACATGCTAAAGGATTAATTCAATGAAAGCAAAAAGTTTTCTTTTTTTTTGAGACAGGGTCTCACTGTGTTACCCAGGTTGGAGTTCTGTGGTATGACCATGGCTCACTGCAGCCTCAACCTCCCGGACTCAAGCTATCCTCCCACTTCAGCTTCCCTAGTAGCTGGGACTACAGGTGTGTGCCACCACACCGGGCTAATTTATAATTATTATTATTATGCTTAGTAGAGATGGGGTCTTACTATATTGCCCAGGCTATTCTCAAACTACTGGACTCAAGTAGTCCTCCCACTTTAGCCTCCCAAAGTGCTGGGATTACAGGTACGAGCCACTGCATCCAGCCCCCAAAAAGCTTTCTTTGTGAAGATGTTCACTAAAATCACTCAAGATTGGAAACCCTTCTGATTACCAATAATAAGGGATTGGTTTGGCAAATCAGCACACTGAGATTTTACAGCCATTAAATGGTTCACCATGAAGTCTCTGTAGAAAAATGAAAAAAAAAAAAAAAATGTTTCTTCTACAATGTGAAGAGCAAATACCCAGTCTGGCAGAGGGCCTGCCAGACAAAACAACGACCAACAGGGAACACCCCAAAATTGAAAGAGTTGGGAAGGGGCAAGGTCAAGGAGATTTTAGAAAAATGTCCTTTAATATTCATTTTAATACTGTGCTGTTTTTACAGGTTTAAAATAATCATCCTACTGGGCATTTCTAGCAGATGATTGAAGCCTAAGGAAACCCTTGTCTTAACTAGTGGAAATAAAAGGGTCCTTCCTCAGTAGAACAGAGTTTGATGTCTTAAGTCCATGCTATAGATGAGATTTACTGGAACAAACAAGGCAAATAATATTGGAAAGACTAGTTACTAGGCAAAATCAAGTTTCTTCCAGCCTAGAATAAGGTGGAACATTTAACATCATTTAAAGGGTTATACACTCTTTAA
Source organism: Homo sapiens (assembly GCF_000001405.40). Lineage (NCBI taxonomy): Eukaryota > Metazoa > Chordata > Mammalia > Primates > Hominidae > Homo > Homo sapiens. The sequence continues at coordinate 118,890,753 of NC_000010.11, forward strand.
ATGGGTTTTAAAGACTTAAGATGAGACCAAAAGTTTGGTCCTCCCATTCTGATGCACTGCAGCTAGAGGAGCCTCACTTCGGGTACCCTAGAGAGAAGGCAGAAACAGCCAGAAAAGTGCCACAGAACAGGTTAGTCGTGAGGCCCTGAAAGCTATCTGCAGCTTAATAGCATGGCATTTACGGTTGAGTTACAGGATTTGATTCCAGTATTTCTCCCCTAGTCCTTGAACAAGAAACTGACTTGGGGCTGTTCATTCTATGGAAACACTCAGAAAGAGGCATTACCCATATTTATAAATGTGGAAATACTCTCAAACTTAGGACTTGAGAATTCTAACCACCTTCAATTAACCAGAGTTCCAAGACTCATGCCCTGGACTCTTAATGAGGCAGGCACGATGGCATCTAAATGCATTCAGATCCAGTTGGGGCCAGGATCCATTCATCCCAATCTCCTAATGGTTCTACCTCCGAGTCCACAGTAAAATTCAATATTCAGAATGGTGCCTCTTTGGCCTTGCAGTCTCCTCAATACCATCCCCAGCTAGCAAAACAAGGGCTGGACAGAACTCACAGCTGTCTTGGGAATAGACAAGGGATAGCCTGGGTGGGCAGAGGCCATCCTCAGCAATGTCCAGGAGTAGGAATTTGGCCAAAGACACCTGGAATAATTGTGGTACCAAATAGGGGACCTTCTGTTCTGAAGCAATGGGTGTACAAGGTGGACATGGGTCACAAGAAACAAAGCTAGAGGCCAGGCATGGTGGCTCACATCTGCAATCCCAGCACTTTGGGAGGCTGAGGTGGGAAGATTGCTTGAGTTCAGGAGTTCAAGACCAGCCTGGGAAACATAGCAAGACCTCATCTCTACTGAAAATAACTTAAAAAAATATTAGCCAGCCATGGTGGCACATGCCTGTAGTCCTAGCTACTCAGAGGCCTGAGGTGGGAGGATCACTTGTGCCCAGGAGATGGGGACTGCAGTGAGCTATGATTGTACCACTGCATTCCAGCCTGGGCAACAGAGTGAGAAAAGAAAGGAAGGAAGGAAGGGAAGGGAAAGGGAAAGGGGAAGGGGAAGGGAAAGAGGAAGAGGAGAAACAGAAGAAAGAGAAAAAAGAGACGGAAGGAAGGAAGGAAGGGAGGGAGGGAGGGAGGGAGGGAAAGAGAGCAAGAGGGCAAGACAGAAAGAAAGAAAAGAAAAGAAGTAAAAGAAAGAAAGGAAAAGAAAAGAAAATAATGAATTATCCCTTAGAACAGCAGTTCCCAACCTTTTTGGCACCAGGGACTGGTTTCATGGGAGATAGTTTTTCTATGGACCAGGATGGGGGTGGGGGGGGTCGGGGACAGGGGGAGGTGATGGTTTGGGAATGACTCAACTGCATTACATTTATTGTGTACTTTATTTCTATTAGTATTACATTGTACAACTCACCATATACACCTCACCATAATGTAGAATCAGTGGGAGCCTTGAACTTGTTTCCCTGCAACTAGATGATCCCATCTGGGAGTGATGAAAGACAGTGACAGATTATCAGGCATTAGACTTTCATAAGGAGCCCACAACCTAGATCCCTCACATGTGCAGTTCACAATAGGGTTTGTGCTCCTGTGAGAATCTAATGCCACTGCTGATCCAACAGGAGGCAGGGCTCAGGCAGTATTGCAAGCAATGGGGAGTGGCTGTAAATACAGATGAAATTTCACTCACTCATCTGCCACTCACCTCCCACTGTGTAGCCCAGTTCCTAACAGGCCACAGACCAGTACCACCCCGTGGCCCAGGTCTTGGGGAGCCCTGCCTTTAGAACACAGGCATGTTGACAGAGGGCAGCCAGCAGCAAGTAGTTAGTGGGGCTAATGGGACTCTGCTGTGACAGCAAAGGGTGTGGGAATAGCAGGGATGATATTATCAGAGAATTATCTCTGTTCTCATTGGGGCAGAAAAGGCCCCTCCCATTATGGTGCCTTGGAGCTCTGGACCCTGATCCCCAGCCTGGATTTCAAATATGACCCATTGTCAGGCCATGGACCCCTTTGTTGTTTGGAGAAGATGGTCACTGTCTTAATGGGGGCTCCTCTAGGAGCAGATCATGAGATAAGGAGATGCAGTTTATTTGGGAGGTTAAGAACAAACATGTAGAAGTGTGGAGATGTGAGGCAGAGAAGGAGAGGCACCCCAGCCCTAATTCAATATATTAATCTGTTCTCACACTGCTGATAAAGACATACCCGAGTCTGGGTAATTTATAAAGAAAAAGAGGTTTAATGGACTCACAGTTCCACGTGGCTGAAGAGACCTCACCATCATGGCGGAAGGCAAAAGGCACATCTTACATGGCAGCAGGCAAGAGGGGTTTATGCACGGAAACTCCCCTTTATAAAACCATCAGATGTCTTGAGACTTATTCACTATCACAAGAACAGCATAGGAAAGACCCACCTCCATGATTCAATCACCTCCCACGGGATCCCTTCCATGACACCTGGGGATTATGGGAGCTACAATTCAAGATTTGGGTGGGGACACAGCCAAACTATATCATTCAATAAACGGTGCTTTAATCAAGCCAGTTACTACAGGCAACTGGAGCTTAATCCCCCCAGGAAAACTCAAGAAGGGAGTGTAGACACAAACACAGAGTAAGTGGGTCTGAGAGGTGAGAGGGCTGGAGTACCCACTGGTTACTGATTGATGGCCAGATGAGTAGGGGACATTCATTCCCCACCATTTCCAGCATGGACAGTAAGGCAAGCAGAGTGATCTGAATGCCACAAAAATGCCTTCAGGTGCTGATGGTTGAAGGTCAGGTCTTCTTACACTAACATGCTAAGGGTGGAGGGGATATGGGCAGGTCATCACTGGTGTCACCAATTTTAAAAAAGTTTTTTAAAAAGACATAATCCTTTTATCACCCCCGCCTCACACACCATCTAGCTTACAGTTTCTTTCTGCGACTAGCCCTCCCCCACCTGCCCCAACAATTTCTTCTTAAAGACGTGGCTGGAACTGAAGCTATAGCCAAGGTTAATGCTCCTTTTTCTTTATCCGACCTCTCCCAGATCAGTTAGCATTTAGGCTCTTCTTCATCAAATATAAAAACTTAACCCAGTTCATGGCCCATTTGGCAACAACCCTTAGACATTTACCACCCTAGACCCAGAAAGGCCAGAAGGCCATCTTATTCTCAATATGCATTTTATCACCCAGTCAGCTCCCGACATTAGAAAAAAGCTTCAAAAATTGGAATCTGGCCCTCAAACCCCACAACAGGAATTAATCAACCTCGCCTTCAAGGTGTACAATAATAGAGAGGAGGTAGCCAGACAGCAATGCATTTCTGAGTTACAGCTACTTGCCTCCACTGTAAGACAACACACAACCATGTCTCCAGCATACAAGAACTTCAGAACATCCAAGCCACAGCTCCCAGGGGCTCCTTCAAAACATCCTTGTGGACCTTGCTTCAAATGCCAAAAGCCTGGCCACTGGACCTCAGAATGCCTGCAGCCCGGGATTTCTCCTAAGCCATGCCCTGTCTGTGTGGGCCCCCACTGGAGGTCGGACTGCCTGACTCACATCACTGCTGCTCCTAAAGCCCCTGGAGCCCAAACCCAGTGTTCCTTGGCCGACTCCTTCCCAGATCTCCTCGGCTTAGCAGCTGAAGACTGACACTGCCCGATTGCCTCGGAAGCCCCTTGGACCATCTCAGACACCGAGCTTCAGGTAACTCTTACAGAAGAGGGTAAGTCCGTCCTCTGTTTAACGGATACAGGGGCTACCCACTCATTACCTTCAAGGGCCTGTTTCCCTTGCCCCCATAACTGTTGTGGGTATTGACGGCCAAGCTTCAAAACCCCTTAAAACTCCCCCACTCTGGTGCCAACTTGGACAACATTCTTTTATGCACTCTTTTTTAGTTATCCCCACCTGCCCAGTTCCCTTATTAGGGTGAGACATTTTAACCAAATTATCTGCTTCCCTGATTATTCCTGGACTACAGCCACATCTCATTGCCACCCTTCTTCCCAACCCAAAGCCTCCTTCACATCCTCCCCTTGTATCTCCCCACCTTAATCCACAAGTATAGGACACCTCTACTCCCTCCTTGGTGACTGTTCATGCACCCCTTACCATCCCATTAAAACCTAATCACCCCTCCCTCTCCCTCTCCGTCTCCCTCTCCCTCTCCCTCTCCGTCTCCCCACGGTCTCCCTCTGATGCCGAGCCAAAGCTGGACTGTACTGCTGCCATCTCGGCTCACTGCAAACTCCCTGCCTGACTCTCCCGCCTCAGCCTGCCGAGTGCCTGCGATTGCAGGCGCGCGCCGCCACGCCTGTTTTTCGTATTTTTTTGGTGGAGACGGGGTTTCGCTGTGTTGGCCGGGCTGGTCTCCAGCTCCTAACCACGAGTGATCCACCAGCCTCGGCCTCCGGAGGTGCCGGGATTGCAGACGGAGTCTCGTTCACTCAGTGCTCAATGTTGCCCAGGCTGGAGTGCAGTGGCGTGATCTCGGCTAGCTACAACCTCCACCTCCCAGCCGCCTGCCTTGGCCTCCCAAAGTGCCGAGATTGCAGCCTCTGCCCAGCCGCCACCCCGTCTGGGAAGTGAGGAGCGTCTCTGCCTGGCCACCCATCGTCTGGGATGTGAGGAGCCCCTCTGCCCGGCTGCCCAATCTGGGAAGTGAGGAGCGCCTCTTCCCGGCTGCCATCCCGTCTAGGAAGTGAGGAGCGTCTCTGCCTGGCCGCCCATCATCTGAGATGTGGGGCGCGCCTCTGCCCCGCCGCCCCGTCTGGGATGTGAGGAGTGCCTCTGCCCAGCCGCAACCCCGTCTGGGAGGTGAGAAGCGTCTCTGCCCGGCCACCCCGTCTGAGAAGTGAGGAGCCCCTCCGCCTGGCAGCCGCCCTGTCTGAGAAGTGAGGAGCCCCTCCGCCCGGCAGCCGCCCCGTCTGGGAAGTGAGGAGCGTCTCTGCCCGGCAGCCGCCCCGTCCGGGAGGGAGGTGGGGGGCAGCCCCCACCCAGTCAGCCGCCCCGTCCGGGAGGGAGGTGGGGGGCGCCTCCGCCCGGCCGCTGCCCCGTCCGGGAGGTAGGGGGCGCCTCTGCCCAGCCACCCCTTCTGGGAAGTGAGGAGCCCCTCTGCCCGGCCGCCACCCCGTCTGGGAGGTGTACCCAACAGCTCATTGAGAACGGGCCATGATGACGATGGAATAGAAAAGGGGGAAATGTGGGGAAAAGATAGAGAAATCAGATCATTGCTGTGTCTGTGTAGAAAGAAGTAGACATAGGAGACTCCATTTTGTTCTGTACTAAGAAAGATTCTTCTTCCTTGGGATGCTGTTGATCTATGACCTTGCCCCCAACCCTGTGCTCTCTGAAACATGTGCTGTGTCCACTCAGGGTTAAATGGGTTAAGGGCGGTGCAAGATGTGCTTCATTAAACAGATGCTTGAAGGCAGCATGCTCGTTAAGAGTCATCACCACTCCCTAATCTCAAGTACCCAGGGACACAAACACTGCGGAAGGCCGCAGGGTCCTCTGCCTAGGAAAACCAGAGACCTTTGTTCACTTGTTTATCTGCTGACCTTCCCTCCACTATTGTCCTATGACCCTGCCAAATCCCCCTCTGCGAGAAACACCCAAGAATGATCAATTAAAAAAAAAAAAGAAAAAGAAAAAAAATAAATAAAAAAATAAAGCCTTCAACTAAAAAATAAAAAAAAAATTAAAAAAATAAAAATAAAACCTAATCACCCTTACCCCACTCAATGCCAATATCCCATCCCACAGCATGCTTTAAAAGGATTAAAGCCTGTTATCACTCGCCTGTTACAGCATGGCCTTTTAAAGCCTATAAACTCTCCTTACAGTTCCCCCATTTTACCTGTCCAAAAACCAGACAAGCCTTTACAGGTTAGTTCAGGATCTGCTCCTTATCGACCAAATTGTCTTGCCTATCCAACCTGTGGTGCCAAACCCATATACTCTCCTATCCCAATAACTCCCTCCACAACCCCTCCATAACCCATTATTCTGTTCTGGATCTCAAACATGGTTTCTTTACTATTCCTTTGCACCCTTCATTCCAGCCTCTCTTTGCTTTCACTTGGACTGACCCTGACACCCATCAGCCTCAGCAACTTACCTGGGGTATACTGCCACAAGGCTTCACAGACAGCCCCCATTACTTCAGTCAAGCTCTGTTGGGAACAAGCCCCCCAAAATCTGGCCATAAACTGGCCCCAAAACTGGCCATAAACAAAATCTCTGCAGCACTGTGACATGTTCATGATGGCCATAACACCCACGCTGGAAGGTTGTGGTTTTACAGGATTAAGGGCAAGGAACACCTGGCCCACCCAGGGCAGAAAACCACTTAAAGCCATTCTTAAGCTACAAACAATAGCATGAGCGGTCTGTGCCTTAAGAACATGCTCCTACTGCAGTTAACTAGCCCAACCTATTCCTTTAATTCAGCCCATCCCTTCGTTTCCCATAAGGGATACTTTTAGTTAATTTAATATCTATAGAAACAATGCTAATGACTGGTTTGCTGTTAATAAATACGTGGGTAAATCTCTGTTCCGGGCTCTCAGCTCTGAAGGCTGTGAGACCCCTGATTTCCCACTTCACACCTCTATATTTCTGTGTGTGTGTCTTTAATTCCTCTAGCACCACTGGGTTAGGGTCTCCCCAACTGAGCTGGTCTCAGCAAAGCCCAAATTTCTTCCTCATCCATTACCTATCTCAGCATAATTCTTCATGAAAACACACGTGCTCTCCCTGCCGATCATGTCCGACTGATCTCTCAAACCTCAACCCCTTCCACAAAACGACAACTCCTTTCCTTCCTGGGCATGGTTGGATACTTTCACCTTCAGATACCTGGTTTTGCCATCCTAACAAAACCGTTATATAAACTCACAAAAGGAAACCTAGCTGACCCCATAGATCCTAAATCCTTTCCCCACTCCTCTTTCTGTTCCAACCCTTTTTCATTACACACAGCTGAAGAGCAGGGCTGTGCAGTCAAAATTCTTACACAAGAGCCGGACCACGCCCTGTAGGCCTTTTGTCCAAATAACTTGACCTTACTGCTTTAGGCTGGCCATCATGTCTCTGTGTGGCAGCCGCCGCCGCCCTAATACTTTTAGAGGCCCTCAAAATCACAAACTATGCTCAACTCACTCTCTACAGTTCTCATAACTTCCAAAATCTATTTTCTTCCACACACCTGACACATATACTTTCTGCCCCCTGGCTCCTTCAGCTGTACTCACTCTTTGTGGAGTCTCCCACAGTTACCATTGTTCCTGGCCTGGACTTCAATCTAGCCTCCTACATTATTCCTGATACCACACCTGACCCCCATGACTGTATCTCATTCACTCCATTTCCCCGTATTTCCTTCTTTCCTGTTCCTCACCCTGATCACGCCTGGTTTGTTGATGGCAGTTCCACCAGGCCTAATCGCCACACACCAGCAAAGGCAGGCTATGCTATAGTATCTTCCACAACTATCATTGAGGCTACCACTCTACCCACCTCCACTACCTCTCAGCAAGCCGAATTCATTGCCTTAACTCGAGCCCTCACTCTTGCAAAGGAATTACGTGTCAATATTTATACTGATTCTAAATATGACTTCCATATCCTGCACCACCATGCTGTTATATGGGCTGAAAGAGGTTTCCTCACTATGAAAGGGTCCTCCATCATTAATGCTTCTTTAATAAAAGCTCTTCTCAAGGCCGCTTTACTTCCAAAGGAAGCTGAAGTCATACACTGCAAGAGCCACCAAAAGGCATCAGATCCCATCACTCAGGGCAATGCTTATGCTGATAAGGTAGCTAAAGAAGCAGCTAGCATTCCAACTTCTGTCCCTCACAGCCAGTTTTTCTCCTTCTCATTGGTCACTCCCACCTACTCTCCCACTGAAACTTCCACCTATCAATCTCTTCCCACACAAGGCAAATGGTTCTTGGACCAAGAAAAATATCTCCTTCCAGCCTCACAGGCCCACTCTATTCTATTGTCATTTCATAACCTCTTCCACGTAGGTTACAAGCCGCTAGCCGGCCTCTTAGAACCTCTCATTTCCTTTCCCATCATGGAAATCTATCCTTAAGGAAATCACTTCTCAGTGTTCCATCTGCTATTCTACTACTCCTCAGGGATTGTTCAGGCCCCTTCCCTTCCCTACACATCAAGCTCAGGGAGTTGCCCTGCCCAGGACTGGCAAATTGGCTTTACTCACATGCCCCGAGTCAGGAAACTAAAATACCTCTTGGTCTAGGTAGACACTTTCACTGGATGGGTAGAGGCCTTTCCCACAGGGTCTGAGAAGGCCACCGCAGTCATTTCTTCCCTTCTGTCAGAAATAATTCCCTGGTTTGGCCTTCCCACCTCTATACAGTCTGATAACGGACCAGCCTTTATTAGCCAAATCAGCCAAGCAGTTTCTCAGGCTCTTGGTATTCAGTGGAACCTTTGTACCCCTTAACATCCTCAATCTTCAGGAAAGGTAGAACGGACTCATGGTCTTTTAAAGAAATACCTCATCAAGCTCAGCCTCCAACTTAAAAAGGACTGGACAGTACTTATACTTCTTGCCCTTCTCAGAATTAGAGCCTGTCCTCAAGATGCTACAGGGTAAAGCCCATTTAAGCTCCTGTACGGACACTCCTTTTTACTGGGCCCCAGTCTCATTCCAGACACCAGCGCAACTTGAACTGCACCCCAAAATCTTGGATAGAGCCTAAAAACTTGTCAACCAGGCAAGTAATTATGCTGAACCTCCTTGGGCACTCCCTAATTAGATGTCCTGGGTCCTCCCAATTCTTATTTCTTTAATACCTGTTTTTCTCCTTCTCTTATTCGGACCTTGTGTCTTCCATTTAGTTTTTCAATTCATACAAAACTACATCCAGGCCATCACCAATCACTCTATATGACAAATGCCCCTTCTAACAACCTTACTGCAAAATCTTCCTTCAGCATAATCTTTCCCACTCTAGGTTCCTACACCACCCCAATCCCACTTGAAGCAGCCCTGAGAAACATCGCCCATTATCTCTCCATACCACCCCCAAAAATTTTCGCCGCCCCAACACTTTACCACTATTTCATTTTATTTTTCTTATTAATATAAGAAGACAGGAATGTCAGGCCTCTGAGCCCAAGCTAAGCCATCATATCCCCTGTGACCTGCACATATATATCCAGATGGCCTGAAGTAACTGAAGAATCACAGAAGAAGTGAAAATGGCCTGTTCCTGCCTTAACTGATGACATTCCACCATTGTGATTTGTTCCTGCCCCACCTTAACTGAGCAATTAACCTTGTGAAATTCCTTCTCCTGGCTCAGAACCTCCCCCATTGAGCACCTTGTGACCCCTGCACCTGCCCATAAGAGAAAAACCCCCTTTGACTGTAATTTTCCACTACCCACCCAAATCCTATAAAACGGCCCCACCCCTATCTCCCTTCACTGACTCTCTTTTCAGACTCAGCCCACCTGTACCCAGGTGAAATAAACAGCCTTGTTGCTCACACAAATCCTGTTTGGTGGTCTCTTAACACAGATGCGTGTGACAGGTGTCTCCCTCTGTCACCCCAGTTGGAGTGTAGTGACATGATCATGGCTTACTGCAGCGTTGAACTCCTGGGCTCAAGCCATCCTCCCACCTCACCCTCCTAAGTAGCAACGACTAAAGGCACATACCACAGCCAGCTAAGTGTTTTTTAATGTTGTCTTTTTTGTAGAGATGGGGTCTCACTATGTTGTCCAGACTGGTCTTGAACTCCTGGCATCAAGTGATCCTCCCAAAGTGCTGGGATTATAGGCGTGAGCCACTGCACCCGGCCAGTGTCATTAAATTTAAACGTTGTCTGATTCGGTGATGCGAACTGGTAAGGACGCCCTTCCATGGGTTCACCCAGCTCCACCGACAGTTTCCCCTAAAAACAGGGGACTCATTACCCACCTCCCAAGGCAGTCTAGCATTTCCATTCTCAGAGAACTCTCCATGGTAGAAAGTTCTTCCCCCAGTGAACTGATATTAAGATCCCTGTGGCTTCCACCTGCTGGTCTTAGCATTGCCCTGTAGGCCATGCAGAACCACGGGAAGCCGCCTGCCTCCAGGAATTCAATTCTGTTCACAATGGTGTTCTTTACTTAGGCAAGACAGCAAAGCAAGCAGATGTGCTTTAGGAAGAATCCCACGAAGGACTGCTCAAACAAGAGGGAGATTTTAGTTAATTAGCAACAGATTCCAGTAATCAGACGAGACCACTCCCAGTCCTTCTTCTGAATAGAACGTCCATGGTAGGTGCAGTTGTTATTATCAGGCAGGCTGAGGGCTACATACATTTATCATAAAATATGAGGCTTAAATTCAATATCAAGATGAAAGTCAAACCAAAGCTCCCTGGGAGACAAGGAGCTCGGCTCTCACAAGCCTAGAGTGGAGAATATTGCCTTTCAGCAAATAATACTTCTAATTTGATCTTGCAAAGATTCCTGCAAAGAAGAAAGCAACGAGATGTCAGGAGAATGTGGAATGTGTACTCTTCTATATGTATTTTTTATCATGGCCACATTCTTCAGGATCTCAGTCATCAATTACTTGTGACAGGCAGTCAATTGTTTATCTTTCAAGAGCATTACCACTTACTTTCCTTTATACATCTTCCCTGTATTATTATGCGGACAAGATCATCTATTTTCTCCTCCCTTCCAAGCCCTTCCGTCATTTGCTGTCCAGCATCCTGGTGTAATGCCCTGGAAAGATTGGCTTTGTGAGGCTGGAAGAAAAATGACTTTCCGCTCCCCACTCACCAAGGCATACACAAAAGGGCACCAAACCAGCGTTTAATTCAGCCAGATGTCAGGGCCCTGCTAGTGGAAATTCACTTCTGTGTGTTAGAACAGGTGTTTCTGTGAGATCCTCAGAGAAACCAGAACAGCTAGAAGCAAGAACATTCCCCCACCCCTTTTCAGAAAATAGAAGCAAGTTTCTGCCATGAAAGCCATTTTTGCTTAAAACACCAGGCTGAAATAATTGCATATTTGTTGGGGATTGACAGTTGAGTTTTTTCATGAATTTTGCTATCTTTTGACGGTAGCAAATAAGTAGGTAGTAAATGCACTCTCTTGGGGCTTTTAACAGCAGAAAAAAAAATAAAAATAAAAATCACAGTAGGAAAATTTCCCCCAAAGAGCATGGCAATATTTCCATACTTTGCTGCACTTAAAGGGAGAAAATGGGCATTAAGTGTAACAGGGTTGTTATAAAAACAGTGGTTCTATTTCCGGATCTTTCATTTGCCAAAAGCCTCAATACACAGTCACTGAAAGTGGAAGAATGCCAACCTGAATTTCTATAATGCGCCTTGCAAACAATTGGATTTATTCTTAATGGACCCTTGATGCATTTTTACATTATGCAGCATGTAATTAGCTATTAAATGACTTAGGAATCAACGACTCCGATTTTCTGGGACTGATGCCTGATGAATGATTTCATGCTGTTCTTTTAAATCAATATCGTGCTGCCCACAATTTAGTGGTGGATTTGAGGGGTGTTTTGAGGGGAGAGGGGTTAAAGATTTCTGAACCTGAAATAACAATGCAATATTAATGATAAACCTTTTAACCAACCTGCAGACTGCAAGGCAGTTCTGAGCAGCACCAGCTGAATTCAGTTTCTGTAAATAGCACTTCAAACTCGCTCAGACGTTCTTCTCACCAAAACAAACAATGAACAAACATAAACATTTCCCTTTTTATAAATAATGTCAGGGAGGCCAGGCGCGGTGGCTCATGCCTGTAATCCGAACATTTTGGGAGGCCGAGACAGGTGGATCACGAGGTCAGGAGTTCGAGACCAGCCTGACCAACATGGTGAAACCCCGTCTCCACTAAAAATACAAAAATTAGCCAGGTGTGGTGGCATGCACCTGTTGTAATCCCAGCTACTCAGGAGGCTGAGGAAGGAGAATCACTTGAACACCATAGGTGGAGGTTGCAGTGAGCCAAGATTTCACCATTGCACTCCAGCCTGGGCGACACAGCAAGACTGTCTCAAATAAATAAATAAATAAATAAATAAATAAATAAATAAATAAAGTCAGGGGATTTTGGTGGTGGAGAGGGAGTCAGACAACTGGCATGAATTTATGAAACTCATACCACATGCCCAGAATGGCTGGCGCGGGGGTGACAGGTCATTTATTGAGATATGAATCTGCATTTTGTTCTTGCCGCATTTTTCTCACAGACTCTCCATCCCCCTTTCCAAGAAGGGAGTCAGAGCCTGAGCACCCCATTGGTTCAAGGGAAGCTTGCACACTCAGGGCCTGAAATAGAGGTTGCTTGCAGAAAAACTCTTTTCCTGGCTTCTGAGAGTGCCAGTTCACTGAGAGACTGACGCTAGATAATCCAGAAGGTGAGAAGAGAGAGCTGAGCATCTCTGAAGAGAGCAGAAGCAGCAGGAAATTGGGTTGGGGAGGTGCTTCTCCAAGCCTGGCAGGAAGGTAGAGGTCTACAGGCTCTGGATGGAGACCCCCAGCAGCCGGGAGGGTAGAAGGATCTCTAGGGGAAGTGATTGTGAAGACCACCCGGCAGTTGGCAGAGGGGCTGGCTGGGGAACCATGACTCCCAGGGCCAAGCATGGGCAGCCGTGAAAGCTGCAGGAGCCCTTGGTCAGCCCAAGAGTCCCAGGACCTGCACGGGGCCCTGGGCCAAGGGAAGGAGCCCCAATCAGGATGGAAGACCCTACCAGCCTGGCAGGATCAGGCCTGCCAGGCCTGAGTTAATATGGTTAAACAGGTCAGAGTTAATATGGTTTCAAAGAGGTATTGGGTACTTCTTACATAGCCAAGCTTGCAGGACAACAGTCATATCCCACCACAGTTATTGCTGCTGACTGGCAGCCTAGGCACCTTCACTTTCTCCAGTCATTGCTGCTGCCACCTGTACCAAGGGTCAAGTCAAAGAACAATGATGACCATGAGTAGGGGTGACTCCAGGCCACCAGCCAGCATGGCCTGGAAGGGCAGCCTGCAAGCCTGCCAGAGCCAGGAGTTGGGACAGGACCATTCCTGGCTCCCAAATTCCCTCCTCCCCTCTTCCCATGAGTGTGGGCAACTCCTAGGTCTGGGTGTCTGCTCTCACCCCTACCCTGAGATCTGCCAGTTCCTCTGCTCCCTCCAAAGCAGGCCCCACCCTGTGCTGGGTGCTCAGGATCCAACAGGGAGTGAAACAGATAAAGTCCCTGCCCTCCCAGACCCTGGAGGCAGCTCTACCTGATTTGGCATTGCCATCTGCCACCCTGATCCTGAGTGCTTCAACACCCGGAGCTTGAATTCAGACAGGTAGCCCCAATGGTCTTCCTTCCCAGCCCTGCCTAGCCCCACACTGCCATCTGGTCCCACAATGCCTTGCAACACAAAGCCTGGCAGTGTGCAGGAACTAGGCTTGGCTGCCACCTTGAAATGAAGAGGGAAAGACACTAATTGCAGTGAGAACAAAAATAAATTAATATCTCGATACATCATTGTACCACAAAATGACCAGAGAAAAATGCAGGGCCAAGCAGCATAGAGCACACTCAATGAAAGAGAGGTCATAGGAACCAGTCATGGAAGAGAGCTGGATGGGCGTGGCTAGGTGGAGGGTCCGGAAGCCCAGCGGGGAGTTCACCATGGTTCCCATCTTCTAAAACCTGTGTTTTGAATTCCAGCGCACACTGTGCAGGAAGACAGGAGAGAGCAACCAGCTGTGACTCGCGCATTGGCTGATGGGAGTGAAAAAAGTACGATCTGTTCAAAAGCAATTTGTCAAAACATTTCAAGAGCCATAAAAATCTTCTAACCTTTGATCCAATAAGCTTACTCCAGGGAATATATCTGTAAGGAATGAATTCAATAATAAGAAAAATAGGTTATAATAAGTGAGCACCTACTCTATGCTAGCTGCTATTTCAAGCACTTTAAATGCGTATTTTCTAAATTAGCCAGGTGTGGTGGTACACATCTGTAATCCCAGCTACTCGGGAGGCTGAGGCACGAGAGTCGCTTGGACCCGGGAGGTGAAGGTTGCAGGGAGCCAAGATCGAAGATTGCATCACTGGGCTCCAGCCTGGACTGAGCAAGACTCTGTCTCAAAAAAAAAAAAAAAAAAAAAAATGTGTATTTTATCGTTTAATTCTTACCACCCTTGAAGTAAATCCTGTCATTACACCCAATTTACAGATGATGAAATTGAGACACGAAGAGTTTAGACAATTTGTATATAGTAAAAGAGGCAGCATCCAAACCCGGAGCCAGCCTTCTCAGTCACTACCCAATGCTGCCTCCCAAAGATCAAGAAAATTCTATATAGCATTATCTATAACTGTGGAACAGAGAAGACATTTATATATTTATAAACAATATATATATGAGTAGCCGGGCATGATGGCTCATACCTGTATTCCCAGCACTTTGGGAGGCTGAGGAGGGAGAATGACGTGAGCCCAGGAGTTCGAGACCAGCCTGGACCAATATAGGAAGACCCCATCTCTACAAAAAATAAACAAAATTAGCCAGGCGTGGTGATGTACAGCTGTGATCCCAGCTACTCAGGAGGCTGAGGTGAGAGGATCACTTAAGCCCAAGAGGTAGAGGCTGCGGTAAACTGTGATCACGCCACTGCACTCTAGCCTGGGCAACAGAGAAAGATCTTATCTCAAAATACATCTAGATCTAGGTATAGGGTGCACTATGGAGGTACAGCCAATAGACTCCTGTGCAGGTTTGGAACTGATTTTAGTGGAGACAGTATCACATCACAGGCAATATGGAAGGCTGCAAGGAGGAAGGGGCGTCTGGGATGAATCCAAGGAACCAGCAAAAATAATCATTTGATTATAGAAATACTCAGGTGCTGGAGGCAGGGGTGGTGTAGAAAAGTGTCCCAAGCAGAGGAATGCAGGCAGAGGAGGGGCTTGGCATATTCAGGGAACCGGGAGGCCATGGAAGGGCCAAGGCACAGAGACCAGAGGGAGCAGTCAAAGCTGCAGCTGAAGTGCCGAGCAGAGGCCCATGGACCAGAAAACTGTGAGGAGGAGGCTGTGTCTCCAGGCAGGAGGTGGTGGGGGAACCCAGAGCCACTTGGGCAGCAGAATCAACAGGGTATGATGGTTAATTGCATGTGTGAGGGAGTCACAGAGGACTCTGGGTTTCTCAGTGAATTTGTTGTTCATGGAGACAAAATACAGAAGGAGGGGAGGAACAGGCTCATTGGAGATAGCCCTAGCTTCCCTGAAAAACTGGCTTATATGACTACAGATATTTACCTGTGCATTGAGAGTTTGTGTGTTTTTCTCTTGTGTATACATGCACACATATATTTGTATATAGGTATATACCCCAATAATTAAACTTTGGCATTCATAGCTATTGAAATAACACTAAGACCTAAAGATAGAAATATCATTTGACCCAGCAATCCCATTACTGGGTATATACCCAAAGGAATATAAATCTTTCTATTATAAAGATACATGCATGCATATGTTCATTGCAGCACCATTCACCATGGCACAGACATGGATTCATCCTAAATGTCCATCAATGATAGACTAGATTTTTTAAATATGCTACATATACACAATGGAATACTATGCAGCCATAAAAAAGAATGAGATCATGTCCTTTCCAGGGGCATGGATGGAGCTGGAGGCCGTTATCCTTAGCAAACGAATGCGGGAACAGAAAACCAAATACCACATGTTCTCACTTATAAGTGGGAGTTAAATGGTGAGAACTCATGGACACATAGAGGGGAACAACACACACTGGGGCCTATCGGAGGGTGGAGGGTAGGAGGAGGGAGAGGGTCAGGATAAATAACTAATGGGTACTAGGCTTAATATCTGGGTGATGAAATAATCTGTACAACACACCCCCATGGCACACAAGTTTGCCTGCGTAACAAACCTACACATGTGCCCCTGAACTTAAAAGTAAAAAAAAAAAAGAAATAACACTGTTCAGAGAGCTCACGTGACTATAACCTAACAAAGGTTGAAATAAGGTCCAAGAATGAGTTAAAGGAGAAAAGCAGACCCTAAGAGTACTGGAGAAGACGTAAGAGCCGTCACATGTCACCAGGTCATTTGGGTTACTCAGCAATTCCAGGGACAAACTTGTAGGTCACCCCTGGGGCTCCCTGCCCTCCTTCAGCACTCGCAGACCAGGTTGGGGTTAACTCTGAAATTCCAAATAACCAAGGCCCTCCTAATGGCCATTGAGGACATTAATCAGCTTATTAATGTCCCTAGGCCCCAACCTGTCTCCCCAGAAGTGACCCCCACCATAGAACCAGCAACATGGCATTTGCAATGCCACTTGGTGTCTCAAGATCAGCAATTTGTCTCGGTGGAGCTGGGATGTCATCTGCTGCAGTGCCATCAAGTTCCAGTTGATGATTTAGTTCCGCCCCTCTACAGAGGCCCTCTTTCCCTGGGCAGCTGGGGACTCATTCCCTAGGGACTCCGAAGACCAGGGCCTGATTTTCCGCTTTCCTTCTAGATTTCTGTTCCTGAGACCCAGGCTGCTCCAGTCTCTTCTGCCTGGAAGTCTTTGGGGAAAAAAAAAGAAACGGATACTCTCCACCTTCCCCAGATCCATTGGGATGAGAAACTAGTGCCATGGGCCCATGATCCTGGGGCCCCTGGGCTTCATCAGAACCCCCTAGACTTTCTCAAGATGTTGGAGCTGAATGGGACCCTGGGGATCATCTAGCCCAACTCCCTTCTCTTGGGTTGGGCTAGATGGTCCCCAGGGTCCCACTCAGCTCCAACATCTTGAGAAAGTCTTAAGGGGAAACTGCAGCCCAGAGAAAAGAAGCAACTTTACCTACAACACACAACAGGGGCTAGAACCTGAGTTTCCCGGCACCCAACCCAGCGCTGGTACAGACTCCTCACTCCCAGAACTTCCCTCAGCTGTGCCAAAGTCCTGGTAAAGATGGCTCCCTTTCATAATGGGGGAGGGTAGACTCTATTTCAAGACCAGCCACCTTGTCCCCAATTATATTGACCTGTTTAACACATCTTCATTGAGCATCTTCATTCACTGCATACCAAACCCTGTTCTAGGTACTGGGGCTATAGAAATGAAGACATGACTTGTTATTGGCCAAAGAAGGAGGCCAGAGGAGGAGGAGGAGAAGAAGGAAGAAGCGGCCCGGGGAAGTGGTGAGAAGAAATATACTTTATCTTCTAAGATTCATCACTGTTGCTCCCCTTGGTTCATTCAACCAACAGGTATTAAGCATCCACTATGAGCCAGGTACTGTGCCTGAGCCCAAGAGCTGTGCCCAGGAGCTCATGGAACAGCAAGAGGCTAGCCTGCCTCACCTCCCCTCGCTGTGTGCTTGTGAGCCCTCCCTGCCCCACTCAGCCTGTTTCTCTAGCTTGAGTACTGACATTTGTTCATTCTAAGAAGCTACACCAGAACGTTGTCCAGAGCCGCTTCTAGACTCCTGTCTTTGCCCTGTTCTTCCTGCCCCTGGGCTCTCCACCCAGACAAATGTGACAGAACTTGATGACAGGGCCACCATCCCGGTGTCCGTTTATCGGGTCAGATGGAAGTGACTGATGAAATGGGGCTTTCTCATCTCCTGGAGAGAGAAGCCCTTCCTCCCTCCCCCAGCCCCCACTGTAGACCAGGCACAAAGGATTCAGAATGCAAGTAACTGTCCTGTGAACAATCCCTTCTTTTTGACCCTCAGGGTTGCCCTGAACCGGGCACCACCTGCACAACTCCAGGAGGTGCTGTTCACATGGGGCTGAAGTACACTCTGACCCAGGAGTCTGGCCCTGCACGGCTGTGTGGCTGGGCGTGGCTGCCCAGCCCCTGAGATCAGAGGGTGTGTCCCAGTGTCTTTGACTTTGGGGAAGCCAGGAGAGGGACTGCGCAGGCAAGTGGCAGATGGACGGGAGCTGGCGTTTCAGGGTGCAGAGCACACAATCTGGAGCCAGCCATTTGAGTCCTGTCCAGGCTGTCTGGGCCGCTAACCAAGACGATGCTGGGAAGAGGGTTTGCCGAACTGGATGAGGATGAAGGGGAAAAATCAGTTCAGACAGCTCGCTTTAAATGTAATTGCTCCATCTCGAGAATCCGTCTGGCTCCCGGGCAGGTGGACTGTGTGTCTGGGCCTGGCCCAGGCTGGGGGAGGCATTGCACTCCCTGATTGAATTACTGCATCTCCAGGCACTCAGGAGAGTGGCCCCCGAGTCCTGCCACGTCCCGTGCACCCCTGCCTCCCAGCATGCATGGAAAACCTTCACAGTTAATCTAATGACATTCTGCAGCCTAGAATCCCCAGAGCAGGAACAAGGCTGTGTCTGACTTGATAGCCATTTCAATTAGCCAGAGGCCAAGGAAGGGACAGAAGGGAACGAGAGAGAAGGCCAAGTCTGGGGGGATGGGAGCTTGTCTGAAGGCCTCACCAAAGTACTGGTCCCTTCCTGGTGACACACTAGGAACTTCACCTGTCCTCACCAGACAGGGGCCTTTCTCACCATAAATGGGGCCCAAAAAAAGGCAAAATAAAAATGACCCTCTGCTTTTGCTCAGGGTTACTGTGACAATAAATGAGGACATACACACCATTCTTGGTTGTCGTTTTATCCCTGAGAAGGGCCAGTAAAAAGGACACCTGCCTGGGAGACAGGAGCCCAGAGTTTAGCGCTGGCTCTGCCATTATTCACTGCTCATTACTGGGCCATCATCTTCCCTCTCTGGGCCTCATTCTGTAAGGATTGCACTACATCCATGGTTTTCTATGTTTTTCTTCAAATGAAACCTTCCGAATAACTCCAATATATAGCAGAGACAAAAATACAGCCTCCCAGGTGGGAAGGCAGGTGGGCTTCAGAGCAGGTTCCTCCTCATACCCTATGAACCATCACATAACTCCTGGGTGCCATGCATCACTCAGAAACAACCCTGAGCCAGACACCCACTGCGGGAGGCAGAACCGTGGTCCCCAAAGATGTCAGGGTCTTACTCCCCAGAAGCTGTGGAAATGTCACCTACACGGCAAAACGGACTTTACAGAGGTGGTTCAGGGTCTTCATCGGGGGAGATTCTCCTGGGTCATCCTGGTGAGCCCAGTGTAATCCCAGGGCTCCTCACAAGGTACAAGGAGAAGAGTGAGAGAAGAGGAGGTGATGTAATCGCAGAGGCAGAGACAGGAGCTGGAGGATGCGGTGCTGCGGGCTTGAAGGATGCAGGAAGGGGCCAAGAACTGCAGGTGGCCTCTAGAAGCTGGAAGAGGCAGGGAATGGAACCCCCACAAAGAGCCTCCAAGGAGGAAGCAGCGCTGTTGACGACTTGAATTTAAAACTACAAGATAATAAGTGTGTATTGCTTTAAGCCACCACATTTGTGGTAATTTATTAAAACATCCATAGGAAATTCATACACCCCCATTCTATAATCCTGGGGGTAGAGGAACAGACCATAGAAATTCTCCCTCGACCCCAGCCCCTCTCCTCCGCCTCTGGCCAATCAATAGGAAATGTGGCCTCAGGACTTGTCTAATTGGAGCTTTCCCATCCCCACACCCAAGTGACCAGTGCAGGCAACTTCTGCAGAAAGCCAGGCCCAGGCCAGAGCCCAGGGCTTCTCAGCACCTGGTAGACTCAGGAAGGAAACAGGTCCCTCACTGGTCCTCCCAAGTCCCTGGGTCCAGAAATGGAGGTCCTGAAACACAAGAGCTGTCCCCAGCTCCAAGGTTTAGTCTTCATTGACTGATTTGTGTGGGGGGGGGGATGGGGGTGGGGGTCTCCCCTCTTTTTTCAATGTCCTATTTTTGGGAGGTTGGAAAAGTTTGGATGCAGCTCAGGGATTAAATTCAAGGACATGAATATTAATGATTCCCCTCCCTCATGCTGCAAATCCACTCATCATTAGGCATTTTCCAGCCACCTACATGAGGGCTGCCATTTGTCCCCTCTCAATAGACCCACATGGATTCCAATGGCCAGTTCTGGTAGCTGGCTGCGCTCAGCACACACACACCAATAGGATGCCATGGAGGGTGACTCCTGGGTCATACCAGGCAACTGCTATACAGAGGGACTGCAGCATCCGCCACCTCCAAGGAGCCAGGCCAGGCAGTGGGGTGAGGGGCACTGACAACTGCAGGCCAACGAGCTCTGCGTTGGGTGAGTGGCTGCCAGCCATCCTGCTCCTCTCACTAAGCCTAGAGATACCCCAGATCCTCCCGGAGGGACACGTTGCCTCTCCCCACTCTGGGTTTACAGAGCTCCGTCCCCTCTTGGGTGAGATTCCCACAAAATTCTTGGATCATATTTGTTTATCCAGAAGTATCTTCCTGGAATTTTTGAAGAACTCACGGATGAAACTACCCAAAGACCATTTCTATATCTTGGACAGAACTGCAGCTGAAAACACTGTCCATAAACCACTGTGTTCTCCTGTCTTTAAAAAAATAATAATAATAACTCTACCTCCTCATCCCACCTCTCTCTACAACCTCCTCTCTTTCTTTATTCTTCCTTTCACACCCAAACTTCTTTTAATGAACTGTCCCCACTCCTCTCTCTCCTCACCTTCCCTCTCATGCTTAAATCCACTAGCTCTGGCTTCAGTACCACCACTACCATTGCCACCACCTCCCACTGAAATTGTTCCTGCAAGAGTCATCGGTGACTTCCTTGTTGCTAAATGCCAAAGATGTTTTTCAGTCCTTATCTTTGCTGACCTTTTAGTGGCACTTGGCCTAGCTGGCCTTCTTGAAATCCCAATGGCCAGTTTCGACAGCTGGCTTCCGTGGGCCTTCATAACACTACACTTGTTTGTGTATCCATCTGCCTTTGATGATTATTTTTCCTCCGCCAGGCCATGAGATGTTCAAGTTCTCAGGGTCCAGTCTGAGTCCTCTTTCCATTCCGTCTCTCTCTGGGGCTTTCAGGCAGCCTCCTGACTTTGCCTATATTCTATAGACTGATGACTCCAAAACTTGATCTCAGTTGCCGGCTGCCTCCTGGCAGCAGAACCATGTGCTGCCAGACATTTCTTCTGGGGTATTCTTTAGGATCTCAAGAACAACCTTTCTATGCCGAACTCTTTATTTTCCCCCAATAAAGCCTGCCCCTCCTCGTGGGTTCCCCATCTAATGAAAGCCCATCAACCACCCTGAGTCACCCAAGCATGGAGCCTGGGAGTGACTCTAGACTCATGCCTCCTTTACCCCCACATCCCATCAATTCTAGAGGCTGAAGACACACACTCTGTTTTTTCTCTCTCTCTCTTTTCCCCCAATCTGCCCACTTTTCTCCAAGCAGAGGCTCACTCTAGTCTATGTCACCATCATTCCTCACCCAGGTTCCTGGGTCTCACTGCTTATAGTTTTGGTCTCCCCTCCAGTTCAAGCTAAAGTCATCTTTCCAAAGCCCAGTTGATCAAATCCAGCCCTTCAAGGACTCCCATTGTCTTCAGGCCAAAGTGTAACTCCTCTTCAGAGGCTCCCACTTCTCTCTCCAGCCTTCTCCCTCCCCACTCACCCCTGGCCCTCTGCACAGAGGCCATGGCTGATGTGACATCCTCTGTCCCTGAACAGTCTTCACCCCTCACCTTCCACCTAATTTCTTTTTTTGTTTTTGAAATGGGGTCTTGCTCTGTCACCCAGGGTGGAGTGCAGTGGCATGATCTCAGCTTACTGCAACCCCCACTTCCTGGGTTCAAATGATTCTCCCACCTCAGCCTCCCGAGTAGCTGGGATTACAGGTGTCCACCACCATGCCCGGCTAATGTTTTGTATTTTTAGTAGAGATGGGCTTTCACCATGTTGGCCAGGCTGGTCTCGAACTCCTGGTCTCAAGTGATCTGCCCATGTCAGCCTCCTAAAGTGCTGGGATTACAGGCGTGAGCCACCGCACCCAGCTGACCTCTACCTAATTTCTATGAGTGCTTCAAATCTTGGCTGAGTGTCACTTTCCCTAGGAAAGTATCTCCCCCCTCAACTGCCCCCAGTTCTGGATTAGATGTCCTTCCAATTACCCACAAAATAACTTGTTTTCCCCTTAAACCACTACTTATTAAATTATCTCAACATTTTTGGAAGCCTCCCTGATATGTGGAAAACCAACAGACAGCAAGAGAAACCAGACCCCTGTCTACACAGGGCATAGAGTCAAGCAGGAAACACAGACATTATAACAACAAAGATCAAAGAGGGGGCAGGAGGAGGGAGAGGTAGGAATGGGAGGAGAAATGTAAAAGAAAAAGACAGAAACAGCAAAGAGCACAAATGCTTCCACTCACAAGGCATCAGCTGATGAGACCAACATCTTGTATACTTCCTCTGTTTGCGGAATGAATGAATTTACGTTACCCAATATTCTTTAGATAAGGCCCTAGGTGATAAATTCCTTCTACAACTTTGTGCCAGAAGGGGAAAGTTTGCCCTCACTGAACACTTGTTTCTTTCAATTAAACAAAGAGACTAAGAAACCTGTCATATTGCTCTTTTTGTCTTGTCTGCCAAAAAGTTCAGGGCCAAATTTAGACCTCAGTCACAAGGAAGTATGTAATTTCTGGCTTCTGTCACCATCTCTCCTTATCCAGCTAGTTTCTCTTTCATCTTTTTTTTTTTTTTTTTTTTTTTTTTTTGAGTGGGGTTCTTCCTCTGTCTCCCAGGCTGGATTGCAATGGTGCAATCATGGCTCACTACAGCTTCGTATTCCTAGACTCAAGGGATCCTTCCACCCCAGCCTCCCAAGTTGTTGGGACTACAGGTACATGCCACCACGCCCAGCTAATTTTTTATTTTATTTTATTTTATTTTTTAGAGACAGAGTCTCACTATGTTGGCCAGGCTGGGCTTGAACTCCTGGCCTCAAGCTATCCTCCTGCCTCGGCCTCCCAAAACACTAGGATGATAGGAGTAAGCCACTGTGCCTGGTCTCTTTTATCTTTAATTTGTGTACCCCTGTATACCTGTATACACCCCTGTATACACAAATGTGTTTTTACCTTGACCCCTACTTGCCAATCCCTCATGGAAGCAGGTGGAACAGAGGCTCAACATGCAGTGACCCGTTCCAGACTGGCCCCAGCAGGAGATGGCACCCTTGTCCCAGCCCAGTGTTTCCAGAGCGGCACCCACTCTGCAGTCTGAGGCCTCCTCCTGCCCCCACCCCTAGCCAGCCACAGAGTTCAAGGACATGAGCAGCCCTGGCTGTACCTCCCTCCTCCGGGGGGTTGATGTGCTATTTAAAGAGGCCAGACCTCCAGAGCCTTAACAAAAAGCAGAATGAGAGAAGGAAACGTCATATAAGGGATAGGCTGGGGGCAGGGCTAAGCCTAGGTCAGGGCAGGGAGCTTCTAGGTGAGACTCACCATCAAGCTGTGGTCTCTCCTCTTCCCTTCATCACTGCTTGGTCCAAGCAGAGGGGGCTGAAAGAGCTGATGCCCAAGAGATGTCAGGAATGCCTTCTGATGCGTCTAAGACTAGGGACCTAGTCTGACCCTCAGACCAACAGTTTTACACAGAGTGTATTAGGCAGTTTTCGCACTGCTATAAAGAAATACCTGAGACTGGGTAATTTATAAAGGAAAGAGGTTTAACTGGCTCGCGGTTCTGCTGGCTGTACAGGAACCATGGCCTCAGCATCTGCTGGGCTTCTGGGGAGGCTTCGGGAAGCTGACAACGATGGCAGAAGGTGAAGGAGGAGCAGGCAGTTCACGTGGCGAAAGCAGGAGCAAGAGAAAGAGTTGGGGAGGTGCCACACACTTTTAAACAGCCAGATCTCTCGAGAGCTCACTCACTATCATGAAGACAACACCAACCATGAGAGATCCACCCCCATAATCCAAACACTTCCCCCCAGGCCCCACCTCCAGCATCAGGGATTACAATTCAACATGAGACTTGAGCAGGGACAAATATCCAAACCGGGTTGTGAGCAACTCTGTCTCAGGGATGAGATCACGAGGCTATCTCCAACATGCCCTACAGCCCGCCTCTGCTATGCTGCTCCTCTGTAGCCCAGCTGCCTGTATAAAAGTCTGTCACTTGGTGGGTGCCTTCTGGGAATCCCTAGAGTGCACAGCTGTCACTACAAAACAGATGGTATCACTGCTCCAATTAGATAGGGATTCTCTCTGAATATAATCCCTTACTGGTGTATGACATTTTTACAAAATACTCTCATGCATTTGCTTTTCTGTAAACTGACTCCCGTAACCAACCCTGTGATGTTAGCAGGATATATATCATTCCCATTTTACAGATGGGAAAACAGGCTGGAAGAGGCTCAGTGACATGCCCAAGACTAAATCCCAGGACTTCTTTCTGAGAGCAGGGCCATGTCCGGCTTATGTGCTTGTAATGCCACTGCCTGCCCAGGGCAGGCACACAGAGATGTGTGTGCTCGATAGGATGTGGAGTTAAAGCATTCACCTCCCACACTCCCCCAGCAAACTTCGCTGGCTTCTCTGAAAGCCAAAACGCTGCATCAGAAAATGCATCAATACAAATGCCACTGGCAGCCCCGGCAGCTCTCTGCCTGACCTCAACCACACGTAAGGGTCTTAGCACCAGGTCATGGTTGGGGTGGAAAAGTCACCTTTGAGATGCTCCGGCTCAACCTGTGATCAAGGTCAAAGACAGAACTACAAGCATGAGAGCTGGAAGGCAGCTTACAGATCATCTAGTGACCCAGTTTGGTGTCTGCCTCGTCCTGGCCAGCATAGTCCATTCATCCTAATTTGGGTGGCGGAGCTGGGTCATGAACCCCTTTGCCTACCAGACCAGTTGTCTTTCTTGGTGGTGGCATATTGCTCCAAACATCATTGGCTCTTATGTTGTCACTAAATAGCACTAAAGGCTGTCTGGGACCAGCAATGGGATGTGTCTGCCACAGAGGAACAAATAGTAGGATCTTTCTACGCCTTCCTTTTTGCCCCCACAGGACCCTTTACTGAAGTGACACCTGGTACCTGTGTGTGCCCAGCACCCTTTCCTCTGCCATCTGGTAAAAACACACTGCTGCTCCTTTGAGAGAACGACCTTCCCCCACTTTATTTGTGCCTGGTTTGCCTATTTCAGGTCCTTCTGCCCCTTCAACACAGGGCTGGACACATGACACAGACCAGCCAGTCACAATACTCCATCTCAGAGATGCACACATGGCCTAACCAGGGCCAAAGACTTCTCTAAGACTTTGGTGTATGCTTCCTAGTGTGAGAGAGGGTCTCTCCTCCTCCAGTGACAGCAATAAAGACTGGAGAAGCCTGGAACTGCTGAAGTCACCTTCTTTTTTTTTTTTTTTTTTTTTTTTTTGAGATGGAGTTTTCGCTTTTATCGCCCAGGCTGGAGTGCAGTGGCTCAAACTTGGCTCACTCCAACCTCTGCCTCCCACGTTCAAGCAATTCTCCTGCCTCAGCCTCCTGAGTAGCTGGGTCTACAGACACACACCACCATACCCAGATAATTTTTGTATTTTTAGTAGAGACAGGGTTTCACTATGTTGACCAGACTGGTCTCGAACTCCTGACCTCAGGTGATCTGCCTGCCTCAGCCTCCCAAAGTGCTGGGATTACAGGTGTGAACCACCTTGCCCAGCCTGCTGAAGCCATCTTACCCAACTGCATTAAAAAAATCAACTGCAGGATGAAGCCAACACATTGAAAAGCCAGGCCAAGAGGACAAAAGAGAATCACAGCCCTGAAATCATCATCTGAGTTCTGAATCCAGCTGTGCATAGTCAAACAGCTCTGAGGCTTCCCAGCTACGTGAGCCCAGCAATTCTTTTTTAGCTTGGGCTTGTTTGAGAAGTGTTTCTGATGCTTGCAACTAAAAGAGTGCTAATACGATGCTTTATTGCTCTAATTGGTTAACATAGGTGATCAGTTGCATTACTGGCCCCAATTCTTTACCCTTTTCCTACATCAACACACTTTGT
This sequence comes from Homo sapiens, assembly GCF_000001405.40. Lineage (NCBI taxonomy): Eukaryota > Metazoa > Chordata > Mammalia > Primates > Hominidae > Homo > Homo sapiens. Next base: position 118,916,747 of record NC_000010.11, read on the forward strand.
CATGTAACTTTGGGATTTTTCCCATTAAGGAGGAGCATATTTACCTGCCCTTTGATTTTTCAGCTGAGTCGTGTAACTTACTTTGGCCAATAGAATAATGCAGAAGCCACGGCATGCCCAGTCCAGGCCCAGGCCTTAAGCAGCCTGGCTTGACTCTGCCCACGCTGGTGAACTTCTACACATGCGGAGGACATGCTCTGGCTGGCCTGCCAGTCTAGGAGAACGAAAGGCACATGGAGAAGACCTGCCCCAGCCAAGCCACCCCATCTGTGCCCAGCCTAGATCAGCCAACCTCCAGCCAATTCTCAGGGGCATGAACAAAATAAGCACTTATTCTTTTTTTTTCCTTTTTTCTTTTTTTTTGTTTTGGAGACAAGGTCTCACTCTGTTGCCCAGGCTGCAGTACAGTGGCACCAGCGTAGCTCATTGCAGCCTTGAACTCCTGGGCTCCAGCAATCCTCCTTCCTCAGCCTCCAGAGTAGCTAGGACTATAGGCACATGCCACCATGCTAGGCTAATATATTTTACATATATATATGTATATATATTATATATTATAAATATATATTTTATATATATGTATTTTAGAGATGGAGTCTTGCTATGTTGCCCAGGTTTGTCTTGAATTCCTGGCCTCAAGTGATTCTCCCACCTTGGCCTCCCAAAGTGCTGGGATTACAGGTGGGAGACACTGCACACGGCCAGCACTTAATTTTTTTTTTTTTTTTTTTTTTTTGAGATGGAGTCTCGCTCTGTCACCCAAGCTGGAGTGCAATGGTGTGATCTCAGCTCACTGCCTCCTCTACCTCCCAGGTTCTAGTGATTCTGATGCCTCAGCCTCCTGAGTAGCTGGGATTACAGGCATGCGCCACCAAGCCCAGCTAATTTTTGTATTTTTAGCAGAGACAGGGTTTCACCATGTTGGCCAGGCTGGTCTTGAACCCCTGACCTCAAGTGATCCACCTGCCTCGGCCTCCCAAAGTGCTGGAATTCCAGGTATGAGCCACCGAACCTAGCCGGCCAGCACTTACTCTTGAACCTCTTCTTTAGGTTGTTTACTGTGCCGCATAACTGATCAATGCAACGTATCTGTCACTCCTACCCTTTGGGCTCCTTGAAGGCAGGAACTGGTGTCTTATACATTACTATCTCCCCAGTGATGAGCACAGCTGCTGGCCATGAAAGGAAAGAAGGAGGGAGGGAAGAGAGGGGACAGAGGGAACAGGGGGACTCCCAGTTCTCTGGCACCTTTCTACCAGGTTAGACGTTCTGATTTCAATGAAGGAGGGACCCACCCATACACTGACGGTGAAACTCTGTTGCTGGTATGTATTATTTACTTTGGAGATTCTGCTTAGGGGCTACGCTAATACTGGGGGGCTGATTTCTAAGAACGTATCCCATATGCCATTGTCCAGACTGTGGCACCAAAGCTCTCAAATGCCCACTCACCAGCCTGCAACTTGAGTGAGGCCATAAAGCCATCTTTGTCCATTTCTGCCCCCGTGATAGGCAGGCAGGATTAGGCCGGTGAATACCTGAGCACACAGTACCACGGCAAACCTGCCACAAAAGCCTGCTAATCACACCCAGCTGACACTTGCCATTCACCAACGCAAGGCATTTTAAAGTGTCTCATTAAAATAGGGAAAAGGATTAAGAGGCCCCTTTCTTGATTAATGACTTTCTCTGCCTGAGAAATATAATCCTATCTATAACCCCAAATAAATAGAAGCAAAATTAGATTTCTACCATGAGATCATTCAGGGCACGTGTTGCACTGTGCCCCTAAATCTTATTTTCTTTACATATTTTATCCAGCTTAAGGGCATAAGATATTCTGAGCCCCAAAACCAGAACTGTTTTGCAATAGGTAGCAGCAGTGACAGAAGGGGATTTCCCTGGCTTTTCTAAGGCACTAATGAGTTTATATGTTGAAAAGAACAACCAATCTCCCTTAGGGAAAGACACATATGGCTGCATATGGAACATCTAGAGCACTCATCTCCTCAGATCCTTTTAGGGAAACAGGCAGCCATCAGTAAATCAAAAATAAAAGCTTCCTCTATTGACTCATTGATTTCCTTCTCTGAATCTGCTATTGTGTGAAAATTCAGAGGGTCATGAACTATTCAAACTGGAAGGAACTTTTAAGACCCTTAGTCACCCAGGCACGGTGGCACGCCCCTGCAATCTCAACACTTGGGAGGCCGAGATGGTCAGATTGCTTGAGCTCAGGAGTTTGAGAGCAGGCTGGGCAACATGGTGAAACTCTGTTTCTACAAAAATACAAAAAAAAAAAAAAAACAATTAGGCAGGGGTGGGGGTGTATACCTACAGTCCCAGCTACTCAGGGGGCTGGGGTGGGAGGATCACTTGCGCCCAGGAGGTCAAGGCTGCAGTGAGCAGTGATTGTGCCACTGCATTCACAGAGTGAGGACCTGGTCTCAAAAAAAAAAAAAAAAAAAAAAAATCTTAGTCAAACCCCATAACCCGACAGATGAAGAAAGTGATGCCCAGATAGAGGAGGGGACTTACTCAGAATTACCCGCTGTTCATGATATCACCCACACATGCATGTGCGTGTGCACACACTCTCTCTCTCTCTCTCTCTCTCTCTGTCTCTCAGAATGGGTCTCACCCTGTCACCCAGGCTGGGATACAGAGCCGTGATCATAGCTCCCTGCAGCCTCAAACTCCTGGGCTCAAGTGGTCCTCCTGCCTCAACCTTCTGAGTAGCTTGGACTACAGGTGTGTGCCACCACACCTGGCTAATTTTTTTAATTTTTTATTTTTGAGACAGGGTCTTGCTCTGTTGCCCAGGCTGGAGTTCAATGGTGTGATCATGACTCACTGTGGCCTCCACTTCCCAGGTTCAAGCAATCTTCCCACCTCAGCCTCCCAAGTAGCTGGGACTACAGGTATGCAACACTATGCCTGGCTAATGTTTAAATTTTTTTTGTAGAGATGGGGTCTCACTATGTTGCCCAGGCTGGTCTTGAACTCCTGGGCTCCAGTGATCCACCCACATCAGCCTCACCAAAGTGCTAGAATTACAGGCATGAGCCACTGCACCTGGTCTACCACACTCTTTGCACAGAGAGGTGCTTTCACAAGGTTTTGACTTGTGGGAACGAATTACATGAGAGAGAAGGGTACTGGGATGGATCCTGGCAGAGTCTCTTCAGCTACCCCAACCGTTCTGTAGACTGGTTAGATTTCTTTCTTTCTTTTTTTTTTTTTTTTTTTTGAGACAGAGTCTCGCTGTGTTGCCCAGGCTGGAATGCAATGGCGCAATCTCGGCTCACTGCAACCTCCGCCTCCCAGGTTCAAGCGATTCTCCTGCCTCAGCTTCCCGAGCAGCTGGGATTACAGGCACCTGCCACTACGCCCGGCTAATTTTTGTATTTTTAGTAGAGACGGGGTTTCACCATGCTGGCCAGGCTGGTCTCGAACTCCCAACCTCAGGCATTCTGCCCGCCTCGACCTCCCAAAGTGCTGGGATTACAGGCTTGAGCCAGGCGCTGGGCCCTAAATTTCTTAATAGATTATTTCTACTTAAACCAGATTAAATTATGTTTGTCTATAGAAGAACCGATATGGTTTGCATCTGTATCCCCACCAAATCTCATGTTGAAATGTAATCGCCAGTGTTGGAGGTGGGGCCTGGTAGAAGGTGTTTGGATCACGGGAGCAAATCCCTCGCGAATGGCTTAGCGCCATCTCCTTGATGATGAGTGAGTTCATGCAAGATCTGGTTGTTTAAAAGTGTGTGATGCTCCCACACACTCTCTCTCATTCCTGCTCTGGCCATGGGATGTACCTGCTTCCCCTTTGCCTTCTGCCATGATTGGAAGCTCCCTGAGGCCTCCCCAGAAGCCAAGCAGGTGCCAGGGCCGTACTTCCTATACAGCCTGCAGAACCATAGCCAATTAAACCTCTTTTCTTGTTCAATTACCCAGCCTCTGGTATTTCTTTATAGCAATGCGAGAATGGCCTAAGATGAGAACTCTAATCAGTAATAAGGAAACATGAATGATGTAAAATAAATATCAGGATTCAGCTATTTCTCTAATCCAGACTGCTCCATGCACAAGAAGTTCAGATTAGACATGTTTGATCATATACAGGGGTATTGTGTGAAATGGATACCTAGGGATTTAATACTATTTATACAAGGAAGTAGAAATGTGCTACTTTCAATTTGTGTTAGAATTTGATGGATCATACAATCATGTTTATTTCAATACGATTTTCAGAAGCAAGCATAAAATGTTTAGAATGACACCTGAGTTTAAGAGAGGTAAGTGGGCTTTAATGACCTACAATTGGGAGTGAAGTCCAGAGAGGCACCAATTCAAAACCGAGTTACCCACATGAGCAGCCATTCCCTGGATACAGGAAGGAGTGGTTCCCACTGTGTAGAACACAATTGTTTGTATGACATGCAAGCTTCTCAGTCTTCCTTCTTCTGTTATTTACCTCCACACCTGGGACTTGTGACCCATTATAGTATTTAGTTCTCTTAAAAACTGGGTAGGGTTGGTCCAAAGGAAGCCATGATGCCCAGGCAGGACCAATAAGTCCCCCCACCCAACCCCTAGACTTACTGATTTGGAGCTGAAGAACCTGGTGCTAGAAGAACACTGGCGAGTCTGTCCATGGCCACCTGCCCTGAAACATGGAGAAAAGGGCCTGTTTCAGCTGGAGAGAATGTGCCAACCAGAGACAAGATGGCACATGGTATATTTTGTGTGCACCTAATACATACAAGGCTCTCTGAGGTGCCCTGATTCCAGGGCACTTTCACGGAGATTATGGGCTACGAAGGAGTCAGCAGTCCACAGCTCATTTCAAGGAAGAAAATGATGGGTACAATGATTAGAGGAGAAAACAAACCCACCACAGGGGCCCAGAAGAGAAAAAACATTCAACTGGAAGATGGACAAAGGCTTTATGAAGGAAGGAACTCAAAAACCTTGGGCATAATTTCTGAGTACAGTAGAAGTCACAGAAGATGTATGAGGTGTGCTGTGATCAAAACTGTGCTTTACAGAAATACCTACGATGGCATCATGTGTAGAATAGTGGGCCTAGAAAGAACAAGGCTATTACGAGCCAGTGATGAGGAAAATTTGGTCTAGGATCGTGCAGGGAAAGAAGGCGATGGAGGAATACTCTGGAATGAAGGTTATAGAAGAGCTTGAAGGGGAGAAACACCTACAGTAGCACTCTGGGTAGCAAGACAGAGCAAATGTGTACATGAAGATGGCAGAGCTGTGCTCCTTGTCCTTTGGCTAACGGGTGGGAGCGTGAAGAAGAAATGCATTGTGTGCATATTGCATAGCATCGATCAAAGAGAAATCTATTGCATTGGAGGATAAATGCTAATCAAGATTAGTGAGTAAAAAGGATGCATGAAGTCACAGAATTCAGAGAGAACGTGGAGGTAATAAAAACATTGTGGAAAAGTGGATAAGGAGAGAAAGATGGCAAAATGTTCTGATTTTTGCAATCACAGTGAGTTTAAAGCAGAAAGTAGGTGGAATCTGACCACATAAAACCCTCTTGCCTGAAACTACTAAAAGCTGGACAAAAATATTTGAAACTACAGTTGTCAAGAGGCTGAACACTAGGCAATAAAAGATTGTGATCCCAGAGAGTCATAAAACAGACCAGATGAACCTTACAATTGCCCTGGCTTGTTGCCTTGGGACAGTTTCCAGACCGCAGCACAAAGAGGGAGAATCAGGCAGCACCTGGGAGAATTCCTGAGTTTGAGGGGACACAGCTGAGAGGCCAGGGAGGTCACAGCAGTTGGAGTTCACAGGACAATGTACCAGAAAGGAGAGAGGACAGAAAACTCCAGATTTCTGCAAAGTCCTCAAATGTTTGGAGACTAAATGATACATCCCTGAATAACTCATAGGTCTAAGAAGAAATCATAAGGGAAATAGAAAGTATTTTGTAGGTATTTAAAATGAAATATAGGCCAGGCACAGTGGCTCATGCCTGTAATCCCAGCACTTTGGGAGGTCGAGGTGGGTGGATCATCTAAGGTCAGGAGTTCGAGACAAGCCTGGCCAACATGGCGAAACCCCGTCTCTACTAAAAATACAAAACTTAGCTGGGCATGGTGGTGTGAACCTGTAATCCCAGCTACTCAGGAGGCTGAGGCAGGAGAATTGCTTGAACTCAGGAGGCGGAGGTTGCAGTGAGCCAAGATCACGCCACTGTACTCCAGCCTGGGTGACAGAGTGAGACTTTGTCTCCTAAAAATAAATAATAAAAATAGAATGAAATATAACATGTAAAAATGTGTTAGGTGGCACTAAAGTAGCAGTATGTATTTAGGGAAAAATTTACAGAACTAAATGCCTATATGAGAAAAAGAAAAAAGTCTCAAATTGATGACCTCACCTTTCACCTGAAGAAACTAGATGAAGAAGAGCAAACTAAACCTAAAGTAAGTAGAAAAAAGAAAAGATGAAAAGTCAAAGAATCAATTCCTGGCTCAGATGGTTTCACTGGTGAATTCCACCAATAATTCAAGGAAGAGATAACACTTATTCTATACAAACTCTTTCAGAAAATTACAGAGGAGAAAACCCTTCCCGATTCATTTTCCGAGGCCAGCATTATCTTGATACCAAAGCTTAACAGATATGACAAGAAAATATACCAAAGAGCAACAGCCCCCATGAACATAGACACGAATATCCTAAACAAGATTTAACCAATCAATTCCAACAATATGTAAAGAGGATATGCATCCTGATCAAGCGGGATTTATCCTAGAAATTGGCTTAATATCCAAGATTGGCTTAACATTCAAAAATCAATCAATATAATTCATCATATTATAAAGTAAAAATTGAAAAACCTCAATAGACTCAGAAAAAGTATTTGACAAAATCTAACATCCTTCTCTGTGCCACGTATTTCAGGGGAAAAAAAGAAAAAATCTAACATCCATTCTTAATTAAAAGAAAAGAAAACTCCCTAGGAATATAGGGAACTTCCTTAACCTTAAAAGGGCGAGTCAGTTCCAATTACTTGACAGCTCAGGAGGCTGAGGCAGGAGGATCACTTGAGCTCAGGAGGATGAAGCTTTTGCCCTCCTCCCAGGCCCTGGTTCAGTGCTGTAAGAAGACATTTATGTTGGCAGAGGGCAGCTGAGCAGAATTTGTGTTTTTTTTGTTTTGTTTTGTTTTTGAGGTGGAGTTTCACTCTTGTTGTCCAGGCTGGAGTGCAGTGGTGCCATCTCAACTCACTGCAACATTCACCACTCGAGTTGAAGCGATTCCCGTGGCTCAGCCTCCCGAGTAGCTGGGATTACAGGCGTGTGCCACCGCACCCGGCTAGTTTTTGTATTTTTAGTAGAGACGGGTTTTCACCATATTGGCCAGGCTGGTCTCAAACTCCTGACCTCAGGTGAGCCACTACCTCGGCCTCCCAAAGTGCTGAAATTACAGATGTGAGCCACTGCACCTGGCCAAGCTTGTGTTTGTTTAAAAAACAAAAAAGTTTGACTGAGACTTAACTGCCCTAGGTACCTCTTCCTATGTTCATGTTTTAATGGGCGGAAAAAAAGCTCATGAAAATGTAAAGAACTGGTCACAGGGACCTGGCTGGCCCCACCCAGAAGGTGGGGGTTGGGTGAGTTGCCGGGAAGGAACTTGGAAGGGGCTGTGAAGGACAGAGAGGGCTAGAATTGGGCTGTGTGGAGCCTGTGTTCTCTAAGACTTCAGGCCCCACAGACCTGTTGAGTGCCTCATTGATGTGATCAGTGGCCCAGAAGATAGTATCCCAAATGTTTAGGGGTCCACAGGGTCCACCTCTCCCATCTGATGCCAGCCTGCATGGAAAGGAGCCCTCTAGGGAGAGGGGCAGGTGAAACACCTGCGTTTCTAAACAGGCTTTTGAAACTCCAGCTGGTCTCCTTTCCACCTCCCACCACCACTCCCAAGACCCTCCCCAGATGACTAGAGTCCAGGCCGGCCAGAGAACAGGGTCCAAGACAACCATACCATGTCTCTCTGCCGTGCACAAGAGAAGTCCCTGTCATCTCTGTGCTTTCACAGTGCTTGCAGGAAAGCTGCTCAGAGCACAGCCCTGTGCTGTCCCATCCAGCCTGGTCACACCCACTGGGCTGCCTGCACCAACAATGATGGTAATAATCAGAGCTGTGACATTATTTATGAATGGCAGCGACATGTATTAATTTCTTACTCTGAACCAAGCCCTTCCATAGGCATTTTACAGCATTTTCCCATTTGCTCCTCATTACAAATCTCTAGGGGTGCTCTTATTATCTCTACTGTATAGATGGGAAAACAAGTCTCAGAGGTTAGATGGCTTTTCCCAAGCCGCATGGCTAATGCAAGCTCATATGGGACACCTGATTTAAATGTAGGTTATTAAGATCCAGGGGGAGATATCTGACCCCAGAAGCCATGCCTTGCTCATATTCATTTCAGACAAGATACAGAACAAGGATAACAAAGGGCACATTCAAAAGCCCACCCAAAGTCAACAGGGTTAAAAACAGCAACTGCCGCTATAGAGGGCAAATGACCTATTTGATACCCACTTAACACTAAATCAGTGCTGCATTCAGCCCTCTATTTTGGGCTCTAGTACGGGTTTTGTACTTCCGCCACAACTGTCTATACCCTACCCATCACTGAAAATCAGGATTTTTCACATCCCAGGACACAGGATTTTCAGTACTACAATGGGACAGTCCCAGGCAAACCTGGATGATTGGTCACTATAAGTTTTTCAACCTCATCCTGGACATAGCTGAAAGGCCAGACACGGCGGTGGCCAGATTAAATCAAGCACACTCCATGGTCTCATTTCCAAGCAGTCACTGAAAGGGTGACACAGAGCCTAGTTCAGCAAGCCCCAGCTTTCTTTCCTTAACATCCGCTCCTCAGAGTGTTAACAGAATTTCCTCTGGCCTTTTCCCGCAAAGGCCTATGAACTCAATACCCAGCAGATCGTGTGCAGCAGTTCATAATTAATTTATGCCGCCTGAAATGTCCCACTAGGTCAGTATCGCTCTTCACCCAGTTAATGAAAGGATTGATCTTAAGAACACCTTTGATCATTAAAAGCATGATTAAGACTCCCTCCCTATTATCCTACTCTAGGAATGAGCAATGAGTCTTCCCACAGCAGAATGCCTCTGGTTCTCTCAACAAATGCACTTGCTGCAATCATGTGTTTAATTAGTCTCTTTCTTCAGATGAAATAATTGTGTCCCTGCTCTGGATTTCATTCATAAGATCACTTAAAATATGGCAGGCTCTTTATTGACTCTCTCATTTATTGTGGGGCCATATGGTGCACTCAGAGCCAAGCAACAGTGTGTTAGACCTGAACTCAGCAGGGACGTGAGGAAAAGCCAACATGCCTGAACCTGAGTCAGGTAGCCAACTGGCGTTTAACTGACCACTTACTATGTATCACAAACCGGCCAAGGGATACAGAAATGAGCAAGAGGCCAGAGGCTACACTTAAGGCAGTTTCTCAACCTCAGCACCATTGACCTTCAAGGCAGGATCATTCCTATTTGTGGGGCTGTCCTGTGCATGGCAGGATGTTTAGCAGCATCTCTAGCCCCTACCCACTAGATGCCAGGAGCACTGTCCCTCACCCCTCTCCCACCCCAAGATGTGACAACTGAACTTATCTGTAGACATTGCCAAATATCCTGGGGGGACAGAATTACTCTCAGGTTAAAAATCGCTGCGTTAAGGTGTTTGCAATCTGGAAAAGCAACTAAGACCAGTACACAATTTTTGTGTACTTGTGATAGAGGACATCATGGGGCAGTAATGAAGGAAATGTGCTGGCTGCAAACTCCTGTGGCGTCAGAGGCCAGTGACGGGAATGCCGGGAAGGCGGTGAGGATGTGGCTAACTGGAAAGGACAACCCTGTCCCCAGCTCAGTCCAGCCAAGTATTACCAGATACTATGATATACTTAGGGAATTCTGAAATCTGGACTTTTTTGTGAAATCTCCCAGTTTCTAAATTTCTCAACCAATTGAAAAATATTTTAAACAAAATATAAACTGAAATTAATTAATTAAAAGATTGAGAGCCATATTCAGCCAGATGCCCCTGCTATATCAAAAACTGGGCAGCCTGGAAGGATTCTGGGCATTACCTCCAGCTTACCTCCAATCCTGGGCATTGAGGCCCATTTCTAGAAAATGAGTGGTTGTCCATATTTGTTTGCTCTTAAACAGTGGTTCTAGATCCTGGGTGCACATTTGAATCACCTGGAGATATTAAAAAGCTCATCAGTGCACTAACCCCCTTCCAGGCCAATTAAGCTGGAAGCACAGGGTTGGGGCCCAGGTGTCTATGTTTGTAAAAATTCTCCCCAGGTGATTTGAACATTCAGTCAGGCTGGAGAACCACTGGTGTAAAAGAAGGAAACCAACAAAGGCCCATCTCCAGGTTGATTAAGGTTCAGGACTCTAACCTCAGGCAACCATCGGGTCTGGGAGAAACTTAACCTGGGCCTCAGGGTCTCTATCTGTTAAATGGAGATAAAAACACTACCTCCTTTACTGAATTGGTGTTTAAAAAAAAAAAAAAAAGTTTGGTTTTTTTTTTTCCTCTCAAAATGGGGCCCAGGCTTTAGGTTTTTTTGTTTTGTTTTGTTTTGTTTTTTCCGGATGTTACTAATGAGCAGCCAGGATTGAGAAACAGTAAGTAGGTTCCTGTTGGCTCTAACACGCTGGGAATTTCCTTAAGTGGGAAGAGGAAATGAGTATTGAACACCCACTAAGGCTGGGGCCTAGATGCCCCATTGGGATTCCTCAAAAAGAATTGGAGAGAAACAGCCAGATGCTGACATTACACAACATAAACTCCAAGAAGACACACACCCTAAAACCCCCTACACACACAATAATTAGCTGCCAGGATTAAGAAGTACGTTGAACATCATTCTAAAAGACACGGCTTGTGAAGGCTACCTCTGCTAACATGGTCTTCCACTAAGAAAATTCAAAGAGCCCTAATGTCCAAGCACTGAGCATCTTGAGGCATCTGATCCAGTGTCATCCTGGTAATATTTCCATTATTCACCTGAACTTCTGTTAATGAGGTGGCTAACTATAAGGGTTCCATTTGGGACACACACATTTATCATTTGATTAGGAAAGATTACCTATTTTTAGATAAAACATATATCTCCTAACAGGGATGGACAGTTATAAATAACTTGGAAAACTCTAGCCGACGCCCAAAACATCATGACTTAGGTTGAAAGAAAAAGCCTTTCTGATCACTGTCCTTTTGTGTTCCCCAGCACATTTTTCATGTTTACTTGCTGTCACCCCAGGTAAGTGATCGCCTTGGCTATATCCCATTTCCTCACTAGCTAAGGTGGGAAGAAGAATTGTCACAATCAAATAGGCAAGATCAAGGTGCAAGGGAGGAGAGGCAGAGGTTTGAGCCCTTTGCCCTGCAATCAGTTAATTAGCCCACCTCCAATTTATGTCTAACAGTTATTGGGGGAGCCACAGAAATGGCTTCAAGTTAGACTTTTACTCAAGCTGTCAGGTGGAAGAAGGGCTCAAAAGCCCAACAAAGGAAGTCAAACCTTTCCTTCCACATTGAAGTGGATGCCTGGCCCTTTCATGAGGTCCCTTCCTTCCCTGGCCCTTGAAGCAACTCAGGGGGATTCTAACATGAAAAGAATAGACATTTCTAATGACCATAGCTGAAAACTTTTTAGCAAAAAAAAAAAAAAATGTAGTACTGGATTAGAACCCAAAGTATGAATAAATGTCCATGAGTCCAGACGAGACTTCCACACTGGGGAAGATGAAGTAGACATAATTTTCCCAACTTCTTCCACTAAATACAACTAAAAATCCTAAACATTATGTATAAAACACATATAAGAAGAATTTGAAAAGTGAAGAGAGGAAGGAAGACTAGCTAGGGACCCCAGAATCCAAGAAACTACACGGTGGTGAGTTTCTTGGGTTTTCTTTTTGCCTCATACATTCCATCCTTGAAGTGGAAGCAGCCAGCAACACAGAAGTGCCAACAAATGCAAACAAACAAAAAGTCCCAACAAAAGCCCACTCTCTCTAGCCAAAGGCCATGAAAGAACCCATCCAGCAAGACAAAAAACTTGTAGCCAATAGCCACACTACTCCATACCATAGTAAAAATGGTGGTCCCACCCCTATAATGTCAGCAAAGGCCAACCGGGGAACCTGAATTTCCACTTTCATTAGGCTGCAGTGAGGTGTCCCATTACCCCAGCCCAAGTGGTACCACAGGAGGCCAACTAGGGAGCCAAGACTTTTATCCATCCCTACCAGGTGGTAATGAGCCCTCACCTCTGCCCACCAGTGACGACCAGATGGAGTACTAGATCTCCCATCCATCAGTAATAAGGAACCCTCCACCTCAGATGTCAACAGATGCTAAGTGGAAAACCTGGATTTCCACTCCCATCTGTCAGTAAGAAGGCAGTGCTGCAATTTCCCCTATTGAAGCAGCATCAGAGAAATCCAGCTAAAACAAAAAGTTTAAATAAGGTATAGAATCTCATAATAGTGCAAAAATGTCCAGTTTTCAGTCAAAAATTACTCAACATGCCAAGAACCATAAAGAGCTCAAACTAAATTTAAAAGACAGTTGGGGCTGGGCGCAGTGGCTCACGCCTGTAATCCCAACATTTTGGGAGACCAAGGTGGGCAGATCACGAGGTCAAGAGATCGAGACCATCCTGGCCAACATAGTGAAACCCCACCTCTACTAAAAATACAAAAATTAGCTGGGCATGGTGGTGGGCACCTGTAGTCCCAGCTACTCGGGAGGCTGAGGCAGGAGAATCACTTGAACCCAGGAGGCAGAGGTTGCAGTGAGCCGAGATTGCACCGCTGCACTCCAGCCTGGAGACAGAGCAAGACTTCATCTCAAAAATAAATTAATTAAATAAAATAAAAGACAGGCTGGGCACAGTGGCTCATGCCTCTAATCCCAGCACTTTGGGAGGCTAAAGTGGGAGGACTGCTTGGGTCTAGGAGTTCAAGACCAGCCTGGGTCACAAAGTAAGGCTCCATTTCTACAAAAAAAATGTTTTAAATTAGCTGGGCATGGGAGCACGTGTCTGTAGTCCCAGCTACTTGGGAGGCTGCAGCAGGAGAATTACTTAAGCCCAGGAGGTCGAGGCTGCAGTGAGCCATGATTGCACCATTGCACTCCAGCCTGGGTGACAGAGCAAGACCCTATCAAAAAAAAAAAAAAAGAGTCAAAAGATGCCAACACCAAGATGACAGAGATATTAGAATTATGTTTAAAATTTGTTAAAGTAGCCATGATAAAAATGCATAAGCAAGAAACTACAAATCTGTTTGAAGCAAGTAAAAAACTAGCAAGTCTCTGATGGTGATAATCATTTCACAATGTATACATACATCAAAACATCACATTATATAAAAATATATAATTTTTATTTGTTAATTATACCTCATTAAAGCTGGGGGGGAAAAAAAAAAGGAGAAACAAAGTCTCAGCAAATAACCAGAATATATAAAGGAGAACCAAACAAAAACCTTAGAACTAAAAAAATACAATAACTGAAATTAAAAGCTCAATGGTTGGGATCAATAGGAGAATGGAGCAAATAGAGGAAAGAATCTGTGAACTGGATAATAGAACAATAGAAAATACCCAACTTTAACAATGAAAATATAATTTTTTAAAAGAAGGAACAGAGCCTCAGGGACTTGTGGTACTATAAATAAAAGATCTAACATTTATGTCATCAGAGTCCCTGAGGAGAAGAGAAAGATAAGGAGCTGAAAAAGTACTCAAAGAAATAATAGATGAAAGCTTTCCAAATTTAGCAAGAGGCATAAACCTATAGATCTAAGAAGCTGAGTGAACTCCAAACAGAATAAGCCCAAAGAAATCCACATGAAGACATATCATAATTAAACTTCTTAAAACTACAGACAAAGAAAAAAATCTTGAAAGCAGCCAGAGATAAATGGCATCTTACCTTTAGGGAGGAAACAATTAGAATGAGAGTCGGTTTCTCATCAGAAACCACAGAGACCAGAAGGAAGTGGCATAATACTTTTCAAGTGGTGAAAGAGAAAATTGTTAACCCAGAATCTCATACCCAGCAAAAATATTCTTCCAGAATAAAGGGGAAATCAAGACATTCTCAGATAAAGGAAAACTAAGATAATTTGTCCCCAGCAGACCTATACTAAATGAATGGTTAAAGAACATTAACCATTCTTGAAAAAAAAAAAAAGAAAAAGTAAACAAGAAAAGTAGAAGCCTTAGAGCATTGGGAAGGAGGGAAGGAAATGATAAGCAAAAACCTGAGAAATACAATAGATTTCCCTTCTACTCTTGAGTTATCTAAATTCCTTTTGAAGATTAAAGCAAAAGTTATAACCATATCTGATGTGTTTCTAAATGTATGTGGAAGAAAAATTTAAGGCAAATGTATGATAAATGAGAAAGGGTAAAAAACAAACATAGAGGGAAGTGAGGTTTTCTTACCTCAAACTGGTAAAGGAACAATACCAATAGACTATGATAAGTTATGTTTATGTAATGTAATACCTACAGCAACAACTAAAAATGCTAAACAAAGACATACACTCAATACTATAGATAAGTAAATATCTATATTGGAATTCTAAAGAATGTTCAAGTAACTCACAGGAAGGCTGAAACAAGAAAACAGAGAAACAAACAAGAAAATAACCCCAGAAAATTAAAAAATAAAATAACAGTCTTAGCCATAACATATAAGTAAGTACATTAAATATAAATGATCTAAATATACCAATTAAAAGACAGAGATTGGCAAGGTAAATTAAAAACATTATCCAACAATGTGCTGTCTACATAAAACTCACTTCAAATATAACAATATAGGCAGGTTAAAAGAAAAGGATGGAAAAAATATATCATGAAAACATTAGTCAAAAGAAAGTAAGGGTAACTATATTACTATGAGATAAAGTAGACTTCGGATCCAACAAAATTAGCAGGGACAGAAAGGAATATTATATGATGAACAAGAAGACATAGCAATCCTAACTTGCATGCACCAAACAACAGACTGCAAAATATGTGAAGCAAAAACTGATAAACTAGGCTGGGCATGATGGCTCATGCCTGTAATCCCAGGACTTTAGGAGGCCAAGGCAGGCAGATCACTTGAGCCCAGGAGTTTGAGGCCAGCCTGGGCAACACAGCAGAACCCTATCTCAAAAAACTTTTTGTTAGTTTTAAAAACCTGATAAACCGGAAGGAGAAATAGGCAAATCCACAATTTTTTTCACTGTTCAAGGTTTATTGGGGGGTTTAGTTGGTATAACACTTGGATAGTTGGTTGCATTGTTTATATGTAGATCTTTTTACATTATATGGTAATGTACACTACTGATATATATAGTTCACAAAATAAGATCCTTTGGAACAATTATGCACAAGACATGCGATATTGGATTTGTACACTGGATCCCAGGATGTGACTGATTGGAAAAAAATGTTGGACTAGGCATGTTCAGTGAAGGAGCCAGGAAGTTATATATCACATGGTAAACATCCACCTGGCTCAAGGGGCAAATGCAGCATGTACAGCATTGGCAGTGGTGCCTCAGAGGTGGCAGAACTATTTCACACAAACCAGTTTAGGACTACACAAATTAGTACCATCCAGCATCAGGATATAGCTGTGGATTTTACAAACCATTCCTATTTCTAACTTCAGGAATTGATGTTTTTCCCAGTCCATCTTAAAATATTACTGCTTTAATCACAGATCAGATAAAAAGGATATCAGGCACAACCTCCAACTAAAGTCCTGTTGTAGCATAGACAGTGAAATGCTATGACATCAGAAGACTTTAAAATTGCAGCTCTTTTCGGATCCCCCAAAGTGTGTCTGCACGCTTCTTCAAACGGGCCTCTTCCTCAGGAGTCAGAGTCACCTTCACAAGGTCTGAGATTCCATTCTGTCCCAAAATGCAAGGAACACTAAGGAAGACATCATCCTTTATTCCATAGAGACCCTTAATCATGGTGGGAATTGGGTGCACCTGCCTAAGATTCTTCATTATACTCTCTACCAAATCTGCTACAGAGTCCAATGGCCCAGGATGTGTAGCCTTTGAGTTTGATCACCTCGTAAGCATTCTCAACCACCTGCTTGTGAACCTCTTTCCACTGTTTCTTATCTGTATCAGTGCCTAAATCTGGGTGCAGAATCTTCAGGAAGACACAAGCAACATTCACTCCACTCCATACAGGCACACTGGAATCTCCATGTTCCCCAAGGACCCACCCATGACAGCTTAATAGGTGAACTCCCAGTCTTTCCCCGTCGGGTAATGGAATCGGGCCGAATCCAGGTTGCAACCACTTCCAATAACACGGTTTTTGGGAAAGCCACTTATCTTCCAAGCCACGTAGGTCAAGATATCCACTGGATTTCAAATAATAAGCAACTTGCAGTTTGGGCTGTGCAAATCCACAATTTTAATCACAGACTTTAACACCCCCCTCTCAACAACTGATAAAACAACTAAATAGAAAATCAGCAAGGTTATAGATTAACTCAACAACAGGATCTAATTGACATTTATAGAAGCCTCCACATAACATAGCAGAATATATATTCTTTTCAAATACCCACAGAACATATACCAAAGTAGACCATATTTTAAGCCATAAAACAAACCTCAACAAATTTAAAAGAATTGAAATCATCCAGGGTATGTTCTCCAACCACAATAGAACCAAACTAGAAATCGGTAGCAAAAAAAGATTACAACAAAATATCTAAACAATTGAAAACTAAACAATATGCTTCTAAATAACTCACGGGTTGAAGAGGAAGCCTCAAGAAAAATAAACAAATAGATTGAATGTAATGAAAATGAAGATACAGCATATCAAAATTTGTGGCCAGGCATGGTGACTCACACCTGTAATCTCAGCACTTTGGGAGGCCAAGGTGGAAGGATCACTTGAGCCCAGGACTTTGAGACCAGCCTGGGCGACACAGTAAGACCCCATCTCAAAAAAAATAAAAAATAGAAATGAAATTTGTGGGACACAGCTGTGTTGAGAAGGAAATTTATAGTACTAAATGCATATGTTAGAAAAGAGGAAAGGTCTCAAATCATTTTTAATCTAAACTCCCACCTCAAGAACCCAGGTAAAAAAAAGAGCAAAATTAACCCAAAGCAAGCAGAATGGAGGAAATAATAAAGCTAAGAGAAAAAAATCAATAAAATTGAGAACAGGAAAACAATGAAAAAAACAATAAAACAAAGAGCTAATTCTTTGAAAAAAATCAATAGAGTTAACAAGCCACTAGCAAGACTGACGAAGAAAAGAGAGAAGGCACAAATTATCAGTGTCAGGAATGAAAGAGGGGATATCACTACAGACCCTAAATACATCAAAAGGATAAAAAGGGAATGCTAAGAACAACTCTACACACATAAACTTAACAACTTAAATGAAATGGGCCACTTCTTCAAAAACCACAAACTACCACAACCCATCCAATATGAAGCAGATGAGTGAACAGCCCTCTAACTATCAGGGAAAATTAATGTATAATTTTAAATCACCACCCCCACCCCAACAACAACAACAACAAAAACAGAGATCTCTAGAACTGGATGATTTCACTGGAGAATTCTACAAAATTATTAAAGAGGAACTGACGCTGATTCTGTACAATCTCTTCAAGAAAATACAAGAAGAAAGAACACTTTCCAATTCATTTTATGAAACTATTATTACCTTGATACAAGAACAGACGAAGACAGTACCAAAAAAGAAAACCACAGACCAATATCCCTTATGAATATAGACACAAAAATTTTTAACAAAATATTGGCAAATAGAACTCAGCAATATATAAAAAGAATTATACTTCATGATCAAGTGTGATTTGTTCCGTGGATGTGAGTCTGATTCAATATTCTAAAATCAATCAATCAATCAATCAATCTGATTCACCATCATAACAGGCTAAAGAAGAACAATCATATGATCTTATCAATTGATGCAGAAAAATGCATTTTGCAAAATTCAAAACGCATTCACGATAAAAACTCTCAGAAAGCTAGGAATAGTGGGAACTTCTCCTGCTTGATAAAAACACCTACAAAAACCTACAGCTAACATTATACTTAATGGTGAGAGACTGGATGCTTTCTCACTAAGACTGGGAACAAAGCAAAGGTATTCACTCTCACAACTTTTATTCAACATAGTGAAAGAAGTTCTAGCCAGTGCAACAAAACGGAAACAAAAGGCATACAGAGGGAAAAGGATCTAGAACTGTCTCTATGTGCAGGTGTAGATTCCAAACGAATCTACAGAAAATTCCTAGAACTAATAAGTGAGTCCAGCAGTGTTACTGGACATGAGATAAACATACAGGAATCAAGTGTATTTCTATATACTAACAATAAACATGTAGACCCGAAAATTTAAAATACAGTACCATTTAAAATTGCTCAGAAAGTAAAATACTTCAGTGTAAATTTAACAAAACATAAACAGAACTTCCATACTGAAAACTACAAAATACTGATGAAAGAAATCTAAGGATGTCTAAATAAATGGAGAGATATACTATGTAAATGGATTGGAAAACTCAACAAAATAAAGATGTCAATTCTCCTCAGATTTATATACAGTTTCCTTTCTAAACCCCAGCAAGAATTTTATAGACATAGACAAGGTTATTATAAAATCTATACGGAAAAGCAAAGGAACTAGAAGAGCTAAAAACAGTTTTGAAAAGGAAGAACAAAGCTACTATAATCAAGACTGTTTGTTGGTGGAGAAACAGATGCATAGATCAATGTGATGTAATAGAAAACTCAGAAATAGACTCACACAAGAATGTCCAACTGATTTTTTACAAAAGTACAAAAGCAATTTAATGGAGGAAAGATAGTCTTTTAAGCAAATCATGCTAAAACAGTTGTACATCCATAGGCAAAAAAAAGAGGGGGTTGTTAAGGAGAACCTCAAGATAAGTCTCACATCTTATATAAAAATTAACTCAAAATAGATTATGGACTTAAGCATAAAATATAAAAACTATAAAACTTTTAGGAAAAAATAGGAGAAAATCTTCAGTATTTAGGAGGAGGCAAATAGCTCTCAGGTTTAACACTAAAAGGAAAAATTGATAGGAATTCATCAAAATTAAAAACTTCTGCTCTGCAAAAATATCCTGTTAAAAGAAAAAAAAAATACAAGCTAAAGAGTAGGGAAAAAATATTTCCAATCCATTTGTCAAGCAAAGAACTAGTATCTAGAAGATACAAAGAACCAAGGGTGAAAAAAATCCAATTAGAAAATGAGCAAAAGATATAAACAGACATTTCACTAAGAGGATACACAATGGCAAATAAGCACATGAAAAGATATTCAACATCATTAGTCATTATGGAAAGGTAAATTAAAATCATGATGAGATATCACTAGGACATATCAAATGGCTAAGATAAAAAATAGTGACAACACCAAATTCTTACAAGGATGCAGGGAAACTGGATCATTCATACACTGTTGCTGTCAATATAAAATGGCAGAGTCACTCCGGAAAACACTGTTATAGTTTATTTTTAAAACTAAACATGCAATTACCGTAAGACCTAGCAATTGCACTCCTGGACATTTATCCCAGAGAAAGACTTATGTTCACACCACCATATATGAAGGTTTATAGCAGCTTTATTTATAATAGCTAAAAGTCGGAAACAACCCAGATTTCCTCCAATGGATATACAGGTAAATAAACTGTGATGCATACCATGGAATACTAATTAGTAATAAAAAGGAATAAACCATTGATATACACAACAGCATGGATGAATCTCCAGAGAACCATTTTAGTTGAAAAAAGCCAATCCCAAAGGTTATATACTATATGGTCCCATTTATATAACATTCTTAAAATAAAAAATATATATAAATGGAGAACAGATTAGTGGCTGCTAGGGGTCAAGGGAAGGGTGGAGACAAGAGGGAAGCAGATGTGATTATAAAAGGGCACATGAGGGATCCTTGTGGGGATGGAAATGTTCTGTATCTTGACTGTATTAATGTCAATATCCTGGTAGTGATATCGTACACTATAGTTTTACAAGATGTTACTGTCTGGGGAAACTGGATAAAGGATATGTGAGATCAGGCCGTATCAGTTCTTACAAGTGCAAGTGAATATACAGTTGTCTCAAAATAAAAATATATATAAAAAAACAAAACCATAGGAGGTCTTTGCACTTTCCAAAAGGGATCAAAAAATAAAATCTGATGCTGCCCTTGTGCAAATAACAAATGGAAACCAGGAGTTTGCTCAGCTAAGGGATGTCAATACTTTCATTCCAATGAAGGGAAATGGTAGTTTCTCCATGACCTGCTTCAAAATATTGCAGTAGAGTTTAGTGATTCTGGGCGGGATGAGAACATTTGACAGAGGCATTTGCTTTAGTTTTTAAGTTTTCCTCCAAGGCACAAAACAGCTTAAGAATTTCCAGAGCATATTGCTTTACCAAGGTTTTTTGTCTGATGCAACAAGCAATCTTGTAGAATGGCTCAAGACAATACTCCTATATTAGGGAAAATCCAATTTTGGTAAAGATCCAAATTTTTTCAGTTGAACTTTTACTCAGACAAAAGAGACAGACCATGTATTTTGAGGACATAAGCAACTATCTTAGCTTCCTTGACTCCATATTTCCATGAAGAATCTTGACACAAAAGATAACTTCTAACTTTCATGTTACGTCATTTTCGATGATACAAGTAAAATCCAAGAGTATACAGATGTTGTCATACACTCTTTTTGTGATATTTCCCAGCCTAAGATGGTATCAAGGGATAAATAGACAGATGGGCCGGGCGCGGTGGCTCACACCGGTAATCTCAGCAGGCCAAGGCAGGCAGATCACAAGGTCAGGAGTTCGAGACGAGTCTGGCCAACATGGTGAAACCCCATATCTACTAAAAATACCAAAATTAGCCAGGCGTGGAGGCACACGCCTGTAGTCCCAGCTACTCGGGAGGCTGAGGCAGGAGAGTCGCTTGAACCTGGGAGGCGGAGCTTGCAGTGAGCCGAGATTGAGCCACTGCACTCCAGACTGGGCGACAGGGCAAGACTCTGTCTCAAAAAAAAAATAAACAGATGTTCATAATTATAGTGACATGACATGCTACATTCTCAATTCATGTCAAAGAAAGCTGTTTTGGATATCATGTCAATGGAAACAATCATTGGACACTGAACTATATACTGCTTTGCATACTATCTTTTATTTATCTAGCATGAAAGCATATTTTAATTAAAATATAATTTGTATGGAAAAACATCCTATGTTCGCGGATCAGACTTATTATTGTTCAGATGACAATATTCCCCAAAGTTATCTACAGATTTAACACAATCTTTATCAAAATCTCAGCTGACTTCTTTGCAGAAATTGACAAGCTGATCCTAAAATTCATATGGAAAATTAAGGCACTCTAAATAGCCAAAATAATTTTGAAAAATAACAAATAATGCATTTGAAAGATTCACACCTCCTGATTTCAAAAATTAAGGCAAAGCTACAGTAACCAAGACAGTGTAGTACTGGCATAAGAACAGACATCCAGATCAATGAAATAGAATTAAAAGCTCAGAAATAAACCCCCACGTTTATGGTCAATTGATCTTTGATCTAGACTATTCCATGGGGAAAGAATAATCTCTTCAGCAAATACTGCTGGGATAACTGGATATCCACATAAAAAAGAATGAAGTTGGACCCCAACCCCAACCCACATACAAAAATGAACTCAAAATGGATTAAAGACCTCAGTGTAAAAGCTAAAATTATAAAGATCGTAGGAGAAGACATGGGCATAAATCTTCAGGACCTTGGATTACACAATGATTTCTTGAGTTTGACATCAAAAGCACAAGCTACAAAAGAAAAAATAAGTAAACTGTGCTTCATCAAAGTTTTAAACTTTTGTGTTTTAAAGCATACCATCAAGAAAGTGAGAAGACAGCTCACAGAATGGGAACAGATACTTTTGAATCATATCTCTGATAAGGTATTTGTATCCAAAATATATAAAGAACTTTTACAATTCAATAATAAAAAGACAAGTAACCCAACTAAGAAATAGGCAAAAGATTTGAACAGACATTTCTTCATAGATATCCAAGTGGCCAATAAGCACATGAAAAGATAATCAACATCTTTAGTGATCAAGAAAATGCAGCTACTCGGGAGGCTGAGGCAGGAGAATGGCATGAACCTGGGAAGCGGAGCTTGCAGTAAGCCGAGATCGTGCCACTGCACTCCAGCCCGGGTGATAGAGCGAGGCTCCGCCTCAAAAAAAAATAAATAAATAAATAAATAAAAGAAAATGCAAATCAAAACCATAATGAAATATCATCTCATACCCATTATGACGGATACTAAAAAAAAAAAAAAAAAAAAAAAGAAAATAACAAGTGTGGGTGAGGATGTGGAGAAATTACAGTCTTTATACACTGCTAGTGAGAATGCAAATGGTGCAATCACTTTAGAAGACAGTCTGGCAGTTTCTCAAAAAGTTAAGCATAGAGTCATAAGACTATGACTATGCCGAGTATATACTTGGCAATTCCACTCCTAGGTATATATTCAAGAGAAATTAAAAGCATATGTCCACACAAAACCTTGCACATGGTAATTCATAGCAGTATTATTCAAAATAGCCAAAAAGGGGCAACAATACAAATATCTGTCAACTGATGAATAGATAAAACGTGGTATACCAATTTAATGGTATACCATTATTTGGCAATAAAAGGAAATGAAGTACTGATACATGCTACAATTTGGAAGAACCTTGAAAACATTATGCTTAATGAAAGAAGCCAATCACAAAAGACCACATACTGTCTGTATCATATGAAATGTGCAAAGTAGGCAACTCTATTGAAACAGAAAGTAGATCAGTGGTTGCCTAAGGCTGGTGAGATGAGGAGGAAATGGGGAGTGACTGCTCATGAGCAGTCTCTTCAGGATGATGATAATGTTCTAAAATTCATTGTGGCGATGCTTGTGCAACTCCGTGAATATACTAAATACTAGTGAGTTGTAAACTTTAAATGGGTAAGCTGTATAGTAGGCAAATTATTATTATTATTATTTCGATATGGGGTCTCGCTGTGTTACTTAGGCTGGAGTGTAGTGGCAAAATCTCAGCTCACTGCAGCCTTGACCTCCCTGGCTCAAAGGATCCTCCCACCTCAGCCCTCCAAGTAGCTGGGACCACAGGTATGCACCACCATGCCTGGCTAATTTTTGTATTTTTTGTAGAGATGGGGTTTTACCATGTTGTCCAGGTTGGTCTAGAACTCCTGAGCTCAGGCAATCCACCCACCCTCCCAAAGTGCTGAGATTACAGGCGTGAGCCACTGCACCTGGCCATGGTATGAAAATTATATTTCAATAAAACTTTTTAAAATATTTATTATAAAAATATTTATGTAGAATTTGTGCCTAAAAACATATGAGTTCATACTGACAAACAAATGAGCAAATGGATGAATAAATGGGGGAGAGTAGGCAAATATTGTGTGCAGAACAATTCCAAACAACTTATGTAGATACTTGCCCTCAAGGAAGTGGAGTATAATTCTCCACTCCTTAAGCATGAGCTGTACATAGTGACTTCTATCCAAAGAGTATGTATAGAAAGGAGGAGGAAAAAGTAACTTTACGGTGGAGAAATCTGACAAATAGAACCTCAACCAAGTGATCAAGGTCAACATCAATAGTGATAGTCATGCTGATAGCATGTACCCTTGATATAGTGAGAATAGTTTACCTCTGTGGTCATCCTCCCAAGAATGCATAACCTCAGTCTAATTATAAAAAAAAAATAGACAATTCCCAGTTGAGGGACAGCCTACAAAATATCTGAGCAGTGTTCCTCAAAACTGTAAAGCTCATCAAAAAAAGGAAAAATCTGAGAAATTATCATATCCAAGAGGAGGCTAAGGATATATGACAACTAATGTAACATAGGATCCTATATGGGATCTTGGAACAGAAAAAAGGCATCAGGAAAAAACTAAAGAGATCTGAATAAAGTATGGGCTTTAGTTAACAATAATATAGTAATATTTGATCATTAATTGTGACAAATATACCATACTAATGTAAGACGTTTATAACAGGGAAAACTGGGTGTAAAGTATATGAGAACTCTCTATACTACATTTGAAATTTGTCTGTATTATCTTAAATTGTTTTCAAATAAAATATCTTTTTTTTAAAAAAAAGAAAACACAGAGAGCTCTCCTCTTTAGCCTCATAGAAGGCAAAGCTTCAACTTTCTTTGGTGATCTGTGTTAGTCAGATCAGGATACTATAACAAATTGCCACAGAATGGGTGGCTTAAACAACAAACATTTATTCCTCACAGTTCTGGAGGCTGGGAAGTCCAAGATCAAAGCACCAGCAGATTCAGTTCCTGGTTATGTCTTCACGAGGCAGGGGTGATGGGGGGGTTCTGTCCTATCTCTTCTTATAAAGTCACTGATCCCATCATAAGGACTGTACCCTTATGACCCAGTGACCTTCCAAAGACCTCATTTCCAAATACCATCACATTGGAGATTATGGTTTCAACATAAATTCAACAAATTCTGGGGGACACAAACTTTCAGTTCATAGGAGTCAGCCCATATCCAGGTTAACTTGACACCAGCTGCTGCTGCCATTCATAGGGAATTGATCCCATGTTCGTCCTGGCTCCAAAGATTGTACCTCCTACTTCTACTCCATAAAGGGTTGGTGATATCACCAAGGTAACTGATGATAGAAAAGTAAGATAGTAAGATAGTAAGAACAGCCATGAAGTTAACCCTTCAGAATTGGATAAGCAGGATTCTTTTCTGATCCTTAGAGCCCTCAAGGAAGCATCCAGTGACAGAGAGAAGCAGGAAATATTGAGAAGCTAGAGATGTTACTATTGACAAGACAGTCAGCATCACCCAACACACGAGGCACAGAGCTTTGGCTGAAGATCTTCTCCGAAACATTAATAAGATGGCGGAGGGTGGTGCAGTGCCCAGTCTGTGAGCTACAATGCCCATGGTCCCATCCTTTCAACAGCACACGACATCAGCCAAGTGGTCAAACATTGGTTAGCCAAGCGGCACGAGGAGATTGTTTCAATAAACAACCATTCTACCACTGTCAAAGTGAAAGCAGACATGACGTTATTTTGTTTGGTTGGATGGTTGGTTGGTTGATTGGTTGGTTGGTTGGTTTTTTTGAGATGGAGTCTCACTCTGTCTCCCAGGCTGGAGTGCAGTGGTGCAATCTCGGCTTACTGCAATCTCCGCCTCCCAGGATTAAGCAATTCTCCTACCTCCGCCTCCTGGGTAGCTGGGATTACAGGTGTGTGCCACCACACCCCGCTAATTTTTATATTTTTAAGAGAGACAGAGTTTCACCATGTTGGCCAGGCTGGTCTCGAACTCCTGACCTCAGGTGATCTGCCTGCCTTGGCTTCCCAAAGTGCTGGGATTACAGGCATCAGCCACCAAGCCCAGCACATGATGTTTTTTAAATCTCTATTTCTTAATCCAGGAGAGAGTGAGGTGAATCTACTTTTAGAAAAGGAATTCGGCATTGCATAGCAAGAAATGTTAATATTTCAGCTCATGTAAACCAGTAGTTTCACTGCTAGGAACCAAACCTGAGGAAATAATCCAAAATGAGGTCAAAGCCCAGGAAATTTTCTTTATTGTTAATAATGAAAAACTGTTAACAATTTAAATATTCACTAGAGATGAATGACTAAGTAAATTATGGTACATATAATTATAGCTACGACAGAATCTTATGTCATCATTAAAAATATTTATGGGTCGGGCACGGTAGCTCACGCCTGTAATCCCAGCACTTTGAGAGGCCGAGGCGGGAGGATCACGAGGTCAGGAGATCGAGATCATCCTGGCTAACATGGCGAAACCCCATCTCTACTAAAAATACAAAAAAATTAGCTGGACATGGTGGCGGGAGCCTATAGTCCCAACTACTCAGGAGGCTGAGGCAGGAGAATGGTGTGAACCTGGGAGGCAGAGGTTGCAGTGAGCCGAGATCGCACCACTGCACTCCAGCCTGGGAGACAGAGCGAGACTCTGTCTCAAAAAATAAATAAATAAATAAATAATAAATTTTATATATATATTTATGAAGATTTTCAATGCCATGCAAAAATATACAGTGAAAACGCAAGATATAAAACCAAATTTAAGACATAACCTCAATATTGGGGAGGTGGAAAACTTTCGTCTATAGTGCTAATAATGTTTATCTCTAGGAAGTGAAATTAGTGGCCATTGCTCTTTTGAAAATTGTCAATATTTTGCAAATTGGTATCCATGAGCATGATGGACTTTCAAATTTTCAAAAAATAATCAAAGAAAAAGTATCTGGTCCAAAGTAAAGTAAGGGGCACTGTGGCAGACTGCTGGTGACCTCTCAGTACCCTGTCTCCATTCTCCCCTTCTTCCTTTAGAAGAGAGCCTGACGTTCAGGTGAGCTCAAGAACACCCAGCTAGAAGATTTACCACCCTGCCTCCCTTGCAGCTGGGAGAGTCATGTGACTGAATTGCCAAGATGTATGAGCCTTATAGGTAAAGGGGTTTAAAGCTGATGGGGGCCAGGCACGGTGGTTTATGCCTGTAATCCCAACACTTTGGGAGGCTGAGGCAGGTGGATCACTTGAGGTCAGGAGTTCAAGGCTAGCCTGGCCAACATGGTGAAATCCTGTCTCTACTAAAAATACAAAAATTAGCCGGGCATGGTGGCACCTGCCTGTAGTCCCAGCTACTTGGAAAGCTGAGGCAGGAGAATCTCTTGAATCCAGGAGGTGGAAGTTGCAATGAGCCAAGATAGCGCCACTGCACTCCAGCCTGGGCGACAGAGCGAGACTCCATCTAAAAAAAAAAAAAAGACGATGAGTTTTGCCTGCATCCTTGGGTCTGAGTGGGAGGGTGGTTGCTGGGCAGAGTTAGCCAGTGGGTTTTGGTGGCAGAAAGGTAAGGAGATTAAAGGTGATGGCTCCAGGAACAGGCAACCCCCAGCCCCAGGCCCCAGGAGCCCAGCTGAGCTCAAGCACCTGGGAAGGTGTGATGGAAGCTCCTCTGCAGATCAGATTTGGCCCTGGAGGACCTGGAAGCAGAGGGAGATGAGAGCCTGAATGGGCAGCTCCACCTCCCTGGGGCTTTCCCAACCCCTCCTCTCCAGGCAGTCCCCAGGCTGCCTACAGGAATCTCACCAGTTGCCTTAAATTAGGTGACATCTCCCAGACAGGCGCAATGCCTACTGTCTTGCCTTCCATACCAAATGCCTTGATCAACCTGTCATTTAATAATCAAAATCACAAGACTGTGCAGTCTGACAGTGTTATCCAGGATCAGAGCCCCCTGAAACCTATAAGAATGTCTGGCTTTTGGTGGGGGACCATATTCATGAACAGTCATGCTGTGTTACTCAGTGCTGTGTTCATGCAATGTTAGTTCCCCCTAAAAGAGGCATGGGAGGGTTCTTATGGCCGAATATATTTGTAAAAGACTCCAGTGGCCAGGCATGGTGGCTCACCTTGTAATCCCAGCATTTTGGGAGACCAAGGTGGGCGGATCACCTGAGGTCTGGAGTTTGAGATCAGCCTGACCAACATGGAGAAACCCTATCTCTACTAAAAATCCAAAATTAGCCAGGTGTGGTAGTGCATGCCTGTAATACCAGCTACTCAAGAGGCTGAGGCAGGAGAATTGCTTGAACCCGGGAGGTGGAGGTTGCAGTGAGCCGAGATCGTGCCATTGCACTCCAGCCTGGGCAACAAGAGCGGAAACTCCGTCTCAAAAAAAAAAAAAAAAAAAAAAAAAAACAAAGACTCCATGTTCTCTCTCCATTTAGGAAATTCACACTGTATACTAACATAATAAAGGCTATGAAAAGTCCCACAGCAAAGATAACATTCATACTTGAATATTTTCCCAACTTATGTAACCAGGAACCCTTTTTTCATAGAGCATCTATTAACTTCTTTTAGAACACATCCAATTAGAAATGCGATCCTAGATGCTTGAAAAACACCTTATTTTGTCCCCTAATCAGATAAATTTCATATCTGTTGGGATCTGAAATTTTTATGTCCGTCATTATTACTACATTTGGAATTACCACTTCATTTCAGAGTAAATTTCCTTCTGACTGAAAAACGCATAGTTTATTCGACAGCAGGGCCAGGGAAGACCTGGAAACATTGCATCACCTTCTTTTCTGATTATATCCTTGTGGCATGGGGAATGTTATTTGCATTTGAACTGTATCTCCTGTTTCAGCTGGAAGTGATACAAAGTTCCAATCACTAGCTCACTCATTTGTGCGCCATACCCTTATTAAATCTCTACCACATGCCAGGACTGTGCTAGCCACTTTACACGTAGTATTTCAAGCCCTCACAGTCCTGAAAGGAACTGTTATTATACCCATTGCACAGGAAGGAAACTCAGGTCAGCTAAGACTGAGTTACTAATCCAAGAGCACACAGGGATCAGGGCAGTGGTTGCATGGCTCACACGGCTTCCCTCCAGGGGCCTGCGCTCTCCCTCCCTCTCCACTGTCACAGGGCTCTCAACTATTGCCTGACCTGCATCTTTGACGCTGCATGGGTTTCAATCTGGTGTCCCTAATTGGAATCAAATATTTCTGACTCTGGAAATAAATACTG
Organism: Homo sapiens; assembly: GCF_000001405.40. Taxonomy (NCBI): domain Eukaryota; kingdom Metazoa; phylum Chordata; class Mammalia; order Primates; family Hominidae; genus Homo; species Homo sapiens. The sequence goes on from NC_000010.11 coordinate 118,945,594, forward strand.
TTAAACAGTGGCTTGTGCACAGAATAAATAAATGTCTGTTGCTAAGGAGACATCGGGAAGATGAAAGAGCAGGAGGAGGATTCCAGCCTCTCAGAGGCCCCAGGACTTGGTTCCACCTGAACTAAGGCAGGGGCTGGGCAGGTGAAGAACTGAGCAAAGTACCCAGGGAAAGGGGGCAGCTGCCTTTCCACCCGACATGATTGCAGGCCCGTGGGCCAGATGCGTTGTTCAAGAGAAGTTAGGAATCTCTATTTTTTGTGAAATCCACCAAGTTGTAACCACCGGCAACTGTAGTGGGTTGAACTGTGTCCTCCAAAAATTCACGTCCACTTGGAAACTAGGAAAGTGACCTTATTTGGAAATAGAGTCTTTGATAAGCTAATTAAGGTAAGGATCGAGATGAGATCAATGCATGCACAAGCCAAGGACCCCGAGGATGCCAGCAGCCACCACAAGTCAGGAGAGAGGCATGGGGTGATCTCTCGGAGCCTCCAGAAGGAACCAGCCCTGCTGGAATCAGAAGGAATCCACACCTTCCTTTCAGATTCTTGGATGTCTAGCCTCCAGAACTATGAGAGAATACATTTCTGTTGTTTCAAGCCATCTGGCTTATGGTAATTTGTTACAACAACCCCAGGAAAGTAATAGAGCAATGAACTTTAATTTTTAGTAATACCACTTGAGCCAGCAAAATCAACCTGTGAGGCAGATTAGGCCTGCCAGTCATCCTCACCCCGGTTAGAGTCAAAGGACACTCAATGCCATGTCATCATTATCTCATCATTATTTTCTCCAAAAATGATGCTGCTGCCTCTCCAACAACTCTACGTAGACTGAACCTCTCCTGAGTCCCAGAGCCATATTTCCACATTCTCTGGACATCTTCATTTGCAGGACCTGCAGGCAACTCCAACTTAAGGTATCCAAAATCCAGCTGCATTCTTTATTGTGTGAAATCGCCACCACTTTGGACCACTGGTGTGCTGGAGCGGGTTGTGCTGGCTCCCAAGAGTCGACTATAAAATACTCAGGAATTTTCCCTGCTGGTTGCTAAACTGTTGGTCCCTTGAAACCTGCCATGGTGGCAATATTTGTGCCACAAAAAATTGGCAAACACTACAATCAGGGGCTCCGTTTTTGGGGAAAGCCAGTTCACCAGCAAACCACCAAAACTTCCACCCCATCTTCCAGGTGAGAAAGCCCACTTCTATTTTATTTCACACTTTCTCATTATACTTCACACCCAGCCAGCAAATCCCATTAATTCTCTCTCTGCAAATCGTTACCTGTGTCAACTTCTCTCTGCTTTCACTGCCCTGCTCCTCCTAATTCGGGTCTCGTCACTCTTGTGTTTGAATTACTACAACGGTTTCATAATTTTCACCCTACCCCCAATTATATTCCTCAAACAGGGAGTTAGATTATATTGGTTCTCTCCTCAAGCATTTTTAGCATCCAAACATCTTTGCCTGGCAATCAGAGCAATGATAGTTAGGCTTCTTTCCATTGCAACTGGCAAGAACCCAATTCACCAAGCTGAATCAAAAAGGGAACCCGCTAATTCATAGAAGCCCAAGGGGAATGAGACTGCAGGTAAAGCTGGATCAGGTCTCTGGCTTGTTCCCCATTACTTGGCTCATCGTCTTTTTGCCTGGTTTCATTCTCTGGTATGTTCTCTCCCTGTGAGAGGCAAAATGGTCAGCAGCTGCCCTTGAATCACATCCTCCTAGCTCAGTGTAGTGTGACAGAGTAAACTGCCTTCATCTTCCCACTCTTTCAGCCCTCCTAAAGTCATGCCTTGTCTATGCGACTTTGCAGTTCCTCTTACTGAGGACATGGAGTCTGTTTCCTCATTCCTTGAGTCTGAGTTTGGTCATGTGACTTGCTTTGGCCAATGGGATGTTAGCAAGAGAGCCTTGAAAAAGCACTTGTGAGGGCCGGGCGCGGTGGCTCACGCCTGTAATCCCAGCACTCTGGGAAGCCAAGGCGGGCGGATCACGAGGTCAGGAGATCAAGACCATCCTGGCTAACACGGTGAAACCTCGTCTCTACTAAAAATACAAAAAATTAGCCAGGCGTGGTTGCCGGCGCCTGCGGTCCCAGCTACTTGGGAGGCTGAGGCAGGAGAATGGCGTGAACCTGGGAGGCGGAGCTTGCAGTGAGCTGAGATCGCGCCACTGCACTCCAGCCTGGGTGAAAGAGCGAGACTCCGTCTCAAAAAAAAAAAAAAAAGAAAGAAAGAAAGAAAGAAAAGAAAAAGCACTTGTGCATTTTCACTTGCTCCATCAGGACATGCTGGGCTAGCCCAGTGAGGATGGTGCACGTGGGGCTGCACTGAGCTATTCCAGCCAAACCAGCCACAGCCAGCGCAGATCAGCAGACATGCAGCCAATGTTCAGCCATGTGAGTGAGCCCAGCCAAGCCCCACCAAGCCACACAGACTTGGGAGCTAAATAAATGTTCATTGTTGTACGTAACTGAGGTTTTGCGGTTGCTCATTACACAGCATTATTGTGGCAGTAAATAACTGATACATTTAGTGAAGTCATTGGAAAGAGAATTTCTCTCCTTATCTATATAGCAATCTCAGGGAGCACCGACTAGCTCTGCGTGCACCCCATGCCCAGACCCTGAATAAGAGGATCACAAGGTTTGGTTGAACATGCTGGGTCCCAGGAGTGTGGGTCACCATGATTGACAACCTCACAAGAACTGTATGAGGCTGGGCACAGTGGCTCACACCTGTAATCCCAGCACTTTGGGAGGCCAAGGCGGGTGGATCACCTAAGGTCAGGAGTTCGAGACCAGCCTCGCCAACATGGTGAAACCCCATCTTTACTAAAAATACAAAAATCAGCTGGGCGTGGTGGTGGGCGCCTATAATCCCAGCTGCTCCGGGGGCTGAGGCAGGAGAATCACTTGAACCTGGGAGGCAGTGAGCCGAGATCACACCACTGCACTCCATCCTTCTCTCTTATCTGCCTCTCTGCCTTATCCCTGGATCTCCCTCCGTAAGCATATTGGATTCCCTCTTTCTAACTACTTGTCATTTCCCAAACCTACCACCCGCTTTTGTATCTCTTTACCTTTGTACAACTGCTCCTCCCACCTGGAAGGACTTCCCCCTCCCTCCCTCTGCAAATCCAGCTCTAATCCTTCCTTGAGGAAGGACTCCAGTCCCAAAGACAGAGAAGACAAGGGGTTAGCAGAGAACACAGAGCCAAACCAGCAGCCAAAGAACAGGGCCCAGGGCACAGGGCAAGGCTGTGCAAGGGGTCACTGTAGTCCATGCAGAAATCTAGGACCTGGATCCGGAGCAGTGACAAGAGCTAAGACCTGAGGGCAAGTCCAAGGATTCGCAGCCCCCTGCCAGGATCAGCTCAGGGGTGGAGCAGAGGCTGCAGGGGTGCAGACAAGCCAAGGCAGAGAAGGCAGGAGTGACAGGGGTGGCAGCTGGCAAGGAGAGGCACTCCTGGCATCGAGCTCACATTGGATAAAGGCTTGGAGGCAGGATCAGAATCTGAGGGATTTAAAGCAACAGAGAAATAATAAGGACACAACTTTTCAAGCCTTTAGGGCATGCCAAGTACTGCGCTAAGAAATTAATTACATTATCTCTGTAATTCTCACAACCACCTTATGAGGCAAAATACAACCAACATCCACATTATACAGGGGAGGAAACAGGCACAAATAGGTGGCATGGCTCCCCAGAGTCACTCAGCTGGAATGCAAGTCCAGGCCTCCTCGGCTCCAGAGCCCATTCTTTTTTTTTTTTTTTTTTTTTTTTTTTGAGGCAGAGTCTCTCTGTCACCCAGGCCGGAGTGCAGCGGCGCGATCTCGGCTCACTGCAACCTCTGCCTCCCAGGTTCAAGTGATTCTCCTGTCTCAGCCTCCCAAGTAACTGGAATTACAGGCATGTGCCACCACGCCCAGCTAATTTTTGTATTTTTAGTAGAGACGGGTTTTTGCCACGTTGGCCAGGCTGGTCTGGAACTCCTGACCTCAGGTGATCTGCCCGCCTCAGCCTCCCAAAGTGCTGGGATTATAGGCGTGAGCTACCGTGCCAGGCCCAGAGTCCATTCTTAATCATTCTGCTTTCTTGCTCAGGATGGGGTTGAACTTCCCCACTCCTCTGATTTTCTGATTTTAACTGAAGGGAAGCTTCTGCTAAGTCCAACTCCAGACAGGCCAACATATCAGCCTCCAGGCAGCTTTTCTAATGTTAACTAATCTGATCAAATTCACAGACACCTCAAAGGTCAGCTGAGAATCCCCTTCCTCGAAGAAGACATCCCAGACTCCCCAGATGAAATTCATCTCTTCTTTCTTTCTGTTCCCACGGCATTTTGTCTCCGCCTCTGCTCAGCCCTTGGCTCTGTCTGCTGGTTTTAAGACGACATCTGTGCACAACTCTCCCAACTGGCAAAGCCATCCTTGAGGACTGACCATCCTTTGGGTCCCCCAAGACACTTGACCCACGGCCCCGAATGCTAAATTCCCACATGTTGAATTGAATGTGTGTCTCAGTATTTACCTAGCTCCATCAACCTGAATCCAATAAAGTTGTCTAATGAATGCATCTTCTGCCAATTACCAGATTTCTGTGAGTTGTGTTGCAGTAGAGATTACAACAGTAAGGTTGCCCTCAGCCAGGGTCAAGGTTCACAGAACCCCACCTTTTTGGCTCTGGATTGCACATCACATCACACAGATAAGCCTCAGGCCTTTCCTCTGGCCCACAGCCCAAAGGAACTGGGGATGGGGAGTTCTTTCCTTGAAGGAGGTCCAGTGGGGGAAAAAAAAAAAAAAAAAAAAAAAAACAGAAACAAAAGCTTTCCCCCATGCAGTGGCCATGCCAAGTGGGTGTTTGGCCATTTCCAAGTGAGCAACTTTTTTGAATTTGATTTTGTGGGTGCTTTCAGCAAATTAGAGCCACAGTTACGCTGTGACTTAACAGGATTAGTCATGCACACACATCCTGTGCACACACTTCAGTCCCCTATTAAAGGAAGCACAAGCCAGAGGCTGGCAGGAGAGGTTAGAGAATTACCTCCCATCTCCTCAGACCCTTCAGGCACAGTGTGGCAGAGTAAATACAGGGCTCAGGCACATCAGAATTCCAGATAATCGATGGCTAACTTCAGTATAAGTGTATCCCATGTAAAATTTGGCACATACTTACACTAAAAAATATTCAAATTTAATCGGGCATCCTGTATTTTGTATTTGATAAATTTGGTCATGCTACTCAGGCAGGATCTTAAATGCTGAAGTCCAGGACCCCTGAGCTGCTTCCAGGGAAAGTCCTCATCAATGACAGAAGCAAGATGAGAGAAACCATAATATGGGAATCATCTGGGCTATATGGGGCTCACACATGAATGTCCAAACACATGGCATAAAAAGCCTGATCAGGTGCTCAATGCAATTTACACAAAACACTTTTTGAGGGTATAGTAGCTTAGATAAAGCCCATTAGCATCCTTAAATTAATTCTTCACTCGGCATAATAACACATCCTCTCTCCCTTACTTGTTTTTCCCAGGGGAAATATTTGATCACTTCCGTCAGTCACCTGCTTGAATGCCCCGTATACCAACTGTGTGACAGTTATTGATTTTTGATGAATGATACAGCTCTCTCTTCTGGGCTATGACTGCTTTGTTTTCAAACCTTACTTAATTGTGCGATGATTTTGGGGGGTTTTTTTCCCCTTTCCAGAGAAATAAATGCAAAGTGTTTATTCTCCAAAGGCCGTAAACAGAGCTTGCGGGTCTGGTTTCTATGACAACCCCACTTGATACAGCAAACCTAGATTATCTCTAATGACAGACATGAAGTTTAAATTGCACATTCTGAACAAACACTGCTCTGCTGACCTTTTATTGAAAAATGGAATACAGGGTGATTAGCATAATGTGTTATATAAAAAGGAAAAACGTGTATTCGTGGGCATTATGCACCAGCGATTAGCCGCACTGCTAGTCTTTAACAAACTGCTTGCCGGGATGGAGAGCTTGGGAAATTAAGATTTGCCATCTATCATTTTCAAATTCAGTAAAATCTGCAGCAGTAATTGCACTAAACAGTTTTCAAATAACACATGCTGCTGTTTCTCTTATTCAATTGAGTCTTTTAGCAGGGGAGCACAGAAGGAGAGGAAAATTTTACCCATTGTACAAAAAATAATAATCGTTGGCTCCAATAGCTAGTCTGAAACAATCTCTGTTTCTTAATCCCCTAATGCAATTCCTGGAGGAAGCCTAGGGCCTGGTGTAGCCTGGCAGCTACCTCCTGGAAACTGCTCATTAGCAGTGTGGTGCAGTGGGGGTCCTGGGTGGTTAACCAGAGGTGGGGGCTAAGCGTGGTCCACCCGCAGGTTAACTGGGCCTGCTCTTAGCAACCACAAAATGAAGGGTTGGAGAGTTTGGGCTCTGAAGTAAATGACCTGGTTCAAATCCTAGCCTTTCCTCTAGCCTCCCTATGGGCAAATTACCTAGCCCCTCCAAGACCCAGGTCCCTTGTCTACACTATGGGAATGAGAGTAATAGGTCCCACTTCACAGGATCATTGCAAAGATGGAAGGAAGCAATACCCAAGAGCGGGCAGGGCCAGCCCCCAATGACCATTAGCCACTCATTGCTCAGAGTTCAAGTTCTGTCTTCTATTTCCATGAGAGTGTGTTCATATCAGGACTTCGCCGACTGGTACTTTTGAGCACTAATGAGATAATATGGAATGATGGAAAAGAGCATTTGCTTATTCCTTCAACCACATTTACTGAGCACTGGCTCTGCAGGAATGCAACCCTGAATAGGACAAGGTCAGTCAGGAGCCGCCACCAATGCTCTTAGCTGTGTTACTTTGCACTTGTCATTTCATCTCTACGAAGAAATAATATTTACCATTTGATTCTCATAACAACCCTGGGTGAAGGAGGTCATTTTACACATGGGAAAACTGAGGCTTGGAGTCACGAAGAGGTGGCCGAGTGGGGTGCACTGGAGTTTGTCATGGTACCTTTGAGTGGTCAGAATGCCTTGTCACAGATGCTGTCACTTGACCCCCAGCCTAACAGGGCAGGTCACAGACTGGCCCAAGTGTCCTTGGCTGCCCTGCAGGTGGGGATGGTCTCAATGTCCAGACACCACCCTCAGGGTCTCAGCCTCACCTTGAACCTCTGTCCTGGGTGCTCCCAGACATTCTTGTGTCTCCCATGGGCTTAGGCACAATCTGTCACCTTTCTCCACCCTGGCCTCCTCACTGCAGCCCACAAGCCACTCGGGTGACAGGCTTCACCTGCCCCTCGTCATAGTGCTCAAGATGTCATCTCTCAATGTGCCCAGTGCACAGAACCTGCCAGGCACCAGCCAGCCCTTGCTCTCTTGGCCCCTCTGAATCCAGGCTCCAATGGCATAGGGGCCCTCTCAGTCGGGGTCACACATGGTCCCCCTGCAAGCAGATGCCTAAGCCCTAAATCTCACAGTGTTTCACCAAAGCAGCTACTTCTGTTTCCTGCTTCTAGAAGGGCTCAAAACCAGCTGTTCCATCCAAGGGCTGGGGGAGACAGACAGCATAATCCCTCCCCAGTGTACATCTCTGCCCCAGGCACACCTCAAAAGAAGCCTTGTTTCTCTTCCTTCCACAAAACAGAAAATATCCTTCATGCATAATTTTTTTTTAATTTCCTACCTCAAAGCCAAATGGCCCTTGAGCTGCAGGGCTATGTGGCTGCACTATTGTTATCCCCATTTCTCAGAGGAGATGTGAGGCTCAGGAGGTCACGTGGCTGCTCAAGGTCACACTAGACTAATAAAGGGTACAGCCAAGGCCTGAACTTACCTGAGCTGACCCCAAACCCAAATCCAGTGTTCTCTTCTCAGCCTGTCCTTCGATGCCGATATGAACTAAAGTGACTGAATTCCATCAGAGGTTTGAATTGCACAAACCTCCAATCTTTCAGGGTCATCAACCACAGTTATTGTAATAGGCTGTGCTTCTTCTAAAAGCACAGAGTCTTACTCACTCTGACAATTGCTTATCCTTGGAGCATAACTGCAAACAAGACCTAAATCTGCAAATTGTGTCACTTCCAGAGCAGCCACAGGTCAGCAGATGACCTGACAAACAGGCTGTCACAAATGGCTTCCAAGGTGGGCCAGGGCTAGTGTCATGGGCCCTGATCCCTGTCCCTTAACTGTGAGCCCTCCACTGGTGTCACCTGAAGTGCCCCCGCCCACACCATCCCTTTGTTTATTAGAGACATCCATCTCCTCCCAGCAAGTGAGAGGCCACTAGCTACCCTCCTAGGTTAACTCCATTATTCCCAGCTCCTTGAGCAAACCCTCTTCATCACTGAGAAAACACAAACTTTTGCTAGGAAGTTGGGGTGAGACCACATCTGGCTTTGGGTCAGGTTTTCCAATTAGTAGCCAGATGTGCACAGCTCAAGCCCCAACCAGCTGCACTTGAAACACACCAGTTCTGTTAAAGGGCAGACAGTGCAGCCCATTCTCCCCATCATGGGAGAAGGATAGAGCTGCGATTCAGAGTCCCTCATTGCCAAGAAGCCACAGCCAGCCTTCCTGGAAAGTGACAGAGAACACAAGGCTAGTGTTTGCTCCAACATCTGGCAGCAGATGTAAGTGGAGCCCTGTTTCTGAGAAGAGCAAGAACCGGGGAGGAGAGAGAGAATGTTGGCTGCTCCCTTCCTAGGGAGGACAAAACTCATCCACATCCCAGCATTCCAAATAGAGTATGGACAGAGAAAAACACTTCACAGAGAAACCTGGCAGGCGCCCCTGAACCAGGTGAGCCCCTGGTTAACATCACTAGTGATAAGGCATGTTGATATCTTGTACCCCTGTGATACGATGCACTGAAGACATTTCCCCTCTGTGAGCTTCTTCCCCAAATCCAATCCTCAGTCTACATATCAGAAAACATCAGCCGGGCACAGTGGCTCACGCCTGTAATCCTAGCACTTTGGGAGGCCGAGGCAGGCAGATCATGAGATCAAGAGATCGAGACCATCCTGGACAACATGGTGAAACCCCATCTCTACTAAAAATACAAAAATCAGCTGGGTGTGGTGGCACGCACCTGTAGTCCCAACTACTCAGGAGGCTGAGGCAGGAGAATCGCTTGAACCCGGGAGGCAGAGGTTGCAGTGAGCCGAGATCACACCACTGCACTCCAGCCTGGCGACAACGCCATCTCAAAAAAAAAAAAAGAAAAAGAAAACATTAGGTCAACTCAAACTGAGAAACATTCTATTCAACACCTGACTGCTCCTCTTCAGAAGTATCCAGGTAATGAAAGGCAAGGAAAGATGGAGAAACTATCACAGATCAGACGAAACTAAGAAACAAGGGCCAGATGTTGTAGCTCACACCTGTAGTCCCAACACGTTGGGAGGCTGAGATGGAAGAATTGCTTGAGGCCAGGATGTTGAGGCTGCAGTGAGCGAAGATGACACCTCTGCACTCCCAGCATCTCAAAAAAAAAAAAAAAAAAAAAGAAAGGAAGGAAAGAAGCTAAGGAGCCATGACAACTAAAAGCAATGTGGGATCCTAGATTAGCAGATTAGCTCCTGGAACAGAAATGGACATTAGTGGTGAAAACTAGAGAAATCTGCATCAAGTCTGTAGTCAGTTAATAGTAATGATATACCGATGATCATTTCTGAGTTTTGATGAATGCAGCATGCTATGTAAGATGGTAACATGAGACTGGGTGGGGGTGGATAGGAACTCTCTGCATAATCTTTGAAACTCTTGGGGAAATCTAAAATTATTTCAAAATTAAAAGTTGTAAAACAAACCCCAAAAACGAAGCAAATGCTTTTTTCCCCCTTAATTTTTAAAAACGCCTTGCCTTCTCATAACAGAGCATCAGGGCAGGCATCTGACAGCCTGGGCTCCACAAGAAAGCCCTCTGCACCTTTCCCTTCCCTCTGCCTGTGGCTTGTGCCTTCCTATCTCGATTGTCCTATGCTCCTTTGGCACTTGTCAGTCCAACCTGCCCATCCTCATCAGCTGCTTTCACCTCCCATGCCCTCTTCCACAGGCGACAAAGCCCATCTTTCAGGAAGAGACAATGCCCCCTTCTCAGACTCCAGGGTTCAGTTCTTAGGAGCTGATCCCATCCCCCATGGTGGGCAGGTCCAGGACCTCACTTGGCCAGTCAGCCCACTACCTCTGCAGCCTGGCTTTTGGGATTGGTTCAGAGATGGGTCCTTTACTCAGGACTTTGAGAGTGAGGACCGGAACTTGTGCTAAAATTACTGGAAAAGAGGCATAGTCTTTCTGTTGGGGTTGCTAAGCAGGTGGAAAATAAACCTGGGACTGGGGTAGGGGGCACCAGGTGAAGAACACCCCCTCTGTCTGAGAGTGAAGCCAGCCACAAGGAAAGCAGAGCTGGGTGACGGAAAGAGATGCAATGACTTTGCTTGAGCCCCTAGGATCCAGCTGTGCCTCAAGCTGGCACCCTCATCAGAACTTTTCTGTTGCATAAACTGGTATTTCCCTTTTTGGTTTAAACCAAAACTCCAGCTGAGTTTCTGTTGCTCACAACCTCCAATGTTAAGCCTCCCCTGGTGGCAAACTGTGAGTCTCTCCTCCTTCACCAGCTCCCACTCCTTTCTTCCCCAGGCCCTGGGACCAACTCTGCCTGAAGCAGGAGGGAAGAACAGGCTCCAGCCAGCCTCCTGGGGTCTGACCCCAAGATAAGGCTGTAAGTGCCAGGAGTTTATTTGGGAGCTACTCCCAGGAAGCATAGCTGAGGCAAAGAGGCAGGAAGGCTGTGTTCCAGAGCAGGTTATTGCCTGGCAAGAGGGGCCCAAGCCTGCTGGGGACCTCCAGGAGATGGCACAGACCACTCATCAGTTACCCTCCTGAAGGGAAGAAACCTGGGGGTAAGGGCATGTGGTGGGGGTGGGGGGTTATACACCAAATTTCATCCATCCTGGGTTGAGGGCTGCTCCTGGAGTCATTGTTCATCTGTTAATGTCTCAGAGCACATGCCCAACAGAGCAGCAGGTGCTTCCAAGAAAAGGACTCACCTGCGTACAATGGAAAGGTGAGTGCACAGGTGAGATGGCCAGGGACCAACAGCTGCTGCGACATCTGTGGACCGTATCAAGGACCCTGGGCTCCTGGTTTCCTGCTTGGTTCTCTAGCCTCTGGGGAGTCCCTCTGGTTCCCCTCCCCAATTCCCAGGCCTGTGCTCTGCCTTCCCATCAACACCCTGGATCTGCTGTGACAGTCACTTGGGACCATGCCCTGTGGACATGGGCACACATTGTTCATATGGACTCCCTGTTCCAGCAGCTCAGGCCCCACCCCCAGCTGGAAACTCCAGTTCCAGGGTGGCCCCTCCAGGTGTCAGTGGAAAAGGCATCTGACAGCAGCATGGTGACTTCCTCTGAAGCCCGACTGCTCATACCCACCTGAAGCCGCACAGCACAGATCATAAAAACCAGGATGGTGCAGGCACACAGACCCTGGGGTTAAACCCCAACTCACCCCTGGCTTGCTGGGCCATTTAACCTGGGAGAATGATAGACCCCAGTGCTCAGGACTGCAGTAAGGTTCCATGAGATGGTGTCTGTGACTCAGCCAGCATGCAGTAGACACTCACTGGACACAGTGGCATCGCTGCCAGATCTTGGAAAGTAGAGAAAGCCCCTGGGATGGTTACAGTAACTCCCAACCCAGAGCCACCTGCTACGGATGGGTTTTTGTTATGGTTCAAATTATGTCTCCCAAAAAGATACATCTTAACCTCCACTACCTTGAAATATGATCTTATTTGAAAATAAGGACGTTGCAGATGAAATGAGGTTAAGACGAGGTCACACTGGAGTAGGGTGGGCCCCTAATCCAATATGACTGGTGTCTTTATAAGAAGAGAAGACACACAAAGACAGACACACAGAGACAAGACAGCCCGGTGAAGACAGAGGCAGAGATTGTGTGATGCCGCCACACACCAAGGAACACTCAGGACTGCCCACAGCCGCCAGAAGCTGGAAGAGCAGGAAGGATCCTCCCCTGCAGGGTTCAGAGGGGGCACGGCCCTGCAGACACCTTGATTTTGGACTTGTAGCCCTTGGAACTGTGAGACAATCAAGTTCTGCTGTTTTAAGCCACCCAGTTTGGAGTACTTGGTTGATATTAGCTCTAGGACACTAAGACAGATTTTCACTGATCTCTTTCCAGGTTTCCAAAGGTAGATTTAACCATTTGAATGGAAACCATGCGCCAGCCACTTTTGTGGGGGGTTTCCCAAAGTGTGTTCTGGAACTGCAGGATGTCGACGGTTGTTGATGGTTGACCTGGAAAAATATGTGAAAAGGGGTTCTGTGGTCGACACGATTTGGATGTGTGTCCAAGCCCAAATCTCATGTCAAATTATAATCCCCAGTGTTGGAGGTGGGGCCAGGTGGGAGGTGACTGGATCACAGGAGCGGATTTCTCATGAATGGTTTAGCGCCATCCCGTCAGTGCAGGTCTCATGATGGTGAGTGCTTACAAGGTCTGATTGTTCAAAGGGGTGCATGACCTCCCCTCTCTCTCTCTTGCTCGTGCTCCCGCCACGTAAGACGCCTGCTCCCATTTTGTCTTTCGCCATGAGTAAAAGCTCCCTGAGGCCCTCCCAGAAGTAGATGCCACCACACTTCCTATACATGCCTGCAGAATCATGAGCCAATTAAGCCTCTTTTCTTGGCGGGGCATGGTGGCTCACGCTTGATATCCCAGCACTTTAGGAGGCTGAGGCGGGTGGATCACCTGAGGTCAGGAGTTCAAGACCAGCCTGGCCAACATGGCAAAACATCGTCTCTACTAAAAATACTAAAATTAGCCGGGCATGGTGGTGCACACCTGTAATCCCAGCTACTCGAGAGGTTGAGGCGCAAGAATCGCTTAAACCCAGGAGGCGGAGGTTGCAGTTAGCTGAGATCACACCACTACACTCCAGCCTGAGAGACACGGTGAGACTCCTTCTAAAAAAAAAAAACAAAAAACTCTTTTCTTATAAATGACCTAGTCTCAGGTATGTATTTGTAGCAATTCGAGAACAGACTAATACAGTGGTCAAGTAATCAGGGAACAGTTGAACAGTTTCTTGCACGACTTCTCAGGGCCTTTAACATGCTAGTGTGTCTTGTGAATACCCATGAGCGGATACAGGAATGGTTGTCCTACTTCTATTTTTTTGTTTTTTTAGTTTTGATTTTTTATTTTGTCCTAAATTTATGTAACCACAGAAGCCTCTTCTCAGAGCCTCTGGTGGGATTTGCCTCTGTAGAGTGGAGCTGGGAAAATCCTGCAAGAGCGAGTCCAGTGGTAACAGAGGAAAAGGCCCATGTTCAGGGAGTTTGGAGCTCCCCATATGGAAGATGCATTTGCCTCCCTGTGGGATAACCTCAGGGCCACTTTAGGTTCATGGGGCTGCAAGCTGGTGCTCTACAGATCTGCAGCAAGAGTGTGACTTCCAGTCCTGTGTTGCACTGAATTCCAGGGACCGCGTGTGTCCCCGTTCCCCTCCCCAGCCACCCCCCACCACCCCCCATACACATAGTTGGCATTTAACCTTGCCAAATATCTTTGGTATGGCAATAGAATGATCTGGCTCCTAAAGAAAGAAGTCAGAGTTCAAAATGCTGAGTCATTCACCACGAGAGCAGTGCCTGAGGAGAAGTAGGTCAGCCTGGGCCGAGCCTCCCCACCCCTCCTTGGCATCAAAAGCACCCAGCACAGTAAAGGCAGCTCACACATGGCCGGGGCTGTTCTACAGGCTCTATCTGTATCCACTCTTTAAAGCCTCATGACAATGCTACAAGGGGTAACTGTGAGTCTCCTGAAATTCCAGATAGGAAACTGAGGCACAAGGAAGGGAGGAGGGATGGACCCCCAGCAACCCGGCCACATCCCTAACCAGAAACAAAGGATGGATCATCCTAGACACTGCAGCAAAAGACAAGAGTTAACCACTCATTCCCCAAACACAGGAGCAGACCCCACCCTTGAGAAGCTTGCACTGATGGAGACAGACAAGCAGCACCCCCACGGCAACAGCAGTGGGCAACAACCTGCTAGGAGGAGGCCCGATGCCATGGGAGTACCAGTAGGGGTACCCCGCCTGGACTTTGGAGGTGGTGGTACTCAGGGAGAGCTTCCTGGAGGAGGCAGTCTCTAAGCCAGGTTCTGAGAACAAGTGGGAGTTAGCCAGGTGAAGTAACTTTAACATGCTAGTGTGCCTTGTGAATACCCATGAGAGGATACAGGAGTGGTTGTTTCAGCCCAAGGATGCACCTGTGCAGAAACTTAGAAGCCAGGAGACAGCAAGGGCCTTTTGGGGAACTTGGGGAGGAACAGAGTAAGAAGCCGAAGCCAGCTGCCATCAAGGAAGCTCTCTGACCCACAGCCACGCTGTAAGTTGGAAAGTCTGGATTCAAATCCTGACTCCATTTATTCCTAGCTGAGTGACCGTGGGCTGTTAAACAACCTTTCTGGGCCTCAGCTTCCATATCTGGAAAATGCAGAAAGGAACAGTACCTTCCACACAGGGCTGTTGTGTGGGTGAAAGGATCTGCTGTGTATCAAGCACTTGGCCTAGGCATAAGGAAGCACTAAGTGGTGTCCACATCGTCATTGGGTAGGAGTCAGCCCAAGCCCTCCAGCAATTCAGCAAGAGTTACACAAAGTTACATTCAGTCCTGCAGAGCAGGTCCAGCTAAGTACAAAGGCAGGCTTGGGGCTTCCAGGAAAGGGGAGAAGCAGCCGGTGAGACCACAGGAACATCCGCCCTCCCCGCCCTGGCCCCAGGCCTCCGGGTTGCCTCCTCCTTCCCAAGGTAAGGCCCTGCCAAGAAATTCCACTGAAATTCCAAGAAAGTTCACTTTGAGTTTCACCCAGTCCCTAAATGGAAACACGCATGCGCACGTGCACACACACATGTGCACACGCACACACAGCATGAGGGGAAACCTAGAGCATCTTTATTTTATCCCCACCATGAAGCGGACTGGTTTGGAAAAGTACCCTGCCTGCCTCTTCATGGGGCTGGGTGTGGTCCTGAGCAAGATGGCAGGAGGTGGACGTGAAACCCATCTCTTCCCCCGCCGTGGGGACATCATTTCTCATTGGGAGTTGGCAGAAGGAGCTGTGATAAGGGGCGTCCTCTCTCCAAGCCTTGGGGATCTGGAAGGGATGCAGGTGATTCCACCCATAAAAAGCATCCTGGCAGATCCCCAAGCTGGGCCACCTGCATCTGCAGCATTTCTCATGAGGCCTCCTCATGTAGATTCATGGAAAACTTGGTAGGGTACTTTTCAGGTGGACATTTGACTATCTTAAGCAGGTGCACCCCTTTAAAATGGGATCTGGAGCCGATTACCCCCACCCTGAGTGAGAAGTGCACCTGATGGGGGAACTTATCACCCGTGGCCTCAGATTGTTAAGCGACAGCTCCAGCCCCTTGATCTTGGTGTGCCCTCGGCTCTCCAGACTGGTAGCTTTCAGGTCAGCAGCAGCCATGGGGAGGAAGTGTGCCTTATTCTGGTTTAGAAAGCACTCTGGTGCTTCAGCTTCTGAGCACCTATCCTTTAAAATGCCCCCTGGTTACAATAAATTGTACAGAAGAAATGTTGTACTTTGCAAAAGAACTTTTTAATCTCATTTAAAAAAATAAAATGACTCGCTGACTCATGAATGCCACCAACCCTCTTAGTAACACCAGGATTTGGAATTGTGCCTCACCTGTCAGCAGAGGAGAGGGGATGCTGAGGAGAAAGGTGAGAAATGTCCAGTGAGGTTCCTGAAGCCTGGACCCCCAAGCACCCCCTCGCTCTGACCTCTGACCCCGCAACACAGGCTGTTCCTGTCCCATTCCACGCTGAAAGAGCTCACTGAACACCTGCCTCATTCACCGCCCTACACCTTGCCTCTGCTTGGCCTTGACAGACACTAAGACAAGTCCCCTCCCATCTGCCTCACGGCCCCCACCTGACCCCCTGCCCCTCCTCTAATCCATCACTGAGATTCATTCCTACAAAGTGCAAGGACACTCACCACCCCAATGCTTGCCTCACACTGGCATTCAAGGGCATCTGCTCCAGGGGCCCAACAGGATCACTGGCGAATGGAAGGTGACAGACAGGGAGCCACACCCGGTTCTCAGGTCCTGTAGGGTTCTCAGGAGCCTGTGAATGGAGGGCAGGGGAGTAGTTCCAAGAAACTGAAAAAGCCCACTGTACAAAAACAAAAAGAGTACTTACTGGAAGTTTCCATTTATATAAAAGTCTAGAAAATGCAAATTAATCTAACAGTTGCCTGGGGTGGGAGGTGGGACAGTAGTGAGCACAGGGGCATGGGGAACCTCTTGGGGGACTGATCTGTTCATTATCTTGACAGCAGTGACAGTTGCATGGTTGTGTACATGTGCCAAAACTCAAATTACACACTTTATGTGCAGTTTATTGAAGTCTATCACACCCCAGTAAAGCTGTTTAAAAACTGATTATGTAGAAGGCAGGTGTGTCTGGAGCTCACAGAAGGGAGGGGATAGTCAGAGATGAGGCCGGAGGAACAGGAGGGACCAGCTCAGTGTGCTTTAGAGACCCCTGGGACTAGGCTTATGAGCAGCGTTGCAGTTTTCTACGATGCAGTAAGAAAGGGACCACAAACCATGTGGCTTAAGTGACAGAAATTTATTGTCTCCATTCAGGAGATGAGAAATCCAAAACCAGAGTGTCATAGTGTCAGAGGCGTTTGAACCAGAGTAACTCCATCTTGAATAGGAGCTGGGTAAAATATGGCTGAGACCTGCTGGGCTGCATTCCCAGGAGGTTAGGCATTCTTAGTCACAGAATGAAATAGAAGGTCAGCACAAGATACAGGTCATAAAGACCTTGCTGATAAAACAGTTTGCATTAAAGAAGCCGGCCAAAACCCACCAAAACCTAGATGGCCACCAGAGGATGACCTCTGGTCGTTCTTGCTGTACTCCCACCAGGGCCATGACAGTTTACGAATGCCATGGCAACGTTAGAAAGTTACCGTATATGCTCTAAAAATGGGAGGCCTGAATCATCTACCCCTTGTTTAGCATATCATCAAGAAATAACCATAAAAATAGGCAACCAGCAGCCCTTGAGGCTGCTGTCTATGGAGTAGCCATTCTTTTAATCCTTTACTTTCCTAATAAACTTACTCTCACATTACAGACTACTTGCCCTGAATTCTTCTTGCGATAGATCCTACAACCCTCTCTTGGGATCTGGATCGGGACCCCTTTCCTGTAACAATAGGATTGGCTCCTTCTGAAGGCTGTGGGGAGAATTCCTTCCAAGCTTCCCTCCTAGCATCTGCGGGGGGCTGGCAATGTGTGGCATTCACCCCATTTCTGCCTTCGTCTTCGTGTGGCCTTCTCCCTGTGTGTGTCTCTGTCCAGATTTCCCCTTTTTATGAGGTTCACCCTAATGCAGAATGGCCTCATCTTAATTACATCTGCAATGATCCTGTTTTCAAATAAAGTCACATTCTGAGGTACTGGGGATTAGGAACAAAACATGTGAATTTGGGGTGGGGTAGAGGAGCACAGTTCAACCTCTAACAGGCCATTTGTGGAATAAAAAAAATAACTGCATAAGAATCGGGGGAGAGTAGGGGAGAGGCAAGTGAGGAGCCCAAGTCCGAATTCTGCTCCGAAACTCCCCCTGGGAGCCTGGGCAGCCCCTTAACTTCTCCGCGCTGCTGATTTTTCTTCTGTGAAATGGGGACTGTGATCTTTGTTTCACTGTTGCCAAGACAGTCCATGCACCCATGAAAAGGGTCCATGTCGGTGTGCTTAGGGCAGGTCCTCTCTGCTCCCACCGAACCCCCAGAAGCTCTCGGTTCCCCCACAGCTTCTGAGCTTGTTCCCCAGGTCAGCCTCTTGCTCATCTGCCACCCCGCAGACACTGGGCACCCCGGGGGAAGAAGGTAAGGTCTCTACCTGTCTCACCTGTCTGTGTGAAGAGACCACCAAACAGGCTTTTTGCGAGCAACAAGGCTGTTTATTTCACCTGGGTGCGGGGGGGCTGAGTCCGAAAAAGGAGTCAGCAAAGGGTGGTGGGATTATCATTAGTTCTTATAGGTTTTGGGATAGGCGGTGGAGTTAGGAGCAATGTTTTTCGGGCAGAGGGTGGCTCTCACAAAGTACATTCTCAAGGGTGGGGAGAATTACAAAGAACCCTCTTAAGGGTGGGGGAGATTACAAAGTACATTGATCAGTTAGGGTGGGGCAGAAACAAATCACAATGGTGGAATGTCATCAGTTAAGGCTATTTTCACTTCTTTTGTAGATCTTCAGTTGCTTCAGGCCATCTGGATGTATACATGCTGGTCACAGGGGATATGATGGCTTAGCTTGGGCTCAGAGGCCTGACACTACCCACTTGTTCCCAATTAACAGGGGAGACCTACCCACAGGCACTGTCACACAAGCATGACAAGTGTGCTGGGGGTGGTGGTTGCCAGAGGAAGGGCAGTTGCCTCTGCCTGGTGCAATCACAGAGGGTTCCAGAGAGGAGGTGCCCTTCTAGCACCTGAGCTGAGACCCCAGAGGAAAACTATCATGGTGCCCTGCGCAAACCCCAAGCCTCAGATTGGGTGGGGTGGTAGGCAGAAGAATGCTCCCGGCAAAACTATCCCCAGCCTAATCCCTAGAACCCATGAAAAGGTGTCCTTACATGATCACAGGACTTGCAGATGTGAAGAAAGTTAAGGCTTTGAAATGAGGAGATTATGTGGCATTATCCAGATGGGCCCAACCTAACCCATGAGTCCTTAGAAGTGGAGGAGGTGGCAGAGTGGGTTAGAAATGCAATACAAGAAGGGTGACAGAGCCCCAAAGCTGGCTTTGAAGATGGAGGAAAGGGCCATGAGCCAAGGAATGCAGGCAGCCTCTAGAAGTTGGAAAAGGCAAGGAAGTGGGTTCTCCCCTTGATATGGACTGGCTATGTCCCCATCCAAATCTCATCTTGAATTGTAGCTCCCATAATCCCCGCATGTCGTGGGAAGGACCCAGTGGGAGGTAATTGAATCATGGGGGTGGGCCTTTCCCATGCTGTTCTCATGGTAGTGAATAAGTCTCACAAGATCTGATGGTTTTATAAATGGGAGTTCCCCTGTACAAGTTCTCTTGCCTGTTGCCATGTAAGACATCCCTTTGCTCTTCCTTTGCCTTCCACCATAATTGTGAGGCCTCCCCAGCCATATGGAACTGCGAGTCCATTAAACCTCTTTTTCTTTATAAATTACCCAGTCTCGGGTATGTCTTTATAAGCAGCATGAGAATAGACTAATATACCCCTAGAGCCTTCAGAAGGAGTCAGACCTGCCAGCACCTTGGTTTTAGGCCAGTGAGACTTGTGTCAAACTTCTGACCCTCCAGAACTGTAAGATAATACAGTGTGGGGTTCTAAGCCACTAAGTTTGTGGTAATATGTATAGCAGCAACAGAAAGCTAGCTCAGGTGAGGTATACACTCTGGTCCCCCACAAGGGGACAGGCTCAGGCAGGGGTCTGAGGAAGTGACACAGCACAAGGCTCCCCCAGGGAGCGGGGAGCCCAGCCTGCCATGCTGCAGAATTTCTGGGGAATAACAAGGTCATAAGGGTTGAGGCACAGGGAAGCCGTGGAAACAGCTGGGGAGCCTCAGGTACTCTGAGCTGCAGTTACTGGTCTGGGACTGGGATGTCAGCAAAGGGATCCCAGGGTGACAGTGATGCTGGGCTATCTGAGCCAGGAGGGACTCATGTCATTACCAAATCCTGGCATTGCTGATGAAAAACTTGAAGGAGAAAGGAGACACCTCCAGGGTCCCAGCAGAGGCCAGAGCCAGGAAGAGAACCAAAGTCTTCTAGAGTCCAGATTGGAAATTAGGGATCTGCACGGGAATGCTGCAGCCCTCACGGGAGGCTCCCCACTTTACAGCCTGACTCTCTGGACACAGTTCTCTGCCTAAGCACAGATCTCAGACCACAAAAGAACTGTGTCCTGCACTCGTACCTTCTAAAGACATGGCTCAGAGACTCCTGCCAGGCACCCCACAATGGGCCACCCCCATCCCAACGAAGCCTCCTGCAGCTGTCCAGAGCTGTCGTCCCAGGGCAAAGGTCACCAGCTAAGCTGTTACTCATTCCCAGGTCGGGCCGGAGAGGCTTATTCCGTACAAGGATTCATTTCCACCCTTCAGCCAGGAGGGAGTCAGCAGGCCAGGTGGGGACATGAGGATCAGGCCATCTGGACAGGCAGAGCTCCGAGGTGAGCTGTGTGCTGCAAAGGGAGGGAATGCACACATCTCAGAGCCCGGCCATCCAGCCTCCTAAAGGCATCTTTCAGGTCTCCGAAAATTTACTGAACATTCCAGATGCATCCACTGGCAGCATCCTTCCCACTCCGTAGACTGACGGGGCCAATTCACCCTCGGTTCTTGGCATTTTGTGTTCAGTTGGAAAAGACATTAAAACAAGGGTCAGATGTGGGCCATTATGTTACTCAATGGGGGAAGGTGGGTTTTGCACAAATGTCAAAGGACTTATAAATGCAGCATTGGATGGGGCCAAAACAAAAAGAGCCAAGGTGCCAGGGGAGGGAGGCTGGGAATGAGTCACGTTAGTGATTTCATAGGAAGACATTGGGGCAAGCGAAGCGTCACTCGAGGCAGCTTCTCCTTTCTCCTCCAAGCACCAGGATATTTTATTGCAATTGCGTGAAGGTCCATTAGCAACGGTCCTGGAAAATGGCTCTTTCAAGGTCAGGGAAACATGAGCAACGGCACGGACAGAGCAATTATTCCAAATGCAGGGCTGTTTGGTTGCCTTAGAATTAGAGAAAGGAAGGCAGCCAGTTGAAAATAAAGCCACACACTGAGTTCTGGGCCTGGCACATTTTCTGATTAAACAGGAGGTCATATGGTTGTAATATCAGGCTGCTGCCCTCTGTACCAGACATTGCCATGGGAAAATGCAGGCCAGACCCCCAGGATCCCCACTGCCTAGATATTCTCTGCGGAGTCCCCCATGTCCCTACCCAGCTCTGTGCCCCAGGGCTGACATGTCTCCAGGCCTCAGTTCCTGGTTGGGCTCGTCCAGTGGAAGGTGCCAGCCAGAGGCCGGAGTGTAGGAGGAGAGGGTGTCTGGGGAATCTGCTCCCTCCCGGATGGGCTGCAGATTGGCAGGGGCTGCTTCCTCGCCTTCCGGCCAGCAGCTCAAAATAGGAGATACTCTGCTGCAGCTCCAGGCTCCGATACCAGTTCCGATACCAGCTCTGATGTCCCTGCACCTTCTGGCCAGGGTGATAGGAGCTTCACTCCCTGTGCTAGCGATGAGGTCCTGCCCCATCCTAGGTGGGTTGTCTTGTGTCCCCACCTCCCCTTTGCAAACAGTTCCCAGTCTCTCCTCAGAGACCCTACTTGGGTGTCCCATTTCCTGCCAGAGCCTAATCTTTCCTTCTTCGAGAAATTCTCCCTGGACTACTCCAGCCTCCTTCTTGAGCTGCCATCAACACTTAAGAGTCTCTGTCCCTCAATTTAGAACAGAAACATCCTCGGCTTCGAGTGGTTTGCAATTGTTCCAAGGATGCCTATCTAGTTTGTCAAGCCAGTTTCTGCCCTTCGGGGTAGGGACCAGGATATACATCCCCTTCCCATCTGCACAGTGCCTCCCAAGCAGGTTGAGCTGGTCACACCCTCCACAGAAGTCCCCCTTTTCCCGGCCAAGTTCGTGGAACCTGAGGGCAGTCGCTAAATGCTAGGTGGAGCCAAGGGTGGGCCTGGGAAAGAGGAACCCGGCCTGAGTGCCCAGAGGTAAGGCTGAGGGACAGCATCCCCCTCAAGCCCCCTCCCCACCACCCACCCCCATCTCTCCCCCTTCTGCCAACAGCCTGACCTGAAGCCAGAGGCATGGGTTATCCTCAGGCCTCCTCTGGCTTCCTGGAAAGCAAACACCCTCAGTCAGCAAACACCTACTGAAAGGCTACCCAGGCCACCCTGAAGTCCGGTGCTGGGGTGGCCCTGCTGACCAGGGGCTTCTGACCTAGACCTGACAAGCTTCTCCTGACCCAGCCACCACCTCTTGGTGGCTGGGTCAGGATCAGCCTGACCTGGCTCAAATCCTATCACCCCCTGCACTTGTGGATTCTCAGACAAGGGTCTCAGTTTGAGTTCCCCAAAAGTCAAGCCTGGCACAAGGATGTGGGTGCAGGTGGCTTCTCTGGGACATGATCCCAGGAAGCACAGCTGGGAAAGTGGGGCAACCATTAGCAGGGAGCCTTGAGCGTCCTCCACCGTGGCTGGCTCACCCCACAGGGAACCCTTTGGAGAAAGCCTGGAGCGCCCCCGAGCTGTCCCACTGAGGTGGGACTGTGGCTTTTATCTACCACCTCCTGCCCTCAGTGGTTGGGGATTTAGGGGATGCACCAGGGTGTCAACTCCCTGGCACTTGGTACATCAGACCAGGCCACTGCTGAGGCCAGCACACTCCTTCAGCCAGAGGACACCCTCAGAAGAGAGACAGGAAGCTGCCAGTGTGGGCAGGGACTGTTTGTGGGTGACCTCAGGGGTGGCCCAGGGAGCTCACAGACAGCTGGCCACCTCCCCTCTCTGAGCCGCACTGTATGCTGGGGTGAGGAGGCTGTTGTGAGCACCGAGCTGCACGCGTTGCCAGGTGCACCCTCAGTGCTGTGTCCATGCTCAGCCGTACTCTGGGCACAGCTGCTGTTATTCTGGGTCACGGCCATACCCTGTGCACAATGTGGCTCGGAGCTTGGAGGTCCCAGAGAGGGAATTGGACTCGGAGCTGGAGGGGACTTCCAGGGGAGGCGGCATTTAAGGAATGGGTGGTGGGTTTTAATCAGCCAAGAAAGGATCTGATTTGATAACCAAACATGTTTTGCAGAGTCCCCGACGCTATTGCTCTGGAAGGGACCTCAGAGGCAACCTCGGAGGGGGGCACTTCAGCGGGAACAGGAGGGGCCAGGCCCACAGCGGTGAGGCGGCTCCCCAGTGAGTCCCCTGCCTCCGAGTGGGGTCTCCAGATTTGGACTCAGCCCTCCTCCTGCCCTCAGCCTCGCAGCTCCACCTCCTCCAGATGGCTGCAGTGAGCCTGGGGCACTGGCAGAATGGGTGCCAGTTCTTAAAGGACCAGCTGCCCGGTTCTGCCATCCAATTCTCTCAACTCGTGAGTCTCACAAAAATGTCCACTTGCACCTGCAATGAAGCCAAACGTGAAAACCCAGGAGGGAGAAAACCCAGGAGGGAGAAAACCCAGGAGGGAGAAAACCCAGGAGGGAGAAAACCCAGGAGGGAGGTGTCCACTTGGGCCCAGACGCTTGCTCCCTGGAATCTACCATGTGATTGTCATTCTTTTGATCTACACCCCTTTCATTCTGTAAACATCTATTGAGTACATTTAGGAGCCAGACATTGAGGACCAAATCCAGAGGAGAGACAAACCCAAATCACTGACAATAATCTCACGGAAGTATATGGCCAAGAAGGGTTGAAGTGCTATGGGAGTGCAGATAAGGGAGCAGCTAAGTGCCTGGGGGACAGAGGAGCTGACAGTTGAGCTGGGCTTCAAAGGATGCATAGGAGTTTACCAGGCAAAAGAGAAAAAAAAAAAAAGCTTGGGGAAGTCCATTCCAGGTGGAAGAAAGGGCATCAACAAAGAAGAGAGACGTGGGATATTCAAAGAAGGTGGAAACATTTGTCGTGGCAAAAGCCCAGGTGCAGGGGAGAGCCTGGGCCAAGGCTGGAGAAGTCGGCGGAGAGGCCTTGTAGCCACCACCTGCCTTGATTGGCCAGTGCCTGTGCTTGTACCTGATTTTAAATAATTGGACTATCATGTGTGTTTGTACAGCAGCTGGGGCAGCAAGTTATCAACAGAAGATTGATAGGGTAAGACCCATTTTTACAGAAAAATCCCTCTTTGCACATGGGCAGAATGGGCCTGAGGCGGTGGAAAGAAGGGGCGAGGGGTGAGGGGCAGCCCACAGCTCCTGGGCTGTTTGCTTTTCCTCTCCCCTGCTCACAGGAGCCCTCCGGGAGGTCTAAGAAATCCACACACAACTATAGAAGAACCAAATCCCCACATTGCTCTGGGAATTAGAATCTCAGCACACGAGGCCGGGTGTGGTGGCTCACGCCTGTAATCCCAGGACTTTGGGAGGCTGAGGCGGGCGGATCACTTGAGGTCAGGAGTTTAAGACCACCCTGGCCAACATGGTGAAACCCTGTCTCTACTACAAATACAAAAGTTAGCCAGGCGTGGTGGCGGGTGCCTGTAATCCCAGCTACTCGGGAGGCTGAGGCAAGGGAATCACTTGAACCCAGGAGGTGGAGGTTGCAGTGAACTGAGATGGCACCACTGCCCTCCAGCCTGGTGACAAAGCGGGACTGTGTCAAAAAAAAAAAAAAAAATCTCAGAACATGACTTCTTCAAGGTCTCCTGTTTCACAGATGAGCTACCGGAGATTTTCATCTAGAACTAATAACACATCCACTCATTCAGCCAACATTCGAGTGGCCGCTCTCTGCTCCTAACTGCCATAGGCCTAAGGACACAGCAGAGAATAAAGCAGCCCAGTCCTCAGCCCTTAGGGAGTTCACATTATGGCAGAGGAAACAGAAAATAAACAGAGTAAGACTTCAGACTGTGAGAGGCTCTAGGAGGGAAATAAACCGGGCGGTGTGGTGCAGGGATTGGCTAACTGCAGCCCTGGGGCCATGTCCAGCCTGCAGCCTCTTTATATGGCCAGCAAGCCAAGAATGGTTTTAAAGGGTTGTATAAAACAAAAAGAAAAGGCCGCGCTCGGTGGCTCACACCTGTAATCCCAGCACTTTGGGAGGCCGAGGCAGGATTGCTTGAGCCCAGGAGTTTGAAACCAGCCTGGGCAACATAGCAAGACCCTGTCTCTGATGAAAGGAGAGAGGGTGAGGGGGGAAATGTTGTGGAAAGAGAGGAAAAGGAAGACGAGAGAAAGAGAAAGGAAAGAAAGGAAAATGCAACACAGACCTTAAAGGCCCACAAAACCTAAAAATGTTTGCCATGTACTACTTTATAGATCGTACTTTACAGGAAAAGTGTGCCCAGTTAGTAAGACGAGGGCCCTCTTAACTAGCAAAGTCTGGATTCTTTCTTGTGACATGGCCTCCTTCCCCTTCCTCAGAGTTGCCTCTACCTTAGGGAAGATGAGACACTGAAACGGTTCATGAAAAGTTCACTGTGCTTGGCCACCTGCCAAGAATCCGGATTTCTGGGCATCTCACTCCCCACCTGCTGTCTGGGGTCTTACTCAAGAAACCTGGTCTTCAACCTGGCCACAGCTGTGCCTACCCCCTCCTTGACTGGCAGACCAGGGAACCACATAGGCAACAGCTTCCCCAAGGACCCCCGGCCCCTCCGGTTACCCCTCCTCCTGCCTGAACCACTTGGTCAAAAATAGAACCACATGGATCCCTATTTCAAGACACCTCCCTGGAAATCCACTGCCCGGAGACTCTGTCTTCTTTTATTTCAGTGAAATACATTTCTGAGTCCATGGTTCAGAGTTCAACTTTATAAATCCTGGCACTGGTCAATAGAGGAAGAAATGTTTACGTCCAAACAAAACCAAATACATAACTCTAGCTCTCCTGGGGGACAAAAAAAAAAAGTCTGTAAAACACATAGCAGCAGCCATTGTGACTTGAAACCAACACAGAGGAAGAAGTGTGACAGAAATCCCCAAGCTCACCACTCAGCGGCGTCTCTGATACATTCCATTACACGTCTGAGCTAAAGAAGAACCAAGTTGGTTCTTAAAAAGTGTGTCCCATCCAAATACCTAATGCATATGCAGCTTAAAACCTAGATGATGAGTTGATGGGCGCAGCAAACCACCATGGCATACATATACCATGTAACAAACTTGCACGTTCAGCACACGTATCCCAGAACTTAAAATTTTAAAAAAAAAAGTGTGTCCCATCAATGTTCAATACAGTCTTCAGACATCAGCCACGACCTGGAAGGTTCACAGTGAAACCTGTGCCTCACAGAAAATAAATTACATCTGAATAGTTAACTTTGCAATTGTTAAAGAGCCTTTTCCCAAAATTAAAATGACTCACATGTCCACACAAAGTGATAGGACAAATTCTTTATATGGTAATGGTGAACACATGTGATGAAAGATAACGGCCGATACACATCCACCTGCGATTCCTCCCTGAGTCCCGTTAAAACAATAAAAGGGATGCTTTAAAGGAATAAACACATGAGAATAAAAAGGATGAGGAACAGCAGGAACAACTTTTTGGAATCTGGTAACTGATGAATCAAGAAAGCTGAGTGGGGAAGCTGAGACTCAGCTTGGTTTACACCAAGAAATCCCACCATGATGGAGAGATGGGCAGTGCCGGCTGCCCCTGGTGGCAGGGGTGAAAGTGAGGTTGAAAGCAGGAAGAGAAGCTGAAAGTCTGTGCAAGCAGACAGACCCTAATTACTTCTCCCACTCCTCATGGTTGGCCAAATGCACCTCCTGCCCCAGCGGGAGACTGGACCCTGATTCTCTAGAGAAAGTAACACAGCTGTCTCTGCAATGGGGGACACCAGGGACCTGTGGGGAGGGAGGAACTGCACTGAAAACGGGAAATTAAATTAAAGCTTACATATTGGATATCAAGACCCACAGTCTCCTTCCCCCACTCAGATCTCAGAATGCTGGCCAAGGAAGGAGGAGACTGGAAAATTCTTCACGGGAGAATATGACCAACTCAAGAGAAAAGGGCTACGGGTGCTGACATTTGTTTTTTATCTTCTAAGGATGAATGATAGAGGTGAAGACAAAAAAAAAAAGTGTTCTCTGCTTTCTTTTAACTTGGAATTAACTCCTGTCAGAGAAAACACAATATCTTACACCCACTCTGTATTATTTCCCACATTTTCTATTTTAGAGGGTGGGAATCAGTATACCATACTTGACAGGTACGACTACAAGTTTCCAGAGTCTACTTACGTTTCTACTGTTATGGTTGTTTCTCAAAACAGCTGAACTCAATCACCCTGGAGCAACGTTCTCAACTGACTGCAATTAGAACCACTCTGGGAGCTTTAAAAAATACCAATCCCAGAGCCCCACCCTCCAGAGATTCTGATTTAATTAATCTGGGGAGGGCCCAGACATCCGGGTTTGAAAAGCTCCCTCTCCTAAAAAATAAAAGCTCCCCAGGTGATTCCAACATGCAGCAAAAATTGAACATCACTGTCATCCAGTGAGGCCTGCACTTGATAAGACCACTCCTGCAATCAGAGTGCCCAGTCAGCATCTTAGTACATAATTTTAAATATGACTGGATAGGCAAGGGTTGCCAGGATAGCGAAGTAAAACTTTGTACACGAAAGACAGACCAAAAAAAAAAAAAAATCAAGTATATAAAAACAACTTGAAGAAAACAAACTGCAGGGAGGGAAAATCTTTGGAGGAGGAGGAACCACTAATTTTTCAGTTTTAGATTTTCAAAGAGAATAGCAAAAATATTAACTCCAGGAAATCTGAACAAGACACTGTTTTTTAAAAAAAGAAACATTTAGTGAACCAAAAATAACCTTAAGATAGCAGAAATAAACTCAATAGAAGACTTAGAAGTTAAAGATAAGCAGAGCAAACGGTAAAGAAAAATACAGAAAATGAGGGGACAACTTCAAGAAGTCCAGCATGAAAATAATAGGCACCCCAGAATGACAGAACAGAAAAAACAGAGGAAGAAAACATCAAAGAAATAATTCAAGACGAAGGCCTTGAGCTTCCGATTGAAAAGGCTTACCAGGTACCAGCATAATGGATGAAAGCACACCTACATGAAGGCATGTGATGATTACATTTCAGACTGAGACAAAATTCTACAAGCTTCCCACTAGGAAAGAGGGGAAATATCTACATGCAAAGGACCAAGATTATAATGGCATTGAGTCTCTCCCCATTAGAAGCCAAAAGACAATAGAACAATTCAAATTTCTGAAGAAAAAGCATTTCCCATGTAGAACCTTGTATCTAGCTAAATTGCATTATCAATTACTTGTGAGAATAGTATGGACATTTTCAGACTTGAAAAATCCAAAATGTTATCTCTTATCCCCATCTCAAAATGTTATTGGAGGAGATGTTACACCAAAATGAAGAAGAGGAAGACATGGAACCCAGGAAAAGGGTCCAGCCCAGGAGAGAAGCAAAGAAAATATCCAGAGAGATGCAGGGAGATCCCAGACGACTTCTGTGCAGCAGACCTGCAGAACAACTAATCCAGATGAAACTGAAGTTTCCCAGCCTCCCTTGCAGCTAGGTGTGAACATGTGACCTTAGCTCCAGCAATCAGTTGTATCCATGTGAGATTTCATTTGTGGATAAAACAATGTAAAGAAGCAAGCATCAATGGGAAGCCATTTTCAAGGAAAGTTAGAGGGGGAGGCAGCTAACCTTCAGGGACAGCATGGGTGGCAGTATTCATCTCCCTGACAGCCAGTAGTTCAGTCTGAGGACTGTCCTTCATTGTGCAGTCTCCAAGGCTGCCTCTCTTTCCTCCTGGGATTCTGGAGCTAGTGAACATTCTGTAATTAATTCTCCTTCTAGCTAGAGTGCATTTTTTTTCTTTTTTTTTGCGACTAAGCACCTGATGGATAGAGTCTGACCAAACACTTAGGGCTGAATTCATAAGTACCCAGAAGATGAAGCAAACAAAAAGGCAATTATCAACCCCAAGGGGGAAAAAAAGGTATAAAAAAGAAATGTAACCATAGTACATATACTACATGCGTCAGTTGGGAACAGTATTCATTTAACCTTATTAATGTAAACATTGAAATTTGATTTAAAGTTATAAATAAAAGGAGAGGGCACAGGGAAAGTATGTATGTCACGGTGGGAGGTATACCCCAGGCAATTTGTCTGCTATAACAAATTAGCACAAACTCAGCCGGGCATGGTGGCTTTGCCTGTAATCCCAGCACTTTGGGAGGCCGAGGCGGGCAGATCACGAGGTCGGGAGATCAAGACCATCCTGGCTAACATGGTGAAACCCCGTCTCTACTAAAAATAAAAAAAAATTAAAAAATTAGCCAGGTGTGGTGGCGGGCACCTGTAGTCCCAGCTACTTGGGAGGCTGAAGCAGAATGGCATGAACCCAGGAGTTGGAGCTTGCAGTGAGCCGAGATGGCGCCACTGCACTCCAGCTGGGTGAGAGTGTGAGACTCCGTCTCAAAAAAAAAAACACACACAAATTAGCACAAACTTGATGACTCAACACACATTTGTGATCTTACACTTACAGATCAGAAGTCAGACAAGGGTCTCCCTGGGCTAAAATTGAGGTGCCGGCAGGGCTGGGTTCGTTTCTGGAAGCCCTGGGGCAGATGGATCCACTTGCTTGCTCATTCACAGAATTGGCAGAATTCAGTTCCTTGCAGGGAGGGGTAGGACTGACTGCAGTCACATTCCCTTGTGGGCTCTTGGCTGGGGGCCGTTTCCAACTCCTGGAAGCCACCTGCAGTCCTTGACTCACAGCCCCTTCTTCCATCCTCAGAGTCATCAACAGTGGGTGGAGTCCCTCTCACACTTAGACTCTTTCCTTCCTCTTCTTTCTGGCATCTCTGGCTCCCTCATCTGCCTTTTGCTTTCAAGGACTCATGTGATTAGATTGGGCCCACCTGGATAATCCAGGCTGTTCTCTCCTTTCAAGGTCCTTAATTTTAATCACATCTGCAAAGTCTCCTTTGCCACATAAGGTAACATATTCACAGGTCTTGGGGGTTTGGGCATGGATGTATTTGGGGAGCCATTATTCTACCCACTGGGGTGGAGAGGTACAAGAATGTGAAATCCCCATCTTTCAGAATAGGAAGTCATCAGACAATGCCTACAACAGAAAATTCCAGGAAGAGCAGCATCAACATTGGTATATGTAAGTAGAAACCAGAAGAGATTTCCAGAAAAGTGCTGAACACTGAGCAGCAGGACTGGGGGGTGGGGGACATTGCCTTGCAGATTTTACATTATAACCCTTGTGGGACACTACGTAATTTTTAACTTGTACATGTATTCCCTCCCCAGGCTCTGCGGATGGCCACGGGATCTGTGTGGCTCCTGAGTCTTTCCAGTTCTCACCCCCAGCTGTTATACATCCTAGCTCCTCCACTGGGCTTCCCTTTAGCTGTCACTGACCCTTCCTCCCGCTAGTAACCCCACTCAGCACTCTCACAGCACCTCACCCATCCCCCATTACCACTCCCCATTATATTGAATTCATACTAGTCCACCTGCTGGAGGAAGCTTATGTGTCAAATGGAAACAAGCAGTGGCAAGCCAACCAGAGCCAGCAAAGGCAAGCACCAATGAGACGCAGTGGGTCATCCAATGGACATCCTAGGAGAGAACCTCCCCCTCTTTCCAGGCCTCAAAGCTGAGGAGATATGAGGGATAGAGCTGCTGCAGCTATTCTGTGACTCTGAGGTTAGGGCTTGAGGTAGGAGCCAATGTAGAAGAGAGTAGGAAAAAGGAAAGAGAGCCATGCCATGTCCTAGTGGTATCACTGTTGCTAACTACTGTTCCCCTTCACTGTGGCCTCTGTGAGATTTCCGGTCCTAATGACAACAGTTTCCCCAAAGCAGTGGTTTTCAGCACTGGGCTACCCATAATAATTACGAGGGATACATCAATGATAGACTGGATAAAGAAAATGTGGTACATATACACCATGGAATACTATACAGCCATAAAAAGGAATGAGATCACATCCTTTGCAGGGACATGGATGAAGCTGGAAGCCATCATCCTCAACAAACTAACACAGGAACAGAAAACCAAACACTGCATGTTCTCACTCATACGTAGGAGCTGAACAATGAGAACACATGGATACAGGGAGGGGAACAACACACACCTGGGCCTGTTGGGGGGTGAGGTGAGGGGAGGGAAAGCATTAGGACAAATGGCTGATGCATGCGGGGCTTAATACCTAGGTGACGGGATGATAAGTGCAGCAAACCACCATGGCACATGTTTACCTATGTAACAAACCTGCACATGTGTCCCGGAACTTAAAGTAAAATAAAATTTTTAAAAAGTCTTCATATTTACAACCAGAAAACAAAAATTACCCAGGATACCTAAAAAACAAAAACAGAACAAAACAAAACAAACAAACAAAAAACACCAACCAGACCTGGTCCCATCCCCCAGAGATTCTGATTCACTTGATCTGGGATGGAGCAGCCTGGAAGGATGGGGAAAAGAGAAGGGAAAGAACAAGAAGAGAAAAACAGCATTTCAGCCAGAGCTTCTCATTTATTTGTATTTAAAAATAAAAATAAAACCATTTTGGACTGAGCCCCTGGGTCAGTCCCCACTGACCACGGTCTGCATGCAGTGCCAGACTGGAAGGCGTGAAGAAAGGAGAGGTTCCCTTTGGCCTTGCAATGGTGCTTCATGAACCCCCAGCACCATCCGTGTCCTAAAAGAAGAAGCAAACACCAAAGGGCCAGCCAATGGAAAAGTCTGGCCAGGTGAGTGTGTGGGAAGTTTGTAACCTGCAGAGGAGTCCAAGGACCGCCCCCCAAAAAGGGGTCTGCAAAGTCCCTAAACCCAGGTGAGGTGATGCTGGTGGCTCTCCATGCTCAGAGGCCTTGTTCTCCTGTCTGGAAGAGCTCAATTCCCAGCCCAAGGTGGAGGCTGTGCTCAGCTCAGCCCTGACCCAGGCTCACCCAGGCTTGAGGGTGACTGTGGCTCTCACAGCAGGTACTCCTCATGCAGGAAACACTGCTGGAATGGAATTGCTGAGCCAAGCAGGGAGGAAGTCAGAGAGGTCATAAGAGCAAACCAATGCAGATAGCAATGGATTACTATTCATTTTATTATTTTTTAATTTTTCGAGATAGAGTCTTGCTCTGTCATCCAGGCTGGAGTGCAGTGGTGCAATCACAGCACACTGCAGCCTCGACCTCCTGGGCTCAAGCCATCCTCCCACCTCCGCTTCCCAAGTTGCTGGGACTACAGGCACATGCCACCACACCTGGCTAATTTTTTTACTTTATTTTTGCAGAGATGAGATCTCACCATGAATTTTATGATTTTGACAGCTGACAACATTTATGCACAGAAACAACCTTCCAGGTAGGAACTGTATTTTTATTATTGACATTTTGCAGGAAAGGAAACTGAGGCTCAGAGAGGTAGAGTGACTTGCCCAAGGTCACACTGCTTGTCAGTGGCGTTGGTTAGAATGAGGACTGCGGTGCCCTGACCCTGACTCCACGGCTGCAGTCTCCTTTGCTGTTGCATATTCAGCCACTCCCGTTGCCCTGTGTCGCAAACCCCCAAGCAGAGGACAGCTGTGCTCTCTCTGGGCTGCAAGTGATCAGCGTCCCCAGACGCCTTAGGCTCTGGCTGCAAGACCAGGGGCCAGTCACCTCGCCCCACCCCGGCCAGCCCTCCCAGGGACCTGGAGCAGGTCACCCACCTGGCCGTCGTTCATGGAAGGTGGGGCTGTGCAGGAAGCTGCGAGCAGTGGCAACCCTGCCCTCACTTTCATTCTCCTGCAAGCCTCTTGACCCACCCGCCCCTACCCTAAGCCATTTTAGCCACCTCCTAGATGAAGCACACAGTCTCTGGCTTTGGGAAGAAAACCAGACTTTCTGGAACTGGGTGTCAGGCAGATGCCCTGGCGTGCTGGGTGATGGCTGCAAAGCCTCAGAGGACAGAGCCAGGAGGGGCAGTGATGGCTCCTTCCAGCTGCAGCAGGTGACTTGGGCCAAGACCACCTGCTGCAGTCGGTACCGAAATGACTTGCTGAGGCCCCCAGCAAGTGCCGAGCTCCTGCACATACTGCCCGGGAGGTTGTTCCGTGTCTCGCTGCAATGCTGCCCGCCCTGGGGCACTTTGATCCCACTTTGAGCTACCAGGAGGCTCTTCGGAAGCATCACCATGTGGCTGACAGAATTAAGTGTGGGCCAATGATGGACCTGGTGAGGGTGGAGGATGGACAGTGGAAGAGAAGT
The DNA here is from genome assembly GCF_000001405.40 of Homo sapiens. Classification (NCBI taxonomy): domain Eukaryota; kingdom Metazoa; phylum Chordata; class Mammalia; order Primates; family Hominidae; genus Homo; species Homo sapiens. The sequence goes on from NC_000010.11 coordinate 118,978,673, forward strand.
GTCAACAGGGCACGGTGCAGCTGATGAGGACCCTGGCTAAAGGGTAGGGGGGACCCTAGCTGGCCAGGTCAAGAGAGGAGGTAGAGGTTTGGGCCATCATCACCACGGAACTTGAAGGACACGTGGCCAGCCAGGCCTCAGGAGCCTCTTATCTCCCACTGCAGCGGGGGCAGCTGTCTCTTTGCAGGGCCATGTCACAGTGCCCATTTGGCTCCAGGGAGGGGTATGAGGATGTCTCAGGTCCTTGTGGGAGAAGCCCAGGCCAGAGAGTGGATCTGAGGCTACTGCCCCCAGCCATAGCCTCATCCCCAGAAACGCCCAAGTCTCAGGCAAGGGAAGGCACCAATACCTGGTGATGAGGCTGCGCTTTTGTGTCTCCTTGGAGGAGATAAGGGCCAGGCTCAGAAAGAAGGCAAAGGATGAGTTTAGGAAACTGCTGCTGCCCTGTGACTTCCCCCTGGAGAGTGTCCAAGCTGGGACCAAGAGCTGTGAATGGGCCTGGCTGCCTGGCCCAGGGATGGGCCTGGATTTGCTCAGGCTCAGAGGTTGAGGCCGGCACTTCCGTCAAAGGCCCTTCGCAAGTTCATCTGTGCCTGGAAACACCTGCAAGGGAGTACTACCCCTGCACTCAGACAAAGATGGGTTCAAATCCCGGCTTCACCGCTAAACAGCTGAGACCTTGGGCACATTATTTCTCTTCTCTGAGCCTCAGTTAACCCCCAAACGAAAAGAGGAAAATACTCCAACTCAGTCCATGAGATTACGCAGGGTGACGCACATAGTTCACCAGGGCTAACTGCAATGACAGATCTGTTTCTCAGATCCACAACTGAACTGAACTTTTGTTTAACTTAATTTCTGTTGCAAGCCCCCTTTTCACTGGATGGTGGAAACTTCCAGATGGGTCCCCATCCTCTCAGTTCTCCCTGGGTTTGCTTCTAAGTTCAATGTGGTACTACGGCCTGAGAAGGAATGGGTGGTGACGAGCCCCGGATGTTCTCTGTCCAGCTGACATCTTCTGAGAGACCCCCACACGGCCTGGTCATTGGGTCCCATATGTCCCTGCTACGTTCACCCCTCCACACACGCCAAGGCCCTTCAAGTGATCAGTGCTCACCCTGGCCAGGGCCTCCCACCTTGTCGCTAATGACATTTGAGGCCAGATAATTATTTGCCATGGGGCACTGTCCTGTCCAGTGTGAGATGTTTAGCAGTATTCCTGGCCTCACCCACTCCACGCCAGTAACAACACATCCCCCCATGCCAGTTGTAACAACCAAAGATGTCCCCCGACATTGCCTCTGGGAGGCAAAATTGTCCCCAGTTGAGAACCACATCCCTAGGCTACCTGGCAGCTCCTGCTCCCCTTCTACGCCTCTGTGCAGGGCTCCTGACTCCCACCCAGCCAGCTCTTCTGCTCTGACCACTCCCGGCTCTCCCCACACTCCCTGAGCAGCCCAGAGACTCTAGAGCTCTGTGAGGACACTGGGCCCCAGCTGCAGGATGATGGTGGCTGGCACAGATGATACAGCCCCAGGCACTTGGGAGGAACAGGGGGCCACCCCGTGGGAGACAGCTCCACCAGGAGGAACAGGTGGGGGGCCACCCCATGGGAGACAGCTCCACCAGGAGGAACAGGTGGGCCCCCCCCGCCCTGTGGGAAACGGGTTGCACCAGGAGGAACAGGCGGGAGGCCTCCCTGTGGGAGACGGGCTCCACCAGGAGGAACAGGTGGGGGCCCCCCGTGGTAGACGAGTTCCACCAGGAGGAACAGGTTGTGGGGCCCCCATGGGAGACGGGTTCCACCAGGAGGAACAGGCAGGGGGGCCACACCCAGGTGCTGCCCTGATGCCACTCATCCTCAACCACAGCAGCTGTCACGATACGGTGCCTGTGCAGGGTGAGACCGTCATAACCAGGATTTCACGTGATCCTCTCACAGCCTTGGATCGGAGAGGAATCGGGGTCCTCATTTGACAGAGGAGGAAGTGACTCCTCCGAAGGCCCAGGGTCGTACAGTTATAACCATCAGACCACCTGGGCCTGTGACGTGGACTTGAAGGGTCTGTGTCTTTTCTGAAGCCCCTCACCCTGGCTGAAGGGACAGCTCCTCCCCCTGGCAAGCTACTTCTCTGTACCTCAGTTTCCTCATGGATAAAATAGGGATGATAATAATAGTCTCTGCTTCATGGGACTACTAGGAGAATTCAATGACATTCACATTCCTGAAGCACTTAGCATAATTCCTGGCACATCAAAAATCCTAGCAGCCACTATTGCCACTGCGGCTGTTACCTTGACGTCAGGCTGCCTCCTCTGCAGCCTCCTCCAGCTTCATCCTGCAGCGAGGGAGTCCCAGGGACTGAAGTCAGCACTTTGGAGTCGTTTTCCTTACATGCACTTGAAACATCAATAAAAAGACCAAAGAACAAAAATCCACAATTACTCCACTTCACTACCCGACAGGCCCAGGGAGCTGTGTCCCATGGGAGAATGGCCTCATTAAATCACAGACATCCTTAAGCATTAGAAGCCAAACAAGGAGCGATGTAGCAACTGAGTGAAATCTGTTTCAATTAAAATGTGTTTTGCCTCCTGCTCCTGGAGGAGAATTTTCTCCTAAGGGCAGTTCCTAATCTCACAAACCTAAGGGCAGGTCTGTTCTCCCATCTGGGCCAGGGGTACCTGGGGGTGGCCAGGTGCCCTGTGTCCAGAGGAGTGCCTTGAAGATGACCAAGGTGGCCGGGCATGGTGGCTCACGCCTGTAATCCCAGCACTTTGGGAGGCTGAGGCAGGTAGATCATGAGGTCAGGAGTTTGAGACCAGTCTGGACAACATAGTGAAACCCCATCTCTACTAAAAATTCAAAAAATTAGCCAGACATGGTGATGTGCGCCTGTAATCCCAGCTACTCAGGAGGCTGAGGCAGGAGAATCACACGAACCTGGGAGGTGGAGGTTGCAGTGAGCTGAGATCGTGCCATTGAACTCCAGCCCGGGCGACAGTGCGAGACTACATCTCGAAAAAAAAAAAAAAGAAGAAGAAAGAAAAGAAAAACAGATGACCAAGGCCTTGTCCTGATCCAAATTCTCAGACAACTCACTGAACCTTCCACCCACCCCTACTGTTGAGCTTGGAGGACCCTCCTCCCCAGCCCTTGAGAAGAGACCTGGATCTTTTAGAGCTTAACGGAGCCACAGGAAGGACCAGAAAACACAATGGAATCGGGAGAAGTGAGTTCCTAAGGGCTCTCAGGTTTGACAATGACAACCAGAGGCAACCAACAACTACGGACAAAGCACAGCACAACAGAAAACACTACGAACTCCAACAAACCACACAGGCAGACCGGAAGCAGCTTCTGCCTACACATCCTGGAAAGGCCCCGTGCCCCACATCTCCCATGGCAGGTCTCCCGGGGGCCAGGGGCTTTCACTGCTTTCTTTCTGCTCCCAGCTCTCTCCCAGACAAAATGGGGCCAGTCTCATCGAAATTCATTCATTCACCTAACGAACCCCGAGTGCTGGCTCCCTCCTGGACGGGGGAGCTGCAGCATGAACAGGGCCGTCTCCCCAACTCCCACTGCGGGAGGCTGACTCTAAGCAAATCATCATCATTCAGTGTGAACAATGGGAATGGTTGCTCCCTAGACCATGAAAACCACAGCTGGAAGGTAGCAACCTCTGCCCTTCAAAATCAAAAGGTGCATTTTTGCCATTTGAAGGGACAAACTCCGGTAAGCACAGAGGGCAGTTTGTGCCTAGGGTGGGTGAGATGGGGGTGTGAGTGGGACCACCACCAACTCATTCTGTGCACAACATCAGACTCTCCTCCAAATACATGTTGTGTAAGAACCTAAGAGTTGTCAGTGTATAGGGGCCCCATGGGATTAGCCTGCCTGGGGCAGTCACAGCCCAAAATCTTGGCCTTCTTGCAAAAGATTCCCCAGAAGAAGCATGAACTTTCTCACACCTGTCAGGCCCTAGCAATGCCACTCTGCTTCCTTTATCCCATCCGTACCCAATCCCGTGAAGGAGGCAGACCAGGGATTGCCTCTCCCATTTTGCAGATGAGGAAATGAAGGCCGAGGAAGGTCGCATGACTCTGTAGTCCCTGGGTCTCCAGGTGCCCTGGCCAGAGTGCTCTATCTGCCCAAAATTCATATGTTGAAGCCTTACCCAACAATACTGCAGGATATGGCTTTATTTGGAGATAGGGTCTGTAAAGAGGTAATTAAAGTCAAATGAGGTCATTGCAGTAGGCCCCAATCCAATATAACTGCTGCCCTTATAAGAAGAGAAGATGAGGCTAGGCACGGTGGCTCACACCTGTAATCCCTGCACTTTGGGAGGCCAAGGAGGGTCGATCATTTGAGGTCAGGAGTCAAGACCAGCCTGGGCAACAAAGTGAAACCCCATCTCTACAAAAAAACACAAAAATTAGCCAACCATGGTGGCATGCACCTGTAGTTCCAGTTACTCAGGAGGCTGAGGCACGAGAATCACTTGAACCCAGGAGGTGGAGGTTGCTGCACTCTAGCCTGGGCAACAGAGCGAGACTGTCTCAAAAAAAAAAAAAAAAAAAAAGACAATGAAGGAGGCTTCCAGGAAGATGTCAGTATAGGGAGCACAAGGAAGCTGCCTCCACCTAGACAATAACTGCACTGGCAGAATCTGTCCTGCATAACTATTTTGGGACTCGAAAGGAGCCTATTGGAGGAGACTATTTTAAATAGGAGGTGACCAGAAGCTTGCAACTTCCAGGGGAAAGCTTGGTCTGCACATTGTGGTTAATTACAGTCAACCTCAGCTTTTGGCACAGCAGCAGCTACCATCCCCCAACCCCAGCTCTGTGGCAGACAGCTGTACATTTGTTCCAGGAGCAACCTGCAGATAGCTATTGGGAGCCAGGGCAAGCAAACATTGACCCTGGCCTCCACATCTCAGGATCTGTGTTCTGATTGCTGATTGCCACTTCTGATGACAGAGGTGCAAAGGGGCAGGCAGCCATTGTTGCACCTCCCCCCATTGTTGTAAGCCCCTCTCCTTCGGGCTGAATTGACTTCCAGGGGGACTTAAAGGGCCAGTGTCCTTCACCCCTTCCCTTCAATTTTCTTCTGTTTTCCTTTTGGAAACCATACATTAAAGCCTATGACATTCAAAAGCAATTGGATATACAGGGAAAATTAGAAATTGACCATGTATGTCCAAGGAAAGAAACAGGCTCAGAAAAAAAAAAAAAAACCTGACTCACGCCTGTAATCCCAGCACTTTGGGAGGCCGAGGCAGGCAGATCACTAGGTCAGGAGATCGAGACCATCCTGGCTAACATGGTGAAACCCCATCTCTACCAAAAATACAAAAAATTAGCCAGGTGTGGTGGCAGGCACCTGTAGTCCCAGCTACTCCAGAGGCTGAGGCAGGAGAATGGCATGAACCCAGGAGGCAGAGCTTGCAGTGAGCTGAGATCACGCCACTGCACTCCAGCCTGGGCGACAGAGCGAGACTCCATCTCAAGAAAAAAAAAAAAAAACAAACCTGAGAAGATCTTAAGTTTACACCTCAGGCTGATCCTTGGCACAGAGACAGCCTACAGTAATTCTGAAAATAAATAAAGAAATACATAGCAACAATGACAAAATAAAAAAACAGCAAACCCTAGGGGAGGGAGAGAATCTGATTTCCAGAGTTACTATATTATTAGATTCAAATGTCCAGTTTTCAACAACAAATGAAAATCACAAAGCATACAACGAAATAGGAAATTGTGACCCATTCAAAGGAAAAATGTAACTCAACAGAAACTGCCTCTGAAAAACACCTGGTAGCAGATCTACTAGACAAAGACTTCAAAACGACTGTCTTACAGATGCTCAAAAACTAGAGGAGATGTAGAAAAGTTATAAGAAATGGTCTATAAACAAAATGGAAAAATCAATAAAGAAACAGAAAACAAGAAACCAAAAAGAAATTTCAAAGCTGAAAAGTACTATAACTGGGCTGGGCGCGGTGGCTCACACCTGTAATCCCAGCACTTTGGGAGGCCGAGGCAGGCAGATCACGAGGTCAGGAGATCAAGACCATCCTGGCTAACATGGTGAAACCCTGTCTCTACCAAAAATACAAAAATTAGCTGGGCATGGTGGCGGGCGCCTATAATCCCAGCTACTCGGGAGGCTGAAGCAGGAGAATGGCGTGAACCCAGGAGGCAGAGCTTGCAGTGAGCTGAGATCGCACCACCGCACTCCAGCCTGGGCAACAGGGTGAGATCCATCTCTTAAAAAAAAAAAAAAAAGTACCATAACCAAAATGTAAAATTTACTAGAAATACTCAAAAGACTTATTTGGGCAGATAGAAAAAAGAATCAATGAACATGAAGACAGGACAAAGGAAATTATGGAGTCTAGGAACAGAAAGAAAAAAATTAAAGAAAAGTGAACAGAGCCCAAGGGACCTTTGGGACACAATGGACCAACATATACATTGTAGGAGTCTCAGAAGAAGAGATGGAAAAAGAGGAAGAAAGAATATTTGAAGAAATAGTGGCTGAAAACTTCCCAAATTTTATGAAGACATGAATATAAACATCCAAGAAGCTCAATAAACTCCAAGTAAGATGAACTCAAAGAGACCCACACTGAGACACATTACAATCAAACTTTCAGCTGGGCATGGTGGAACATGCCTGTAATCCCAGCATTTTGGGAGGCCAAGGTAGGCAGATCGCTTGAACTCAGGAGTTCAAAACCAGGCTGGGCAAAACAGCAATAGCCCGTCACTACAAAAAATACAAAAATTAGCTGGCTGTGGTGGTGTGCACCTGTAGTCCCAGCAACTTGGAAGGCTGAGGTGGGAGGATTGCTTGAGCTCAGGAGGTCAAGGCTGCAGTGAGCTGAGATCATGCCACTGCACTCCAGCCTGGGCAACCAAATAAGACCCTGTCTCAAAAAAAAAAAAAAAAGAAAAGAAGAAGAAGAAAGAATTTCGGAAGAGATAAGTGGCTGGTCACATACGGGATCTTCTCAATAAGATTATCAGCATATTTCTCATCTGAAACTTTGGAGGCCAGAAGGCAGTGGGCCAATATATTCAAGGTGCTAAAAGAAAAAGAACTGTCAACCAAGAATTCTATATTCATCAAAATTGTCCTTCAAAAGTTAAGGAGAAAGGATGAATAGAGTAATTGTGGGTATTAGAGGCTAGGAAGGGGAGGAGGAGGGAAGGATATGGAGACTTTAGTCAATGGATACAAAATTACAGTTAGATAGAAGGAATGAGTTCTGATCTTCTGCAGCACTGTAGGGTGAAAATGGTTAACTATAATTTGTTATATACAAGAGAGGATTTTGAATGTTCACAACACAAAGAAATCATAAATGTTTGAGGTAATGGATGTGCTAATTACCCTTATTTGATCATTCCACATCATACACATATATCAAAATATCACTCTCTATTCCATAAATATGTATAATTATGTGTTAACTCAAAATAAAAGAAATAAGTGTAATTTAAAGTGAAAAAAATGTTAAGTGAAGAGAAATTAAGACATTCTCAGATAAACAAAAATTAAGACAGCATCCACTAGTGGTGTTGTTATCACTAGGCCTACCCTGCAAGAAATGCTCAAGGGAATCCTGCAGGGTGAAATGAAAAGACATTAGACAGTAACTTGAAGCCATGTGAAGAAATAAAGGTCTCAATAAAGGTAAATATATGTGCAATTATAAAAGATATATTGTTGTAACAATTATATGTAACTTTATCTGTTTTTTACATGATTTCAGAGACTACTGCATTTTTAAAAATTAGTCTAAAAGCTAGTATTATTATAACTTCGATTGGTAGCCATACATTTTATTATCTACATAATTTAAGAAACTGATGAATTTAAAACAGCCATTGGCTTATATTTTTAGACACACAATATGTAAAGATGTAGTTCTGTGACATCAGCAACTGAAAGGAGTGGGGCTAGAACTGTAAAGGAACAGAGTTTTTGTGTGTTATTGAAGTTAATAAGGTATAAATTCAAATTAGGGTGTTATAATTTTAGGATGTTAAATGTAACCAAATCCCATCGTAACTACTAAGAAAATAGCTATAGAGTATGCACAAGGCCAGGTGTGGTGGCTCACACCTGTAATCCCAGCACTTTGGGAGGCTGAGGCAGGAGGATTGCTAGAGCCCAGGAGTTTGAGATCAGCCTGGGCAACATACCTAAACCCCGTCTCTATTAAAAAAAAAAAGTACAAAAATTAGCTGGGCATGGTAACACGCACCTGTGGTCCCAGCCACTTGGGAGGCTGACGTGGGAGGATTGCTTGAGCCCAGGAGGTCAAGGCTGCAGTGAGCCATTATGCCACTGCCCTCCAGCCTGAGCAACAGAGTGAGTCCCTGTCTCAAAAAAAAAAAATGCACAAAAAGAAATGAGAAAGGAATTTAAACATTCCACTACAAAAAATTAACCACAAAATAAAGCTATCATACAGGAAATGAGAGATTAAAAAAGCTATAAGGCATATCAAAAACTAATATAAAAATGACAGAAGTCCATCCTTAAGTAACAAAAATCAATAAAACCAAAATTTGGCTCTTTGGAAAGATCAACAAAATTGACAAGCCTTTAGATAGATGGACTAAGAAAAAAACAGAAGAAGACTCAAATTACTAAAATCAGAAACGAAAGTGAAAACATTACCACAAATTTTACAGAAATGAAAAGGTTATAAGCAGGTACTATGAACAATTGTATACCCCAAAATTAGATAATTTAGAGAAAATGGACAAATTCCTAGAAACACAAAAACCAATACTAAATTTCTATTTTCAGAAATAGAAAATCTAGGCTGAGCACAGTAGTTCATGCCTGTAATCTAACACTTTGGGAGGCCCAGGCAGGGAGATTATATGAGGCCAGGAGTTCAGGACCAGCCCAGCCCACATAGCAAAACCCCGTCTCTACCAAAAAATACAAAAATTAGCCAGGCGTAGTGTTGCATGCCTGTAGTCCCAGCTACTTGGGAGGCTGAAGTGGGAGAATTGCTTTGAACCCAGGAAGCAGAGGAGGTTGCAATGAGCCGAAATTGTACCACTGCACTCCAGCCTAGGCTACACAGTGAGACTATGGAAGGAAGGAAAGAAGTAAGGAAGGAAGGGAGGGAGGGAGGGAGGGAGGGAAGGAGGGGGGAAGGAGGGAGAGGAGAAAGAGGGAGAGGGAGATTGAACCAGTAATCAAAAAATCTCCTGACAAAGAAAAGCCCTGGTAGACCTGATGGCTTCACTGGTAAATTCAATCAAACATTTACAGAAGGGCAACAATCCTTCTCAAACTTTTCCAAGAAATTGAAAAGGAAGGAAAACTTCTTTACTCATTGTATGAGGCCAGCATTACCCTGATACCAAAGCTAGATAAAGACACTACAAGAAAACAAAACTACAGACCAATGTCCTTTATGAACATGGATGCAAACATTGTCAAAAAATACTAGCAAACCAAATTCAGCAGCTTATTAAAAGCCTTATACACCATAACCAAGTAGGATTTAGTCCTCAAACAAGGATGGTTCAACATACAAAAATTGACCAATGTGACATACAACATTAACAGGATGAAGGGGAAAAAAACCACATGATCATCTCAATTGATGCAGAAAAAATAGCATGTGACAAAATTCAACAGCCTTTCATGACAAAAAAAAAAAAAGCCTCAACAAAGTAGGAATGCAAAAAATAAATAAATAAATACCTCAGTTGGCCAGGGGCAGTGGCTCATGCCTATAGTCCCAGCACTTTGGGAGGCCAAGGTGGGTGGATCACCTGAGGTCAGGGGTTCGAGACCAGCCTGGCCAACATGGTGAAACCCCGTATCTACTAAAAATACAAAATTAGCCAAGCATGGTGACACATGCCTGTAATCCCTGCTACTTAGGAGGCTGAAGTCAGAGAATTGTTTGAGCCTGGGAGGCACAAGCTGCAGTGAGCCAAGAGTACACTGCACTCCAGCCTGGGCAACAGAGTGAGACTCCGTCTAAAAAAAAAAAAAAAAAAAAAAAACCTCAATATAATAAAACCCATTTATGAAAAACCCACAACAAATGTCATACTCAATGGTAAAAGACTAAAAGCTTGTTATCTAAGATCAGGAAGAAGGCAAGGATGCCCACTTTTGCCACTTCAACATAGCAGTGGAAATTCTAGCAAGAGAAATTCGTCAAGAAAAAGAAATAAAAACATCCAATTGGAAAAAAAAAAAGAAGCAAAATTATCTCCGTTCAGAGATGATATGATTTTCATATGTAGAAAACCCTAAGTATTTCACCCAAAAAAAAGCTGGAACTAATAAATGAATTCAGCAAAGTAGTAAGATACAAAATCAACACACAAAAACTAGTTGCATTTCTAAACACTAACAATGCGCAATCTGAAATGGAAATTACAAAAACAATTCCATGTACAACAGTAACAAAATGAATAGAATACTTAGGAATTAACCAAGGGGGTGAAAGATTTGTAGAATGAAAACTACAAAACATTGCTGAAATAAAGAAGACATAGGCTGGGCACGGTGGCTCATGTCTATAATCCCAACACTTTGGGAGGCTGAGGTGAAAGGATCACCTGAGCCCAGAAGTTCAAGACCAGTCTGGGAAACATAGTGAAACCCCATCTTTACAAAAAAGAAAAAATACAAAAATGCGACAGACGTGGTGGCACACACCTGTAGTCTCAGCTACTCAGGAGGCTGAGGTAGGAGGATTCCCTGAGCCCTGGAGGTTGAGGCTGCAGTGAGTCATGATTGCACCACTGCACTCCAGGCTGGGCAACAGAGTGAGACCCTGTCTCAAAAAAAAAATAATAAAAATAAGTGAATAAATAAAATAAAGAAGACATAAATAAATGGAAACACATCCCACATTCATGGATTGGAAAACTACTACTACTAAGATGTCAATACTACCCAAAGCAATCTACAGATTCAATGCAATCCCTAACAAAATCCTAATGATGTTTTTCAAAGAAATAGAAAACCCCATCCTAAAATTCACATGGAATCTCAAAGGACCATGAACAGCCAAAACAATCTTGAAAAAGAACAGCAAAGCTGGAAAATTCATACTTCCTGATTTCAAACTTACTACAAAGCTATGGTAATCAAACCAGTGTGGAACTGGCATAAAGATAACATATAGACCAATGGAATAGAGAGCCCAGAAATAATAAACCCTCACATGGGGTTTATTAATTTTTTTTTTTTGAAACAGAGCTTCACTCTTGTCGCCTAGGTTGGAGTGCAGTGGCGGGACCTCGGCTCACTGCAACCTCTATCTCCTGGGTTCAAGCGGTTCTCGTGCCTCAGCTTCCTGAGTAGCTGGGGTTACAGGAGCCCACCACCATGCCTGGCTGGTTTTTGTATTTTTAGTAGAAACAGGGTTTTACCATGTTAGCCAGGCTGGTCTCAAACTCCTGACCTCAGGTGATCCACCCACCTCAGCCTCCCAAAGTTGCGGGATTGCAGGCATGAGCCACCCTGCCCAGCTGGATTTACTGATTTTTGACAAAGGTGCCAAAACCATTCCATGGCAAAAGACAGTTTATTCAACAAATGGTGCTGGGAAATCTGAACATCCACAAGCAAAAGAATGAAACTGGACCCTTACCTAACACCATATACAAAAATTAACTAAAAAATGGATCAAAGACCTAAATGTAAGACCTAAAACTATAGATGCTTAGAAGAAAACATAGGGCTCAGAGAGCTCAGGAGAAAGGAGAATAGGGAGTTAGTGTTTAATGGGTATAGAGTTTCAGTTTTACAGCATGAAGAGTTCTGGAGGTAGATGGTAATGATATTTGCACATCATTATGAAGGTCTGTAATAGTAGATGCAAAAGTAATTGCTGTTTTGCCATTACCTTTAATGGGAAAAACTGCAATTACTTTTATGCCAAATTAATACGTTGATATAACTGTACACTTAAAAATGTTTAAAATGTTAAAATTTGTTATGTGTATTCCACTACAATTTTTTAAATGGAAAAAAAAAAAGGAGAAGGAGATGAAGGATTAAGACAGACACACAGGGAGGGAAGATGGCAATCTACAAGCTAAGAAGAGAGGCCTCAAAAGAAACCAATCCTGCCCACACCTTGATTTTGGAATTCTAGCCTCCAGAATTGTGGGAAAAGTAATTTCTGTTGCTTAAGTCACCCAGTCTGTGGTACCTTGCTAGGAGATCCCTAGAAAACTAATACACTCATCTATGAGCCTTGCTGGGAGACAGAGCCCAACCCCCACTGCAGAAGCAAAAAAATGCCAGGTTCTCATCTTGGATTGGTCAAACAAATACATCTTGAACTTTAAGTGGGAGGCTGGTGACATCGAGAAGCAGAGAACCCAGTTTGGTGGATGTCACAGGAACACCAGATTTCCAGGAGCTGCACAACATATAGTTGCTGTGGTCCCCTGTCTGCAGCAGACACAGGTGTGTCGATACACCTGGCCATCCTTTGGTGGTCCCACCAGAGTGCTGATGGCATAGTGCCTCATTGTGGTCAAGTGAGCTGGCATCCCCACTGTACAGAAAAGGTTCACACAGCAGGCCTGAGACTTCTGTCCTTAGAAAGGGCTGCTTGAAAGACTGTCCCTGGGCTGGTATCTGGGAACTTGGATTTGGGGAGTATTTTCCCTATTCGCTAACTGTTAAGACGGGCTAATCAGTTTGTCAATTAGGGAATGCTTAAATGTTTGTACAATGTGGTTTATGCTAGACACCTGCTTTCCTTCTGAGGGTCTGGTAATTTGATACATGCTAGGCAAAGAGTGCCTATGAAATTGACCCTTCATAAAAACCCTGGACTCCTAGGCACAGACAAGCTTCCCCAGTTTACAACATTCACACCTGTTCTCTCAGTCTGATGCTGGAGAAATTAAGCATATCCTATGGACTCCGCTGGGAGAGGACGCTTAGAAGCTTGCACCTCGTTTCCTCCAGGTTTTGTCCAACGCATTTTTTCCATTTACTATTTCTCTTTGTATCGGTTTGCTGTGATAAATCCTAGCCATAGGTATGACTGTATGTTGAGCCCTATGAGTCCTTCTAGCAATTCACCAAACATGAAAGTAATCTCGGAAATGCCTGTAAGGACACACTGTGAATCCAAAATATCTGAGACAGATCTCAATCAATATAGAAAAGCTTATTTTGCCAAGGTTAAGGACGTACCCACAACACAGCCTCAGGAGGTTCTGATGACCACATGCCCAAGGTGGTCAGGATACAGCGGGCTTTTATACATTGTAGGGAGACATGAGACATCAATCAATATGTGTAAGATGTACATTGGTTTGGTCCAGAAAGGGAGGACAACTCGAAGCGGGAGGGCTTCCAGGTCATAGGTAGATAAGAGACAAAAGGTTGTCTTCTTTCGAGTCTTTGATCAGCCTTTCACTGGATACAGTTTAGTCTGGCTCAGTGAATCTGCATTTTACATCAGCAGAGGAAGCAATCAGATACGCATTTGTCTCAGGTGAGCAGAGAGATGACTTTCTGTCCCACACCTGTGAAGATAAGCTATCAGTTTACATTGCCAGGGTGAAATTCAACGGAACTGGTTTATGGTAAAGATCTTGAAGGCCACAAGGAATTTCCTTGCAGGCAAATTATGTAGGAGGTATGTAGCTTTTCTATCTGTATGGCTATCTTATTTAAGAATAAATGGGAGGCAGGTTTGCCTAACGTTGTTCTCAGCTTGACTTTTCCCTTGGCTTAGTGATTTAGGGTCCTGAGATTTATTTTCCTTTCACAATACTTACTTACCCATCCCTATCGAAGAGGGCTCCTTTATCCTCCACTCATTTGGAACATGTTCTTGAATGATGGACCCAGATCTTTGTCCCAGCACCAGTTCTGGTGACAGGCATTAGAACCACCCAGGGAGCTTGTTAGCCATACAGGATCCTGGGGCTCACACATTCCCTGATTCAGCAGGTCTGGAGCTAGCCCAGGAAATCAGGTGGCTGGCTAGTCCCCCAGGGGGTTCTGATGCTCAGTCAGGCTAGGGAACCCCTGGCTTAAAGGAAGACATCCCCAGCCCAGAATCTGGACACCTGAGGTTGAGCACCACTTTGGACAATGACCTGAGGGGCTCTTTTGGGCATACCTTCTCCTCGGGGTCCATTTATCTCCACCCCCAATTGAGAGGCTTGGCCCCAGCTCTGGGTTCTTAGTGTTCTGGTGGTCACAAATCCCTTTGTGAATCTGATGAAAGCAATGAACACTCTTTCTAGGGAACATGAACACACACACACACACACACACATACACACGTAAGCACAATTTAACCTATAATTTAGGAGCCTATAGACCCCATGTGAAGATCTCTGACCTAAATCCCACCTAAGGCTCCCAACTCTCACGTTCTATGATTCTATCAACAACCAACCAAACAATGAAGCATCTTCTGTCACCTCAGACCCTCAAACTCATGAACCAACGTTTTGGTACCAGCCCCCTAATGTCTGTAAAATTGCAAATACCAAGACTAATGTTCTCTCTGGAGTGGTGCAGATAAAGTTATATCAAGTATGGTTATTAAATTTCCATATTTAGATGTGCAAAGCCAGGCTCCTCCAGGAGTCCTTAGAAGCCATTCAGTTCCCAATAATCAGATTCACAGCTGCTGCAGCCGATTCTCGACACTTTTCCTCAGGTGGAGTGGAGGCTGAGGTCCTGCTCCCAGGCTCAGCCCTGAGTCACCCACAGGGCTTGGCCACCCATGAGTGCAGGCAGAAAGCAAAGAGAGAGATGCAAGCCAGAAGACATGTCACCTCCTCTGAGGAGCCGTCCCTGACCCCCAGTAGCAGTTAATCATTGCTTCCTTTGCATTTCAACAGTATATTATGTGAGCTGCTATTACAGGCTTTGAAATTATTTGCCTGGTATTATAGTTCATTGTACTCATGTGCCACCTCCAAAGTGTAAGCAATTTAGGATCCAAATTTATTCTGCATTCAGGTCAGATGCCCAGGAACCACCTGCCCTGCCCCAGGCTGCTGCCTGCTGCTTCTCTAATATTCTGTACTTCTTGGGAAACTGCTTTCCTCCGCTTCTGGGACGAGCTCATGACCATGCCCTGGACAGTCAGAGGTTTCCAGTCCTCTGCCACAGTGATTGGTTCAGGGATGGGTACATGACCTGACAGGCCAGTGAAATTCAACCCTGGGATGTTTGCTGAAACTGTCAGAGAAGAGGCATTATCTTTCCACTGGGGCTCCAAAGCTGATTGGATTGAAGCCTGGATCTGCTCTGGGGTTCCAAAGCTAATTGGATGGAAGCCTGGATCTGCACTGGGGCCTCAAAGCTGATTGGATAGAAGCCTGGATCTGCACTGGGGCCTCAAAGCTGATTGGATGGAAGCCTGGATCTGCACTGGGGCCTCAAACCTGATTGGATGGAAGCCTGGATCTGCACTGGGGCTCCAAGTTGATTGGATGGAAGCCTGAATCTGCACTGGGGCTCCAAAGCTGATTGGATGGAAGCCTGGATCTACAGATGCCATCCCTGCTGAGAGTGAAGAGTATGAGCCTCAGCAGAAGCTAGCGAGGACGACAATGCTGGCAGATGGAGAGAGCAACAAAGTCCTAATAATGGGCTTGTTTGAGGCTCTGGATCCTGCCAAACTGAAGCCAGTGCCACTCTTGAGCTTCTCAGTTTCATCAGCCAGTCAATTCCCTTTTTGTGTGAGCCCGTCTGAGATGGGTTTCTGTCCCTGGTGACCCAGAGTCCCAGATAAGGCCCCCAGAGTGCTAACTTGCCTCTGAGGTACTGAGTAGCTTGGTAAAGGGTATGCACTGGGGCATGGGGCAGTGGCGACTTGTTTGAGGCCATGGAGCATCTTAGGGAGGGGCTGAGACCAGAACTCAGGTTGCTTGAATCTCAGACCATTCTCCACATGACACACTGCCTCTCTTCCTCTGCCTGGGGGTCCAGCATTGGACCAAACCCAAAGCTGCCCTAAAGCCACCACAGAGTGAAATGCTCCCTCAGCACCCACCCCAAAAGGCCCGATGGGGTCCAGGCCACAGACAAGCAAAGGTCAAAACAGGCCATCCCCATAGCACTCAGGGTAGAGGCTGCTCCTAGCCCGAAGACGGGTTTCCATCCAGAAGGGACTCTGGAGTATGCAGGGAGTTAAGGCAAAAGCCAAAGAGAAGGGACCAGAAGTGACATCTCCACTTTGTCCAGCAGTCCAGGTACTGCTGCTACTGCAACCAGCCTCAAGGACACCAGCTGGGTCATGCTTACAACACACTTTACAACCTTGGATCCTCTCACCTGCCCAGGAAGGGCCATGCCCTTGCCCATGATGTGAGTGTGGTTGAGAAATACTGAGCAAAATCATCCTTCTTTTTGGCTTTTTGCTATTGATTGATTTGCAGTTTTATTGGATTGTGGTTTAAGACTGTGGTCTGTATATAGTAGTTCTTTGGTATTTATTGAGACCTGCTATGAGCTAGTAAATAATCAATTTTTTTAAATTTCCACATAAACTTGAAAAAATATATATATTTAAATGACAAATACAGGGCTAGGGTTCTCTATGTATGTATCTGACTGAGATTGATAAAGATGGTTTTTAAAACTTCTGTATCTGTGCTAAGTTGTTTCCCTACTACAGCTCTCATTTTCCAGAAGACTATGTTAAAATCTCCCACTAAGACTGCAAATCTTTCCATTTCTTCTTCTAATTGTCTATTTCCTATAAATATTTGAAACAAATGCGGGGAGAGATCCAAGTCCAGGTGTATCTTCCTGGTGAATTGTTCCTTTTACATGATGTAAGGCCTCTTTCTCATGCAATGTGTCTGATGATAATATTGCTACACTGGCTTTCCTTTTTTTTGTTTTTTAAGGCAGAGTCTCACTCTGTTGCCCAGGCTGGAGTGCAGTGGTGGGATCTCAGCTCACTGCAACCTCCACCTCCCGAGTTCAAGCAATTCTCTGCCTCAGCCTCCCGAGTAGCTAGAATCACAGGCACCTGTCACCACGCCCGGCTAATTTTTTTGTATTTTTAGTAGAGACAAGGTTTCACCATCTTGGCCAGGCTGGTCTTGAACTCCTCGCCTTGTGATCCACCTGCCTTGGCCTCCCAAAGTGCTGGGATTACAAGTGTGAGCCACCGCGCCCGGCCAACACTAGCTTTCTTTCGGTCAGAAGTTGTTGGGTATACGCTTTCTGTTTCTTTCAAACTTTCAGTGCCCTTGTCTTCCAGGTGTGCCACTGTTAATAGCACAAAGCCGGATTCGAGTCGGGGGTGGGGGTGGTGTTGTTAGTGTTGGTAGGGCTGGTGTTTGGGGCTGTTTGTTAGTTTTGTTTGTTTTTTGAGACAGGGTCTCACTGTCGCCAAGGCTGGAGTGGAGCAGCATGATCACATCTCACTGCAGCCTTGATTTCCTGAGCTCAAGGCATTCTCCCGCCTCAGCCTCCCAAGTAACTGGGACCACAGGTGTGCACCGATAGTGTTTTTAATCCAGTCTGAGAATTTCTGTTTTTTAAACGGTAAGCACTATCCACTTACGTGTATTGTGATAACTGAAGAATTCAGATTTCCTTCCAGCATTCTATTTTGTGTTTTGTTTTTACTTTGCTTTTTCTTTGCTTCTTTTTTCTCCTTTTCTGATTTCTATTTGGTTAATCAGGGTTTGTTGTTGGTTTGTTTTTTTTTTTTCAACAATAGCTGTTTCTCCTAAATTCGGGGTTTTTTAGAAGATTCTTTTTCTACTGACTTCAAATACTTAAATGATTTTAGCTAGTTTCTATCATATTTTAATAAATATGTAACAAGATTCCAAGTTACACAGTGTCATTACACATTGTGTCACATCGATGACACTAAGACCTTAGGATCTTTCCTCCAATCTCACCACCATTTTCCAAGTTGTTGTGGTCTAGCACTTTTGAATCCCCAAAACTGGTTGCTATTTAACCACTGTTTTTTATACACTCCGTGCTTATTTAGATTTAATTACCAAATTATTGTCTCACAGTTACTTCTTACGTCCTATTTTTTCCTTCTAGGCTTAAATTATATCTTAATGGAATGCATCCTTTAGTGATGCTTTCAGCAAGGATCTGTGAGTGCTAGAGTCTCTTGGACTTTGTCTGAACATGTCTTTTTTTCACCCTCACTGGTAGCTGGCTACAGAATTTTTGATTAACAATTATTTGCAGTGGCATCTTTATTATATCGTTCCATTGTCTTCTGGCCTCTATTGTTACTAAGTCTGCTGTGAGCCAAATCACTGTTATTTTGTAGGTAATTCATTTATGTCTGGTTGCTTTTAAGATTCATCGTTGTTTCCGGTTTTCTGCAATTTTACTCCTTGTATATAAGTGTAGATTTACTTGTTTTTACTTTCAGGGGTAAAACACTCTCTTTTCTCCACTTTTAATATGAAGATTCGTATCTTTCATCAATTCTAGAAAACTCTCAGCCATGATCTCTTTAAATATTACTTCTCTGCCTGGCACAGTGGCTCACGCCTATAATCCCAGCACTTTGAGAGACTGAGGTGGGCAGATCACTTGATGTCAGGAGTTCGAGACCAGCCTGGCCAACATGGTGAAACCCCGTCTCTATTAAAAATACAAAATTTAGCCAGGTGTGGTGGTGCATGCCTGTTAATCCCACTACTTGGGAGGCTGAGGCAGGAGAATCGCTTGAACCCGGGAGGCAGAGGTTGCAGTGAGCTGATATCACACCACTGCACTCCAGCCTAGGCAACAGAGCAAGACTCTGTCTCAAAAAATAAATAAAATATTACTTCTCCCTGAGTTGCTCCATGCTGTGCTTCCTAGAATACCTATTAGATGCATGTTGGACTTTCTCACCCTATCTTCTATATCTCTTAACCTCTCTTTTATAGTCTCCTTTTTATCATTATGTATTGCATTTGGGAGAATCTCATCACTGATTTTCTCCTGGTGTCTAACCTGCTATTTAACCTATCTACTGAGTGTCTTCATTTCCTTGTTTTAAGCTATCTCTTACAGAAGGATGAATGGCTTCATTTCAATGACTGTATTTTCTAGAAATTAAATTTGGTTCTTTTACAAATCTGTTTTTTCTTTTATTATGGTACCCTGTTTTTTCCTTATTGTTTCTTTTCCTTTTTTTTTTTTTTTTCTCTCTCTCTCTTTAGTAAATTCAAATGGCCCCAGGTTCTTAGAATCCTTGTCCTACGTCTGATCTCTTCCTCCCGGTGATTCTTCATGTCCCTTATGATTCTAGACTCTGAGCTCATCTTCAGCAGTCCCATGGGCCCTGAACTGTGAAAGAATTACTGTTGACAGTCTTCTATTCGCTTCTGCAAAGGGCCCAAGAGGGCCTATATTTTACATTAATATCTCAACGTAGGAAGTTCTCTATCACAGACCTTAACTCAGACTCTATACTGAAAGGTGTCATAGACAGAAGGCTTCCAGTTCTTATTGGCTTGGTTCTTGGATCTTAAATCACAGACCCAAATGTGTCTATAGCAAATGAGGTTGAGGTGATAAAACTTCCTTGTTGTACCCTAGAGGACTATATCCAAAGGCTCAGGGTATTGGAATACTGGAGTGAGTTTACTGTGGGAGACTTCTCACCTGCCCTCCAACTATGTCCCCCGGAAGCATCCAGAGGCCGCTCCCTTCACCCAGGCTTTGAGAAATACTTTGGTGGGTTTACACCACACCCCTGAAGATCTCCACGTGCTTATTTTCAGTAGACCAGAAATGATAATGGTGTCAAACTGGGTTCCCTGAATTCAATAGGAAAAATGAAATCCCAGGGAAGCAGAAGCCCAGGGATGGCACGGAGCCACCAGAGGCCAGGCTGGCATGGTTTCCATAATGAGCAACAGAACCGAAGTGTTAATGGTTGGACAAGACTACATCTATGTCATAGGCTGAAAGATCATGGTCTCCCTAGAACTGAAAGAAATGGGCAACCTGCTACTCACTAGGTTTATATAAACAGAAAAGCTCTAGATCAGAAGTTTGACTTGAATTAGCACAGTAGTCAAAGTCAAAGAGTCTTGATGAAGGATTCTCAATATCACATCACAACTAGAGCATGTGAAATGGATTCCATTTAATGTAGCCATGTTTGGATAATACAATCTACCCTGCCCCTTGAGAAGGAACTCAGCTATACTACCAATATACCTTTCCCAACATGACCTGCAGCCATTGGCCAGGTTACTGTGCATTGGAGAAGAGGAAATAACTAGACTTTTTAGAAATTATTAAACACTGGCTCTGAACCGACATTGACCATTCCCAGACTTGAGCTAGTCCACAGGCCCAAAGCCTCTATAAATAATGCAGTGTAACAAACTACAACAGAATTTAGTGGCTTAAAACAACACCATTTTTTCTGCTTATAAATCCGCATTTGGGGCAGGGCTTCATGGGAACAAGTCATCTCTGTGCTACTTGGCCTCAGCTGGAACAACTCAGGCTGGGGGCCAGAATCATCTGAAGGCTCATCCAGATGTCTGGTGGTTGAAGCTTAAAGGACTCAAAGAGCTGGGGACTAGAATAGCTGGGACCCCTCCACTACCCCTCTCTGTCTTTATGTGGCCTTCACTTGTGGTCTGTCCAGGATGGCAGCTTCAGCATAGCCAGACTTCTTATATGTTGGCTCAGGATTCCCAAGGCACAATGGGGAGAGGGAGAGAGGGAAAGAGAGAGAGAGAGAGAACCAGATGCAAACTAAATCTAAATCACCTTTTAGTGCCTAGTTTCAGATTCTAAGCAGCATCACTTCTTCTAAGTTCTGTTTTTTAGAACTGACAGCTCATATTTCAATAAAGAGACGTAGACCCCATATCTCAATGGAGGAGTCTCAACATCACACATAACTAGAACATGTGAGATGGGCTACATTTAATGCAGCCATGTTTGGATAATACAATCTACCCTGTCCCCTTGAGAAAGAGCTCAGCTACGTTCCAATATAGCCTTCCCAACGCGACCTGCAACCATCGGCCGGGTTACTATGCATTGGAGAAGAGGAAATAACTAGACTTTTGAGGGATTACTAAACACTGACTCTGAACCAACACCAAGCAATGTGGCCATGGCATCATGGATAGAGGCTCTACATGGGCTCATGTAGAACATGTTCTTCCATTCCTTAGGGCCACCTGGCTACAGATATGTCACCATTCCCCAGGGGAACCAGCCAGTGATCCAGTGGCAAGTTGATGACATTGTATCATTTCAATCATGGGAGGAGCAAACATTTTCTAATTGGAATAGAACCTTTAGATATGGATTTGCTTTCCCTACTGGCCATACTTCTGCTAAAAACTAGCATATGTGGGCTTACTGAATACCTAATTCACAATCATGGTTATTTACTTGGAGGCCAATATAAGGAAGAGAGGGTGACTTCCACAAATCCAAATAAAATATAAGCAAACTGTAGAATTAACATTTTACCGTCATCAATTTCATATTTATTAAAGTACTTTTCTGACAATTTAAGACCAGCAGATGTAAAGTTTCAGGGAAGAATTACTTTTTTTAATCCTGCCCTACTATGATCAAATTTATTATGAAAGATTAGCTAGAGGAAAAAAGCAAACACTTTCTAATTTATTAAAGGAAACATTTCCTCGACTGTCCACCAAGCTTTCTACAAGTTGCAGACCTCGAAACATGTTGATCATTTGATTCCATTTTCTTAAAAAAAACCCATCATGGCCGGGTGTGGCGGCTCACGCCTGTAATCACAGCACTTTGGGAGGCCAAGGCAGGTGGATCACAAGATCAGGAGTTCAAGACCAGCTTGGCCAATATGGTGAAACCCTGTCTCTACTAAAAATACAAATATTAGCTGGGCGTGGTGGCGAGCACCTGTAGTCCCAGCTACTTGGGAGGCTGGGGCAGGAAAATCGCTTGAATCCAGGAGGCAGAGGTTGCAGTGAGCCAAGATTACGCCACTGCACTCCAGCCTGGCGACAGAGTGAGACTCCGTCTTAAAAAAAAAAAAATCAAATCATAACTTTTATTCTTGCAGCTACACTGAAAACAGTGCCTGTGTCCTGGGATTGCATCACACTAAATAAATCTGAACTTTTCCTCAGGAGCTGAAGTTGTGCAAGGTCAAGATTCCTTTCCAAACAAACCTGTCCATGACACTGCCCCATTTCTACCAGCAGACCTGCTTCGGACCTCCTGGCCGGCTCCTGGCTGCCCTCCAGGAGGCCAAGACATGCCCTGAATGCCAACAGGTGTCAGTGCTATGGCTTGGGGCTTTCTCATTCATCCAGAATCTGCTTTGTCTGTGCTCTAAGCCGCGGCAGGTGTCAGAAGCCGATCTTCAAGGCACTGCTCAAGCCCAGCCAAGTTTCTAAAGTTGGAATGCTGGCCGGCAGTGCTAGATGTGTGTGTGTGTGTGTGTGTGTGTGTGTGTGTGTGTGTGTGTGTGTGTGTTTGCTTTGGGGGGTAGGGTTGTTTTTTTGTTTGTTTTTGAGACAGAGTCTCGCCCTGTCGCTCAGGCTGAAGTGCAGTGGCGCAATCTCCACCTCCTGGATTCAAGCAATTCTCCTGCCTCAGCCTCACAAGTAGCTGGGATTACAGGGGTGCGCCATGATGCTCAGCTGATTTCTGTATTTTTAGTAGAGACAGGTTTTCACCATGTTGTCCAGGCTGGTCTCCTGACCTCAGGTGATCCGCCCGTCTTGGCCTCCCAAAGGGCTGGGATTACAGGTGTGAGCCACCACACCCAGCCTGTTTGTTTTTTTTTAAAAAGCCTCCTTGCAGGTAAGTTAAGACCCAGCCTGTCCTTAAGCAGAAGTGTCAGCAGCTACAGAAAGAGTCTCGAGGTGGCTATATCCACACACATCTCCTCTGGTTCACTCAGTCACCCTTCACTAACTACCACCTATGGCATCAGAGCTGTGGGCCCGAAGAGGGGCAGGGAGTCCTGCTGAGGAAGGCGGCAGTAAGGAGCAACAGTGTCGCATGGAAGTAGATGCATGAGTTACTAACTCGAGCAGAAGAGGACTGTGGGGAGTCAAGGAAGTTGTGCCACTCAAGTCTCCTTCAGATTCAAGGAACAGAATCCCAAATCAAATCAGCTCAAACAAACAGGACACTTACTGGCTCACCTCACTGGGAAGTCCAGGGTTATCCTGCTTCAGGCCTGGCTGGATCCAGGGGCTGAAGCAATGATGTCATTAGGGCTCTGTGCGTGGTTTACTTCTGCAGGGAGATGCTCTTCCTGTGGGGGAAAGATGACCACTGCAGTCACAGACTCATCATATCCCACATGAGTAGTGACAGCAAAATGATCATCTGTCTCTCTCATAACACCACTCCCAGGAAAGGGTCTGACTTGTCACATGCCCATGCCTGAACCAATCTTTGTGACCAGGGAGACAGGATATTCAAACTGATCAGTCTGTATCATCTGCCCACCTGTGGCAGGAGCAGAGCTGTGACCAACAACCCTACCAGGAGCCTGGGGCATGAGGGAGGCGTTGTGCAGACAGACCCAGAGAAGGAATACACGAAGGCTGCTTCAACCACTGAAGGCTTGAGATGGCACGTGAGCTGGCCTCAATGGCTCAACGCAATCTACTAGGGGACAGTGAGGAGGCAGAGCAAACACGCATGGGACAGGAGTGATCCTAGAGAATGGCTGGAGAGGGAGAAGCAAGCAGAGCGAGCCACAGAGCCCCACTCCCGGGCCACGTCTGCTCCACCTCTCACCCCTCCTGGCCTGTCTGCCACTTGATTCTGGGGGTGGGGCAGGGTGCAATGATGACAGATGAGGAAGCAGATAGCATACTGACTTCTAGTTAGTCTATTTAAAAATGGAGATTGGCACCACCAAATCCTAGCTGAAAGCATGTTCAGGTGTGCAATGCTGCAATCATTAGGAAGAAGGAGGCCAAACCGGCAGGTGCAGCTACTGAGACCATTCTGGCAGGAGAACCCAGTGCCTGAGGTGAGCTGGCTGCAGTCTCTAGAGGCAAAGGAGGCAGTCATTGCCGGGCTTTCAGGGTGAAGGCAGCAGCAAGGATAAGACAGAGCTCAGGATTTAGAACCCAACATCCTGCTTTCAAATTTTTTGTATTTTAAAAAAATAAGTAAACAGGCCGGGCACGGTGGCTCACGCCTGTAATCCCAGCACTTTGGGAGGCCAAGGCAGGTGGATCACCTGAGGTCAGGAGTTTGAGACCGGCCTGGTCAACATGGTGAAACCGCATCTCTACTAAAAATACAAAAATTAGCTGGGTGTGGCGGCACGTGCCTGTAATCCCAGCTACTTTGGAGGCTGAGGCAGGAGAATCACTTGAACCTGGGAGGTGGAGGTTGCAGTGAGCTGAGATCGCGCTACTGCACTCTAGCCTGAGTGACAGAGTGAGACTCCATCTCAAAAAAAAAAAAAAAAAAAGTAGACCTATAACTATGCAAAAAAGCTACCCATAATTCTACCACCTGGAGAAGACCACTGTTAGCAATTTCATATATATCCTTCTACACTTTTACATACATTTTCTTATATATCCCCATATTTTTTACACAAAATATATAGAAGCAAAGATACGTACCGTTTCATTTAACAACAACAAAAAGTGGAGATGGAGATCAGACTGTGTCCTGGCCTCGTTTAACAGTGATAGGTGTCAGCGTGGTTCCATGCCACTGCGTGCCCTTTTATTTAAGGGTGAGAAATCTGAGATCCAGAGGAGAGAAATAACTTGCCATTTCTGTGTAGCAGGTCACTGGTGGATCAGAAACAGCGATGCTGGCTCTCACTCACTCTGGTCCTTTCCAGCCATGATGCTGCTGCATGGTGACCTCCCTTTGAAGGTGACACTTCTTCAACATGGGGGGCCTGTGGCCTCCAGCTGCAGGCAGCAGCTAGGGGCAGCTGGTGCGATATGCCTTGGACTTCCCCAGCAGATCCCAGGACTCACAGCCCTCAGCCTCAGGGCAGCCTGCAGAGCAGCCACTGTGACTCCCTGGCCAGGACCCCGGACCGGACTTCCCAGGAGCTATCACCTCCCACCCTCCAGCTGGGTCCAGTTACTACACAGAGAGATGAGCCTGGACATTACCTCTGGCCAAGAGACAAGGTGTGGCTGGTTCAACCACAGGCCATGGGTACACCCGCCCAGGCATGTCCAGGCAGTCAGGATTCATCTTCAGGTCGTCAGGGGACATGTGGCGTGCTTTTCCTGTGGCCAGACAATGAATGCTCTTTGGCTCCAGGAAGGGAGCTGTTCCTCACCAAATGTCACAGCAGTGGACACAGGGGCCCTGACGATGAAAGGCATCCTGAAAGGCAAGCCCACCACCCTGAACCTTCCCAGGGAACTGAGGGAAATGGAGAAGTTAAAGGACAGCTGGAGACACCCACCAGGCTGCAGACACACCCCAGGCTGCAGACACACCCACCAGGCTGCAGTCTGCAGAAACAAGAGAGGAAAACCTTAGCAGTCAAGAGAGCTGATGGGTGAAGGGCACCAGCTTTGGAATCTGCTAGCCTGGGTTCCAATTCCCATCAAGTTCTTGCTGGCTGTGTGACCCTGGGTGTGTTGCATTCCCTGTCTTAGCCTCAGCCTCCACATCTATAAAATGGGATTACTCATGATACCTTCCTCCCTGGATAACTGGAATTTAAATGAGGAGCCAGAGGAGAGCTCTTAGCACACTGCTAGGTGGGTTACTTATGGGTTTTTTGTTTGCTGTTTTTGAAACAGGGTCTTGCTAGGCCAGGTGTGGTGGCTCACACCTGTAATCCCAGCACTTTGGGAAGCCGAGGCGGGTGGATCACTTGAGGTCGGGAATTTGAGACCAGCCTGGCCAACATGGTGAAACCCCGTCTCTATTAAAAATACAAAAATTAGCTGGGTGTGGTGGCGCACATCTGTAATCCCAGCTACTTGGGAGGCTGAGGCAGGAGAATTGCATGAACCCAGGAGGCAGAGGTTGCAGTGAGCTGAGATGGTGCCATTGCACTCCAGTGTGGGCAACAGAGGAAGACTCTGTCCCCCTGACCCCCAAAAAAGGAAAAGAAACAGGATCTTGCTATGTTATGCTGGTCTCCAACTCCTGGGCTCAAGTGATCCTCCCATGTAAGCCTCCCAAGAAGCTGGGACTACAGGCATGCACCACCGATGCCTGGCTACCCACTGTTTTTATTATTTACCTAGTGGTGCTGAGAAAGGAGAGATACCACCTAAGTGAATGTAACCACATCATAGACACCCAAAACACCAACTAGTGTGCTCGTCATTTTCTTTTCTTTTTTTTTTCTTTTTTTTTTTTTTTAACAGAGTCTTACTCTGTCACCCAGGCTGGATTGCAGTGGCACAATCTTGGCTCACTGCAACCTCTGCCTCCCAGGCTCAAGCAATTCTCATGTCTCAGCCTCCCAAGTAGCTGGGACTACAGGCGTATGCCACCATGCCTGGCTAATTTTTGTATTTTTAGTAGAGACGGGGTTTCGCCATGTTGGCCAGGCTGGTCTCAAACTCCTGGTCTCAGGTGATCCGCCCACCTTGGCCTCCCAAAGTGCTAGGATTATAGGCATGAGCCACCGCGCCCAGTCAGGTGTGCTAATCATTTTCTAAACTAAATGTATTAGGCACTTCCTGCCTTTTTAAACAGAGTAAATGAAATTTAACATGTTCCCAATAACTCAGAATTGACATTACCAAATTACTACACTCTGCCATCCCACAGTACTATCCGTAGAAGTAGCCGAGTGTATGTCTAACACCACCTCCTCTAT
Source organism: Homo sapiens (assembly GCF_000001405.40). Classification (NCBI taxonomy): domain Eukaryota; kingdom Metazoa; phylum Chordata; class Mammalia; order Primates; family Hominidae; genus Homo; species Homo sapiens. Next base: position 119,005,474 of record NC_000010.11, read on the forward strand.
CACCACCAACTCAATGGCCTGAGCTGACCATGAGTCATCAAAGAAAATGTTACAAATGTATGTAAAGATTTAATGGGTTCCTAGAAAGGAGCTGACTCTCCTGTATAGCAAAACTACTCAGTAGAACACGGAGAGAGTTACCCAAAGCCTTTTACTCACGCCCAACTTCTCAGCCTCTTCCTAGATGGCTGGGCTTCTGAGGGTCAGATTCGTAGAAAGGGGACCATTATTCTGTTCATCCAACATGACTTTCAACACAGAGAGTGCTTCAAGGTGCTTTGTCTTTTAGATACATGCATAACTACTATCACTGAAATATTAGGTTGGTGCACAAGTAATTGCGGTTTTTGCCAAGAAAAGTAATGGCAAAAACCGCAATTACTTTTGCACCAGTGTAATAATTAGCATCTTCCGCTAATCTTTTTCTAGAAATTTGAGAGAGACTTCAGCTGAGTTAAATTCATGTCTCTGACACTGGGTTTCTCTTTCCAGCCTGTAAAGACCACTTTGAGGATGATGAGACACATCCTGAGCAGAGCCAGCTAGGCGTGGCCCCTTGAAAACAGCCCTTGTTTCCCGATCACATGATCTCAGCTCCTTCTCCAGTGGCACTCATCACATTATTCTGCAGTCACTGAGCTTCTGTCACCCAACAGATATTTGCAAAGTCCCATGATGTACCAGGCACCAGGAGAGCACTGAGGGTCCCTCTTTCCAGAAGCCCCCATCAGTGAAGGGAACAGACAGGTGGCAGCGGTCTGTCCTGCCTTGTGGCCAGGAGGTAGCAAGTACAAAGTCCCTGGGGTCTTGGAGGACAAAGTGACCAGCTCTGCTGCATGGGAAAGGAGGAAGCTTTCCTGAAAAGGGGACACTTGAGCTGAGCCTCGAAGGCCAAAAAGGAGGAAGGGTGCCTGTAATCCCAGCTACTCAGGAACCTGAGGCATGAGAATCACTTGAACCTGGGAGGCGAGGTTGCAGTGAGCTGAGATCGCACCACTGCACTCCAGCCTGGGCAACAGAGTGGGACTCTGTCTCAAAAAAAAGAAGGGAAGGGTATTCCTGGCAGAGGAAGAGGCTTGTGCAAAGGCACAGAGGTGTGAATGTTTGCAGCTTCCGTGGAGCTGAGGCAGAGGCTGAGTCCAGACTGCAAATGTCCCATCAGTGTCCATGCATCACCTTAGAGACAGTCTGGGCAGAATTGGGAAAGGACCCAAGAATCTCCCTCCAGTCCCTTACCTCTTGGCTGGAGCTCATCCCAGGAGACCTGCAGCCCTGCTTTACAATCCAGGAATTGAAGGTTCCACAAAAGCCCGCGAGACAGGTCCCCCCAAGCCCAGGCACATCTTAAAGAGCTTGTGATCGTTTGCTGGAGACTGCACCTGCAGATGACCAACTGGACCACAGAGCGGCAGATCCCCTGGCCTAACAGGCTAAAAATAGTCCCAGTGTAGATTTCCAGACAAGACTGACGCACTCAAACCAAAAAGACTCACAGATTTGCACAGCTGATGAAAACTAAAATATCAACAGGCTCCTCCAGCCTGCAGAGCACCTTACTCAACCAGACAGAGATTTAGCAAGAGATTCGTTTTCTGAGCTCCTGCCAGATCCCGGGAGGAGAGGCCAGAGAGTTTGTTATCATCTCTTAAGTAAACCATGATTCATCCTCATAGCAGAAAAAAGAATGAGGTGGCAGTATATATACTGACTTGGAAAGACTCTAGGACATAGTAAATGATAAAAGCAAACTGCAGAATGTATGGAATCACAGATATACTAAATTAAAAAGTGTGTGTGTGTGTGCGTGTGTATGCATGTGCGTGTGTTCATGTATAAATGCATGGCAAAAAGCCTGGAATTCCTCACAACCACGCCATGCAGTAGTATTGTTATCCATTTAAGCTTTTGTGAGGTTAAGTAACTTGAACATATGGCATAGTAAATATGGCTATTATATCCAGACCATATGGAACTGGATTATGATAACAATCGCTGAGATTTATATAGCAAACTTTTTTTTTAAGAACTGAAGAATACTCACTAAACCCATTCATTTTACTGTGTGCCTGGCACTACTCTTGCCTCTGGAGATAAAGTGATGAAAAAGTACAAGTGAAGTCTCTGCCTTCGTGACACTAACACTCCAGGGTCACCTCCGGGGAGGTAATGATAGAGAGTGGGAGTCAAGGAGATAAAGGAAAATATTATCCTTGTCTATAATGTTTGAATTATTATTATTATTTTTTTTTTTTTTTGAGACAGAGTCTCGCTCTCTCTCCCCGTCTGGAGTGCAGTGGCGCGATCTCGGCTCACTGCAAGCTCCGCCTCCCGGGTTGACACCATTCTCCTTCCTCAGCCTCCGAGTAGCTGGGACTACAGGCACCTGCCACTGCGCCCAGCTAATTTTTTGTATTTTTAGTAGAGACGGGGTTTCACCATGTTAGCCAGGATGGTCTCAATCTCCTGACCTCGTGATCCACCCGCCTCAGCCTCCCAAAATGCTGGGATTACAGGCGTGAGCCACCATGCCCGGCCTGAATTTTTTATAATAGGAATTAATCCACTATTTGAATAATTAAAATTTATTTTTAGTGTTCTCAATGAAAAGGCACCCTTTGCCTTTGAGGACATTTTTTTCTTTTCTTTTCTTTTCTTTTTTCTTTTTTAGAGAGACAAGGTCTCATTATGTTGCCCAGGATGGCCTCAAACTCTGAGGCTCAAGTGATCCTCCTGCCTCAGCCTCCAAGTAGCTAGGACTACAGGCACGTACCACCACACCTGGCTGCCTTTGGCGGTATTCACTCTTCAAGCCTACCACCCAACTACTAAGAGTTGATTTTTAATAACTTTAATTTTGGGGTTGTTTTTATCTTTTTTCCCTTTTTTGAAATGGAGTTTCACTCTGTTACCCAGGCTGGAGTGCATTGGCGTGATCTCGGCTCACTTCAACCTCCACCCACCGGGTTCGAGCAATTTTCCTGCCTCAGCCTCCCGAGTAGCTGGGACTACAGGCGTGCGCCACCACGTGTGGCTAATTTTTGTATTTTTAGTAGAGATGAGGTTTCACCATGTTGTCCAGGCTGGTCTTAAACTCCTGACTTCAAGTGACCCACCTGCCTCAGCCTCCCAACATGCTGGGATTACAGGCGTGAGCCACCGCGCCCGACCATAACTTTAGTTTTAATGACTATAACAGTATGTGCATTCAGAAAAGTGAAATACAGGGAGATGTCATTTGGGGGCACCTTGCTATGCACTGTCTCTATGTTAGACCTTTTCCATACACCATCTTGTCTGATCTTCTGTACAACTACAGCAGGAGTTGAGAACAATAGCTACTTCATAGATCCGTTCTTAAACAGGGGTGACTTTGCCTCCAAGGGACATGTGGTAAAATCTGAAGATGTGTTTGGTGGCCACACTGTGGGGGGCAGGGCGGTTACTACTGGGATCTAATGGAGAAAGGCCAAGGATGCTGCTAAACATCCTACAGTGCACAGCACAGCCCACAACCAAGAATGACCCAACCCAAAACGCCAATGGTGCTGGGGTTGAGAGACCATGTCACAGATGAAGAAACACGTTCGGGGAAATGACTTCCCCCAGGTCACACAGCTAGTGTGGTAAGCAGAATAACGGCCATCCAAACCTGTGAGTACGTTACCTTACATGGTAAAGGGGAATTAAAGCTGGATTAAGGTTGCTAGCCAGCTGATCTTAAAATAGGGAGATGATCCTGGATTATCCAGGAAAGCCCAATGTAATCACAAGGGTCCTTATAAGCAAGCAAGGAGGCAGGAGGGTCTGTGTTAGAGATGAAGAGTGAGAAAGACTCAACCAGCCTCCACTGGCTTTGAAGATGGAGTTGGGTTTGACCCCAAGGCCTAGCTCTTGACCACTACACTAGAAGAAGGGTTGGGGAGGAAGATCAGGGATCTTCTATAACCCCACAGTCCAGGGAGAACCATTGTTAATATTTTGGAATTAGGCCAGGCACAGTAGCTCGATGTGATCCTCCTGCTTTGGCCTCCCAAAGCACTTTGGGAGGCCAAAGCAGGAGGATCACTTGAGCCTAGGAGTTTAAGGCTGCAATGAGCTATGATCATGCCACTGTACTCTAGCCTGGGCAACAAGAGCAAGACCCTGTCTCTAAAATAATAACAATAGTATTTTGGAATTATACCATAGTTACAGATGTATATCATAAGCATTCACCTGTGTCATGAAAAATTAATAGAGGCCAGGCGCGATGGCTCACACCTGTAATCCCAGCACTTTGGGAGGCCGAGGCAGGTGGATCACGAGGTCAGGAGTTCGAGACCAGCTTGGCAAAGATGGTGAAACCCCGTCTCTACTAAAAGTACAAAAATTAGCCGAGCGTGGTGGCAGATGCCTGTAATCCCAGCTACTCAGGAGGCTGAGCGAGAGAACTGCTCGAACCCAGGAGGCGAAGGTTGCAGTGAGCTGACATCGTGCCACTGCACTCCAGGCTGGGCGACAGAGTGAGACTCCGTTTCAAAAATAAAAAAAAATAAAAAATTAATAGAAAGTCTAACTTTAATTGACCATGTGATAGTTTATCATGTGTTTTAGCATCATTTAACTTCTTACGTGGGCATAAGTTGTTTTCAATTCTGTGCTAAAACCACCCTGCAATAACTATTTTTACTGAATTTCTGACTGCATTCGGGGTTATCGCCTTAGATTCCTAGAAGTCGAATCATTGATCCAATAGGAAATGAATATTTGAGGTTGTTAATAGATAATGCTAAATAGCTCTCCAAAAACGTAAGTACAGGAAAGTATCCACTTCATCAAATTCTTCAAAATCTGATAGATTTTTAAAAATCATTTGATAGGTAAAAGAGTATATTAATTTGCCTTTCTTTGGTTATTACAGTAGGTAACCTTTTTCTCGTATATTTACAAATCATTTTTATTTTATCTATGATCATTTGTTCACATTTTTTGCCCACTTTTCTATTTTTGTGTTAATAATTTTCTAATCAGTTTGTGTTTTATGTACATAGCAATATCAACATTAAAGCTAGTAACCCTGTGTTCTTGTATATATGACAAATATATTTTGGAAAATATTTGCCATGCATATTTGTTAGGGGAAAATGTTTGCCATAAATAGTTGTTTGTTGTTGCTTTTTAGCATTTTGTTGTTAATGTTTTATACCTTTTATTTAGGTTTTTTTTGTTGTTGTTGGTGGTGGTTTTTGGGTTATTTGTCTTTTGCATTTTTAGTAGACACAAGGTTTTACTATGTTGCCCAGGCTGGTCTCAAACTCATGACTCAAGCAATCCCCTCGCTTCGGCCTCTCAAAGTGCTGGGATTACAGGTGTAAGCCACCACACCCACCCACTTTTTTTTTTTTTTTTTTTCATATTGTCAGATACTTTTCCCTTTGGGATATCAGCCATCATCTAAATGCTTTGAAAGGCCCTCCTAATTCAGAGATGAGGTAAATATTTACATGTATTTCCTATTAGGTTGTGTGTATGTGTGGAGTTTAACTTCTTAATTTTGACTTTAATTTATAACTTCATTATGATCATGAGATGCCCACCATGAGGGCAAAGTTCCTGCAACTTTTTAAGCTTGTCAACAGATGAAAAGGTCAAATTACCACCCCAGGAAATACACAAGTTTAGGCAAAAGTGAGCCTAAATTTGACACACAGTAACTCGTAAGCATCCATGCTGTGGTCCAGCAAGGCCGTTAGGCATAAAGGGTGAGCAGATCTCAGAAGGACGCCAAACAGCATCTCCTCTCCACAAGCCAAGCCATGTTCAGTGTTTCTCCTTTCACACTGAGAATTCCCCAGTGCTTATCATCAGCACATCCTGATGGTTTTCCTGGACTCCCTCCTCCCACCACACCATGCTCGACCTCACAAAGATGCAAGGGTCCTCGCTGGGGGTCCCTGAGCTCCACTTCCCTGATAATCTCCCACCAACACCAAAAGGAAGGATGAAACTCCTCAAACCCACCCTAAGTGGTGACTAGTGTCTGCCTGGATGGAGAAGCCCAAACAAACATCACCGAAGGTGATGGATTCGAGCCTGGAGCAGCGATTCTCAGTAATTCTCAACTGCAGAGCCCAGTCAGCTGTGAAATGTCATCAGCAATATCCGTGATAATAAAGGGATGGCTGGGCGTGGTGGCTCACACCTGTAATCCCAGCACTTTGGGAGGCCGAGGCGGGCAGACCATGAGGTCAGGAGATCGAGACCATCCTGGCTAACACGGTGAAACCCCATCTCTACTAAAAATACAAAAAATTAGCCAGGCGTGATGGCGGGCGCCTGTAGTCCCAGCTACTCGGGAGGCTGAGGTAGGAGAATGGCGTGAACCCGGGAGGTGGAGCTTGCAGTGAGCCGAGATCGCACCACTGCACTCCACCTTGGGCAACAGAGCAAGACTCCGTCTCAAAAAATAATAATAATAATAATAATAATTATTATTATTATTATTATTATTATTAAGGGATTTGGCTGGGCATGATGGCTCATGCCTGTAGTCCCAGCACTTTGGGAGGTGGAGGCTGGTGGGTTGTTTGAGCCCAGCCTGGGCAATGTGGTAAAACCCCATCTCTACACAAAAACACAAAAAAATTAGCCAGGCTTGGTGGTGTGCACCTGTGGTCCCAGCTACTCAGTAGGCTGAGGTGGGAGGACTGCTTATTACTTGCTTATTAATACTGCTCATGGGTTCTGTTGAACAGACATACCACAGTGTATTTATCCATTCTGCTGATGAATATTTGAGCTATTTCCAGTTTGGGGCAATTAGGAACAATGTTAGTGTGAACACTTTTAACAACCTTATTGAGGTATAATTTATATTACTATAAAATGTACCCATTATAATTGGACTATATACAGCTTTGGCAGGGCACAGTGGCTCACATCTGTAATACCAGCACTTTGGGAGGCTGAGGCGGGTGGACTGCTTGAGCTCAGAAGTTCAAGACTAGCCTGGACAATGTGGTGAAACCCCATCTCTACAAAAAATTCAAAAATTAGTCAGGCATGGTAGTGCACCTGTAGTCCCAGTTACTTGGGAGTCTGAGGTGGAAGGATGACTTGAGCCAGGGAGGCAGAGGTTGCAGTGAGCTAAGATCACACCATTGCACTCCAGCCTGGGCAACAGAGCCAGACCCTGCCTAAAAACAGAAACAAACAAACAAAAAATTATATAGTTGTGTAGCCATCACCACCACCTAGTTTTAGAACATTCCATCACCCCCAGAAGTTTCCTCATGCCTATTTGCAGGCAGTCCTCCCTATCCACCCACCCATAGCCCAGGCAGCCGATGATATGCTTTCTGTCTCTACAGTGCTGCCTTTTCTACAAGTGTAATCAGATAATATGTAGTATTCTGTGTTTGGCTTCTTGCACGGAGCATAATGTTTTTAACCTTCAGTATCTATAGTCTGTTCCTTTTTATTTCTGAGTAGTTGATATGGTTTGACTGTGTCCCCACCCAAATCTCATCTTGAATTGTAGTTCCCGTAATTCCTAGGTGTTGTGGGAGGGACCCGGTGGGAGATAATTGAATCATAGGGGCGGTTTCCCCCACTGTTCTTGTGGTAGTGAATACATCTCGTAAGATCTGATGGTTTTGTAAGGGCTTTCCCTTTTTGCTTGGCTCTTATTCTTGCTTTGCCTGCCACCATATAAGATGTGCCTTTCCAGCAGGTGTGGTGGCTCACTCCTATAATCCCAGTACTTTGGGAGGCCGAGGCAGGCAGATCATGAGGTCAGGAGTTTGAGACCAGCCTGTCCAACATGGCAAAACCCCATCTCTACAAAAAATACAAAATTTAGCTGGGCCGGATGGCAGGTGCCTGTAATCCCAGCTACTCAGGAAGCTGAGGAAGAATTGCTCTGCCTGGGAGGCAGAGGTTGCAGTGAGCCGAGATCACACCACTGCACTCCAGCCTGGGAGACAGAGGGAGACTTTTGTCTCGAAAAAAAAAGTCGGGCATAATGACTCATGCCTGTAATCCCAGCACTTTGGGAGGCCAAGGAGGGCGGATCATCTGAGGTCGGGAGTTTGAGACCAGGCTGACCAATATGGAGAAACCCCATCTCTACTAAAAATACAAAATTAGCTGGGCATGGTGGCACATGCCTGTAATCCCAGCTACTCAAGAGGCTGAGGCAGGAGAATCGCTTGAACCCGGAAGGCGGAGGTTGCAGTAAGCCGAGATCACACCATTGCACGCCAGCCTAGGCAATAAGAGCAAAGCTCCTTCTCAAAAAAAAAAAAGTTCCAGTTTCTTCATGTCCTCACTTGGTTTTTCCAGTTTCTTTTACTACAACCACTTTAGTTTGGTAGGTAGTGTGTAAACATTCTTAATCGTGTTTCCTGGTCCTCAGGAGCATCTGTCTGGCTGACTGCTAGGCCACAAATTATTTTTGCCTTCAACTTTTCTAAATATTTCCAAGTTGTTTTCCACATCGATTATACCAATTTAATTCTCTCTAGCAATATATAAGTTCCAGTTATACCACATTCTTGTCAATGTCTGATATTGATAGAATATTTGATTTTGCCAATCTGATGGTGTAAAGTGGTATCTCATTTTAGTTATAATTTGAATTCCCGATTATAATCTAGTTTATCCTTTTAATATCCATTTACATTTCTTCTGCTATAAGTGCCTTTTCACACGTTTCACAAATTTTTCTATTTGTGTGTATATCTCATATCAATTTTTAGTTATTTTATATCTTCTGGGCACTAGGACCTTAGTCAATGACATGTATTACAAACAGCTCCTCTCACTTTTTTTTTTTTTTTTGAGAGGGAGTCTCACTCTGTCACCCAGGCTGGAGTGCAGTGGCCTGATCTCGGCTCACTGCAACCTCCAACTCCCAGGTTCAAGCGATTCTTGTGCCTCAGCCTCCCAAGCAGCTGGGACTACAGGTGTGTGCCACCACACCCAGCTAATTTTTGTATATGTAGTAGAGACAGGGTTTCACCATGTTGGCCAGGCTGGTCACTAACTCCTGGCCTCAAGTGATCCGCCCACCTTGGCCTCCCAAAGTGCTGGGATTACAGGAGTGGGCCACCACGCCTGGCCATGACTTGTCTTTTTACTTACTGTGTGGTGTCTTCTAAGAAACAGAAGTTCTTCATTTTAATTAAGTAACATTTATTAATTCTTCTCTTTATTGTTAGTGGGTTATTTTGTGTGTTTGCCTTGTTTAAGAAATACTTCCTTGCCTTGAAATCATAGGAATTGTCCCATATTGTCTTCTAAAAGCTAGAGTTTTGCCTTCACAGCTAAGTCTTTAATCTACCTGAAATTGATTCTTATCTAAAATGTGATATAGAAGTCTGATTTTTTTTTCCGTAAGGATTCTCAATTACCAAACACTGTCTATTGTAAAGTCCAGCATAGATCAAGTTCCCACCACAGAACAAGTTTCTTTATATGAGTGGGTCTGCTTCTGCACTTTTAATGCTGGTCCATAGGCAACCAATCTATGGGTGGTCAATAGCATCTGAATTATTAAAGCTTTAGAATAATTTTTATCTTTGGCATGGCAAGCCCCATCCCTTCCCTGCCCATCTAGTTCTTTTTCTTCAAGAGTGTGTTCACTTTCTTGGTCTTTGTTTTTCCATATAAACTTTAGAATTGGCTTGTCACATTTGACACACACACACATAAACACACAAAAAGTGAGGATTTTGATTTGAATTACATTCAATCTAAATAGGTGTATTTGGGAGAACTGACAACCTTATAATAGTGAGTTTTCTAACACACAAACATGGCATATCCCCAGTTTAGTTTTCTTTAATCTCTTTCAATGGAGGTTTATAATTGCCTCCATAAAGGTCTTGTACATAGTTTATTAGATTAGAATTATTTATACCTGGCCGGGCGCAGTAGCTCACACCTGTAATCCCAGCACTTCAGGATGCCGAGGTGGGTAGATCACCTGAGGTCAGGAGTTGGAGACCAGCCTGACCAACATGGTGAAACCCCTAATACAAAAATCAGCCAGGTGTGGTGGCACGCACCTGTAATCCCAGCTACTCGGGAGGCTGAGGCAGGAGAATCGCTTGAACCTGGGAGACGGAGGTTGCAGTGAGCTGAGATCAAGCCACTGCACTCTAGCCTGGGCTACAGAGCAATACTCAATCTCAAAAAGAAAAAAAATAATGCTGGGCGCAGTGGCTCACACCTGTAATCCCAACACTTTGGGAGGCTGAGGCAGGCAGATCACCTGAGGTCAGGAGTTCGAGATCAGCCTGACCAACATGGAGAAACCCCATCTCTACTAAAAATACAAAAAAATGAGCCAGGCGTGGTGGCTCATGCCTGTAATCCCAGCTACTCAGGAGGCTGAGGCAGGAGAAGCGCTTGAACCCGGGAGGCGGAGGTTGCCGTGAGCCAAGATCGCACCATTGCACTCCAGCCTGGGCAACAAGAGTGAAACTCCGTCTCAAAAAAAAATATATACATATATATATATTCCTTGAATAGAACTTGTCTGAAAAGTCAGATGGGTCAGGTGCTTTCTTTATGGGGAGCTTTTTTTTTGGTTTTGTTTTTTTGTTTTTTGCATAAACAAGTTTAATTTCCAACGAGGGCCACAGTCATTGTGTTATCCCACATTTTGAGGAAGGATAGAGAAGGTGAATTATTAAACATCTACATTCCAGAGCAGGATAAAAGAAGAGAAAAACCCAGTCCAGAACTACAGTTAACACTATCATACCACAAACTTTGGGAGTGGTAGAGAGGGGGAATCCCCAGAAAGTAGAAAGCTGGACCCAGAGGCCAGGCACGGTGGCTCACGCCTTTAATCCCAGCACTTTGGGAGGCCGAGGCAGGAAGACCACTTTGAGCCCAGTTCAAACTAGCCTGGGAAACATGGCAAAACCCTGTCTCTACAAAAAATACAAAACTTAGCTTGGCATTGGTGGCTCAAACCTGTAGTCCCAGCTACTTGTGAAGCTGATGCAGTCAGCCGAGATGGCACCACTGCACTCCAGCCTGGGTAACAGAGTGAGACCCCATCTCAAGAGAAAAAAAAGAAAGCTGGACCCAGGGAAAGGATAAAATTAAACCTACCACAGGAGAGCAGGAGAAGGAGTGGGCAGAATTGGATAAAACACTCTGGGGAGCTTTCTTAACACCGTTATAAATAATATTTTAATCACATTTTCTGTTTGTTTTGATATATTGAAATGCAATTCATTTTTATGTATGGATTTTGTATCCAGCAAACTCACTACACTCTCTTATTCATGTTAACACTTGATTGTAGTGCTTATGTTTTTTACACAAAAAACATATGATCTTATGCAGTTTCATTTCTTCCTTCCTGATTCGCTTAATGTTAATTATTTCTTCTGCCATACTACAGTAGCTAGGACCTGTGAGACCTCCAGGAACACGATGATTAGAGGTGTTAAATATATTTGCTACAAGGTTTGTAGATACGCTGTATCAATTAAAGAAACTCCCTTCTTTTTCTAGTTTTCCAAGAGTCTTAATCATAACTGTATGTTGAATTATATCAAATGTGTTTTCTGTATCTACCAAGGTAATCATATTTTTCTTTAATATATGAATGTGGTGAATTACATTGACTTTTTTTTTTTTTTTTTTTTCAAGACAGAGTCTCGCTCTGTCACCCAGGCTTGAGTGCAATGGCATGATCTCGGGTCACTGTAACCTCCCTCTCCCAGGTTCAAGTGATTCTTGTACCAAGCAGCGGAGACTATGGGACTACAGACCTGCACCACCACATCTGGCTAATTTTTGTATTTTTAGTAGAGACGGGGTTTCATTATGTTGCCCAGGATGGTCTTGAACTCCTGAGCTCAAGTGATCCACCCACCTCAGCCTCCCAAAGTGCTGGGATTGCAGGCATGAGCCACTGAGTTTGGCCTCACATTAATTGACTTCTAATGTTAAACCAAGATTCCATTCCAGAGGTAAATTCATCTTAGACCTGATTAATTAAATATTTTTCATTACTAATTTGGTTTAATATTGTGTTTCAGATTTTTACACATATGTTCATGAGTGAGTTTGGTTTGTAATTTTCTTTTCTTATACTTCTTGTGCTTTATACTAGCCTCATAAAATGAATTAGAAAATGATCTTTTTCCTATAAAAGTTTGGTGTAGAATTGGAATTATTTGGTTTTTTAGTAGCAGAATTTATCTTCAAAGTCATCTGGATCTAGTGTTTTCTTTGTGAGGAAATTTTTAACTCTGATTAAATTTATTAACTGGTTACAGGATTACTGAGGTTTTTAAATTACTGAGTTTTACTTTTCTAGCAGATTGCCCATTTCATATATATTTTTAACTTTTTTTTTCTTTTTTCTGAGACAGAGTCTCACTCTGTCACCCAAGCTGGAGTGCAGTGGTGCAATCTCAGCTCACTGCAACCTCCGCCTCCCAGGTTCAAATAAGTCTCCTATCTCAGCCTCCCGAGTAGCTGGGATTACAGGCGCCCACAACCACACCCGGCTAATTTCTGTATTTTTAGTAGAGATGGCACTTTGCCATGTTGGCCAGGCTGGTCTCGAACTCCTGGCCTCAAGTGATCCACCTGCCTCGGCCTCCCAAAGTGCTGGGATTACAGGCATGAGCCACTGCGCTCAGCCACATCTTAAAATTGAGGAAGTATCTATAGTCATGGAATTGTTTGTCATGCCTTTTATTCTTAATAAATCTTGCTAAATATTTGTTAATGTTATTAGTCTTTTATAAGAATCAACTTTTTTAGGCTGGGCACAGTGGTTCATGCCTGTAATCTCCGCACTTTGGGAGGCCGAGGCAGGTGGATGACTTGAGACCAGCCTGGGCAACATGGTGAGACCTTGCCTCTACAAAAAAAAAAAAAAAAGAAGAAGAAGAAGAAAAAAATCAACTTTTTGGCTTTGTCAATCATTTATCATATCTTTTCTTTTCTATTTCACTAATTCCTTCACTTCTCTGTATTGTATCCTTTTCTAGTTTCTTCCATTGTTGATTTCTAATGAAATGGACTTGTGACCAGAGAATCCTATGTGACACCAATCCTGTGAAATTTGTTAATACCTGGTTGATGGCACAGAATCCCATCAACTTTCTTTTTTAAGAGATGGGGGTCTCACTAGGTTGCACAAGCTGGTCTCAGACTCCTGGGATCTGGTGATCCTCCCACATAGCTAGTATTTCAGGCATGCACCACCACACCTGGCCCCAGTCAACTTTTATGAATGCTCTGAGTGCTTGAAAAGAATGTAAATTCTGCAGTTATTCAAGGCAGTGTTTGTATATTTATATGTATATATAATTATATACATATCATTATTCAATATTACTAAATATATTCTATATCCTTAATAATATTGTCTATTTTACCTACGAGAGAGTTGTCACATCTCCCACTAATGTAGATTTGTCTATTTCTCCTATTTCTCCTTGCAATTCTATCAGTTTTTTTATTTATACTTTGAAGTTAAATTATTAAGTATATATTACCTTGGAACTGTTATAGCCTCCTGGTAAACTGAACCTTTCACATTACATAGCCATAGGTCCATTTTGTTGGCTGTTGGCACAGCAACATCAGCTGTTCCTTGGTGGTGTCTCCTCCCATGACTTCTTGCATCCTTTCACCTTTCACCTTTCTGTATCCTTATGTTTCATTAGAGTTTCTTATGGAGGACATATAGCAGATTTTTAAATCCAGTCTGAAATCTTTGTGTTTTAATAAAAACATTTAGTCCATTTACATTTATTACAGTAATTATATGTTTGGACGTACTTCAACCATCTTATTGTGTACTTCCAATTTGTTCTACCATTTATGTGATTATTTTTCCCTCTGTCATGCTTTCTTTTGTAATTATTATCCTTTCCTCATTCCATTTCTTTACATCTATTATTTTGAAAGCTATAATCCCAGCACTTTGGGATGCCAAGGAGGGTGGATCACTTGAGCCCCCGAGTTGAAGACCAGCCTGGGTAACATGGTGAAACCCTGTCTCTACAGAACACACAAAAATTAGCCGGGCATGGTGTTGTGCACCTCTAGTCCCAGCTACTTGGGAAGCTGAGGTGGGAGAATCACCTGAGCTGGGAAGGTTGAGATTGCAGTGAGTTGTGATCATGCCACTGCACTCCAGCCTGGGTGACAGAGCAAGACCCTGTCTAAAAAAAAAAAGAAAAGAAAGAAAGTTATACCCTCTATTTCCTTTCTCTTTTTTTCCAAATTGGTTCCCTAAAAATGTTAACTTACATGCTTAACCTCTCAAAATCTAAATTTAATTAATATTGATAGTCAAGATTTTCTCCAAAATAATCCATAGTATAGGAGATAGGGAAAAAAAAAAACAGGTGTGGAGATAGTTAAAAATAAGAGTAGCCAGTTATTAAGGGTAAACTGGGTTAAGATTCATTATGCTGGCCGGGTGTGGTGGCTCACGCCTGTAATCCCAGTACTTTGGGAGGCCAAGGTGGGCAGATCACAAGGTCAGGAGATCGAGACCATCCTGGCTAACACGGTGAAACCCCGTCTCTACTAAAAATACAAAAAATTAGCCGGGCGCGGTGGCAGGCGCCTGTAGTCCCAGCTACTCGGCAGGCTGAGGCAGGAGAATGGCGTGAACCCGGGAGGCGGAGCTTGCAGTGAGCCGAGATTGCGCCACTGCACTCCAGCCTGGGCGACAAAGCAAGACTCTGTCTCCAAAAAAAAAAAAAAAAAAAAAAGATGCATTATGCTATGATCTTTACTTCTGTAATTCTTGAAATTTCCCATAGGTTATAAAATATTAAAGTTAGTATCTTTCCCCTCTCCTTGAACAATATAAGGGTTTTGGAGCACTTCACTCCAGTCTCTCACTCCTGATGCTTGTTCTATTATTGCTGGGTATTTTTGTTGCACTTGGCTCTTTTTTTGTTTTAATGACAAATTAAATAACATCATTATTATTAGTTTGGTGCAAAAGTAATTGTGGTTTTTGCCATTAAAGAGTTAAAACCGCAATTACTTTTGCACCAACCTAATATTTTAAGTATGTTGAGTCTCCCACACAAGTATGCCTTTCTTTGCTCACTAATCCTCTTTGCAACTCAGACCCTTCCTCTGCAATCACTTTCCATCTGCCTGAGGGACACACACACACACACACACACACACTTTGTGTAGTGCTCCCTCACCTCACAGCTTCCCCTGTACTGTGTCAGGTCCCAACTGACAGAGGAAACCTGACCTCCCCAGCCCAGCTGCACTCTGGCTATGCCAAGGTCTTGGGAGTCATGACACACCCGTGTGTGGGTGGGGTGCTGTTGCCAGGGAGTTCACAGCCCTCTGCACTTTCCCCGTGGTAAGCTGAATAATGACCCCAAAAGGCATATTAATTCCTACAACCTGTGGATCTGTTACCTGACATGGCCAAGGAGAACTGAGGTTCCAGGTGGAATTAAGGTTGCTAATTAAATGATGTTAGAATAGGGGCCTGGCGCAGTGGCTCACACATGTAATCCCAGCACTTTGGGAGGCCGAGGCAGGTGGATCACTTGAGGCCAGGAGTTTGAGACCAGCCTGGCCAACATGGCAAAACCCTGTCTCTACTAAAAATACAAAAATTAGCTGGGCATGGTGGCACGCACCTGTAATTCCAGCTACTCGGAAGGCTGAGGCAAGAGAATCGCTTGAATATGGGAGGCAGAGGTTGCAGTGAGCCGACATTGCACCACTGCACTCCAGCCTGGGTGATGGAGCGAGACTCTGTCTCAAAAACAAACAAAAAAAGATGTTAGAATTGGGAGATCATTCTGCACATTCTGCATTATCCCAGTGAACCCAGTGGGACCACCAGGGTCCTGGAAGGTGGAGGAGGGAGACAGAAGAAAGAACAAAGAGGTGCCACGTGGAAAGGACTCAGCTACCTGCTATCCCTGGGTTTTGAGAAGGGAAAGGCCACGAACCACAGGAATGGCAGGCAGCCTCCAGACGCTGGGAAAGGTAAGGAAACAGGTTCCCCGCCAAGAGCCTCCAGAGGGAATTCAGCCCAGTGAGACCCACTGTGGACTTCTGACATCTAGAGCGCTGAGAAAATCAGTGTGTTGTTTTCAGCCACTATATGGGTGGTAATTTGTTACAACCGCAACAGGAAGCGAACCTGCCCCCACCAAGTGTCATCGCCTGTTTACTTGTCTGTCTGCCCAATTCGAGTGTAAGCTCCATGAGGTCAGAAGTACGTCAGTCTTATTTGCCACTTATCCCCAGACCTTGATGGTAAATAAATGAATTTTAGAGATGGAAAGGGCCAAGAAATCACTTAGGCCAGCCCAATTATTTTAAACTGAAATTTAAAACTAAGATCCAGAGACAGGAACTGATTTTGCTCGAGGCTACTCAATTTATACAGAGCTTGGATCCTCCATCCGCTCCCTGGGGCCCACCTGCCTTCTGGTCACTAAGCCGTAGAAGCCTGAAGACAGACACAACTGTGGAGAGGCAGCTCCGAGCACACAAAATCCCTGGAGAACTCAGGACGGCTGGGAGAGGATCAGTGCAAATCAGATAAGACCAGAAGAAGATGGCTAAAATGACTTGAGCAATCTTTAAAATGTTAGTCCCGGCCCAGCGAGGTGGCTCACGCCTGTAATCCCAGCACTTTGGGAGGGTGAGGCGGGCGGACTGCTTGAGCCCAGGAGTTCTAGACCAACCTGAGCAACATGGCAAAACCCCATCTCTACTAAAAATATGAAAATTAGCCAGGCGTGGTGGTGCATGCCTGTAGTCCCAGCTACTCAGGAGGCTGAGACAGAAGAATCGCTTGAACCCAGGAGGCAGAGGTTGCAGTGAGCCAAGCTCGTGCCACTGCATTCCAGCCTGGGCGACAGAGCAAGACTGTCTCAAAAATAAAGTTAAATGTTAGTCCCAAGGGGCAGCTGATCCACCAGTAACAACCAGGGCAGAACTGTGCCCAGCACCTGATCAGCTGAATTCAGGAGACTCTCCACCTGAAGCTTCAGAATGGGGAAACAAGAAAAGGGGTACTAATGTCAAACTTGAGGCCCGCCTTCAAGAAGCTCAGCATTTCACACCTCGGCCAGAGCCAAAGCTTTGGGCTTTGAGCAAATTAGGAAAAGACACTTCTTCCACAAGGTATCTTTTTCCATCTGTCAGTGAAGTGTCATAATATACTGATTTCGTTAGAAGATACTTTACTCAAGGTCGGCCAGAAAATGATCACAGAGTTACTATGTCTATGAAGTAAAGGTGCCCCCTTAGATGGGAAGCGGTTGTGCAGTACACAACCTGCAGAACTGTACACAACCTGCAGAACCACACATAGCATTCTTTGCTTGGCAGTCTGGTCCCATCCTTTCCACAGCCCTCATATCCCCGCTTCCCCTCCCTCTGCCTAGAGCCCTCAGACCTGTTGGAGAACAGTCTCAATCTACAGGTTACCATTTTACATGTAACTCCTTCCTGTCAGCTTTTTACTTCCCTCCCCCTGCAGACAGCAGGGATTGACGACGGGTGAGAGAAGGCTGATGGCCCCATTTAGGGAAGCACAGGAGGAGGTGGGGAGGCCGGATGTAGTGAATTCCAAATGAATGAGTATCCACGGGCCAGGGGATGATCAAGGAGGTGTGAGGGTTAACAGTGCGGGCCTTGAAGAAATGCCACCTACCAGCTAGCTGTGAGCTGCTGGGCATGCTTTTAGCCTCCCAAAACCTCATTTTCCCTTTTGTGAAATGCTTATCATTGTAGGCCTGCTGGGAGGATTTCAGAAATGATATGAGTGAATGCTTAGTGCACGGTAAGGGCTCAGCACCTGTGAGCTACTGTTATTGCTATTATCAGCATCATCAGCCCAGGGACATCTGCCCTTCCGCCTGTCAGCCTCCAGGCAGCTCCTGCTTTAAACAAAATTGGGACACTCCAGATTTCTAAAAGAAAACCACATGGCAGGGAGGAGGGCAAGTGCTGGAGGGAGAAAGGATTACTCACTTTACCAAAGTACCCACTACTGGATAAACAGAAACACCCAGACTGCTTTTAAATGGGGTTGGTTTTGTTCAGGGGACATTGCTGACACGGACTGGAATGTGTCCTCTCCTGCCCCTGCCGCTGTGTGTTGCTGGCCAGTCTCCCGCACATCTGGACCCCAGAAGTCCCAAGAATGACCGGGTGCATCCAAGGAGGCACAAACCCAGGTTCGGGGAGTGAGAGAAAAATGGGTGCAAATCTCAGTCCTGCTGCTCCTGAGCTTCTCAGCCTTGGGCTCCATGCTGAGCTTTGCCCCCGTCTCCAACAGGTCACCAGCGCACCTGCCTTGCGGGGCAGGGTTGGGGGTGGGGGGCACATGGAATAGTGCATGTCAAGCACCTGGTGCTGATGGTGGTGGTATTATTACCAGCTGGGAGACTTTAGCCCAAGGCAGGGGGTGTGAGATGACACCACGGCACCCGTTTCCCATTCTCCGCATCCCCTTCCAGCCTTGTCCACACACAGAGAATTCTGACATGGTCGTCACCTCCACCTGGCCAGAATATGGTAGCCTACCTTTTCGACAGAATAACCAAATGTATTTTTTTTCACAGTATTACATGTTTCATTTAGAACAAGGGTGTCCAATGTTTTGGCTTCCCTGGACCGCAATGGAAGAACTGTCTTGGACCACACATAAAACACACTAATGACAGCTGAAGGGCTTAATTAAAAAAGGTCTGTGCATAATCTCATAATGTTTTAAGAAAGTTTACAAATTTGTATTGGGCCGCATTCAAAGCTGTCCTGGGCCACATGAGGCCACCTGGCCACAGGTTGGACAAGCTTGATTAAGAATGAAGTCAACTGCACGTATAAAAGGATACCTGGACGTGGTGTGGTGGCTCACGTCTGTAATCCCAGCACTTTGGGAGGCCAAGGCAGGTGGATCACCTGAGGTCAGGAGTTCAAGACCAGCCTGGCTAACATGGTGAAACCCTGTCTCTACTAAAAATACAAAAATTAGCTGGGCATCGTGGTGCATGCCTGTAATCCCAGCCACTCGGGAGGCTGGGGCACCAGAATCGCTTGAACCTGGGAGGTGGAGGTTGCAGTGAGCCGAGATCATGCCACTGCACTCCAGCCTGGGTGACAGAGTGAGACACTGTTTCAAATAAATAAATAAATAAAAGGATACCTGACTTGAAGTGGCTGAAATAATAGAGATGTTATAATTATCTCGTGTAACAAGTCACCAAGTCATCAACAAAAATATCACTAAGGTTTGTTTTTTGTTTTAACTTTTCTGGTAAGCCATCACCTTGCGCCAGCTTTGTGTCCTTAAGCCTTATCACCTCAGCTCTATAGCCTGAGCTGAAGAAGGTGAGGGCCCTGGTTCTTTATTTCTTCCCCCTTTTTATATAAGGAAGCAAACCCCTTCCCAGTATCCTCCCAGCAGACAGCAGATGTCCGCTGAGATCTCCAGGGTGAGAATGGGTCACCAGCCCTCCCCTTACCCAGTGGTGACTAGGGGAAATGGGATGTTTCTGCTTAAACCTGTCACAGTTATGCCCCGAGGCTGAGGGAAGGAATCAGAACAAAGTTAAGTCTGCAAGGAGGGGGAGTGGCTGCCATTTTACTCGACAAGAGCCCTTCACTGACCAAAAGCAGCATCTGGGGCCCAGAGAGGTTAAGCCCCTTGTCCACTACACGTGACTTTGCACCAGCGCCAGGGTGCAAACCCTGTCCCGAGGCCCAGTAAGCTCTCCCCACTTCACCATATGGCTTCTCCACAACAGCAGACCCTAAGCCCAAGCCCCCCAAAGGGCAGGAGCCCCATCCCAGGACTCTCTGAGCTTGACAGAGCCATGATGTGGACAAAGTCAGCCAGGAGAGGGCTCCTCGTGCCCAAATGCACCTCACCCACCTCCAGGCCCATGGCTGACGGAGCCAAAGCACCTCCTGTCCCTGGCAAAGTCCTGGCAGGGGGTCAGCGGGAACCCAGAACCTGACAAACAGCATCGCTATAGCCGCCTGGACCCCGGCCAAGCTGCCTCATTCCCCAGGGCTGACCTCATGTTTCTGAAGAGCCTCAGGAGCCTGAGGTCTGTGAGCTGCCTCACAGGGTTCAGTTCTGCTGCCAGCAAAGGAAATGGCCCGGGCTGGGGGCCATGTGGAGAGGTGGGAGCACAGAACCCAGGCACCCTCCCCACCACCCACCCCTGCCCTGCCAGAGCCCTCAGCCTGTGCCAGGCAGGCCCCACTGCCCCACTCCAGAAGAAACCAAGCAGCACCCTCTAACTTCTGAGGTGTAGCCCATGCCCACCTGTCTTCTCACCTCTGCCGGATACCTGAAGAAACGTTCACAGACTGGCTGTTTCCATCTGTTTCATTCCAGACTCCTGGAAAGTGAGCAAAAGGCAGTGAGACTTCATCAGAGGTGCTAAGAACATCTCTGAAATCGTGCCAACACCTCAAAGAGCTAGAGAGCTCACAGCCAGGCTGAGGCCTGTTGCTGGGTGACAAAAGTCACTGTTTATTTAACCCAGAGCTGGGCCAGGTGCCCACACTGGCCTTTCTATGGTCACTGAGAGCAAAGGCTCCCAGGGTACTGAGGCCCAGCGTGTGCTCCACGACAAAAGCCTTCATGCACTTGGCCTCCACTTCCCGACTTCCCTTCTGGGTCAAATGTCTACTCACCTCGTATAGCAGTCAAGGGGAGCAGCCTGGGGAAACAGCCCATGGCGGACCCCAAGACACACTCATTTCTCCACCTCCTTCTGGGGCATCTCCATCCCAGCTCCACTTCCCACATACCCAGGCTGCAGGTCCCAGCCAAGGTGTTTGTTCCTATTCTTATCCCTTAAAAGTTTTTATTCTCCCCGTACAACCACAAGGGCCGAAAACCATGTTGGGAGGCAAGAAGGCTTCCGCTTCTGTGCCATCGCCTCTCTGGCCTGACCAAGGGGGATCAGACACAGCAGCTGGCAATTTTAAACTTTTCCTGCCAAAGTTATTCTCAGAACTGTGGCTCCCCATCTTCAGAGCTTGAAAAGTCTGCATGTCTTGAAAGGATGCAGGCTGCAGGGCTGTGTGAACCGAGCGGAATTTTCCATTCATAGAATAATCATCTTCATACCACTCTGGGGGGCTGGCGTTCTCGTGGTAAAAGCTCCGAGTTCAGGGTCAGCAAACCTGCCAGGCGTCTGCAGGAGCCCTGCGGCATGGAGGTTCTTTTATTTATTTTTGGTGGAGAAGGGGAGGAAATAAAGGAATGACTTTCTACCTTGCATGCCAACACAAACTTGGAAAAGGATCTGGGTTGGCAAGTGCTGAATATTACTGCCTGGTTTCATGACTTACATCAACCATCGGGGGCTAGAAGGAAGAGGCCGAAACATGGATCTTTAACCCCTAACCCAGAGAGGCGGCCAGAACAGGCCTCACTTCACTGCTTCAGGTCCTTTCCCGCGCCTGCCAGCCAGAGCCCTGGATTGCTCTTTGAGGGCAGGGGCCCCAGCCAAGGCCATATCGCCTCACCTCACCTCACTTCTTTCCAGCTTCCCCTGTGTTGTGCCTTAGAGTTCTGCGGATGCATGCACAGACTTATTGTCTGAGATACCTTGCTGGTCCAGGGTGTAGTGAGAAGGCCACCCGGCCGGGAGTAACAGGACCAGAGTCTTAGTTCTGTCACATAGTCACTGTAGCCTTAAAGAAGTCCTGCTTGGCTGGGTGCGGTGGCTCACACCTATAATCCCAGCATTTTGGGAGGCCAAGGTAGGCAAATCACCTGAGGTCAGGAGTTTGAGACCAGCCAATACGGTGAAACCCCATCACTATTAAAAATACAAAAATTAGGTAGGCATGGTGGCACATGCCTCTAAACCCAGCTACTCAGGAGGCTGAGGCAGGAGAATCGCTTAAACTCAGGAGGCAGAGATTGCAGTGAGCCTAGATCGTGCCATCGCACTCCAGTCTGGGCGACAGAGTGAGACTCTGTCTCAAAAAAAAAAAAAGAAATCCTACTCTTCTCTAGGTCTCATTTTCTTCATCTGTAAGGATTGGACAGAACTGGGTGCAGTGGCTCACATTTGCAATCCCAGCACTTTGTGAGGCCAAGACAGGAGGATCACTTGAGGCCAGGAGTTCAAGACCAGCCTGGGCAACATAGCGAGACCCCCATCTATTAAAAAAGAAAAGAAAAAGGCAAGAAAAGATCGAACAGAATGATCCCAAAGATCCCTTCCCATGCTGACATTCTGATTCCCTCATTCATTCATTCTAATATTAACCAATGCCAGCACTAGGTTCTGGGCATCCCCTGCTGAGCCATTCTAAACCTGCTGGGCACAGCCAAGACCTGTGAGTGTGGCCTCAGGCCTAGTGAGGGCTCATTGTTTCCACAGCCACTGCATGGTCCAGAGTGAGGAAGGAAAGCCCCATCTGCCCCATGAAGCCCACCCTGCCAGGGCCCACCTGCCAGGGGAGGCATTTTCCTGATCCCAGTTCTAGGTTTCATCCTAGAAGAGCCCTCAGTATCTAAAGCCTTTCCTACTTTCAATTTTTAAAAAAGTTGGGAAGTGTAAGACCACCTGCCATCTTCCTAATCAAAACTCATCTTCTGGCTCTTATTCTCCATGGCTTTTACACAACATGTTTTATTCATTTCAAAGTATTTAATTATAATGTTGAGGCCAGGTGTGGTGGCTCATGTCTGTAATCCCAGCACTTTGGGAGGCCAAGGCAGGAAGATCGCTTGAGGCCAGGTGTTCAAGACCAGCCTAGGCAACATAGTGAGACCCTGTCTCAAGAAAAAAAAAAAAGAAAAAAGAAAAATCAAGAAGAAAAAAGAAAGAGTGAGAAAGAAAGAAAGAGGCCAGACGCGGTGGCTCACGCCTGTAACACCAACACTTTGGGAGGCCAAGGCAGGCGGATCGCGAGGTCTGGAGTTCAAGACAAGCCTGGCCAACATAGTGAAACCCCGTCTCTACTAAAATACAAAAAATTAGCCCGGCATGGTGGCGGGCATCTGTAATCCCAGCTGCTTGGAAGGCTGAGGCAGGAGAATTGCTTGAACCCGGGATGCGGAAAGAAAAGAAAAAAAAAGAAAGAAAAGGAAGGAGGGAAAGAAGGAAGGAAGGAAGGAAGGAAAGAAGGAAGGAAAGAAGGAAGGAAGGAAGGAAGGAAGGAAGGAAGGAAGGAAGGAAGGAAGGAAGGAAGGAAGACAAAATATAACATTGAATACACGTTGTTTTTCAAACTGCACATACAACCCACATTTTGACTCAGGCCTCTGGGGCGAGGGGGTACACACACACACACACATCCCAGTCACTGTCCTAGGCTCTCCAGCCATGAGATTTTCCGGCCCAGCCCCAACCCCGACCTAAGTAACCGGCTATCGGCCACCCATTGGCTGAAGTCCCTGAGCACCTGTTGGGAGGAAGGCTGCTGCGTGCAGCCGGAAAGTCCTGCGTCCCTCCGCTCTTACCGCGGCAGGAACCACAGCCTCCCCGAACCTCAGGGTTTGTATGGATTTCGCCCAGGGGAAAGCGCTCCAACGCGCGGTGCAAACGGAAGCCACTGGCTGGTTGGGCGGCTGTGATGGGAGAGCTGCATCCTTCCAACGCGTCCAGCTTTTCATGCTGATGTTGGTGAGAAGGGGGTGGATAGCGGGGATTCTCAGGATTAGGGCCTAGGGCCATTAAAGGCTGGGAGGTGGGGGCGTAAACCTGTGGCCACCCTGACCCCTGTCCTCGGGGGGCCTCACCACCAGGCCGAGGAGACCCAGGCCTGGTCACCTGCTCCAAGCCCAGGCCCGGCGCTCGAATGCGGGCCCCAGCGGCCCTCCCTTCCCGGCCCTTCTCTCCCCTACTTTCTCCTCACCTCCCAGCTGCGCGGAGAACACGCCCCCTCCCCGTGTTCCCACCAATCAGCGTCCGGAGCGGCGCCCGAGGCGCCGGGGGGCTCTGGTCTGCAGCCAATGAGCGCCACGGCTCGAGGCGGCGCCTCGCCCGCCCCCTCCCGGAATGAAGGCCGCCCGACAGCTGGCGAGGCTGGCGCAGCGCGCGGGGCGCGGGAGCCGCGCGGGCTGGAGCGGAGCGCGCACACAGCCAGCCCGCCTCCGCTCCGCCTCCGTCCGGGGCGCGGGCGAGGTGGCCGGGGCGGGGGAACGCAGGGGGCAGGGCCGCGGCGGCGAGGCCGGGGGGCGGGGAGGAGTGGGCCCGATAAAAGGCGGCGCGGCGGCCCCACCCCGCGGCAGGCCGGCGGGCAGGCTCGGCGTGTCCCTTCCGTCCGGCCCGCGCCGGCGGCGGGGAGGCGGCGCGCGGCCCGCAGCCCGCCCATGGAGGCTTTCCCCTGGGCGCCCCGCTCGCCCCGCCGCGGCCGCGCCCCCCCGCCCATGGCGCTCGTGCCCAGCGCCCGCTACGTGAGCGCCCCGGGCCCGGCGCACCCGCAGCCCTTCAGCTCCTGGAACGACTACCTGGGGCTCGCCACGCTCATCACCAAAGCGGTGGACGGCGAGCCGCGCTTCGGCTGCGCCCGCGGTGGGAACGGCGGCGGCGGCTCCCCGCCCTCCTCCTCCTCGTCGTCCTGCTGCTCCCCCCACACGGGGGCCGGGCCTGGGGCGCTGGGGCCGGCGCTGGGGCCGCCCGACTACGACGAGGACGACGACGACGACAGCGACGAGCCGGGGTCCCGGGGCCGCTACCTGGGGAGCGCGCTGGAATTGCGCGCGCTGGAGCTGTGCGCGGGCCCCGCCGAGGCCGGGCTGCTGGAGGAGCGCTTCGCCGAGCTGAGCCCGTTCGCGGGTCGTGCCGCCGCCGTGCTGCTGGGCTGCGCGCCCGCCGCCGCCGCCGCCGCCACCACCACCAGCGAGGCGACGCCGCGCGAGGAGCGGGCCCCGGCGTGGGCGGCCGAGCCCCGGCTGCACGCGGCCTCCGGGGCGGCGGCCGCCCGGCTGCTGAAGCCCGAGCTGCAGGTGTGCGTGTTCTGCCGGAACAACAAGGAGGCGATGGCGCTCTACACCACCCATATCCTCAAGGGCCCCGACGGGCGAGTGCTGTGTCCCGTGCTGCGCCGCTACACGTGTCCCCTGTGCGGCGCCAGCGGCGACAACGCGCACACCATCAAGTACTGCCCGCTCTCCAAAGTGCCGCCGCCGCCCGCCCGCCCGCCGCCCCGCAGCGCCAGGGACGGCCCGCCTGGCAAGAAGCTGCGCTGAAGGCCCGGGCTCCCGGCCGCCCAGGGTCGCCGCCGCCCCTCGCACCGCTAGGTCTGCGCACCATCTCGCCCCCGCCGTGGGGAGGCGTGCGGCTCAGCGGTCGGCTCGACATGGGACGTCGTCCTGGTGGTTTTTGAAAAGCAGCCGACCGTGTGGAGTACTTCCGTGCTGAACGATTGGGACTAGACGCTGAAATCCCCATTTGTCTTCAGTTTCTAGTTTGCACATCCAGAACGGCGAAGGCTGGGTGTGTATTCCACTAACTGAAATATGGCAACTTAGAGGCGCTGTTTATTTACTGTATACGTCGACCTATTTTAGATGCGCATCAGTATGAAATTGTCTCAATCTTGGATGTTTCATTTTATGAATGGAGGCACTTTACTAGGTCTAGAATATTTTTTTAAAAGCCTCTGAACTGAGCTTAAAACTGGCGATTTTATGAAATGTCGGCAAAATGACTATTTTATTGTTTGAAGCGAGTTAATATTCTCAGTTGTCTTTAAAAATCAGTTACTCTAATTCCAGGTGAAGCAAGCCGCTGGTAGCATCACCCTTATGAGAAGTGAAGGTTTTGTAAACTTTCCAGTATTAATTTGGGCGGGTATTCCCCGCTTGTGGCTTGTTTCTGTCCTAGCTGGAGGTGTAAAATGCACAATGTGTAGCAGGTAGAATACAGCTCCTTATCGTTCTATGTACCAGGTATTTTATTACTGAACTAGCAACTAGCCTTTTCCACCTTTAAAAGTTGTGCCAAGTCATAATCATATTGTGTATAACTTGGAAATGGTGCTGTTTAAAAAAATTGTGTATTTATACAGTAACAGTATGAATTCATTAATCTCACCTGTAACTTTCCTACTTGGCATTTTCTCTACACACTCACCCTCTTCCAGTTCTTTAAAAACGTTTATGATATTAAGATCAAAGGGAGGAAGGGAAGACAGCAGTATTAATTCACCCTAGATTACTCAATTTCAGGGTTCCTAGTGGAGGAAAGCCCATTCCAGCTGTTGCCTGTCAAACAAATAGAAGATGGATCTCTAGCTCTGAGCTATTCGTGTATTAACTCGTATTCAAGAAGGTTCCACCGTGGGCTGCGTCTGACTTTAATACAGGCAGTGCTCAAACTAGAATAAGCACTAATTAAAGGAATTGTTGGGGGTCCTTCATGTGTTCCCACTCCTACTGGAAGACCCATGTCGGTTTCCGGAACCCCACCAGTTTACCCATAAGCAAGACTAAACCTGATCCTTGGGCAAAAGTTCCTAACCCCTACTTTACCCTCCCACCCTCACTTTTAAATCCACCATACTGAATGCCACACTATGGAATGCAGCTACCTGCCAAGCAAGGCAATAGAAGGCAAAAAATGGAAGTGAATTAAGATGAACTCATCTGAAATACACAAATGCATTACTATCTGAAGATACCAGCAAGAGTTTAGTCTACGTGTATAAGGCTCCCAGTAGGATTTAGCTAGGCTACTAGAAGTTAGACTGCTTTCGCATTAAACAGCTAACTTCATCCACAGCAAATTGACTCAATCAGGAACCTTCATTTGAAGGTGTGTTAGAGGATGGGGTAAATACCCGATAGCTGTCTTTTTGGTGAAAGAAAAGGTGCATTTCAAGAACTTGGGGGGCAGGAGGAAAGCACAATGTTTCTTAGCCAGGAAAGACAAATAATCCAACGCTGCTAGTCTTAACCCCAGACCAGAGAGAACTGCAGATCTGACTGGGCCTAAATTAAGTAGCTTAATGAAACCATGTAATTACTTGTTCTCCTTTCTTTTGCTATAGAAAATCTACCAGTTTAAATGAGCTTCACCTTCTGGGTGAAGTTTCTAAGGTCAACATGAATCCTCTTACCTCTCTCACTGCTCGTGTTCTGCCTTTTCAAAAGGACCACTATGAACAGATCAGCGCATTCTCTAGGCCAAAAGGGCTAGCCAGGTGGCAAGATCAATTTAGCTACTTTGTATTTTCAGAGTCAAATTACAGACGGTTTCCAAAGGTCTTGAGCATGGGGCTTTGGCATAGCCTCAATATATGGGAGTCACTGTGATGAGATGTGCCTAATGTTAATTTGATATTCTGACATTGCTATTTTACCAGAACTAAGAACATATTGAGCTGGAGCTTCTTGAGGGCAGGAGAGTATTGGAAAAGGAATCCAGAAGACCCTCTCCACTACTCAGGCAGCCACTATTCATCTATTTTTAAAGTACCCCATTTTCAGGCCGGGTGTGGTGGCTCATGCCTGTAATCCCAGCACTTTGGGAGGCGAGGCGGGGGTGGATCACAAGGTCAGGAGACCAGCCTGGCCAACATGGCGAAGCCCCGTCTCTACTAAAAATACAAAAATTAGCCGGGTGGTGTGGTGGGCGCCTGTAATCCCAGCTCCTCAGGAGGCTGAGGCAGGAGAATTGCTTGAAACCAGGAGGCGGAGGTTGCAGTGAGCCCAGATCACGCCACTGCACTCCAGCCTGAGCAACAGAGCGACTCTGTCTCCAAAAAAGAAAAAAAGTACCCCATGTTCAGCCCCTGTGCCAAATTTGCCTAGGTTTTCCAGCTGACAATGAATACTGGGAGTTAAAACGCAGAGTATTACTATAGTTAATTTTCTAGGGTTCTCTTATGAAAAGTATATGTAAACACATTCATTTAAAAATCCTTGGAACTCAATGTGGAACTTTAAACATTTTGCAAAATTACATTTAGAGAAACCCAATTTTTCAAAGTTTAAGAAATATACAAAGTATGACAAAATTATCTTCATAAGAACATGCTGCATACTTGCCTAGTAGCAAAACAATACAGGGAAGAGTCAAAAGGGCTTCTCCAACTGTAGAGGTACAGATTGTCTTAACCTGTTCTTTTCTGTACAGACTTAAAATTTCTAGTGGCTTTTATTTTTCTTTGTATTTTAATTTTCCTACAAAGTCCTTTTTGGAAGTTGCAGAATTATTAGCTTTGATGAGAACAACTTTTGTCATAGATTTGATTTATTAAACCAAAATTATACATATTAAAATTATATCACAAATATATATGCTTCCAGACAAAGAAAAGTTTGTTAGTCCTGATTTTCTAATCGTAGCCACTCAAGGAACAGTCCTTTCATAGTACCCCAAGTATTTCAATTAGACTTATAAAAGTATAAGTCAATCTATGGTCAGTGTCTTTGGTTAAAAAAAAAAAAAAACACAGGCAGTTCTTTACATAAAAACGTCCCACACGTTATAGATGCCAGCCACCTCCTGGTAGTCACTATGGACAACTAATGAGATGCAAAGTCTTTTGGACCGATGATGTCTCTACTACTGGATCTATCTGTATTAACAGCAATGTTACTCTCAATGAAACTGCAGAAGCCACCATGAACATGGAAGACCACCTAGCAGATCGGTGAGTAGGCTGCTTGTTCAGCTTTCCTTTAACACCTGTTGGTAAATACTAATGGGAGTAGACAGAGTTGTATGGCCTGGACAGTGGAAACCAAGAGCAGGATCGCAAAGTAACAGCATCAGACTCTTCTGCCCTCCTCTTGCACTTGGGTTCTGACTCCCAGAACAAAGAACTTGGGAGAACAGTACGGGAGACTGAGCAGAAAGGATGGGTTTGCTGACTCGCCTTGAAATCTAACTCTAACGTAGGCAGCAGTAACTCGTCTGAACAAATCTGATTAAATAAATTCTTGGGGCTTACCTGTGATGTCACACATACAGATCTACTCTCCAGGAAGCAAACTCTTAGCAAGTTACTGCCCCACTTGTAATCACTGATCTGAAATTCTCTTGTTATGAAAGAAAAGTCCTTCTCCCCACGAAAGACCTTTAAAGACTTCTACGTATTTGAAATACCAGATACTAAGGTGTTTAAAATGATTTCTATCATTGGTAACATCAAACAAAAATAGCTGCATCTGGTTAAGTTAAAAAGCATCAATACTCCCTCTTCTGGCCCTACAGCTGTACCAATAGGAATTCTCACCACTACTCAATAACAGAAATAAGTGCCTACAGCCATGATGAATTTGTAACATTTTCTCAAATTAACTACGATTTTTCTAATTTCAGGTGAAAACCCAAGGTGGTACTTCAAACACGCACATGCACACACAAACTCAGAGGACAGCGTT
The DNA here is from genome assembly GCF_000001405.40 of Homo sapiens. Taxonomy (NCBI): domain Eukaryota; kingdom Metazoa; phylum Chordata; class Mammalia; order Primates; family Hominidae; genus Homo; species Homo sapiens. Next base: position 119,034,824 of record NC_000010.11, read on the forward strand.
ACAAGGAAACTAAGGAATTCCTGCATTAACAAAGGAAGACATGTTAGGGGGACATCCTAGCCACATATGCTTTCTTTGTTATATTTAGGTTCATTTTCATTGATACTAAACACAGACATTTAATGGCACTGATAAAAATTCAAGTAAAAAAAACTCAACTGAATATGCAAACTTACCATTATAAACAAAATACTATAACCACAAATCAACACTAAAACAAATTCTGTAAGTATTTTATTTATCACTGAAGAAAAAACACAGCAGCAAGTTCTGTGTTGGCTTCAATGAGACCAAATAGTTCATCTTTAACATAGCTACTGCGCTCCAAAATTGAAGTCAACACAGTCATTACTACAAATTACTTGTTGAAAGAATCTATCTTCAAAAGAAAGAAAATTAGGAAAGAGAATTTAAACGATTCCTCCAAACCATACATTTATAAATATTGTCATATTTAAAATGCTTGAAAGGCATGAATTCTCCATTAATGGAAAAGCAGTTTGCTATTGGCAACAGAAAAAAACTCAGCGATAATTTACCAAATGCTTTAAAATTTAAAAGCTATACTGTTTGGATTCACACTTGCGCAGTAATCTTGTCATTACAACAACTGCAAATTGCTTTGTACTCACCTTCTCTCAAGTAAAATCTAAAGAAAACCCCACCGTATCCAATGTTTGTAATGTTTACTTCAAGTGAATCTAAAAAATTTCTAAATTTAGTTTATGGTAAATACCTCAAAATACCTAAAATAGGTACGTATCAACCACTTAAGGGTGTGAAAATTGTTTCAGATTCACTGCTTTAAAGGGTCTTCAAATATATTTTAACAGAACCTTACTTCATTCCAAATTATTATCAGATATTTCAAAATCAAAAAAAAAGTATCAGTTCTATACCAAGATAAAGGTGTTACTCAATACCTGAAGGGTCACATTTTAAATTTATTTTTTAGTTTTTCTTTTTTGTCAACAAATGATTGATGAAATAATGCAACACCCTTAAATTCCAGAAAATGGCATGGTTTTTCCAACCTCCTGTGGATATGGTGCATGATCAATCTATTATATAGGATTAATACAAGTTCATGCTTTTTGTGTTATGGTGAAACAACATTAAAGAATCCAATTTAGATTGGTTGAAGCACAAGTATAATAATCCTTGAATGTGATCAAACCTATTTAAGACACCAGTTTAAATCCATTATCTTGAGACTTAACGTCGTACTGTGGTCCATCCATCTTCATCAGTCTCATTTTTAGTACGACGGAGAGATTCCCTATCTTTCTCAGCTCTCCATGAGGCCTTCTCTTTTTCACCTTCTCTTTCTCGGTCTCGGTCTCTTTCTCGGTCTCTTGAAAGAGCTGGGGGAGGAACTCGACGAGGAGGGTCCCGCTCTTCCACCCGGTCATCTTTCCTGTCATCAGCACGTCTCCAAGAACTTACTAAAAAGTTTAATTAAAAAAAAAAAATTAAGTTAGTACTATATTCTATTGGCTCAAATTACTCAAAATTCCTGTACTAAAGATTGTTAAATACAGAAATCATTGTTAAATACAGAAATTCTGTTAAATTCTGTATTGTTAAATACAGAAATCATAATGAAAGCTCATACAATTTCTGACAATCTTTAACATACAAATGTACAGATAAAACTCAAAATCTGAAAACAGGCAGAAACCACTAGCCTGGGAAGGACTACAGTTAGTATAAACCCGTAAGACAAGGTGGCAAAAATCTGGCTGAATGAAAATTTTATAACTGAAAGGATTTTTGGCTCTTGAAGAATTTTAACAGCAAATTAACCATACAAAATACAGGAGTTTTTAAAGTTATGGCTATGAGAGAAAAATTCTCTCATAACAGGATGTCAAGACATATGGAAAATTAATTTTTAAAAACCAAGAGAAAAATGAGGATTTTAAAAATGAAAAATACATATATTTTAAAACAGAATAAACTTCTGTTACAATTTCAGAGAAAATGTTTCTACTTTGTGCTTAATCTGCCAGGAAGCTGCTTTTAAATAACAATTTTTTTCATTTTTATTAAGTAAACTTTATATATATTGCCTGCTATCCAATTTAGTCTACTACTGTACTTTGAATTTAGAGATAAGTGCACTTTACAACATGACCATTGAGTAACTGTATGAAAATCATGAATTCTAAATAGAATATCAACTCTCTTATTGTTGGCCTTCATACAAATTTATGATATAATTAAATAACCCAAATCCCCCCCCCCCCAGAAACGACAGTTCTCCAATACTTCAGTTGTATGTAACCTCTATACCTTCTTCACGTTCTGATCTGAGTGGAGGTCCTCTTCGGTCCCTGTCGTCTCTTAGATCTCGTCTTTCTCTTAGATCACGCCGGTCATCCCTCTCACGGCGACGGTCATCCCTATCCCTATCGTCCCGGCGACTTGAGTCTCTCCAGCTTGAAGATTCCTCAGCTGGTCCTCTTCTCCAGCCACCTTCATCCCTGTAGCCATTTACAATGACAGGTCAGGTTCTTACTGTTAGACCAAATGGATAATTATAAGTACATCCAGTCCAAGCTGGGGCTTAGAGTTTACAAATATAACAGACAGTTTAAACTCATAACCTGACCTTACCTGATGCCTGGGGCGTGGAGAACAAATGAGAACACCCAGATCTGTGCCGTCCCACTCGTTAGCCACTACCCATATGTGGTTACTTACATTTAAAGTAAAACGGAGATATTTCCTTAGGACCATCAACCATATATTCTAAGTGCTTGGCTGCCAAATGTGACTGCTGACTACCATACTGGCCAGCAGACACATTTTCTTCCTTGAAGAAAATTGCATCGAACACTGCTGGTCTACATTTGTCAGTACAAGGACACTTTGGCAGCGGGAACAAGCTAGAACTTCTACTACTAATAAAATCAAAGGGCTTTTGATAATTTAAGGGCAAGAAAACTGACTGCCCTAAACCACAGGGGTAAAAGCAACGGACTGACAAAGATGGCTGGACTGGTTCCAATGCCCAACGGGTCACACAGCCTTTGGACAGCCACGAAGTTTGGGCCTCCATTTTCTTACTTTAAGAGGGAATTTTTTTTTTTTTTTTTTTTTTTTTTGAGACGGAGTTTTGCTCTTGTTGCCCAGGCTGGAGTGCAATGGCGCTATCTCGGCTCACCACAACCTCTGCCTCCCGGGTTCAAGCAATTCTCCTGCCTCAGCCTCCTGAGTAGCTGGGATTACAGGCATGCGCCACCACGCCCGGCTAATTTTGTATTTTTTAGTAGAGATGGGGTTTCACTATGTTGGCCAGGCTGCTCTCGAACTCCTGAACTCAGGTGATCCGCCCTCCCAAAGTGCTGGGATTACAGGCATGAGCCACTGCGCCCGGCCTCTACAAATAATTTAATTAGAGCATCACACCTAGGTCTTCTGAAGCGATCCTCTCGATCCACATCTCTCTCTCTGTCCCTTTCTCTCTCAGGGTCCTTGTCATTCTCCTCCCGATCTTGATTATCTCTGTCCCTTTCTTTTTCTCTGTCCCATTCACGTTCTTCTGATGGCCTTGATTCTCGAGGTGGACCCCAGCTCTCCTCTCTGGCTTTTTCTTTCTCTCTCCATCCACCTGTTTTTTTGAAAAAGCAAAACATTTTTAAAATATTTTTAAAAGAAGAAACAGATTGGCAATCATGAATAGACGTTGGCATTAATTCATCATCATTCTAAATGCTAATTTAAGACACTGATTAAAAAAATACTAAAGCTGTGTACATCACTGCACAGACATCATTAACAGTATCTTAAACTTATATGAGAAACTTAAAATGGGCCGGGCATGGTGGCTCACACCTGTAATCCCAGCACTTTTGGAGACCGAGCCAGGTGGATCACTTAAGGTCAGGAATTCGAGACCAGCCTGGCCAACATGGTAATAACCCTGTTGCTACTAAAACTACAATTAGCCAGGTGTGGTGGTGCGCCTGTAGTCCTAGCTACTTGACTTAGGAGGCTGAGGCATGAGAACTGCTTGAACCTGGGAGGCAGAGGCTGCAGTGAGCCAAGATAGTGCCACTGTACTCCAGCCTGGATGACAGAATGAGACTGTCTCAAAAAACAAACAGGAAAAGAAAAAAAAATACCAAAAACCTTAAATGATCTGTGTTAAGTGTTCCATAAAACAAAAGTATCACTGAAAATTTTAGAATTTTTCCTATTGCACGCAGATTTCAGCATAGTATCTGTTCTGATGTTACACAGATCACTCATTTAAGCAGAAACTTCAAGAGTTTTCTCTGAGTCCCAATTTTGAGGTATTTATACCTTGCAACGTTTTCAAGCCCTTCATATCCAAAAAACAATCTTTCCTTTTATATTCCTGTCCTCCACCATTTGCCACCCATTATCTAGTCATTAATCATGAATAAATCCTTTAACCCTGCACAGTGGCTCACACTTATGCATGGAATATATGAATCTAGGAACATTTTATATACAGTACATATAGAGATGTAAATTTGCTGGTGACCTCACTGTTTAAAATGGCCTCCAAGTGTAGTGCTAAAATGCTGTCTAGTGGCCAGGCGTGGTGGCTCATGCCTGTAATCTCAGGAATTTGGGAGGCTGAGGAGGGTGGATCCCTGGAGCCCAGGAGTTCAAGACCAGCCTGGGCAACATGGCAAAACCACATCTCTACAAAAAAATACAAAAATTAGCTGGGCTTGGTGGTGTGCACCTATAGTCTACTACTCAGGAGGCTGATGTGGTAGGATCTCTTGAGCCCAGGAGGCAGAGGTTGCGGTGATCTGAGATCACGCCACTGCACTCCAGCCTGGGAGACAGTGAGGCCCCACCTCAAAAAGAGAAAAAACAAATGCTGTTTAGTGGCCCCAAGCACAAGGTGGCTATGATATGCCTTAAGGAGAAAATACATGTATTAGATAAGCTTTGTTCATGAATGAGTTATAATGCTGTTGACCATGAATTCAATGGTAATGAATCAACAACATATCAGAAATAGGGAGTCTTTAAACACAAACACATAAAAGACATTTTATGTATTGATTGGTTGACAAAAATATCATGACTAGAAGCTTACAAGAACCTAACCTTGTATTTACCCTAGGAACATGAGTTCAGTATTCATGGCAACTGTATAAAATATAATTAGCAAATTAGTAAGAATCTGCTATACTGTTACCCCATTTAACATGAGGAAAAGAAAAATTAAATGTCTTACACAAGGTAACAGCCGAACAGCAGAATGAAGTGAGACTAGAAGAGACGAAGTAGGCAACAGAAACAACTGGGGAAAGCAAGGAAGCAGCTCACTTAGATCTGCACTTACAACAACTGCTCTGGTTATTTCCCTGACACCCAAAATTAAAACTGGGAGTAAGAGAGGCAGCAAAAACCAGTTAGCGGGTGAGGAAAATGATGCTGACCCAGGACCAAGTACAAGCAATGGGAATGGAGAGGAGGGTGGATTTCAGGAACATCAAAAAGGCAGAACTGAACTAAAGATTTAACATAAAGGATGAAACAGAGACAAAACAACTCCCAGAATCCTAGCTCAGACAGTTAGATGGACAGTGATGCCCCTGAAGAGAATCAGAGGGATGGGTGGGCGTGAACAAGTGCACGTGTATGTGATGGTAATGAGTCCAGTTTTGGATAGGCTGTGTTAGACATTCAGTAAGACTACCAAGTGGAGATGTGCTATATGCAGTAAGCAGCTGTCACCTGTGTGCAGTACGCAGAAATTACCTAGAGAAAACTGGCCGGGGCAGTGGCTCACGCCTGTAATCCTAGCACTTTGGGAGGCCGAGGTGGGTGGATCACTTGAGGTCAGGAGTTCGAGAGCAGCCTGGCCAACATGGTGAAACCCCATCTCTATTAAAAATACAAAAAAATGGCCGGGCGTGGTGGCTCATGCCTGTAATCCCAGCACTTTGGGAGGCTGAGGCAGGCGGATCAAGAGGTCAGGAGATCGAGACCATCCTGGCTACCATGGTGAAACCCCATCTCTACTAAAAATACAAAAAATTAGCCAGGCATAGTGGTAGGCACCTGTTGTCCCAGCTACTCAGGAGGCTGAGGCAGGAGAAGGGCATGAACCTGGGAGGCAGAACTTGCAGTGAGGGGAGATCGCGCCACTGCACTCCAGCCAGATGACAGAGCGAGACTCCGTCTCCAAAAAAAAAAAAAAAAAAAAAAATTAGCCATGCATGGTGGCATGTGCCTGTAGTCCCAGCTACTTGGGAAGCTGAGGCAGGAGAATTGCTTGAACCTGGGAGGCAGAGGTTGCAGTGAGCTGAGATCATACCACTGCACTCCAGCCTGGGAGACAGAGCAAGACTCCACCTCAAAAAGAAAAAAAATGGTAATAGACGCATGTCACAAACATGTATACAACTGCTCACGAATAATAAAGTGTGAAACAATAAGCAGGCCCAGGACTAAGAAAAAAAATGAGGCTGGGCGCAGCGCCTCACACCCGTTATCCCAGCACTTCACTTTGGGAGGGAGAGGCAGAAGGATAACTTGGGCCCAGGAGTTTGAGACCAGCCTGGGCAACATAGCGAAACCCCGTCTCTCCAAAAAATAAAATATTAGCAGGGTGTGGTGGCATGCGCCTGTAGTCCTAGCTACTCAGAAGGCTGAAGTGGGAGGCTCCCTAGGGTCCGGGAGGTCAAGGTTGCAGTGAGCCATGACTGCACCACTGCATTCCAGCCTGTGCAACAGAGCAAGACCCTGTCTCAAAAAAAGTAAAGTAAAATGAGTTCCTCCTTGCATAATCTCTCAGTTGGCAAAAATAAATATATAAAGTACATTTTGGTTTCAATTATTTATTTTTAAAAGGAGGCTGGTTCCCAGTAAAACCTGAAAAATACACCAATACTGAAAGCATGAGTACAGGAAGAGCCTTCAAAGAAGCAGTCATCGAAGCAGAAGGAAAACAAAGAGCACATCACTAAAGAAGAGAGGGGTTGGGTTATTTATGTTTTGGATGGTGGTATTCTGAAGGCAAACTTTTGACAGCGAAGTCACTGCAAATGATACTGAAGGAAAGATGAAAGACCAGTTTATCTGGAAAATAACAATACAGCCCTGATATTTATCCATCAGAATTTCACTTTTACAGGTGAACACTTAAGCATATTCTAGGAAATAGAATTTTACCTGGCTTGACTAATGGTCTCCAAGGACCAGGTCTTGAGTCATCACCCCGTCTGGGAAACCGATCATCATCAGCACGTCTTGAAAGGCGATCATCATCCATGTTTCTCCAAGGGCCCCTGTCATCCTCTGCACCACGCCTGGGAATTCTGTCATCATCGGCGTTCCTCCAAGGTCCTCGATCATCATCCAACCCTCGCCTGGGACCCCGGTCATCATCCATGCCTCGCCTGGGACCCCGGTCATCATCCATGCCTCGCCTGGGACCCCGGTCATCATCCATGCCTCGCCTGGGACCCCGATCATCATCCAACCCTCGCCTGGGACCCCGGTCATCATCAGCATTACGCCAGGATGATCGCTCATCATCAGCGCCTCCTCGCCTCGGCCCCCGGTCATCATCCATCCCACGTCTTGGTCCTCTGTCCTCATCAGCTGTTCGCCAGCTTCCTCTGTCCTCATCCAGTCCTCGTCTAGGTGGTCTGTCATCATCCGCATGACGCCAGTTTCCCCTGTCTTCATCGGCAATTCGTCTGGGAGGCCTGTCATCATCTGTGTTACGCCAGGAAGGCCGGTCATCGTCTGCCCCACGACGAGAGAACCTATCTTCCTCAGGACCACGTCTAGGGCCTCTGTCATCATCCATGCCACGCCGGGGAACCCGATCATCGTCTGGTCTAAGAGAGGGCTCTCTATCTTCATCATCCCCCAGACGCCGGGGCCGCTCTTCATCTCTTCTATGAGACCTGTCCTCATCTCGCCCTTCTCCACGTCTCCACTCCCTACACAGCAACAAGAACAATTAAAAATATATAAAATAAAAAAGCATATGATCCTTTGGGGATTTTTTTTTTCACATGCTTTTTAAAAACTTCAGTATGGGCCGGAGCAGTGGCTCGCACCTTTAATCCCAGCACTCTGGGAAGCAGAGGCAGGCAGATCACCTGAGGTCAGGAGTTCAAGACCAGCCTGGCCTGGCAAAACCCATCTCTACTTAATTGTAAGACATGCGGCTGGGCACAGTCGCTCACACCTGTAATCCCAGCACTTTGGAAGGCCAAGGCGGGAGGATTGCTTGAGCCCAGGAGTTTGAGACTAGCCTGGGCAACATGTCAAAACCCCATCACTATAAAGAATATAAAAATTCACCAGGCGTAGTGGCCCACACCTGTAATCCCAGCACTTTGGGAGGCCGAGGCAGGCAGATTTCTTGAGGTCAGGAGTTCAAGACCAGCCTGGCCAACATAGTGAAACCTCGGGTCTACTAAAAATGCAAAAATTAGCCAGGCGTGGTGGTGCATGTCTGTAATCCTACTTGGGAGGATTACAAGTGCCTCCCAGCTACTTGGGAGGCACAAGAATTGCTTCAACCCAGGAGGCGGAGGCTGCAGTGAGCCGAGAACGCGCCACTGCACTCCAGCCTGGGTGACAGAGCTAGATTCTGTCTCAAAAACAAAGAAACAAACAAACAAAATTAACCAGGCATGGTGGAGCGCACCTGTGGTCCCAGCTACTCAGGAGGCTGAGGCAGGAGGATCACCTAAGCCCAGGGAGGTTGAGGCTGTAGTGAGCCGAGATCGCGCCACTGCACTCCAGAGTGAGACGCCATCTCAAAACAACAACAACAACAACAAAAACAACAACACAGGCCAAGTGCAGTGGCTCATGCCTGTCATCCCAGCAATTTGAGAGGCTGAGACAGTCAGATCGCTTGAGGTCAAGAGGTCAAAGCCAGCTTGGGCAACATGGCAAAACCCCATCTCTACTAAAAATACAAAAAGTAGCCAGGTGTGGTGGCACACACCTGTAATCCCAGCTATTCGAGAGGCTGAGGCACTTGAACCCAGGAGGCAGAGGTTGCAGGGAGCCGAGATAGCGCCACTGCACCCCAGCCTGGGCAGCAGACCCAAAAAAACAAAATACAAACCCACACGCAATCAGACATGCACACAATTCTTCATGGCTCTCCTTTCCCTGCCTCTACAAAATGAACCAAATTTTAAAACCACTGATAAGATATTAACAGGAACTGGAGCGGCATTATTTTCCTCAACTCTACTTACTTCTCTGGCGGGCCTCTTCTCCACTCAGAATCTGCTTCAGGTCCTTTTCTCCAGGTGCCTTCTGAATCTCTATCTCCCCAACGAGAGTCCTCCATTGACAAAGTGAAAAAGAAGCATTACATTGGTAACCATTTACTATTACAACTACTGGTATTACCATTCAAATATTTTTTGTACTTATAACAATATGAAGCCCTTAAATAAGCAAGTTTTAAAATTTCATTTATTTTTTAATCTGAGATCAGACTGACGCTACAGGGAAACTGGTAGTCTCATATATTGTAGGTGGCCTTACAAACCGATATAACACTGTGCTGGAAAGCAACCTGGGAACATACACCTCTACAGATTTCCTTCAACCTAGAAATCCCCTTTGAAGAATGTGAAAAAAGCCACATGCCCTGAAATGGACATCACAGTGCCTACGAAGCAAAGAAAGGTGGAGACATTTTATTTAATGTCTAATGGGGGTGGTTAAATTAACAGTACTTCTCTATTCAAAGTACTCTGATGGGCCGGGCGCGGTGGCTCACGCCTGTAATCCCAGCAGTTTGGAAGGCCGAGGCAGGTGGATCACGAGGTCAGGAGATCAAGACCATCCTGGCTAACACGGTGAAACCCTGTCTCTACTAAAAATACAAAAAATTAGCCAGGCGTGGTGGCAGGCGCCTGTAGTCCCAGCTACTTGGGAGGCTGAGGCAGGAGAATCGCTTGAACCCAGAAGGCAAAACTTGCAGTTACCCAACATCACACTACTGCACTCCAGCCTGCACCAGAGCGCAAGCCTCTGTCTCAAAAAAATAAAAATAAAAGAATCTACAAAGCTAAGAATAAGCTACAGTCTCAAACAATGCGTGAATAAGAGAACCTTTATTTGAATTTTCTTTTCTTTTTTTTTTTTTTTTTTTTGAGGTGGAATCTCACTCTGTTACCCAGGATGGAGTGCAGTGGTACGATCTCAGCTAACTGCAGCCTCTGCCACCCACATTCAAGCTATTCTTGAGCCTTAGCCTCCCAGGTAGCTAGGACTACAAGCGCCTGCCTCCATGCCCGACTAATTTTTATATTTTTAGTAGAGATGGGATTTCAACATGTTGGCCATGCTGGTCTCGAACTCCTGACCTCAACTGATCCACCTGCCTAGGCTTCCCAAAGTTCTGAGATTATAGGTGTGAGCCACCACGCCTGCCCCTTTATTTGAATTTTTGAAAAAAATGTCTTGGCAATGAAACTCTAAAATAACAACTAGAGATGAGAAGCAGTGAAAGACAAGAATGGTCAGAAAATAAATTCGTCCCGGGTCATCACAGCTAATGATTCTGGGCTGTCTCTTAAGGTGGGGGTTGTTCTAAGAGACTTTCCCAAGTAAACACCTTGAGAGAAAATAGAAACATAACAGTCAAAGGAATTTATGGGCAACACAATTGAGGGAACAAATACAGCCAGAAGGCCAAGCTTCTCCCACCCCCATGCCTGCTTTGCAATTTATACTCAACAAAGAATGCAAGGTTTTAGAGGATATAGTACAACTATTACAACCTCCAAAGACTTTTGAAGGATGGCTCTTATAGCCATTAAACAAACAAAAAGAAGTAACTCTGCCTCCTGGGCTCAAGCCATACTCCCTCCCACCTCAGTTTCCCAAGTAGCTGGGCATGCACCACCACGCCCAGCTCATTTTTGTATTTTTTGTGGAGACAGGGTCTCACTATGTTGCCAGACTGGTCTCAAGCTCCCAGGCTCAAGCGATCCGCTTGCCTGCCTCGGTCTCCCAAAGTGCTGAGATTATAGGCGTGAACCAATGTGCCCGGCCCAGCAGATCCAAGAGCAGAATGGCCCTGGCTGATGAGCAAACAAACTGAACCACGATCTCAGAGAACCTGGTACAAACAAACAAAGAGATGAAGAGAGTAAAAGAAACATTAAAGATATAAAGAGAACTTTAACAGAGCAAGAACAGAGAAAAAGGAGAAAAGTTTCCTTAAATTAAGTAGATTTTTGTCTGCTCTAAGGAGACTGAATCCTTAGACCAAAAGGGCAAAAGGCCAAAAAGAAACAAAGATACCATACACTCAGGTATCTAAACACAGTCTTAGGGACAGTTTTAACTTCCTTTACCGCAAGAATAGAGAAAAATTCTGTTTCCGAGGAATGAAACAGTATCTACAGAGTAAGACCAAAATCCTCCCCTCTGTAACACTGTGTACTAAAAACAGAAGCAAAGGTCTCTATTATTTCTGAAAAGATGATTTTGAACTGGCCAAATAATGAACCATTTATTGTTCAACGGTGAGAGAAAAAACTTATGAGACACACAAAGACATTCTGAAAACTACTGATCAAGAAACAAAAAGTACTCACAAAGGGGAAAACATGATGCAGTGTAAACATACTTGAGACTAAATAATGTTCGCTAATATGGATGGAAAACTTAAAGTAACTGTTAAGTGAGTACTAAGAGGAAAGATAATGTGTAAATATCTAGAAGCAAAAATACCCAGTCCACTGCAATAAAATATAAGTTAAGGTATGGTCATGATTTTGTTTTGTTCTGAAGAGGCAAAGGAAAGTTGTAATTTATACTGTGGAAGTTTTTTTAAAAACTTAGGAAAAAATTAATGGTGGCCAGGCACAGTGGCTCATGCCTGTAATCTCAGCACTTTGGGAGGTTGAGGTGGGTGGATCACCTGAGGTCAGGAGTTCAAGACCAGCCTGGCCAACATGGTTAAATTCATCTCTACTAAAAATACAAAATTAGCCGGGCATGGTGGCACATGCCTGTAATCCCACCTACTTGGGAGGCTGAGGCAGGAGAATCACTTGAACCTGGAAGGTGGAGGCTGCAGTGGGCCGAGATCTCGCCATTGCACTCCAGCCCGGGCAAAAAGGGCAAAAAAATTAATGGAATAGAGAAAATAAAAGTGAACCTAAAGGCCAGGCATAGTGGCTCACGCCTGTAATCCCAGCACTGTGAGAGGCTGAGGTGAGTGGACCACGAGGTCAGGAGTTCAAGACCAGCCAGGCCAACATAGTGAAAAATCCCATCTCTACTAAAAATACAAACATTAGCCAGGCGTGGTGGCACACGCCAGTAATCCCAGCTACTCAGGAGGCTGAGGCAGGAGAATTGCTTGAAACTGGGAGGCGGAGGTTGCAGTGAGCTGAGATTGCACCACTGCACTCCAGCCTGGGCAACAGAGCGAGACTGTCTCCACACACACACACACACAAAAAGAACCTAGAAAAGTTCTTCAAATTTGGCTTAAAGAAAAAGGAAGGGGTGCCAGGGACATAGAAGCAAATAAAAAGCTCCAAAGCAAGTGTTAGGAATAAAACCAAATATACTAGTTACCATGTTAAATGCAAGTAAATTAAACTAAACTCTCCCAAAAAAAAGGGAAGGTGTGTGTGGGCAAGGGGGTGAGGCATAAAACAGAAACAAGAGGCTGAAAATGTACAAAAGGGTGGACAGACACATTTGCAAATGCTAACTAAAAGAAAAGGATAATCTCAGAAGGTAAGCTTCCTCATGTTCCTAAGGAGACAGTCCCATAAACTAACAAGATGTAGCAGATTTAAACAAAACAGCGCTGATTTCATGCACACACACAACTTTGTGCTCAACAGAAAAAAACATTCATAGAACACAAGGGAAAATGTATTCTTAAATTCCAAAAACTTGTAAATCATACAGACCACATTTACTTAATACCAAGGAATTAGAACTACAAATTAGCAGTAAGAATAACACAAACTGAAGACACATAAATAACTAGTATCAAGTGTAGGCATACAGATAAGCATTTGATACAGGTGTGGCAAAAATAGAGGAGCAGAGAAAAGGCATGCAAGATATCCTTGAGCTTTCTGAGTGAAAAGTAAGCAAGCAATACTTTAAGGGGCAAACAGGGCACCTCCCAAGCAAAAGGAAGAGCGTGCAGACAGATGCCACAGACACAGAATAAAGCAGAAAACTTGCTCCCCAATGGCTACAGCACAGGTGACTAAGAAGAAAATAGTGTCAGATGAAACTGATGAAACGGCAGCAACACGGAAGACTACTAACGCGTGTTTTAAAACCTTTGGCTCTCAGTAATGAGTACCAACCAATGAAAGGTCTGAAATCCAACAGCAGGCACAGTGATCAAACATGCTGTATTATGAAAAATCAAGCAGGCCACAACATAGAGGAAGGTCTGAAGCTGGAGGAAGATGATGATGAGGAAGACGAGTAAGTAGACCAACAAGTATTGCAAGCAAGAAAAATCTGAATTAAGGCAGTAATGTAGGAAAAGAAAGAAGGAAGAGTTGGTTCAAAGCTGTGACAAAGCAGATACCAGTAACACCAATCAGGAGAGGGAATTCCAGACACAAGACAGAGATGGGAACACAGGTCCGTTTTGAACCTGAGTGCAATTAAAAATCAGCATTTAGAGCTGAGTTTGAATCACCTAGGAATCCTGTTAAATTGCATATTTTGATTCAGAAGTTTTGGGGCTGGACCTCAAAGTCTGCGTTTCTAACAAGTTGACAGGTGCTGCTGACAGCTGCTGACCACCAAACATGTCTTTAAGTACCAAGGAGCTACAGAATTCATCATCCTCTAAATTCACGATTCTTTTTTTTTTTTTCCCCTGAGACAGAGTCTTGCTCTGTCACCCAGGCTTGAGTGCAGTGGCGCGATCTCAGCTCACTGCAACCTCCACCTCCTGGGTTCAAGCAATTCTCCTCCCTCAGCCTCTCAAGTAGCTGGGATTACAGGTGCTGCCACCGCACCCAGCTAATTTTTTTATTTTTAGTAGAGACAGGGTATCACCATGTTGGCCAGACTGGTCTAGAACTGACTTCGCGATCCGCACGCCTCGGCTTCCCAAAGTGCTGGGAATTATAGGCATGAGCCACCACGCCCGGCCAAACGATGATGTCTTTCATGGAACTCAGCAACAGTCTCTCTTCTGTAGCAAACTCAGCAGTGCTATGGACAAAACTTTCATGACACGCATGCGCAAAAGTATGCTTAAGCCTGTAAAATTCCATCTTTGCTAAGACAAGTATAATTCTTCCCCCCTTAGGTGCCTTCTGTTCTTTGGGAAAACTACCACATTAAAAAGAGCGGTGAAAATGGGCTGGGTGCGGTGGCTCGCGCCTGTAATCCCAGCACTTTGGGAGGCCAAGGCAAGCAGATTGTTTGAGGTCAGGAGTTCAAGACCAACCTGGCCAACATGGTGAAACCATATTTCTAATTTTAGTAGTAAATTTTGTATTTTCTACTAAAAATACAAAAATCAGCCAGGCATGGTGTTGGGCGCCTATAATTCCAACTACTTGGAAGACTGAAGCAAGAGAATGGCTTGAACCTGGGAGGCAGAGATTGCAGGAAGCCGAGACAGAGATCACACCACTGCACTCCAGCCTGGGCAATGAAGCGAGACTCTGTCTCAAAAAAAAAAAAAAAAGAGAAAGAGATGTGAAAATAACTGATTTAAATACATTTACATAGGTATCATGGAAGAGAACTGGGTGATAAAAATACATCACAATTACAAAAATCAGCCAGGCATGGTGGTATGCACCTGTAATCTCAGCTACTCAGGAGGCTGAGACACGAGAATCACTTGAACCCGGGGGCTGAGATTGCACCACTGTACTCCAGCCTGGGCAACCTGGGCGACAGAGCAAGACTGTGCCTCAACCAAAAAAAAAAAGTCACATTAAAACAAAATAAAATCAATAAACCCTATACTCACCTTTCTAGAAAGGGAACTATCGCCAAGTCTTCTCTCTTCCTCTCTACGCCGTTCTCGTTCTTCAATTTCCAACTCCCTTTGGCGTTTTTTCCTTTCCACTTCTTCTAATTTCTTCACCCGCTCCTGATACTCTCGTAGCTCTTCCTCGCGTTTTGCTCGTTCGGCGCGCTCTCTCTCTTCCCGCTCTAGACCATTGATTAGGTTACTAAGTGTGCCTCCCAGCCATATCTTCCCCCTAGTGCTAGTTCCACTTTTCTGGTATTAAACAGGTAGCATAATGTACAAGTAAAAGAATTTGAAAATAGTTTGTAATCAGCTACAGGACAGAACATAGTCAAGAAAATAAGTACTACACCCCTCAACTATAGTTTTGTAATAAGATACTAGAATCCCTCCCCCATCCCTGAGCAATCTGGGATTCCAGATATAGCATCATTTAACAGCCATCATCTGGAATGTATTCCTCAATAAATGTTAATACACAGAATACGGTGATTAAAAAAAGTATTAATTTCTAGAAGAACATCAAATGTGTGGGGAAATGCTGGCAGACGATGTAACAACTTCACATACAGCAAACTGGGTTCTGAGATCCAGTTAATTACAGTGCTAAAAGGCCAATTACCTTGATTCCTGTATTTTCTACATAAGATCACTAAAAACTAGATCTTAACACCAACCTTGCATTAGCACCCCTCCAATCCTGTTTGACCTGTGTACCTTTTAGCATTTGTTCTTCTGCCCTTCTCTGCTCCTCCTCTTCTTTTTCTCTATAGTATGTTATCCTGCGTTCTTCTTTACGCTGCCTTTTCCGTTCTTCCAATCGATTATGCCTTTCTTCTGCTAATCGCTCTTCAAACTGTTTAAGTTTTTCCTGCAATCGAAGTAACCCCCAACCCAAAAAGGGCACACTTTGTCAAGAGCAACAAACTCGCAGAAAGCTATTAGGTTTACAAAAGACTCTCAAGTGTATCAGAATCATCGAAAGCAACCTCTCAGCACAAAAACTCTAACTTCCAAATGACCATTAACTTGTCAGCAGGCCAAATTTTAAAACATTTAAATTGTTGATATTACCTACCTCCAGTGGGTTTGTCTTTATACAAAATAATTCAATGGTCAAATTAGAATCTAAGCCCAGGACATTTTGATCTAGTTTTTTCATTTCTAACAAAAACAGTAAACAAAACTTGTATTAAATTATGCATTCAACTTTCACCTTTAGAACAATTTTGATGATTGTTTTGCTTATGAAATATCATCCAAAAATTTCTATTATTTGAATGACCGTTACACATAGTAACTCAATAAAGAATATACCAATTTGTTAAGGGAGAACCCTTAGGCCAATACTAGAAAGCTCATGAATAAACATTTCCCAAAAATCAGCAAGCTCACCTCATAAACAGACTGCCGTGCAGCTTTGAGTCGCATTACGAATAAATCTCTGTCTTCAAGCATTCGTGACATTCGATTCTTATGTTCAAGAGCCTTTTCACGTTCTAGCTGCATTGTAGTAATCTGCAAGTACAAATATTGTGAAATTTCAATGCACTTTTTTTTTTACTCATTAACCCCAAATTACTGAGAAATACTCTTGAAAAATTAGAAGCTGCTCCACTGCCCCTTCTGTCATGCCATAAAAATGAAAACGTTAACTACATCCATGTCAATAGGTCCCCAGAAGGCAATTACGGGCAAGAGGTAGACAAAGTAATCCTGAGGCATTTAGGAGAGACAGTTTTCATTTAGCCCCATGATACCAGGAACTTTATAAAGGAAAAATTATGATACACGGACACACCTTGGAGGCACTGCAGGTTTGGTTCTAGACCACCACAATAAAGAATATTGCAATAAAGCAAGCAACGCAGATTTTTTGGTTATCCGATGCATATAGAAGTTTGCAGTCTATTAAGTATACAATAGCATGTCTAAAACACCAATGTACAAACCTTAATTTTAAAATACTGTAAGTCAGATGCAGTAGTACGCTGAGGCAAGAGAATCACTTGAGCCCAGGAGTGCAAGATCAGCCTGGACAACATGGTGAGACTCCTGTTCTCAAAGAAAACAAAACAAAAAATACTTTATTGCTAAAAAATGCTAATGATCACCTGAGCCTTCAATGAGTCATAATCTTTTTGCTAGTGGAGTCTTGCTTCAATGTTGACGACTGCTGAATGATCAGCATGGCAGATACTAAAGGATGGGGTGACTATGGTATAATTTCTTAAAATAGGTAACAATGAAGTTTGCCACACTGATTGCAACCTCTTACAAAAGATTCATCTAGCATGTGGCACTGGTTGACGGTTTTTAACTCAAGAGTAGAATTTCAATTTGATCCAATCCTCTCAAACCCTGCTGCTGCTTTATCAACTACACTTATGGAATATTCTAAATCCTTTGTTGTCAGGTCAACAATGTTCGTAGCATTTTCACCAGGAGATTTCAAGAAACCACTTACTTTGCTCATCCATAAGAAGCAACTCCTCACCCATCCAAGCTTTATCATGAGATTGCAGCAATTCAGTCACATCTTCAGGTTATAGTCTTTTTTGGTTTTGTGTGTGTGTGTGTGTGTGTGTGTGTGTGTTTTAAGACAGGGTCTGTCTCTGTCACCCAAGCACTGGAGTGCAATGGCACCATCTCAGCTCACTGCAACCTCTGCATCCTCCCACCTCAGTCAGCCTCCCAAGTAGCTGGAACTGCAGGCACACTCCACCATGCCTGGCTAATTTTCCTGTTTTTTTGTAGAGACAGGGTTTCACCATGTTGCCCAGGCTGGTCTCAAACTCCTGGACTCATGCAATCTGCCCACCTCAGCCTCCCAAAGAGCTGGGATTAGAGGTGTGAGCCACCCCACCCAGCCTATACATCTAACTCTACTTCTCTTGCTGTTTTCACCACATCTGCAATTATTTTCTCCACTCTACTCATGTACCCCTCCAAGTCATCCATGAGGCTTGGAATCAACTTCTTCCAAACTCTTTCTAATGCTGATATTTTGACCTCCTCCCACGAATCACAAATGGCATCTGGAATAAAGAATTCCTTCCAGCAGGTTTTCAACGTACTTTGCCCAGATCCACCAAAGGAATCACTATGGCAGCTACAGGTTTATGAAATATATTTCTTAAATAATAAGACTTGAAAGACAAAATTATTCCTAGATCTACGGGCTGCAGAATGCATACTGTGTTAACAGGCATGAAAACAAACATTAATCTCTCTTATACATCACTGTCAGAGCTGTCATACGATCAGATGCATTGTCAATGAGCAGCAATATTCTGAAAACTTTTTTTTTTGAGCAGTAGGTCTCAACAGGGGGCTTAAAATATTCAGCAAACCATGCTATTAACAGATATGCTGTCATTCAGGCTTTGTTCTTTCATGTACAGACCACAGAAAGGGTAGATGCAGCATAATTCTTAAGGACCCTAGGATTTTTGGAATGACGAGAATTGGCTTCAACTTCCAGTTAGCAGCTGCATTAACCCCTAAACAGTGAGCATACCCTTTGATGCTCTCAAGCTAGGCACTGACTTCCCTCTAGGTATGAAAGACCTAGCTGGCCATCTTCTTCCAACAGAAGGTCGTTTCATCTACACTGAAAATCTATTGGCTGGGCACCATGGCTCACCCCTGTAATCCCAACACTTTGTGAGGCTGAAGCAGGCAGACTGCTTGACTTCAGGAGTTTGAGACCAGCCTGGGAAGCCTGGGGAGAGCCTGTCTCCACTAAAAATACAAAAAAAAAAAAAAAAAAAAAGCTAGGCATGGTGGTGCATGCCTGTGGTCGCAGCTACTCAGGAGGCTGAAGTGGGCACTTGAGCCCAGGGGGTAGATACTGTAGGGAGCTGAGATCACGCCACTGCACTCCAGCCTGGGTGATAGAGTGAGACCCTGTCTCTCAAAAAAGTAAGAAAGTCTGTTGTTTAAGTGTAGCCACCTTCATCAACTATCTCAGCCAAATCTTCTGAATAACTTGCTGTAGCTCCTCCATCAGCACTTGCTGCTTCACATCGTACTGTTATGTCATAAAGACGGTTTTCCTTAAACCTTATGAACCAACCTCTGCTAGCTTCATACTTTTCTTCTGCAGCTTCCTTTATTGATTGATTGATTGATTGAGACAGAGTCTCCCATGGTTGCCCAGGGTGGAGTGCAGTGGCGCAATCTCAGCTCACTGCAACCTCTGCCTCCCAGGTTCATGCAATTCTCCTGCCTCAGCCTCCTGAGTATCTGGGATTACAGGCATCTGCCACCACGCCCAGCTAATTTTTGTAATTTTAGTAGAGACGGGTTCTTGCCATGTTGGCCAGGCTGGTCTCAAACTCCTGACCTCAAGTGATCTGCCCTCCTCGGCCTCCCAAAGTGCTTATATTACAGACGTGAGCCACCAGGCCTGGCCTTCTGCGGCTTTCTAACCTCTCTCAGCTATTTGTATTATTAACTGTTGAGAGTTATAGCCTTGCTCTCGATCAGGCTTTGGCTAAAGGGAATGTTGTGGCTGGTTTGATCCAGACCAATGAAACTTTTTCCATATCAGCAATAAGGCTGTTTCACTTTCTCACTGTTTATGTGTTCACTGGAGTAGCATTTTTAATTTCAAGAACTCTTCCGGGCCAGGCACGGTGGCTCATGCCTGTAATCCCAGCACTTTGGGAGGCCGAGATGAGCAGATCACCTGAGGCCAGGAGTTTGAGACCAGCCTGACCAACATAGAGAAACCCCGTCTCTAATTAAAAAAAAAAAAAAAAAGTACAAAATTAGCTGGGTGTGGTGGCACATGCCTGTAATCTCAGCTACTCGGGAGGCTGAGGCACGAGAATCACTTGAACTGGGAGGCGGAGGCTGCAGTGGGCTGAGATTGCGCCATTGCACTCCAGCTTGGGCAACAACGGCGAAACTCCATCTCAAAAAAAAAAAAAAAGCTTTTCCTTTGCATTCACAACTTGATTAGTGCAAGAGGCCTAGCTTTCAACATGCCTTCCTCACTAAGCTTAATCATTTCTAGCATTTGATTTAAAGTGAGACAGGTGACTCTTCTATTCAGTTGAACACTTAAAAGCCATTGTGGAATTGTTAATTAGCCTAATTTCAATATTACCTCTCAGGAGCTGGGCACAGTGGCTCACGCCTATAATCCCAGCACTTTGGGAGGCTGAGGCGAACAGAACACTTGAGGTCAGGAGTTCAAGACCAGCCCAGCCAACACGGTGACCTCATCTCCACTAAAAACACAAAAACTAGCCGGGCATGGTGGCAGGCGCCTGTAATCCCAGCTACTTGGGAGGCTGCGGCCAGAGAATCACTTGAACCCGGCGGGGGCAGAGGTTGCAGTGTGCCGAGATTGCGCCACTGCACTCCAGCCTGGGCGACAGAATGAAACTCTGTCTCAAATAAATATATACATATTAGTGTCTCAGGGAATAATAGGAAGGGTCAAGGACAGGGAGAGACAGAGAGTAAGGGAATGGCCAGTCGGTAGAACAGTCAGAAGAGACTTAATTTACAGATTAAGTTCACCGCCTTCTATGAGTGTGGTTCGTGGCACCCCAAAATAATTACAACAGTAACATCAAAGATCACTGATCACTACAACAAATATAATGAAAAAGTATTAAATACTTTGAGAATTACCAAAATGTGACAGAGACATGAAATGAGCACATGCTGCTGGAAAAATGGTGTCAACAGACTTGCTCAATGCAAGGTTACCACAAACTTTTAATATGTAAAAGAAGAAATAAGAATAAAAATAATAATAATATGGGGGGCTGGGGGAGGTGTGATTCACACCCATAATCCCAGCACTTTGGGAGGCCCAGCCAGGAGAATCGTTTGAGCCCAGGACTTTGAGACCTGCCTGGGTAACACAAAAGCACAATAAAGTGAAGCACAATAAAACAAGGTGTGCCTATATATAATAAAATAAAATAATAAATATGACATGGTAACAACAAACACCATGGTTTAATTTTTAAAGGCATTTTCATCCTTAAAAACACCTGGAAATCAATGCAAGATGATATATGGCTATTTCTTTTCTACCCTACATGAAAAACTGAAGGCTCCAAATCAACCCAATTTGGTCTGCAGCACTTTTCTAATTAGTTTTTAATTATTTACATGTTAAGAGAATTATCACAAAAATTCCAACTTTTCCAGAAAAAAAAATGGGAAGGGCTGGCAATCCTAGGCCCATTAATCTCCAAGGGACAACAATCAGATTAAACCAAGAAAAGGCTGCATTCTCCTATCACACCCTACACCGATGTTTGCCTCCTGCTTATGGTTACTTTTTTAAAGTAGATCTGCTTACTCACTTTTATTACATATTTGGTGCCGTAAGCATTTGTAAACCATGCTTTTGTATCATTAGGTAAATATAAAATATACTATAAGTTAACAAAACTATGGAATGACCTGTTTAGTCACGAAAGACAACACAGTACACAATTCCATTTATATAAAATGTCCAGAATCAGCAAATCTAGAGAAAGGAGTAGTTTAGCGGTTGCCTAGGGCTGGGGTGGTGGGGAAGAATAGGGATGACTACTGCTAATGGGTTTAGAACTTCTTTTTGAGACGTGTTTTAAAATTAGATTGTGGAGATGGCTGCACAATTCTGCAAGTAAAATGAAAACTATGAGATGTATAAACATGCCATACAATTTACCCATTTAAAGTGTATATAAAGCAGTTTTTTATAAAATGGGCTTTTCAGTTGTCCTTTGTTTTCCAAGTTTCGTTTGTAATCTCTATTGTGAAATTTTCCCTCTTTCTACCAATCTGTTCATAGGCAGCCATTAGAGCACCATTTCTAGCAGAAGAATACAAAATAAAGCAATTCTGAATCCTTGGTTCCATTACTGGCAGAGGATTTTATTACAATCTAAAAATATTACAATTAAATAAAAAACTTACTCTTTCTTCCTCTTGTTGCTCCCACAGATCCATGTCTTTAATTCTCTGTTCCTCGTAAGCGCTCTTTATCAAAGGAATTTCTTCCAAACGTTTGGCTCTTTCAAAATAGTCAATCTGAATGACACGAAAACACACGTAGTTTTAAAAAATCTCTCTTAACTTGGTATGTTAAAGGTTTACCAACCCTTTCATTTACCTTCTTTTCTTGATTCTTTAGGCGTTCTTGAAGTTCTTTCTTTTCTTTCTCCAGTTGTTCAACCTGTTTAGCCATGATAAAATCTGGATCCAATTCCTCAAGGTCCTGAAAGGTAATACAAATGCACAATTGTTAATAAAGAGAAACAAGCAATGCCTAACATAACTCACTGCTTTCTAGAATAAAATCCTACATTGCTTTTATTGTTACAATGGGTGATAATTTAGGAAATGTAAAAATATTATACAATAGCCTTATTTCCATTTGACCATAAGGAAAAAAATATCCATACATCCTTTTCTCACTACTCCAACCTACATCTACCCAGACTCTACTAAATAGGGTAAGCAAACCTAATCCAAAAACCCAAAATCTGAAATGCTCCCAATTTTAAAACTTTCTGAGCACCAACATGGTGCCACAAGTGTAAAATTCCACACCTGACCCATGTGACAGGTCAGTCAAAATGCATTCAAAACTTTGTTTCATGCACAAAATTATGTAAAATAGTGTACAAAATTACCTTCAGGCTATGTGTATAAGGTGTCTATGAAACAGGTCATGTGTGGTGGCTCACACCTATAACCCCAGCAATTTGGGAGGCTGAGGCAAGTAGATCACTTGAGGTCAGGAGTTCAAGACCAGCCTGGCCAACATGGTGAAACCCTGTCTCTACTAAAAATACAAAAATTAGCCAGGTATGGTGGCAGGCGCCTGTAATCCCAGCTAGTTGGGAGGCTGAGGCAGGAGAATCACTTGAACCCGGGAGGCGGAGGTTGCAGTGAGCTGAGATCACGTCACTGCACTCCAGCCTGGGCGACAAGATAATACTCCGTCTCAAAAAAAACACAAAACTTCACAGAGCAATAAACATATGCTTACTCACAGATTTAGTCATGACCAGCTGTACCAAAATGCATGAAATAACCCAGTAAGCCAACAAATGGTAAAGGACTGTGGTTCTAAGAGTACAAAATACCTGGATAAAACTAATTTTTTAATAACTAAGATGCTACGTACTTCAATATCAATATCTTTGAATGCTTTGGCACCCAGTTCTGTTTTCTTGATCTGCTCCAAACGCTCTCGGACAGTTTTCTTTTTGATTTGTTCATGTTCCTGTAAGATACGCTCCTTCTCTCTCTCCTTTGCTTCCTGGCGCAGCCTCTCTTCCTCAGCCTTCCGCACTTTCTGGAGTTCAGCTTCCCTCTGTTCCAATTCTTCTTTCTCACGCTGAATATTCAGACTCTCAAGGCGCTCTTTTCTCTCCTCAATTGTCTGGCGGCGAGCCAGGATCCGCTGGTGCTCTTTTCGTGAATTTTTAAGGTATGCAGTGACAGCCAACTGATGCTGTTCTTCTTTCTCTTGCTTCAAAAACAAATGAATTTTTTTACATGACCAAAATTAACATTCTCTGGTATTAGGCATCAAAGAAATTACAAAATAATCCTGATGTACTGCCTTTCTATGTATCTGCATTTGATAATGGAAGATGACACTATCCAAGCTGTTTGTTTTCGGTATTAAATGCTATGGTGTTGCTCCTATTCAGTCTTTTAATAGCAATGACGCAGCTAAAGAAGCTCTCCTAGATAAGACAACTTTTCTCTGCACCAAACCTACCTTAGGTGTTCATTAACAGAGCTCACATACAAGAAATAACTTGTTACAGGCAGTGGCTCATGCGTGTAACCCCATCACTTTTGGGAGGCCAAGGCGGGTGGATCACTTGAGGCCAGGACTTTGAGACCAGCATGGCCAACATGGTGAAACCCCATCTCTACTAAAAATACAAAACATTAGCTGTGCACGTGGTACGTGCCTGTAGTCCCAGCTACACAGGAGGCTGAGGCACAAGAATTGCTTGAACCCAGGAGGTAGAGATTGCAATGAGCCGAGATGGCATCACTGCACTCCAGCCTGGGTGAGAGTGAGACTCCATCTCAAAAAAGAAAAAAAAGAAATAACTTAAGCAGGAGGGAAAAATCCAGTCACTGTATTTCACTATTTGAGGAATCCTATGTCCACTCTGTTGTTTCTGTAACATAATCCACCCTATTACATTACCTACACAGAGTAGTATTTTGTTCAATGGAAGAAAGCTCAATGATTTGTGTATTTGATCAAATAACAAAACTACCAAGTACAATTCTATAGGAAACATATCATAAATCCCTTCTCTCAGATATTGTCTCAAACCTTTTTGTAAAAGACATGGCATGGCGTTAAGAGTCCCTCAAAACTTCTGGGATTTATTTCCCCGGGAAGATGCATACCAGTATATGAGCTGGTTTAATGACTTCAAGTGCTTTTGCAAGTACTGAGGACATGGCTGTCAGCTGGTTTCTTATCTGCTCTGAAGGCATGCTTTGCAAATGAGGACCAATCGGAGCATCTTCTCGAGTAGCATAATTCAAATCAGATCCAAAACTCAGGGTCCGAGAAGTGTGATCAATACGAACCTTTGAAAATTAAATTATCAATGGTTAAATCCACAAGTAAGCATGAAGTCAAAAAGTAACAGAAGAATGTCATATACAAAAGCTGGAAAAGTTCACTCAGTAAACTTTAAAATGGTATCACTGTACCAAAAGCTGAGAAACAGAAGGTATGTGTCTTTCTAGCCCTCAAGGGCCTTCTCCTGTCTCCTTACAGCACATACCTACCTGCAAGTCGCAATGCCTGGCTGCATCTACTATGGCCCGTTCCAGTTGGAAAGCATCAACAAAAGGAACCAAAGAAGTCAAACGAGAAAACTCAATGCTCTGATAAATCTGTGACACCTGCATAGAAAACAAAGGGTTAATAACACTAGCCACTGTTTATTCAGCACTTTTTATGTGCAATCTCATGACAGTCATGGGAAGTAGAAATTATGCCAGAGAATTTATGTTAGCAGTACATTGTTAAAGCCAGAATGCTAATCCCAGACCATCGACTCTAAACTCCATGCTTTGAGAACCATTATCATACTATTCCTCAAACCTATAATCTTTTCAAATCCTAGTTGTTGTAAAACAAAAAAGCCTAAAAACCTGCTACTTACCGAATATATTTAAACACTTCTTATAGAATTTTTGTCTGAAGGAGACTGGCAGCATTACTATTTATAGTTATACTGCTAATTAGCCTTCAATTATTTGTATAGCACATAAGAAATAACACTACTCACATAAAAGAAAGCAGGTCAATGAAATGTGCACAAATACTGAGATGAAAATATAATAAAACGCCCTCCTTCCCAAATGCAACAAATGGAAAACAAAATGGGAGCACTTACTGACTTAAGCCCCTGGACTAAAATATATGAAAAGGCTGTCTCATTCACTCATGGTGGGGGGTCTATTAATCCAGGCTTCTGAATAGCTATTAAAGCTTTAAATCCATAAACCCTATGACTAATTCCACTTCTTATGCCACAGAAAGTAATAGAAGTATGCAAAGATACATGTATGAAAGATGCTCAATGCTACAAGATTTCTAACAGGGAAAAAAAAAATCTAGGAATACAGGTTTTCATCAAGAGAGTCTGAATAAATACACCACAGTACCTTAAATGGAATAAGGTAGCCCTACATTACTAACAAGGAAAAATGCCCAAAGACAGTGTTCAGCCAAAAAACAAAAGCGTCCGTTACAAAATATGTAAATATAATAATTCTGATTTTCAAATTAATAAATAGACTAATTTTTGCCAGGGGCAGAACTTGGGGAGGTTCTCACTTCCTAGGCAGTTCTAGATTTTTCCAGTTTTTAGTTTCATGATGAGCACATAACATCACAAAACTTTTTTTATTTTTTTATTTTTACCTGCTGCAGAAGGCGGAGGATGGTGTTGTTTTGCAGTTGTGGCACATACTGCTGCAATTCCGGTTCCTTTTCAGGTTGTTCCCTAACCCAATTTAGAACCTATAAAATCCATTAAATTGAAAGAGAATCACACTTTCTACATAAGAGATACTAAAACATCTAAAACTCTTTTTTTTTTAATATACAAAAACATCATCCAATGCAAAGAAATACAAAATGTATCATGAAGCTACTGATACTTGTTTGAAGGTGACTGGCAGCAATGGCTAAATTAGTCATGCTGCTAATTAACCTCCAAAGGTTTGCTGAGCACATCAGATATATCTTTTCTCTTGAAATAAAGAAAAAAGACAATGAAATGTGCACTGAATTCCAACACATAGGACAAAACTTCTCTCTTAACAAATATGAATACAACCCAAAACTGCAAGAAGGCCAACTCTGTGGTAACAACCAGAACTTAAATACAAAGGCTTACCTTTGTGACTCGCTCACAGAGTTTTAATGGGTTAAATTCTACTTCAAGCCAATTGTAAAGGTCTTTCACTTCTGGGACAACATATTGTAGTACATTAAATCTGACCTACAGTAAGCAAAACAAAAGATGTAACTGCCAAAGGAAATTTTCCAACTAAAATTCTGAACTTAGTATAAATGATAGCATTGGAAATCTGGAAAATGATTTAAAAAATCATCAAGCCTCAACCTCCTCTAAATTTACCAAAAATGAATCCAAAGTACAACTATGCTGGGTCTTTTGCCCCACACTATGCACATTAACCTACCGTGAAAAGCCCCACAAGTATGTAAAAAGGAAATGAAACTCTAAAAAACACAACTACAACCAATTAAATATTCACAAAGACAACTACTGTGGCCAATAGAATATTTTATTACCAATAACAAGGAAAATACCAGTTTTACTTTTATATAAATTATCACACAAAAATTATCATGGCAGCACTATTTCTAATAGCCCCAAACTGGGGAGAATTCACATATGGTGTATTCATAAAATAAACAAAAATGCTCAAAAAAGAACAGCTACATAGAACACATGAATAAATCTCACAAACATAGCGGTGAGAAAAGAATTTCACATATTACCCCATTTATATGGACTTCAATTTTACCATGGAATATGTCATTTTTTTTAGGAACTGTTAACCCAAGGACAAAATAACTGCTGGGATAGAGCAAAGCACAGAAGTGTGTACCCATAGAGAGTGGGTGACAAAACTGAGGCAAATATTGGCAGATCGCATCCCCAAGCAAGGAGGGCACCCACACATGGGAGCACTCAGGTCTAAGGTTAACTCTAATGTAAAATGGGTACAAGGCTGAAATCCTACAACATTCTAACACTTCCTCCTTATAAGCATCCATATATCTTTACTGCAATAAGGTGTGGTATATGCATACAAATAAAATTCCCTAACTTAGAATCTGCCTTTAAGAGAAAAAAAAAAATTCCCAGCTCTAATTTCATTCCTATCAAGTTATTTTAGATTCTTCATGCAGTCCCCTTCCGAATAGGGAAATGTGAAAGGCTGCCATAATCTACTAAATTATATTTCTCACTAAAATACATGATTGGTTTACTTTCCGATTTAAAAGTCACTCTTAGGAATGTTTGAGTCTTTTCCTGAGATAATGGAATCACTCTGTCTCATAAATTTGGTTATGGAAGCCTAACGCTCAGGTATTGACCTTGGATATATGGTCAACTCAAGAAGTTGACAAATGCCTCTTGGCAGTCAGCTAATCCATTCACTTGACACTAACTGGTATCCTTCTAGAAGTCTACACTCTGTGGGCACAATGAGGACTCTAATCTAGATGCCCTAGTTGTTGGTCCAATGCTACCCATCAGTGATCACCGAATGACTTGCTCACAGAGTTTTAGTGGCTCAAATTCTACTTCCAGCCAATTGTAAATGTCTTTCGCTTCTGGGACAACATATTGCAGTATATTAAATCTAAGTCTAAGAGATCACCTTTTTTTTTTTTTTTTTTTTTTGAGATGGAGTCTTGCTCTGTCACCCAGGCTAGAGTGCAGTGGCACGATATCAGCTCACTGCAACCTATGCCTCCCGGGTTCAAGCGATTCTCCTGCCTCAGCCTCCCGATTAGCTGGGATTACACGCATGCACCACAATGCCCAGCTAATTTTTTTTTTTTTGTATTTTTAGTAGAGACGGGGTTTCACCACGATGGCCAAGCTCGTTTCAAACTCCTGACCTGAAGTGATCCACCCGCCTTGGCCTCCCAAAGTGCTAGGATTAGACGTGAGCCACCGCGCCTAGCCAAGATCACCTTTAACAAGGTGACGTGGATTATCCTTCCAGTGTGGCACGTTTCTTCAGCTTTAAAAATTAGAAGCAAATTTTTTATTAGCAAATGTTTTATTTGCTAATGAAACTTCTTTCTCAAGACACTGCTGTTGCTTTATTACATTGAGTCCTACATCGGCCCCATAAACAGAAAGTTGAACTCTGTGGGCAGTGGCAGCAGAAAAAAACATGGAGGAATACAAAGTAGAAAAAAAGCTGCTCTGCAGGAACTCTTTGCAAAAGTTAGCTACAAAGTGAATCTGCATTACTATGTCACAAAGGAAAAATGCCACTATCTAGAAAAGTTATTTGTTCTTAAATTGACTACTGCAGAAAATTTAGGCCTTTTATCTAGCTTTTATCAGAGTGAATATAGGTGTTTCCTCAGAATACATTTCAAAAATATCTGAGAGAGCCTGCCATTATCTTTTTGATTTCTTTATTGCTCTATTCATGAATTAGGGACTGTTAATGATTTAAATTCCGTTTTTGGTAAACATACAGCCAAGTACTTATCCCTCTTTCTCTTACCCCAAAGTAATCTACTGGAGGTGATTCTAATAACCAAGTCAGACTATTATGATAAGAATCCCTAGAATCTCAGCTCCCCTAGAATACAACTTCTGCCTTCAGTTTCACTTGCTAGGCACATAACAGGCACTCAACAAATTTCCACTGAATGGAAGATTCCATCAATGCGAAACACTAAAAAGATACACAAATCTGGCCGGCACGGTGGCACACCTGTAATCCCAGCACTTAGGGAAGCCGAGGGGGATCGTTCACTTGAGGCCAGGAGTTCACGACCAGCCTAGCCAACGTGGCAAAATCCCGTCTCCACTAAAACTACAAAAAACCACTGTAGTGGTGCGTGCCTGTAATTCCAGCTACTTGGGAGGCTGAGGTAGGAGAATCACTTGAACCTGGGAGGTGGGGGTTACAGTGAACTGAAATCGCACCACTGCACTCCAGCCTGAGCAACAGAGCTAGACCCTGTCTCAAAAAACAACAACAACACGTCTTAGGCTCCACACTCTAAAACTTTTGTATTATATCTGCTGGGTAAAACCTAGAAATCTGCATTTTAAAAAGTATTTCACATACAATTTCACTGAATAACCCTAATTAAGTCCATACTATTTAGTAACATCAAATGAAAGTTTAAAAGAGAAAAAAGTTGAAAATATTTTAGTTCTTCAGACATTGAACATCAGACACTGAAGGTAAGTCTACCTTACCTTCTCCCCTAGTGATGTGGTTTGGATCTGTGTACCCACCCAAATCTCATGTTCAACTGTAATCTCCAGTGTTGGAGTGTGGCCTGGTGGGAGGTGACTAAATCATGGGGGCAATTTCTAATGATTTAGCACCATCCCCGTAGGCCCATCCTCATGATAAGAGTTCTCCCAAGATCTGGTGTTGTTTAAAAGTGTGTGGTACCTTCCCCCTCTGTCTTCCTCCTGCTCCAGCCGTATAAGCCATACCTGCTTCCCGTTCCCCTTCCACCATGATGGTAATTTTCCTGAGGTCTCCCCAGATGCAGAAGCCACTATACTTCCTATACAGCCTGTGGAACCATGAGCCAATTAAACCTCTTTTCTTTATAAATTACCCAGTGTCAGGTACTTCTTTTTTGTTTGTTTGTTTGAAAAGGAGTCTCACTCTGTCGCCCAGGCTGGAGTGCAGCGGCACGATCTCAGCTCACTGCAACCTCCGCCTCCCGGGTTCCAGCGATTCTCCTGACTCAGCCTCCTGCGTAGCTGGGATTACAGGTGTGTGCCACTATGCCCAGCTAATTTTTTGTTATTTTTAGGAGAGACCGGGTTTCGCCATGTTTGCCAGGCTGGTCTTGAATTCCTGACCTCAGGTGATCCACCTACCTCAGCCTCCCAAAGTGCTGGGATTACAGACGTGAGCCACCACACCCATCCTCGGGTATATATAGCAGTGCGAGAACATACTAATACACCTAGCCTCTTCATATTTACCACACACAGCTTAATTAGTTTTCCTAGAGCCTCCATGAAATAAGCCATGACTCTTCTTGCCCATCATTACTTCTTCTCTTACTAACTGGCCCACGGTATTCCCCAGAGCCAACCCAAGTCCTGCTAGATCAAAACTCCCACCAATTTAACCCCTGCTCACCCACTGGCGCGGAACTGCCTCAAGTGAACAGTGATTGACACCAGTGCTTCCCTGTCCATACATCAGAACCCTTGGCACTGAATCAGAATTCCCAGTATTTAATCATGAGTTATTAAACCTGACCACAAAGTTTTCTGCCCAAAGCTACAAAAATCCTCAAATTAATACTAACCATATCATTAATAAGGCCAATTCGTGTCGGTGGGGCTTGAAGACCTAGTAGTGTTGCAAGGCGACGCTGTTTTTCAACTATAATGCCATCCATATCCAGAAGTCGAGCAATATCCGTACGCTCAGGAGTAATAGGGATGGAAAGAGTGGCTAAAAGGACTCTAGTAGACATTCTATGGAGAACAAAGTTTTAAATCTGTTAGGTTTGTAAATGATACTTGGTAAGCAGAAAAGCACTTCTCTTTAATCTTACGGTAAGGCGTGCTAGTGACAGAACGTGTACATCACCATGGTGCACTATACTCATAAATATTATTCCATCAAAGCATGGGAGTAAGAGAAATGGGCTGTGTTTAAACGAATACTTGGAGAATCAGGACTTCATCTATCCACTCAGTACTGTCAGTGTTTTCTAGCTTCAGAAAAAGATTGTGATTGACCAGGCGCGGTGGCTCACGCCTGTAATCCCAGCACTTTGGGAGGCCAAGGGGGGCACATCACGACGTCAAGAGATCGAGACCATCCTGGCTAACACGGTGAAACCCCATCTCTACTAAAAATACAAAAAATTAGCCAGGCGTAGTGGTGGGCGCCTGTAGTCCCAGCTACTCAGGAGGCTGAGGCAGGAGAATCGCATGAACCCGGGAGGCGGAGCTTGCAGTGAGCCAAGATCGCGCCACTGCACTCCAGCCTGGGCGACAGAGCCAGACTCTGTCTCAAAAAAGAAAAAAAAAGAAAGAAAAAGATTGTGATTAAATGACAGAAAACACACATTCATATACCCCAGACTTCCTTACAAAATTAAGGCAGGTTTAAAAACTAAGGAAATGGCTAGGCGCAGTGGCTCACGCCTGTAATCCCAGCACTTTGGGAGGCCGAAGCAGACGGATCACCTGAGGTCACGAGTTCCAGACCAGCCTGGACAACATGGTGAAACCCCATCTCTACTAAAAATGCAAAAATTAGCCAGACATGGTGACAGGCGCCTGTAATCCCAGCTACTCAGGAAGCTGAGGCAGGAGAATCAGTTGAACCCAGGAGGCGGAGGGTGCAGTGAGCCAAGATTATGCCACTGGACTCCAGCCTGGGGGGCAGAGTTAAGACTGTCAAAAAAAAAAAAAAAAAAAAAAAAAAAAAAAAAACCTAAGGAAGTAAGTGGCAATAAGGCAGAAAAAAATTTTAAGAATCAGAAGTGAACACTATTATGGTAGTGAGGGAGAGGGGGAGACAAGAACCAGGAGCTAAATTTTCACATCCCTGAAAGACAAGAAGTCAGGCTGCATTCAGAGCATGGCAGGACCCCAAAGACTGCGAGCCCTGGAGCTGAAGGGCTAGCATCTCCCCTTCGCCATTTCCAAGACTGTGACCGTAGGCAAGATACTTAATTTTCTGAGTCATAAGGCTACTGCAAAGATTAAACCAAATAATGTACTAAGAGCTAGACAGCCTAATGCTCACTATTATTGTAGTACTCTCTGAAGGCAAGCTTATGTGTCTGGAAGAACATGTTTTTCCTTAAAACAAACAGATGTGGACCAGGCGCAGTGGCTCATGCCTGTAATCCCAACACTTTGGGAGGCCGAGGCAGGTGGATCACCTGAGGTCAGGAGTTCAAGACCAGCCTGGCTAACATGGTGAAACCCCGTTTCTACTAAAAATACAAAAAAAATTAGCCAGGCGTGGTGGCGCACGCCTGTAATCCCAGCTACTTGGGAGGCTGAGGCAGGAGAAGCGCTCGAACCCGGGAGGCAGAGGTTGCAGCGAGCCAAGACTGCGCCATTGCACTCCAGCTTGGGCAACAAGAGCAAAATTCTGTCTCAAAAAAAAAAAAAGGATGTGAATTACATAAGTGACAGTGGATGCCATAACGGACACCATCCTCAAGAGTTTCTAAGAAAATATGCTAGTGGCCAAGCACAGTGGCTCATGCCTATAAATCCCAACACACTCGGAGCCTGAGGCAGGTAGATCACTTGAGACCAGAAGCTTTGAGACCAGCCTGGGCAACATAACGAGACCCTGCCTCCACAAAAAAAATTAAACATTAGCTGGACGTGGTCGCGCTCGCCTGTAGTCTCTGCTACTCAGAAGGCTGAGGTGGAAGAATAGTCTGAGCCCAGGAGTTCAAGGATGCATGCAGTGAGCTACAACACACTACTACACTCCATCTGGAGCAAGGAAGCAAGACCCTATGAGAAAGGAAAGAAAGACCGTATCAGAAAGCAAAGACATAGAGAACAAAGAAGAGAAAGAAAGAAAATATACTAGTGGGACTCATTTAATTGGTCCCATGAATTGCTCTAAAATAGTTTTACATAAGAAAGACAATTTGCTTTACATAATTCTACTGGATAACAAAATAATTGGTGGACCAATACAAGAAAACAGGTGGTATGTGTGTTGCCTAAGTCCAATAGCATTTTTTTTTTTTGAGATGGAGTCTTGCTCTATCGTCCAGGCTGGAGTGCAGTGGCACAATCTCAGCTCACCACAAGCTACGCCTCCCAGGTTCAAGCCATTCTCCGGCCTCAGCCTCCCGAGTAGCTGGGATTACAGGCGTGCACCACCACACCCAGCTGATTTTTGTATTTTTAGTAGAGACGGGGTTTTGCCATGTTGGCCAGGCTGGTCTTGAACTCCTAACCCTAAGTGATCCACCCACCTTGGCCTCCCGAAACTGCTGGGATTACAGACATGAGTCACTGCGCCAGGCCAGAAATGTATTTTTTTTTTAAGTGACAGAAAACAGGTTATACGTAACGTTAAAAATAATAAAATGGAAGACTATGCCTTCGGGGCTCATTTCTATAGTTTGTTGCTAGAGAAGTTTCTCTGAACGTGTGGAGCACAGGGAAAAAATTGGTCTATAGGTTGTTGGGTTATAGACCCTTCCTTTTATATTCATATGTATTTATATGAGAATAAACATGACCCAAATATTCTACACTTAATATTTTGCAATCAGGAAAAAATGACTTGATAGAAGTATTTACCCTGCCAGGCGTGGTGGCTCACACCTGTAATCCCAGCACTTTGGGAGGCCGAACCAGGAGGATCATCTGAGGACAGGAGTTCGAGGACAGCCTGGCCAACATCATGAAACCCCATCTCTACCAAAAATACAAAAAATTAGCCAGGCATGGTGGTGCACACCTGTAATCCCAGCTACTCAGGAAGCTGAGGCAGGAGAATTGTTTGAACCCAGGAGGCGGAGTGAGATCGCATCATTGCACTCCAGCCTGGGCGATAAGAGCGAAGGCTCTGTCTCAAGAAAAAATAAAATAAAATAAAATACAAGTCAGGCGCGGTGGCTCACTCCTGTAATCCCAGCACTTTGGGAGGCAGAGGCAGGTGGATCATGAGGTGAGGAGTGGAGACCAGCCTGGCCAATATGGTAAAACTCTGTCTCTACTAAAAATGCAAAAATTAGCCGGGCATGGTGGTGGGTGCCTGTAATCCCAGCTACTCCAGAGACTGAGCCAGGAGAATCGCTTGAACCCAGCAGGCAGAGGATGCAGTGAGCCAATATCGTGCCACTGCACTCCAGCCTGGGCAACAAAAGACTCTGTCTTGCAAAAAAAAAAAAAAAAAAAGAAAAGGAAAAAAAAGTATTTTTCTTAATTTTCTATTTGTTCTGAGAATAGACTCCACCTCTATGTGGATAGAAAGCTCATCCGTTAAATGTGTTTTTCCTAATATTCAAATTTCTCAATTGGGCTTTTAGCGGAGTTACTTATCACCTGAGGTGAGGAGTTCAAGACCAACTACTAAAGTCCAAGAATACTGTTCAGGAAGGGCAATGTCTTGAGACGTCTTAATAGTCACAACTGGCGGTGGTTGCTACTGGCATCTAATGGGTAGAAGCTGAGGATGCTGCTAAACTGCTAAACCACCTGCAGTACACAAGACAGCCCCATGACTAAGAATTATCCAACCCAAAATGTCAGTAGTGCAGAGGCTGAGAAACCATGGCCTAAAATATACCATGTCATATAATAGACGATATTTGTTACAGAATTTCAACATTATCCAAGTATAACATTTTTACCTTTGCATCTCATCTTGTGTGAGATTCTTTCTCATTTCTCTAGAGAGATGGTAAAGACGATGGAGTGTAGATGCATGAAAAAGAGCATTTCCAGATTTCCAAAACACAGTTGAGACTTTGTTATAGTAATTTGCCATCAACTGAGGTTTAGGTGGTTTTTTAGACAAGGAGAATAGCCCGTGAATATCTTCCACAGCTTTGAATGCTTCCTAAAATTAGGAGTATAAATTAAAGTCATTGCATTCTATAACACGAAAAAAATCTAATTCAAATTTCTATGAAACCTACAACACAGAAAACATAAAAATAGCAAATAAAATACCTTTGTGTGGTTCTCTTTACTCATGTATATCTATTTTAGAAAACTGCCATAATTACAAAAACACTAACTCCTTAAACGTTTTAAAGTTCTTTAGGAAATAATGGGAAGTAGACAGAGCAGACTCAAGAAAATATTTGCATATTATCCCATCACTTCGGGCAATATAAAGAAAAAATCTAGAAGGATATACAACAGGTTATTTCTGAGTGATAAGATAATGGATGAATATTTCTCTTCTTTTAACTTATGGATTTTTTTCTATAATGGGCATGTTTACTTATCTTCTACAGGTAGTATTTTAAGATGGGTGTCCCTATAGAAAAGGAAACATGGGCAAGAACAAGACATCAAATCACACTTTCACTTGGCTCAAAGACTCCCAATTTTTAGTTTCTTCCTCTATAATTTCAATCAAATATTGTCCGTCAAATATACAAAAGACTTCAAGGTCACATGACTACAAAATTATATGGAACGTCTTTGTAGGATTCTTAGAGAAAAAGGGCCAGGGAGAGGACTAGCTTCCTAACACCATCAAGATCTCCAATGCAAGACAGGCAGCTAAAGCACCACTAAGAAATCTAGAATAATCTACAGCAGCACTTCTCCAAACAATCAGTAGTAAAGGATTCGGTTTGTTTTAAATTTCTGACCTCTTACCGAAGAATATAAAATACAAAATTACCACAAAAATGAAACAGAAAAAGCTCACTTTTTATCAGAGTAAAAACACACAAAATGTACAATAAAATTGCTACTAAGAAACTTTGCATATGCTTTTCTACTCTATACTTATTTCATCACAGACCAGATAGTTTACAGATGACACCAGTCATGAAACCACACTTCGAGCAGCACTGGCAATGTATTGTTTTATATGTCAAGAAACTGGGTCTGAAAGAGATTATATGGTTTGGTCCAGAATTCATAGAAGGCAACTAGAAACAAAATATTCTGAGATTTCTTGTTCAGAACTTTTCCCAGTCCATTAGGCAACTTTAATTCCTTACCTTATTGAAATTAACCAATGCATACCAAGATGAAGCTATTCATTAAGGGGGGAGAAAAGTAACACAGACTATTATTTCTAGGAAGAAAAGCTAATAGCTCCAACATACCTGCCACAATTCCATGCTGATAGCACTGTCCAGCTGAACAAGTCTGGTTTCCAAATGCATGGACTGGCTCTCTGGATTATTAAGATTGATTGCCGTACTTTGGTTATGGTGGCGCTGAATCTGCGATAAGTGCATTCTCAAATTGTCACACAGTTTACGGAATTCAGCCTTACGCGTGTATTGGAGGCAGAATTTGAAAGCTATAAGCATAATTGTAAAATATATTAGGTACCTTCCACTATCTACTTAAATATTTGAATAGGTTTTATTTCACACATTAAGATCAGTTGTTTTAACAGGATTCACCAAACTCATCATTAGTCTTTGTGATGCAATGAGAATCAACTTATTTCATCCAGACTACCTTTTTGAGTGAGCCCTAACAAAACCAAAGACATAATCACTGGTCCTTGCTTACAACTAAAATGTGGTGCTGGCAGAGTTTACAAATGGGAAACTAGAATTTAGATCTAGGGGTCACCTTTCAAAGACCCACCACTTTAAATCCTAGGAGTAAAAAAATCTAGTATGAAATATAATGAACTTTGATATCTAACTTACATAGTAAGAAACAAGGTTCTGTACTAATTAAAACTACATAATACAAATTGAGGGCTTATAGTAACCTAATTTCAACTGATTACAGATGAACTACTTGTTCTGTCATTTAACTGGACACGTTAATTTTTTTACCGTCACATATGCACTATTAGATTATTTTTTAGATTTCCTTTCCCCTTAAAAATAGTTATGTCTATTTTAACAGGCCTAAAACAGAGATGCAGTTTAACTTCAAGTTAATATTTGTATCAACAGCTATCAAAAAGTCCAAATTTACTTGTATGAAAGTGAAAATTCAGCTGGGCGCGATGGCTCACGCCTGTAATCCCAGCACTTTGGGAGGCCGAGGTGGGTGGATCACAAGGTCAGGAGATTGAGACCATCCTGGCTAACACGGTGAAACCCCATCTCTACTAAAAATACAAAAAATTAGCCGAGCATGGCAGCGTGCGCCTGTAGTCCCAGCTGTTGGGAAGACTGAGGGAGAAGAATGGCGTGAACCTGGGAGGCGGAGCTTGTAGTGAGCCGAGATTGCGCCACTGCACTCCAGCCTGGGCCACAGAGCAAGACTCTGTCTCAAAAAAAAAAAAAAAAAAAAAAGAAAGAAAAAAAGAAAGAAAGTGAAAATTCAGGCTGGGCAGAGCTGTAATCCCAGCACTTTGGGAGGCTGAAGCAAGAGGATCACTTGAGTCCAGAAGTCTGAGACCAGCCTGAGCAACAATGCAAGATCCCAGCTCTTTTTTAAAAACTAAAAATAAATTAAAAAAAAAAAAAAAAGTAGAGAACTCAAGTTCACTAAAAAAAAAAAAAATGGAAAAGTTTATTTTTTCAGTTATACAGAGAATTCCAAAATAACTTTAAAATGTCTTTCATTATTACTGATGTTTGTGTAAAAAGAAAAAAAAAGATCTTTCAGATATCAATAAAATACAATTCACACAAAACTCCTTTAAAGAGTAAAACAAATTCCTTACTCAGTCATTTTGGTTTTGTTTTGTTTTGTTTTGTTTTGTTTTGTTTTGTTTTGAGACAGAGTCTTGCTGTTACCAAGGCTGGAGTGCAACAGTGCCATCCTGGCTCACTGCAACCTCCGCCTCCTGGGTTCAAGCGATCCTGCCACCTCAGCCTCCTAAACAGTTGGGATTACAGGCATACACCACCACGCCCGGCTAAATTTTTTGTATTTTTAGTAGAGAAGGGGCTTCACCATGTTGGCCAGGCCGCTCTTGAACTCCTGACCTCAAGTGATCCACCCACCTTGACCTCCCAAAGTGCTGGGATTACAGGTGTGAGCCACCACATCCGGCCGCAGTCATTTAATACTCATGTGAATGCCAACATTTCAATAAGGATAAAAACTAGTTCATTTTAAGTACTTTTCAGAAAATTTACTCCTCAGTCAATTTCAAAGCACTTCACTCAGATTTGATCTTCTCATCTTACCTTGCTGGGCAATATCATGGTACAGGCGCTCTACTCTAGAATTGTTTCTAAGAAGGTCCAAACACTGCCTGTAAGACTCCCACAGGAATTTAACCCATGGAGTTAAAAGTAATCTGTCAGTACGATCCTGAGTGTCTTCACCACTTACAGCACTTAGGAGAACACTACAAAGAAAAAAATGTTGAAAACAATTTTAGACAGTTTCCTACTTTGCCATGTGATTAAAAACCAAAACAATGTTCATCAGAAAACAGTGCAAATTCTTCCCACAATATGTACACACTGCAAAGGTGTCACTATCTACTCCCTGAATTCCCAATCTGCATTATGTTCATTTAAATTGGTATTTGCCCCTCTATCTTAAGGCTGTCATTTTCCACTTCTATGAATTTTTATTACCTACATAAATTAACTGGTTACTATGCATTTAAAACTTCAAAGATTTGCATTTTTTTCTGATAAACATCTACTTCAAAAGGAAATGAAGACCCATGTAAAAGAAAACACCAAGTTAACTATCAAAGCATTTATTAGAGGTCTAACCCACATACCTCTCAGGAGTTTGAATATTATCTAGATCCTCTATATCTAAGACCATCTGCTGAGATTCTTCTTTAGCAGCTTCAGTTTTTTCCTCTGCCATTTTCAAATATGCCCTAACAACATCCTCCAGAGATTTTATGTTCACCTAATCCAAAAAAACAAAAACTCTTCAGAACTTATTTTTCCATTGAACCATAAGATGTTTTAAAGGCAAATTTTTAAGAGAAATACAATATATTCACTTCGAAAGGTAAGTTCTTCGGCAGATTACTAAAAACACTTGTTAAAAATATACAACCCAGTTCCGTTTGTACCTGTTGACAAATGTTCTTATACTGGTATAACCCCTCCTTTGCCAAGTGGCTCTTGCGAAGATCCACGCAAAGTTCCAAGTATTTCAACATAATTGGTTCGTGTATCTTTTGCCATGTTCTATGTTTTTTACTTTTCATAACATCATAAAGAACATCCAGAGCAGGCTGCTTTTTGCCAACCTCAAGAAATTCTGAAAAATTCAGAAGAATTAAAATTAGTTATGTACACTATACAAGAGTCTAAACTTTACCTTTTTAAACAGCTATTTCAATTCCCCAACTCATTACCAACTTTTTACCAAGTTACATTTATTTTTGACTTCTAAAGCTATGCCATAATTATCAAAAGTAAAACAACAGAAAGACCTGTACTGTGTTGAAATATGATCTACAAGTAAAACTGAATCACTGTATTCCACTGTGATTTAAAAGTTCCAGGCCGGGCGCAGTGGCTCATGCCTGTAATCCTAGCAATTTGAGAGGCCGAGGTGGGCCAATCACTTGAGGTCTAGAGCTGGAGACCAGCCTGGCCAATACGGTGAAACCCATCCCTACCAAAAATACAAAAATTAGCCAGGCGTGGTGGTATGTGCCTGTAGTGCCAGCTACTGAGGAGGCTGAGGCAGGAGAATCACTTGAACCCAGGAGGCGGAGGTTGCAGTGAGCCGAGATCGCACCATTGCACTCCAGCCTGGGTGACAAGAGCGAAATTCCGTGTCTCAAAAAAAAAAAATAAAATAAATAATGTGTCGGTATTGGTTCATTAGTTGTTACCAATAAAAATCAACATGGGAGAAAGTGGGTGTGGTGTCAATGAAACTATGCACTCTCTTTGCAACACTCTGGAAATCTCAAACTGCTCTAAAAAATTCTTTTTTTTTTTAAATAAAAAAATAGAAAAATGGGGCCGGGAGCGGTGGCTTATGCCTGTAATCCCAACACTTTGGGAGGACGAGGAGGGCAGATCACTTGAGGTTGGGAGTTCAAGACCAGCCTAACCAAAATGGAGAAACCAAGTCTCTACTAAAAATACAAAATTAGCAGGGCGTAGTGGTGCATGCCTGCGGAGGCTGAGGCAGGGGAATTACATGAACCTGGGAGGCAGAGGTTGCGGTCAGCTGAGATGGCGCCACTGCACTCCGGCCCGGGCAACAAGAACGAAACTCCAACTCAAAAAAAAAAAAAAAAAAAAAAAGGGAAAAAAATGGAATACAAAGCAAAATAACTTATTTTTTTTCTTTTTTTTTTTTTTTGACATGGAATCTCGCTGTGTCGCCCAGGCTGGAGTACACTGGCGTCATCTCAGCTCACCGCAACCGATTCTCCTGCCTCAGCCTCCTGAGTAGCTGGGATTACAGGCACCCACCACAGGGCCCGGCTAATTTTTGTATGTTTAGTACAGACAGGGTATCACCATCTTGGCCAGGCTGGTCTCGAACTCCTGACCTCATGATCCACCCGCCTTGGCCTCCCAAAGTGCTGGGATTACAGGCATGGGTCACCATGCCCAGACAACTTATATTCTTTTGAATTTATTATCCCCTGAGCCCGAAGGCATTCTATGTGGTAACATTTCAAAACCCAGTTCCAATTTTAAGTTTTATGCATATTGTTTGTTTTGAAATACAGTCAAAAGCAATACCTTTGCCATTACATTATTTCTGACCAAGGTTAAAATTTATCTTAAATTTCCTCATCTTTTATTTTCTTTTGTACACTTAATAGACTGGGGGAGAAAGAGGTTATTTAACCTAAGTCAACTGGTTAAATTCATCTTAACATTCATTAATTGCAAATTTCACACACACACAAACTTCCCAATGAACATTTAAAAAATAATTTGGGGGAACTAAAACACTACACTAAAAAAAAAAAGGGGGGGAGCTTAAAACACTATATATATACATATATATATATATATCTCCTTTTTAAAAATATCATTGTTTATTTTCCTTGGAAAAAGACTTTTTTTTTTTTTTTTTTTTTGGACAGAGTCTTGCTCTGTCACTCAGGCTGGAGTGCAGTGGTGCAATCTCAGCTCACTGCAAGCTCCGCCTCCCGGGTTCACGTCATTCTCCTGCCTCAGCCTCCTGAGTCGCTGGGACTACGGAGCTCGCCACCACGCCTGGCTAATTTTTTTTTTTTTTTTTTTTGTATTTTTAGTAGAGGCGGGGTTTCACCGTGTTAGCCAGGATGGTCTCAATCTCCTGACCTCGTGATCTGCCCACCTCGGCCTCCCAAAGTGCTGGGGATACAGGCGTGAGCCACCGCACCCAGCCAATACTTTTTCTTTTAAGAGCTATCTGATAATGGCCGGGCGCAGTAGCTCACGCCATAATCACAGCACTTTGGGAGGCGGGTGGATCACGAGGTCAGGAGATCGAGACCATCCTGGCTAACACGGTGAAACCTCGTCTCTACTAAAAATACAAAAAATTAGCTGGGCCATGGTGATGCACGCCCGTAATCCTAGCTACTTGGGAGGCTGAGGCAAGACAATTACTTGAATTCAGGAGGCGGAGGTTGCGGTGAGCCGAGATAGCGCCACTGTACTCCAGCCTGGGCAACAAGTCTCCAAAAAAAAAAAAAAAAAGTTTGCTACAGGATAAATCACAAAACATACTGAAATAAATCTTTGTACAATACCTTATATGAAATCACATTTTTCACATGCAAATAATGACAAAACCCTTCACCACTGCATGAAAAAGTCCATCTTTCGCTGACTCCATCTTACTATCAAAAAAAAAACTTACTAAATGAAACAAAGATGTAATATATAACTAGATATTTTGTTGAAATAAGCCTTTCCTTGTTGTCAGGGGTGGGGGTGGGAGGGAAAAAACTTGCAGTCTTCTCCTGGTCTTCTCCTATATAGTGCATGTAAGGTTATTTTCTAAAATGTAACAGTACAGCCAGGCGCCTTGGCTCACACCTATAATCCTAGCCCTCTGGGAGGCCAAGGCATCACTTGCGGTCAGGAGTTCCAGATCAGCCTGGGCAACATGGTGAAACCTTGTCTCCACTAAAAACACAAAAA
Source organism: Homo sapiens (assembly GCF_000001405.40). Classification (NCBI taxonomy): domain Eukaryota; kingdom Metazoa; phylum Chordata; class Mammalia; order Primates; family Hominidae; genus Homo; species Homo sapiens. The sequence continues at coordinate 119,076,787 of NC_000010.11, forward strand.
TTAGCCAGGCATGGTGGTGCATGCCTGTAATCCCAAATACTCGGGAGGCTGAGACTTTAGAATCACTTGAACCCAGGAGGCGGAGGTTGCAGTGAGCCAAGATTGCGTCACTGCACTCCAGCCTGGGCAATAGAGGGAGAGACTCTGTCTCAAAAAAAAAAAAAAAAGAAAATGTAACAGTACATTAGGCGTTCTTCATAACTAACAAAAACAGTCTCTTATCAGCAAAAAACTTGGGAGTAAATGCGTTTAATGGAATTTATACTTTAAGAAAATCACAGCAGCAGCACTAAAATGACCTATTGTATCCAACTCCTAATCTAAAAAGGGCTTGCTTAAAGATGGAACTGAAACCATTTTTCACTTCCTGAACAGCCAATTAGAAGTTGATTCCTTAGCCAGGCGCGGTGGCTCACGCCTGTAATCCCAGCACTTTGGGAGGCTAAGGCGAGCAGATCACTTGAGGCCAAGGGTTCAAGATCAGCCTGGGAAATATGGTGAAAAAAATTAAAAAATTAGCTGGGCATGGTGGGACACACCTGTAATCCCAGCTACTTGGGAGGCTGAGGCAGGAGAATCGCTTGAGCCTGGGAGGCGGAGGTTGCAGTGGGCCGAGATAGTGCCACTGCACTCCAGCCTGGCCAACAGAGAGAGATTCTGTCTCAAATAAATAAATAAATAGTTGGAATGGGAACAGATTTTTCATAATCCATGACAGTGAGTCTTCTGCCTTTGTCCTAATTTATATACAAGAATTTAGTTCCTCCGAATTTTTTTTTTTTTTTGGAGAAGGAGTCTCGCTCTGTCACCCACGCTGGAGTGCAGTGGCGCAATCTCAGCTCACTGCAAGCTCCACCTCCTGGGTTCATGCCATTCTCCTGCCTCAGCTTCCTGAGTAGCTGGGACTACAGGTGCCCGCCACCACACCAGGCTAATATTTTTGTATTTTTACTAGAGACGGTTTCACTGTGTTAGTGAGGATGGTCTTGATCTCCTGACCTTGTGATCCACCCGCTTCGGCCTCCCAAAGTGCTGGGATTACAGGCATGAGCCACCACGCCCGGCCTCCTCTGAATTATTTAATAGTGGCCGGGGGAAGCTTTTGAGACTGGAAAGAACTATGATAAACTAAAGGTTCTATTTCAATACTTAAATATTGACTTCCAGATTAATATTATAGAAATAAAAATTAAAATCTAGAATTATAAACCTTACTGGATGGGTGAGCATTTGGAGCATACCTTTCAAATTCATTACTGAAAGTATGTATAAAGAAGTTTACATCAGCCCTTGATGTTTGCTAGTTTATTTGTGCAACAGACCAAATGGATATGCTATGTTACTCAATTTGTGGCCTTAATAGCTTTATTTTTCAAAGGCACTGGTTGTAGAACATAAACTATAATAAGGTCAGCAGCAGTTAGTGTGGCACCACTAATGATATAATATGAAAAAGGGGCCTTCTCCAAATGATTACAGGATACGAAATTCTTGCCTGTAACTGCTGGTCCAAGTTCTCACCTTCCTGAATGACTACTATAATTTTTCCCCCAAAAATTGCTCATATATATGCTTAGGGTGACCTGAACGACTATTCTACTTAAATTTATTTACATTTTATTAAGACAATGCAATAAATTAGGTCTAAATATTGTTAGGATCACAAATATTACATGTAAAACATTTAGATAAAATGAGATTATTTCCAATTAGGGGAATGCCCTTTGATCCTTCACTTATGTTTTGGAAGCAGTGCCCTGGACCATCCACGATCTGCTCACTTTGAGAAGGGATCCCTCACAATCCAAAGGTATGAGTTTCTACTCTGAAGGGAACGCATGCATCCCCATCCAACAGCTTCAAAGGGCTGCAAGGGACCACAGTCTTTTTTAAAAAGCTACACAAACAAAACTCAAGTTTCCCCCCCAGTGTCCCTCATCTTGCCTACTTTAATTTCAGATCCTTTCCTTAACCTGCCCTTCATGAATCAAGCCTGTGTCAATTTAGAAACAGGAAAAAAATGTTTGATGCACATTACATATCTTTTCTATATGAAGTTCTTATGAAGGTTCCAAAAAGAGAAGCGATAAAGGAAACAAGACCCGAACACACCAAATATATAATATGTAGGCCATTATAATGCTTTGGCCTACTAGCACGGGGAAAAAAAAATACCTGTTGGGCAAAGCATGCAAATGACTGTAAAACATCGACAACAGCCATGCAGAGTAGTAATTTCATGCAAATCATTTTGTATACTACAAATTCTAACTTTCGAAACGACGAAAAGTCATAAACTTTGCTACAGTTTGGTTTATAGTGACAAAGTTCCATTTCAATCTCTTCTTTCCGATGTATTAATAAACATCCTAAAACTGCTTGTCTGTTCTAACCATTAGATCACTGGTTATCATTAGAATGAATTAGTGCTCACATCTATGTTGTAGTTTCAATAGGTTTTTAAAACAATTACTCCATTCCACACAATGTGGAATTATCCTATTCCACAGACCAGTTCCCTCCCCGACAAAAAGTGTTACTTTTACTTTAAAAAGTATATGACCAACATATCTCTGGTTCTGCCAAATTATCAGTTTATGTGCTGACTCAAACTGCCATTTTCATAAGATGAATTTTCAAAGAAGCTAACAAAATAAGCTCTCCAAACATAAAACTGTAACTCACAAGGTATATTCATCTACAACATGGGTAAAACCCGAAACTTCTATTTCGGTGAAGGAAGGATGAAAATAAGAGCTATCCATGCCCTAACGATTAGAAAAATTGTCCGGTTAGAGGGGAAAAAAAAAACCCTACACAAAGTTTCTTAAGCCCAGAGCCTAGCCAAGAACATGTGCATCCCCAGAACGCCAATGTAATAAATGCCTTGGAGAGATCGGGGCACACAAGTTTTTCCCTCAAGCGCCAATGGCTGAAGTACACATATAGAAATAGAAATCGCAGACAGCAGCACTGTGGCAGAAAAAAAGAGAAAAAAGGACTGATCTGGATGTCAAGAGACGTTGGTTTTAAGTCTCTTGGCTCAACAACTCCCGGAGTGACCTTGGGGAAACCTCTCTCTAGGCCTGTTTCGTTATCTTTAAGAGGCGACCTGAAGTCCCTTTACATTAACTCTATTCCAACTTCCAGTGATTCGAAACAGGCTTTAGGACTGCTTCTAATCAATGCCAGGAAAAATGAAAAAACAAAAACAAAACAAAACAACAGGAATCAGGTTAAATGGGTCAGAGGCCCCTAAGTGGATATAAAGCAGCTGGGTAAAGGGTAAGTGGACGCCGACCCAGCAAAGCACTGAGCGCGGCTTGGAGAGCGGGGGTGGCTGCGGGAAGGCCGGGGGTGGGTCCGTAGGGCTCCCGGCCCGGGCAGGAGGTGGAGCCGAGGCTCTCGCGTGCATTGTCCCCGGGAGGGAGCCATGTTTCTTACTCCCCGGCACTCCCAGATGGCGGCCGGGGACGCGGGCCCTAAGCAGACCAAAGCCCCAGGGACCTGGAGAGCCAGAGGACGCAGGCAGCAAGGAGGGAGCTCCAGTCCGGGTAGGGGCTGTCTCCCGGGCTGCGGTCCCCGCGACGCACCCGGAGGCGGCAGGGGGAAGGAAAGGCCCCTGGGGCGACGGTTCCGGGCTACGCGCCTCCCAGACCCCAGTCGATAGAGTGAGAAGGAAACCCATGCCCAACCACCGGCTGGGACAGCGGCGGGCAGGCCGCATCGGTCTCCTCTCCCCGCGCGGGCCGGGCGGCGGAGCAGTGGGAAGCAGGCCCGCGCTCTCGACCTCGGAGGCCTCGGGCCGCCCCAGCCCGGCGCGCCCCGATCAGCTACTCACCGTTGGCGCGTTTGAGGGCATTTTCCGGCCTCTGAAAATAGGCCGGCATCTTGGCGGCAGGCTCAGCTCACCCGGCGTCAGCGAACTCTCTAGTGGCCCGGGCCGGGAGAGGAGACGAAGGGGAACCAGCGTAAGGTCCCACGCGCCTCGCCAGCAGTCGCCCGCGCCCAGCCGGCCAGAGACGGAAAGGAAGGAGCCACGTGACCTCCCCGCGGCGGCCCTGCTGCCGCCCAGGCCCCGGATGTAGGGGGCGGGTCTCCGTGCGCGCAAGCGCGCTGGCGTCACGCACGCCGACAGACGTGGCGGCGCCGGAGTCCTAGGCGCGCAAGGTCCAGTTCCCGTCTTGGGCCTGTCCTGGATAGCGTTAGGGAGACAGTTCACAGGCTCTTCAATCTTCGAGCGAGAATTAGGGTGGGAAGGGTGAGTGTGGGGTCAGAGTTTCTGTCTGGAGAACAAGCAAACGTCTGCAGATTGGTTTTCAAAGCGACTTGTGCGGAGTCGTGCAGTTACAGTAAGGTCCCATCCAGCCTGGGAATCGCCTGTCTTGGCTACGTGAAAATGCTGAGTTTAACGAAAACGCAGTGAGCAGGTGTCATCAGGTCAGCGCCGCTCAACCGTGAGAGACAATCATGGGGAAGAGTGACGCCTAAAATAAACAAGCAAGGTTCTTTTATATCTTGGTAAAGTAAAAAGTTTGTGTCACAGGGATTGCCTTGAGAAATGGAGGCTCTCAGAGGGGGCGAATGGGGACAGCGACCTGGCAAAGGGCGAAACGCCCTGGAGCACAGCAGACTTGCTTGGTGTTTGAAAACACACGGAAAGGAGTGTCGTCACTTTTTACATACAGCGCACGTCACAAACAAATTAAGAAAAATTAGTGTTAGTGAAAAAAATCAATCTGAGAGGCCCTTTTATTGTTGCTTAACAATTTTAATGTTCGCAGACGAAGTACTTTACCTAGAATTTGAAAACCATTTGAACCGAATCTAATTCTCAAGCCCTTGGTACGAAATAAAGGTGAGCTCAGAAGGAAAAAAATTTTTTTTTTTTTTGAAACGGAGTCTCGCTTTGTCGCCCAGGCTGGAGTGCAGTGGCACGATCTCGGCTCACTGCAAGCTCCGCCTTCTGGATTCACGCCATTCTCCTGCCTCAGCCTCCCGAGTAGCTGGGACTACAGGCGCCCGCCACTGCGCCCAGCTAATGTTTTGTATTTTTAGTAGAGACGGGGTTTCGCCGTGGTCTCGATCTCCTGACCTCGTGATCCGCCCTCCTCGGCCTCCCAAAGTGCTGGGATTACAGGCGTGAGCCACCGCGCCCAGCCCAGAAGGAAAATTTAGAAGGCAGCAGTGAAATAGATTATTGTCAATGTATTACACATTTAATAGACGAGATATGTGAATTAATGAATGAGGAAATCGGCCGGGCATGGTGGGTCGCGCCTGTAATCCCAGCACTTTGGGTGGCTGGGGCGGGTGGATCACCTGAGGTCAGGAGTTCGAGACCAGCTTGGCCAACATGGCGAAACCCCGTCTCTACTAAAAATACAAAACTTAGGCCTGGCGTGGTGGCTCACGCCTGTAATCCAGGCGCTTTGGGAGGCCGAGGCGGGCGGATCACGAGGTCAGGAGTTCGAGACCAGCCTGACCAAAGTGGTGAAACCCCCCCCCCCGTCTCTACTAAAGTTACAAAAAATTAGCTGGACGTGGTGGCGAACGCCTGTAATCCCAGCTACTCGGGAGGCTGAGACAGGAGAATCGCTTGAACCCGGGAGGCAGAGGTTGCAGTGAGCCTAGATCGTGCCACTGCGCTCCAGCCTGGGTGACAGGGCGAGACTCCGTCTCAAAAAAAAAAAAAATTAGCCGGGCGCTGTGGTGGGCGCCTGTAATCCCAGCTACTCGGGAGGCTGAGACAGGAGAATCGCTTGAACCCGGGAGGCAAAAGTTGCAGTGAGCCAAGATCAGGCCACTGCACTCCAGCCTGGGCGACAGAGGGAGACTCCGTCTCAAAAAAAGAAAAAAAAAAAAAAAGAATGAGAAAACCACAGGATATACACACAAAAAGCATTTCCCCCTCATTACTTCTGCCTCCACAAAGATGGTTTTGTTTTGTTTTTTTATTTTTCAACATGAACTGTTCTACTACAGGAGAGGTTTTTCTATTTATCTAAATTGATCACTATAAAGAAAGAAGATTTGGGAAGTATAGACATGGACCCAAAAAATCACAAATTCTAAAGAAGTTTATTTTAAAATTAATTTCAGAGAGCTCATCCTCCAGAACGCTTAGACCATTCTATGTGTCTGAGCTTACTCAACAAAAAAATAAGAGCTGGGCAGGGTTGATATAAAAACAAGTACTGAGAAGCTATAGGAACTGTTTTATGGGCAGGATCAAGAGACTTGTTTGTGTATCTAATAATTAAGTCAAAATTAAAGAGTGAAACATATGAGCACATACTTCTTTTACGAGATGTAGACAGAGAACTATTTAGAGATGCAAACAAAATAAAGTTGACCTAAAAAATCAGAAAAAAAGCTTGCTGACATTCATAACTTTACGTTATCATTTCTCAAAGAAAATAGTAAAATGGGCCGGCATGATGGCTCACGCCTGTAATCCAACACTTTGGGAAGCCGAGGCGGGCGAATCACAAAGTCAGGAGTTCGAGACCAGCTTGGCCAACATGGTGAAACTAAAAATACAAAAATTAGCTGGGCATGGTGGCACGTGCCCATAATCCCAGCTCCTTGGGAGGCCAAGGCAGGAGAATCACTTGAACCCTGGAGGTGGAGGTTGCATGAGCCAAGATTGTGCCACTGCACTCCAGCCTGGGCAACAGAGCGAGACTCCATCTCAAAAAAAAAAAAATAGTAAAATGGCCTCATTCGTTATTACTCATTATTTGGTATGCCTACAACAACACAAACACTAGAAACTTGGGAGATAGGTGGGGCGCAGTGGCTCACGCCTGTAACCCCAGCACTTTGGGAGGCCAAGGCAGGCGGATCACAAGGTCAGGAGTTTGAGACCAGCCTGGCCAATATGGTGAAACCCTGTCTCTACTGAAAATACAAAAATTAGCCGATTGTGGTGGCAGGCCCCTGTAGTCCCAGCTACTTGGGAGGCTGAGGCAGGAGAATCACTTGAACCCGAGAGGTGGAGGTTGCAGTGAGCCGATACCACACCACTGCACTGCAGCCTGGGCGACAGAGCGAGACTCTGTATAAAAAAAAAAAGAAAGAAAGAAACTTGGGAGATAAAATGAAATCCAATATCCCTACATATTGATCCTTTTGCCTTTCAAATTATTTAAAGTATATAAAGCATTTAGTAATATAACAAATGATCATATATGTGTATTTAAATAAAATTATGTACGGTCTAGTGGCATTTTGGGAATGAATAAAGGTGTAACATCAATTTCCAGGATAAATTTACCTATTCAACGAAGGTGGCCAGGCGCAGTGGCTCCCGCCTGTAATCCCAGCACTTTGGGAGGCCAAGGCAGGTGGATTGCCTGAGTTCTGGAATTCGAGACCAGCCTGGTCAACCTGGTGAAACTTTGTCTCTACTAAAAATGCAAAAATGAAAAACCAAAAAAAAAAAAACTAGCCGGGCGTGGTGGTGCTCACCTGTAGTCCCAGCTACTCAGGAGGCTGAGGCAGGAGAATTGCTTGAACCCAGGAGGTGGAGGTTGCAGTGAGCCGAGATGGAGCCACTGCACTCCAGCCTGGGCCACGGAGTGAGACGCTGTCTCAAAAAAATAAAAATAAAAATAAATTTTTAAAAAAAATCTACCAACAAATATTCAGTACCAGCTAACAGCCATTGGATGCGGAAGATAAAAAGATCAAGATGCCTGCTTTCCAGGAGTTAATGATTTACTGGTGAAAATAAATGAATACATAACGAGCGACAAGATAGGATTTAATCTGGGCCAGGAGAAAAGGGTAATTATTTGTTGTCGATTAATGCTTACTTAGTAGAAAACAGGCAACCTGAAGATGATAGAAACCACTTTGGGAAATGGTAAGAGGAAGTAATCAGGCTCAGGGTTTTTTCTAACTAATCAACTTACTTTTGTATTACATATGACTGGATCATTAATATGATGTTTTAGGGTTTTTTTCTGACTTGAGTGGAGTAAACATGATTCCCAGAAAGACAATTGTTAGGAGCACAAGGGAGGTAGTACATTATACATATTTGCAACATAGTATCATACAGCTTTAAAACACGTAGCATGTTTTACAATTTACAAAGTGTTTTCACATTTCTAGTTTTATTTACAAGTTTGCGTAATGAAGGTATTTGTACCCCATGAGCATAATGAATTTCAAAGAGGTTAACTAAGGTTCACAGTAATACATTCCTTCAACAAACCATTATCAAGTGCATTTCATGTACCAGGCACAGTAAGCCGGGCGTGGCGGCTCACGCCTGTAATCCTAACACTTTGAGAGGGCAAGGCGGTGGATCACCTGAGGTCAGGAGTTCGAGACCAACCTGGCCAACATGGTAACCTTGTCTCTACTAAAAAAATAGAAAAATTAGCCGGGGTGGTGGCAGGCGCCTGTAGTACCAGCCACTTGGGAGGCTGAGGCAGGAGAATCACTTGAACCCGGGAGACGGAGGTTGCACTGAGTTGACATTGCACCACTGCACTCCAGCCTGGCGACAGAGCAAGACTCTGTCTCCAAAAAAAAAAAAAAAAAAAAAAAGATACTGGCTTTCCTATACCTAAATACCCCTTTCCTCCTCCCCATCCCACCCACCTTCACCCCACTATCTGCTGCCAGTACTTCAAGCCTCAGCTCAAAGGCTTCCTCTGCAAAGCTTTTCCTGACAGCCAGGGGGTGACTGAACTGCCCCTTTGTTTGTGCTCTTGGCTCATGCAACCGTTAACTCCATCATCGCCCATTCTTGAGCACTCTGCTACCCCTGCAACCCTCACAGGCAGCTGTATTCCTTCCTTGAGCCACTGACTCCTGGAGGTGGCATCAGTGACCACCTGTGACCTGACCTTCACAGTTGGATCCTCTGCCTTACCTCAGCCACTCACACACATGGTCATACCCTAGAGTCTAGACCAGAGGTCAGCAAACTTTTTCTGTGAAAGGCCAGATGGTACATATTTTAGATTTTGTGAGCCAAGAGGCAATGTCTTCAACTTTTTGAGCAACTGTGCTTGCTGAAGGGATAATAGTCTCTCTCTCTCTCTCTCTCTCTCTCTCTGTGTGTGTGTGTGTGTGTGTGTGTGTGTGTGTGCGTGTATCTTTTTTTTTTTTTTTGAGACAGAGTCTTGCTCTGTTGCCCAGGCTGGAGTGCAGTGGCACGATCTTGGCTCACTGCCAACCCTGCCTCTTGGGTTCAATTGATTCTCCTGCCTCAGCCTTCCGAGTAGGTAGGACTACAGGCATGCACCCCACGCCCAGCTAATTTTTGTATTTTTAGTAGAGATGGGGGTTTCACCATGTTGGTCAGGCTGGCCTTGAACTTCTGACCTCAGGTAATCCACCCGCCTTGGCCTCCCAAAGTGCTGGGATTATAGGCGTGAGCCACCGCCCCCAGCCATATATTTTAAAATGCAAAGATTATTCTTAGCTCAAGGCTGAAAAACAACAGGCAGTAGACCAAATTTGGCCCACAGGCCATAGTTTGCAGACCTAAATACCACTGTGTATGAGCACAGTGGCTCATACCTGTAATCCCAGCACTTTGGGAGGCCAAGGCGGGTGGATCACTTGAAATCAGGAGTTCGAGACCAGCCTGGCCAACATGGTGAAACCCCATCTCCACTAAAAATACAAAAATTAACCAGGCATGGTGGGGTGCACACCTGTAATCCCAGCTACTCCAGAGGCTGAGGCAGGAGAATTGCTTGAACCCGAGAGGCAGAGGTTGCAGTGAGCCAAGATCGCACCACTGCACTCCAGCCTGGGCAACAGAGCGAGACTGTCTCAAAAATAAAAATGCAAACAACATGGTGAAACCCCATCTCTACTAAAAATACAAAGATTTGCTGGGCATGGTGGCACATGCCTGTAATTCCCAGCTACCCCGGAGGCTGAAGCAGAAGAATTGCTTGAACCTGGGAAGCAGAGGTTGCAGTGAGCCAAGGTTACACCACTGCAGTCCAGCCTGGATGGCAGAGCAAGACTCCATCTCAACAAAAATAAAATAAAATAATAAAGATCTTAGTTCCTGGCGGGGCGAGGTGGCTCACGCCTGTAATCCCAGCACTTTGGGAGGCCAAGGCAGGCAGATCACATGAGGTCAGGAATTCAAGACCAGCCTGCCCAACATGGCAAAACCTCGTCTCTACTAAAAATAGAAAAAAATTAGCTAGGCATGGTGGCAGGCACCTGTAGTCCCGGCTACTCAGGAGGCTGAGGCAGGAGAATCGCCTGAACCCGGGAGGTGGAGGTTGCAGTGAGCCAAGATCGCACCACTGCCCAGACTGGGCGACAAGAACGAAACTCAATCTAAAAAAAAAAAAAAAATCTTAGTTCTCAAAATCTCAATTTCAAGATTCACTTTTCAGCCACCACCTCCTATTGTTAACTCTATTGTGCTCCAACTCTAATGACCCTTCTGTTTACCAGGACCTACAATCCCTTTATCAATTCTGCTTCCTTTTCACTACCCCTCATTTCCCATGGCCTCTATTTCCCCCTTTTCCCACTCAGATTCTACAGTTTTGTTCTTTTCTTCCTCACTTCTCCTTTTATTCTACTCAGCAAATCCCAACCCTGGTCAAATCCAACCCTCCACCTACACCTTGCCTGCAGCCTAATGTGGCCACAGAAGAATGTATAAGCACGTTGACAGGTCTCACCTTAAATTCAAGACCACAGGCCTCAACAAGCACGTTGTTGCTGCCCAGCCATCCTATTAAACTTCTCTCGGCCCTATCCCATTCTCCCAGATGATTGTTTCATACTTTTTCCTCTCTCTCCAATCCTCTAATGCTCCTTGCTCTACTTTACTCTCAGCCAGGTCCTGCTTTCCCATAGCACTGAAAACAGTGGGGCAGCTAGAAGAGAACTTTGGCACCGTGCCATCTCTCCCCCAACTCACACCTGCAGCTGTGCTCAGATGCTCTGCCTTCTCTCCCTCCTCCCACTCTGTAGTCTGGGGCTCCTATCTCAAGCCAACCCCTATACACCAATGCATTTGATTCCATCTCTCACATGCAGGGGTGACCCCTTCATGTCCTTGAAATACTTCCTTCACTTGGCCACCACTCAGCCTTTCCTGATGTTCTCCTTGCTTTGCTAACTACTCTTTGCTGCTGTCTCATCTCTGTGACCTCTGAGGTTGAAATATCCCAGGGCTCAGCCCCTGGACCTCATCCTTTCTCTAACTATGCTCATTAGTTGGTTCTAGCTTATAGCTTTAGGAATCATCTCTAGGTCCGGGCGCGGTGGCTCATGCCTGTAATCCCAGCACTTTGGGAGGCTGAGGTGGGCGGATCACATGAGGTCAGGAGTTCGAGACCAGCCTGGGCAACATGGCGAAACCCTGTCTCTACTAAAAATACAAAAATTAGCTGGGCGTGGTGGCGCATGCCTGTAATCCCAGCTGCTCCAGAGGCTGAGAAAGGAAAATCGCTTGAACCCAGGAGGCGGAGTTTGCAGTAAGCCCAGGTTGCGCCATTGCACTCCAGCCTGGCGACAGAGCAAGACTCCGTCTCAGAAAAAAAGAAAAGAAAGAATCTCTAGGGCTGGGCACAGTGGCTCATGCCTGTAATCCTAGCACTTTGGGAGGCCGAGGTAGGAAGATCACCTGAAGTCAGGAGTTTGAGACCAGCCCGGCCAACATGGCAAAACCTTGTCTCTACTAAAAATACAAAAATTAGCCGAGCGTGGTGGTGTATGCCTGTAATCCCAGCCACTTGGGAGGCTGAGGCAGGAGAATCGCTTGAACCCAGGAGGCAGAGGTTGCAGTGAGCCAAGATTACGCCACTGCCCTCCAACCTGGGCAACAGAGCAAGACTTCATCTCAATAAAGAAATCATCTCAGCTGGGCGCGGTGGCTCACACCTGTAATCCCAGCACTTTGGGAGGCAGAGGCGAGCAGATCACGAGGTCAGGAGTTCGAGACCAGCCTGACCAACATGGAAACCCCGTCTCTACTAAAAATACAAAAATTAGCTGGGCATGGTGGCACGCACCTGTAATCCCAGCTACTCAGGAGGCTGAGGCAGGAGAATCACTTGAACCTAGGAGGCAGAAGTTGCAGTGAGTCGAGATCGAGCCACTGCACTCCAGCCTGGGCAACAGAGCAAGACCCTGTCTCAAAAAAAAAAAAGAAAAGAAAGAAATCATCTCAGGCCGGGCGCGGTGGCTCACGCCTGTAATCCCAGCACTTTGGGAGGCCAAGGCAGGTGGATCATGAGGTCAGGAGATCGAGACAATCCTGGCTAACACGGTGAAACCCCGTCTCTACTAAAAATACAAAAAATTAGCCAGGCGCTGTGGCGGGCGCCTGTAGTCCCAGCTACTCGGGAGGCTGAGGCAGGAGAATGGCATGAGCCCGGGAGGTGGAGCTTGCCGTGAGCTGAGATAGCGCCACTGCACTCCGGCCTGGGCGAAAGAGCAAGACTCCATCTCAAAAAAAAAAAACAAAAACAAAAACAAAAAACAAAGAAATCATCTCTAGGCTTATAAGTTACAAAATTGTATCACCCGCCCTAGACCTCTCTCCTGAAAGCCCGACCTCTCACATTCAGATGCCTGTTTGGCAAATCTATTAAATGTTCAATGTACTACACACATTCAACCTGCCAAACACCTGGTCTCCTCTACCTCCAATCTTCTCCTGTCATCTTTCCCATGTTAATAATGGCAACCTGGTTCTTCCAGTTGCTCAGATCAAAAAATGTTGGAAACATCCTTGAATCCTCTTTTTTTGTTACCTCCCCACATCCAATCAACCCATCAACGAATCCTATATCTACCACCTCCATGGCTACCACCTGGTCCAAGTCACCACCATTTCTCAACTGGAGTATTGAATAACCTGCTAACTTGTCTGTGAGTTTCCACCTTTGGAAACCTTCACTTTACTCTCCTAATAGTGAGCAGAGGAATCCTTTTAAAACAAAAGTGAAATTATCAGTCCCCTGATCAAGACCCTCTTGTGGTTCACCAACTCAGTGAAAGCTAACGTCCTTAAAATGGCCTGCAAAGCCCTACACAGTTCTTCTCCACTACCCCCAGTGTCACCTTTTCAGCCATGATAACCTTCCCTCACCTCATTAAAGTCATAATAACATCCCTTGCACCCATACTTCCTAGCACCCTTCTCTTCTTCTCTTCTTGATTTTCCTTCTCCTGTTTTTTTTTTTTTTTTTTTTTTTTGAGACAGTCTCACTCTGTTGCCCAGGCTAGAGTGCAGTGGCACTACAACCTCTGCTTCCTGGGTTCAAGTGATTCTTGTGCCTCAGCCTCCCACGTAGCTGGGGTTACAGATGCCCACCAACACGCCCGGCTAATTTTTATATTTTTAGTAGAGTCAGGGTTTCACCATGTTGGCCAGGCTGGTCTCAAACTCCTGACCTCAGGTGATCCACCCATCTCTGCCTCTCAAAGTGCTGGGATTACAGGCGTGAGTCACTGCTCCCAGCCTTTCCTTCTCTACTTGATCAGGTTTATCACCATCTGATCCCCATATATTTTATGAATTTATTTCTTTATTATCCACCCCTTTAGAATAAAACGAGCTTGATGAGGGCAAGGATTTTGTGTCTGTTTCATTTACTGCTGTATGTCTAGTACCTATAACAGTGCCTGGCACATAGTAAGCACTCGGTAAATTTCTGTTGAATAAATAAACTGATTAAAGGAGGCTTCCTGTATTATGATTGCCTCTCTCCATGTTGGTCTCCTGTATGCCACTGGGAGTCCTTTGAAGGTCGTCACTAGGACAGTTCATTTTTGCATGTAGATTGTGCCTGGCACACAGTCAACACCAGAAAGTGGTTGTTCATTTTATGTTTCAGAGCACCTTGGTGGTTCCGACGGTGTGGTAACAAGGTCTGAAACCTTACAGCCGTGCATTCTTAATCATGAAAGTGTCCAACCGGGGTTGGAAATTTTCAACGATGGTCCATGAAGTGCAGATGTGAGGTGCACTGTGCCTGAGCCAGACGGTTCTCATTGGACCTTTTGGGTTCTGCAAATTCAAAGCAGGAAAATTGGAATGCAGCTTCAGTTAAGTGTATATTTAGTAAAAACATGTCCTGGCAGTATTTGTTACTTATTGGGAGAAATGCATCTTACATTTGGCTGTCTTCAGCCTTTAAGTTTCTGCCAGACTCCAGGAGAAGGCTGAAGGGAAGGAGAGGAGCATGTTTGTGGGATCAATGCATATACTCACACATGCCATTATTGACATGCCATGAAGTGCAGCTCCTGCTTGGGGATTTAGGAGGTAATGTCCAAAGCCACACAGACCAACCAGGCCCAATAAAGCAGAGTGAGTAATACACTGTGCATGGTGGTTTTGGGTGTGGTTTGAAAACAAGCATCACTGTTAAATACGTTAAATACGATTAGAAGGAAACCTAAAACCACAGGGTGTGGACTTTTATGTTGGGGGTGTGTATATTAGATAATCTTCACATGGACCTTTTCATTGTATCAGCTTCTCACGGAGCAGCTTGAATGGCACCTCCTCAGAGAGCCTTCTCATGGTCATTTGCTCTAAGTCTGTTTTAGCCGAGCACCGTGGCATAAACCTGTAATCCCAACAATTTGGGAGGCTGAGACAGGAGGCTCACTTGAGCCCAAGAGCTCAAGACCAGCCTGGGGAAAATAGGGAGACCTTCTCTCTACAAAAAATAAAAAAATAGCTAGGTGTGGTGGTGCACCTGTGGTCCCAGCTACTCAGGAGGCTGAAGTAGGAGGATCACTTGAGCCTGGGAGATCGAGGCTGCAGTGAGCCATGATCATACCTCTCTACTCCAGCCTGGGTGATGGAATGAGACCCTGCCTCCAAAAAACAAAACAAATAAAAAAAAAATAAAGACTGTCTTTTTTTTTTTTTTTTTTTTGAGACGGAGTCTTGCTCTGTTGCCCAGGCTGGAGTGCAGTGGCACCATCTCGGCTCACTGCAACCTCCACCTCCTGGGTTCAAGCGATTCTGCTGCCTCAGCCTCCTGAGTAGCTGGGATTACAGGTGCCCACCACCATGCCCAGCTAATTGGTTGTTTTTTTGTTTGTTTGTTTGTTTGTTTTGAGACGGAGTCTTGCTCTGTCACCCAGGCTGGAGTGCAGTGGTGAGATCTTGGCTCACTGCAACCTCTGCCTCCCCGGTTCAAGCAATTCTGCCTCAACCTCCCAAGTAAATGGGATTACAAGCGTATGCCACCACGCCTGGCTAATTTTTTGTATTTTTAGTAGAGACGGGGTTTCAGCATGTTAGCCAGGATGATTTCGATCTCCTGACCTTGGGATCCACCCACCTTGGCCTCCCAAAGTACTGGGATTATAGGCATGAGCCACCACGCCCAGCCAAGACTACCTGTTTTAATTCTCTCCCAAGGGATCATCAGTATATTTCAGATCCCCTTGATGGTTCTAACTGCATGATAACAAGGTCTCATGTTTCCTTGGTCTTTGTTTGTCTTTGTTCCCTTGGTTGCTGTCTCCCTCACTACACTAGATGGTAAGATTTAAGGGACAAAGTGTGTCTTGTTCACCATTGTATCTCCGGCTCCCAGAACTATGGCCAGTGCAGAGCAAGTACTCCATAAATGTGTGATGTGTGAATAAATAAAGGAATGGAGAATGTGGTAGGCAAAATTCTAAGACGTCCCCAGGAGTCCCATCCCCTGGTATACACGTCCTGTCCCTGGGGCTGTAAATGTGATGGGATGTCACTCCTGTGATTAGGCTATGTTATCTGTCACAGTTGACTTTAAGATAGGGAGAAGCTGGGCTGGGCGCAGTGGCTCACACTTTTAATCTCAGCACTTTGGGAGGCCAAGGCGGGCGGATCACTTGAGGTCAGAAGTTTGAGACCAGCCTGGCCAACATGACAAAACCCCGTCTCGACCAAAATTACAAAAATTAGGAGGTGTGGTAACTCATGTCTGTAATCCCAGCTACTTGG
The DNA here is from genome assembly GCF_000001405.40 of Homo sapiens. NCBI lineage: Eukaryota > Metazoa > Chordata > Mammalia > Primates > Hominidae > Homo > Homo sapiens. The sequence continues at coordinate 119,092,748 of NC_000010.11, forward strand.
GAGGCCGTCGGTTGCTGAGGCAGGAGAATCACTTGAACCTGGGAAGCAGAGGTTGCAGTGAGCCAAGATCACACCACTGCACTCCAGCCCAGGTGACAGAGTGAGACTCTGTCTCAAAAAATAAAAAAAAGAAAAGAAAAGATAGAAATGGGGTGTGGCAGCTCATGCCTCTAATCCCAGCACTTTGGGAGGCAGAGGCAGGAGGATCGTTTGAGCCCAGGAGTTCAAGGTTAGAGTGACCTATGATCCTGCCACCGCATTCCAGCTCTGGGAACAGAGCAAGACCCTGTCTCAAAAAAAAAAGAAAAAAAAAAGAAAAGAAAGAGGAGAAAAGAGAAGGTTGTTCTTTGGTCTTGGCAGCAGAAGATAATGAAGGGAATAATATGATATTATTCAGAAAGTGTCGCAATAAGATGCACACATTGAGCCTCTGCTGTGGCTCTAGACCTACTACCTCAAAAGTTGACCTGTGGCAAATGTGGCTACTCGGCCAAGCACAAGAGAAAGTATAATTGGAGCTCCAGGGATAAAAGACAAAAAAAAAAAAAAAACACTAGGACCAGTTCAATTATGCACCTAAAAATTGTATACAGGTTGCCAGGCGCCGTGGCTCACGCCTGTAATCCCAGCACTTTGGGAGGCCAAGGTCGGCAAAGTGCTTGAGTCCAGGAGTTTGAGACCAGCCCAGGCAACTTGATGAAACTTCATCTCTACAAAAAATACAAAAAAATTAGCCAGGTGTTGTAGTGTGTGCGTGTAGTTCCAGCTACTTGGGAGGATGAGGTGGGAGGATCACCCGAACCAGGGAGATTGAGGCTGCAGTGAGCCAAGCCAGGAATGTGCCACTGCACTCTAGCCTGGCTAACAGAGTGAAACCCTGTCCGCAAAAATTAAATTAAATTAAATTTAAAAAAGAATTTCAACAATTAGCCATGCAATGAGTGTTCTGATTTTTTTTAAAAGATTGAGGGGGAGAGTATTTGGGTGGGGCTTACTCAATCACGTAAGCCTTTAAATCCATCCATGTGGAGAGGTCAGAAGCAAAGGAAGGGATTCAAAGCATGAGCAGGCACACAGAAGGAACCCCAAGGCAAGAAACTGCAGGCACCTCCAAGGGCTGAGGTAAGCCCTCCAGCCAACAGCCAGCCAGAGAACAGGGACCTCAGTCCTACCCCTGCAAGGGAATTATTCTGTCAACAATCTCAATGAGCCTGGAAGCAAACGCATCCCCAGAGCCTCCAGAGAGGAATGCGGCCTGGTCAGTGCCTGGATTCACAGCCTGGCAAGACACTAAACAGAGCATCCAGTCACACTGTTCCTGGACAACTAACCTACAGTGAGCCAATGAAAGGGTTTTGTTTGTTTGTTTGTTTGTTTGTTTGTTTGTTTTTTGAGATGGAGTCTTGTTATTGTTGCCCAGGCTGGAGTGCAATGGTGCAATCTCGGCTCACTGCAACCTCTGCCTCCCAGATTCAAGTGATTCTCCTGCCTCAGCCTCCTGAGTAGCTGAGACTGCAGGCGCCCACCACCATGCCTGGCTATTTTGTTTGTATTTTTAGTAGAGATGGGGTTTCACCATGTTGACGAGGCTGGTCTTGAACTGCTGACTTCAGGTGATCCACCCCTCTTGGCCTCCCAAAGTGCTGGGATTACAGGCATGAGCCACTGTGCCCGGCTAAAAGGGTGTTCTTTAAGCTTCTAAGTTTGATTAGTTACACAGCAATAGAAAACTGATACAAACCCAGAGACCTTAACAATTCTCTTGGCATTAACTCTTTTTCTTTTTTGAGACAGTTTTGCTCTGTCGCCCAGGCTGAAGTGCAGTAGCACAATCTTGCCTCACTGCAACCTCCACCTCTGAAGTTCAAGCGTCTCTCAAGCCTCAGCCACCCGAGTAGCTGGGATTACAGGCGCACGGCACCATGCCTGGCTAATTTTTTTATTTTTGTATAGTACAGGTGGGGTTTCACCATGTTGGCCAGGCTGGTCTCAAACTCCTGCCTCAAGTGATCCACCAGCCTCAGCCTCCCAAAGTGCTGGGATTCCAGGTGTGAGCCACTGCACCCGGCCAGCATTAAGTCTTGCAGAAGCAAGAATGAAACACTAACAGTTTAAAATTTTTAAAGTTACTTTGCCTTATGTGAAATGAAAACAGAAATACAGCTCAATGGAGGATAAGGAGATTGTTTAAGGTTTAACTGTACAATTCAGACTGCTCAAGCAAAAACCTCCTACAGGGAAACTGGGACTATAAACATGTTATTGTACTCACATTGGTGTTTTTAGGACTAGAAGGTACATTTCTTCTTCTTCTTCTTTTTTTTTTTTTTTTGAGACAGAGTCTCGCACTGTCACCCAGGCTGGAGTGCAGTGGCGCGATCTCGGCTCACTGCAACCTCCACCTCCCAGGTTCAAGCGATTCTCCTGCCTCAGCCTCCCGAGTAGCTGTGACTACAGGCGCGTGCCACCACGCCCAGCTAATTTTTTTTGTATTTTTAGTAGAGACGGGGTTTCACAATGTTGGCCAGGATGGTCTCGATCTCTTGACCTCATGATCCGCCTGCCTGGGCCTCCCAAAGTGCTGGGATTACAGGTGTGAGCCACCTGTGCCCCGCCTTAGAAGGTACATTTCTTTTGCGTTTTTTTTTTTTTTTTTTTTTTAGACAGGGTCTTACTGGGTTTTCTTGGCTGGAATGCAGTGGCCTTGGCCTGATCATAGCTCACCACAACCTGGAACTCCTGGGTTCGAGTGATCTTCCAGCCTCAGTCCCCCAGGTAGCCAGGACCACAGGCACACACCACCACACCCACCTTGCATTTTATTTTCTACAGACATAGGATTATAAATACATTTCACTTCATCCCATAAACATGCCATATTTGGAGTCAGATGTGGCTTTTAACCCCAGCTTTGCCATTTACTAGCTCCGTGACATTGGGCATGAAATCTCTCTGTAAGCCTCTGTTTTCCCATCTGCAAAACAGCCACAATAAGGGTGTGGTGGGGTTTAAATGAGACACTACATGTAGTGCTTTTTTTTCTTTACTCTTTTTTTTTTTTTTTTCTGAGACAGGGTTCTTGTTGCCCAGGCTGGAGTACAGTGGCATGATCTTGGCTCACTGCAGCCTCCTCGACTTCCTGGGCTCAAGCAATCCTCCCACTTCAGCCTCCTGCGTAGCTGAGACCACAGAAATGCGCCACCATGCCTTGCTAATTTTGTTATTTTTTGTTGAGAGGGGGTTTCCCCATGTTTCCCAGGCAAGTCTTGAACTTCTAAGCTCAAGCAGTCCACCTACCTTGGCCTCCCAAAGTGTGTAGAAAGTATGAGATCCTTTTAGGACAGTCCCCGATGCACTGCTTTTTAGAAATCATCCTCACATATATGCATGTAAGATGGACAAAACAACCAATACATGAAACACAGCCTCTTTCTGCCCCTCAACTGCAAGAATTCTGATATTGACTAGTGGGCATTCCCCCCTCTTCCTTTATTCAACCTACACTTTATCAGGTAGCTGTGATAGTCAGTTGGGAGGACACCCAGAGAAGTAGGGTGAGAGATTCATGTAGGAAACGGATGAGGTGAGAGAAAGACGGATAAGAGATATATTTTGGCTGTGTGTGGTGGCTCGTGCCTATAATCCCAGCACTGTGGGAGGCTGAGGCAGGCAGATCACTTTAGCTCAAGAGTTCAAGACCAGCCTGGGCAACGTGGCTAAACTCTATCTCTACTAAAAATACAGAAATCAGCTAGGCATGATGGCGCACACCTGTAGTCCCAGCTACTCAGGAGGCTGAGGCAGGAGAATTGCTTGAGCGCGGGAGGTGGAGGTTGCAGTGAGCTGAGATGGCACCATGGCACTCCAGCCTGGGCGACAGAGCCAGACCCTGTCTTAAAAAAAGAAAGAAAAGAAAGAAAGAAAATAGAAAAAAAGAAGAAAAAGAGTAACTTTACAACAGAGAAATCTGGCAAACATAACCTCAGGCAGGTGATCCAGGTCAACACCTTGATGAACCCTTGATATGACTTAATGAGAATGGCACTTTACCTCTGTGATCTTCCTTACAAAAAATGTTTCATGCAGTCCAGTCATGAGAGAAACATCAGACAAATCCTTATGGAAGGATAGACTACAAAATACCTGACCAATCCTCAAAACTGCCAAAGTCAGGCTGAGCTTGATGGCTCACGCTTGTAATCCCAGCACTTTGGGAGGCCAAGGTGGGTGGATCACTTGAGGTCAGGAGTTCAAGACCATCCTGGCCAACATGGAGAAACTCTGTCTCTACTAAAATACAAAAATTAGCCGGGCATGGTGGCACATGCCTATAATCCCAGCTACTTGGGAGGCTGAGGCAGGAGAACCGCTGGAACCCGGGAGGTGGAGGTTGCAGTGAGCCAAGATCGAGCCACTGTTCTTAAGCCTGGGTGACAGAGAAAGACTCCATCTCAAAATAAATAAATAAATAAAAATAAATAAATAAGAATAAAAATACAAAAAGTTAGCCGGGTGTGGTGGCATGTGCCTGTGGTCCCAGCTACTGGGGAGGCTGAGGTAAGAGAGTCGTTTGAGCCTGGGAGGCAGAGGTTGCAGTGAGTCGAGATCGCGCGACTGCACTCTAGTCTGGGCGACAGGGCCAGACCTTGCCTCAGAGTAATAATAACAATAAAAATAATAGGCCAGGGCCGGGCACAGTGGCTCACGCCTGTAATCCCAGCACTTTGGGAGGCTGAGGCAGTGGATCACGAGGTCAGGAGTCCAAGACCAGCCTGGCCAAGATGGTGAAACCCCGTCTCTACTAAAAATACAAAAATGATCTGGGTGTGGTGGTGGGTGCCTGTAATCCCAGCTACTTGGGAGGCTGAGGCAGAGAATTGCTTGAACCTGGGAGGCAGAGGATGCAGTGAGCTGAGATCGCACCATTGCACTCCAGCCTGGGTGACAGAGCAAGATTCCGTCTCAAAAAATAATAATAATAAATAGTAATAATGTATCAATATTGGTTGACTGGTTGTGACAAATGTACCCTACAGATATATTAATAAGATGTTAATGATAGAGAAAATCAGGTGCAGTATATGGTAACTCTCAATACTATCTTTGCAACTTTTCTGAAAATCTAAAGCTATTTGAAATGTTTATTTTATTTTTTTATTTATTATTTATATATATATATTTTGGAGATAGAATCTCGCTCTGTCACCCAGGCTGGAGTGTAGTGGCACAATCTCGGCTTACTGCAACCTCCACTTCCCAGGTTCAAGCGATTCTACTGACTCAGCCTCTCAAGTAGCTGGGATTATAGGTGTACGCTGCCATGCCCGGCTAATTTTTTGTATTTTAGTAGAGACGGGGTTTCACCGTGTTGCCCAGGCTGGTCTTGAACTCCTGAGCTCAGGCAATCCACCCGCCTCAGCCTCCCAAAGTGCTGGGATTACAGGTGTGAGCCACCGTGCCTGGCCTAGGCCTATTATTATTATTATTTTTTTTGAGGTAGAGTTTCACTCTTGTTGCCGAGGCTGGAGTGCAATGGTGTGATCTCGGCTCATTGCAACTTCTGCCTCCTGGGTTCAAGGGATTCTCCTGTCTCAGCTTCCCAAGTCGCTGGGATTATAGGCACCTGCCACCACACCTAGCTAATTTTTGTATTTTTAGTAGAGATGGGGTTTTACCATGTTGGCCAGGCTGGTCTCGAACTCCTGACCTCAGGTGACCTGCCTGCCTTGGCCTCCCAAAGTGCTGGAATTACAGGCATGAGCCACCACCCCTAGCCTAAAAGTTTTATTTTTAAAAATCTGAGGGGAAAGGGATTTTAAGACATTTCACTGTAGGTAATAAATTCTGTCCTCTTTAATGTTTTTTGGAAAACGCAAAGAAAGATCAGAATTATTTTAATTACATTTTTCTTGCTGAACTATGTATTATTCTTTTTTTTAGAGACTGGTTTTTTTAGAGACTGGGTTTTGCTCTGTCACACAGGCTGGAGTGCAGTGGCTCAATTGTAGCTCATGGCAACCAGTGACTCTTGGACTCAAGTGATCCTCCCACCTCAGCCTCCTGAGTAGATAGGTTCAGGTGTGTATCTCCAAGCCCACCTAATTTTTAAATTTTTGTTCTAGAGACAGGGTCTTGCTATGTTGCCCAGGCTGCTCTTGAACTCCTGGGCTCGATGCTTTTGCCTCAGCTTCCCAAAATGCTGGGACTACAGGAATGAGCCTCGGTGCCCAGTCCATGAACTATTTCTTTTAATGCAACATAGTAGCCAGGTGTGATGGCTCACACCTGTAAGCCCAGCACTTTGGGAGGCTGAGGTGGGAGGATGTCTTAAGGCCAGGAGTTCAAAACCAGCCTGGGCAACATAGTGAGACTCCCATCTCTACAAAAATAAAATAAAAATAAAAATAAAAATTAGCCGGGCATCGTGGCTCATGCCTATAGTCCCAGCTACTCTGGAGGCTGATGCAGGAGGATTGCCTGAGCCTAGGAGTTCAAGGCCATACTGGGCAACATAAGGAGACCCCATCTCTACAAAAAGTTTTAAAAAATTGCTGGGCATGGTGGCACAAACCTATGGTCCCAGCTACTCGGGAGGCTGAGGTGGGAGAATTGCTTGAGCCTGGAAGGTCAAGTCTGCAGCAAGCTGTGATTGAACGACTGCACCCCAGCTTGGGTGACAGAGCAAGACCCTGTCTCAATAGATAAATGAATAAATAAATAGAAAGAAAGAAAGAAAAAAGAATAATGCAACACAGCTCGAAACCTGGGCTTCTTAGGGCCGGAGAGCTACCCAGCATCCTGAAACCATTGAGAACACAAGGAGGATGACTTCATCTTGGGAATGTTCTGGAAGCCTCACATATGCTAGAAGTCAGGACGGAGTGTCAGAGCAGTTGACTGAATCGCCTTCCAGTTCCCAAGTGAGACTGAATCCCTTAAATTAAAAGAGCTTGGCCAGGCGTGGTGGATCACACCTGTAATCCCAGCACTTTGGGAGGCCAAGGCGGATGGATCACTTGAGGCCAAGAGTTTCAGACTAGCCTGGCCAACATGGTGAAACCCCATCTCTACTAAAAATAAAAAAAAATTAACCAGGCTTGGTGGCACACACCTGTAGTCCCAGCTACTTGGGAGGCTGAGGCAGGAGAATTGCTTGAGCCTGGGAGGCGGAGGTTGCAGTTAGTGGAGATCACACCACTGCACTCCAGCCTGGGTGACAGAGCAAGACTCCGTCTCAGAAAAAAAAAAAGGCTGGGCACAGTAGCTCACACCTGTAATCCCAGCACTTTGGGAGGCTGAGGTGGGTGGATCACCTGAGGTCAGGAGTTCGAGACCAGTCTGACCAATATGGTGAAACCCTGTCTCTACTAAAAATACAAAAATTAGCCGGGTGTGGTGGCCTGCGCCTGTAGTCCCAGCTACTCAGGAGGCTGAGACAGGAGAATTGCTTGAACCCAGGAGGCGGAAGTTGCAGTGAGCTGAGATTGCATCACTGCATTGCGACAGAGCAAGACTCCATCAAAACAAACAAACAAACAAAACAACAACAACAAAAAAAAACTGCCACCCTAATGGCTCCCTTGGCTGACACATGCCCAATCTATGATGGAATCCAATTACAGAAACAAAGATGAAAAAGAACCATATTTGACTCATAGGAACCTGGGATTGGAACACCTGGAAGATGCTGGGGTCCCTTGTGCACTTGTCCATGTGGCCAGACAGTTTAGGCACTTTCCAAATCTGCTTCAGTGCCAGTAACTTACTCTTTTTCTGCAGAGCAAGGAGTGAGCAGGCTGTGCAAAAAAGAATTCACACGACAGGCCTGAGGGTGATATCCATAGAAAGTCTGCTGGCCAGTTTGGCCCTTGGCTGTGCCTGGAAACTTGGACTTCGGCAGTGTTCCCAGCATTTCTAGAACTGATCAAACTGATCAGAGTGACAGACTATGCCTGAACTATTTGTACATACAATGTGGTTCATGAGAGTCTGGAAATCTGGTATGAGCTAGGCAGAGGGTACCTATGTGACTGGCCCCCAGTAAAAACTGAGTTACTTGGTGACTGAGTTCTAACAAGCTTCCCTGGTTGATAAATATCACAAGTATTGCCACAACTTGTTGCTGGAGGAATTAGGTGTGTCCTGTGTGACTCTACCAGGAAATAACTCTTGGGAACTTGGCCCTGGTTTCCTCCAGACATCACCCCATGTGCCTTTTCCCTTTGCTGATTTTGCTTTGTATTCTCTGGCTGTAATAAATCATAGCCCTGAGCTGGGGATGGTGGTTCACATGTGTAACCCCAGCACTTTGGAGCCTGAGGTGGGCAGATCGCTTGAGGTCAGAAGCTTGAGATCAGCCTACACAATATGGTGAGATCACATCTCAAAAAAAAAAAAAAAAAAATAGCTAGGCATGGTGGTGCCTGCCTGTAGTCCCAGCTACTCAGGAGGATGAGGTGGGAGGATAGCTTGAGCCTGGATCAAAGCTGCAGTGAGCCGTGATCGTGCCACTGCACTCCAGCCTGGGTGACAGAGTGAGACCCTGTCTCAAAAAAATAAAAATGTATATCATAGCCATGAGTATAGCTATATGCTGAATCCTGAGAATCCTTCCAACAAATCATTGAATTTGGGGGGTGGTCTTGGGGACCCTTTATATTCTTACCTATAAAATTAGGCTATTCTTATCAATAAAACTAGCATAAAGATTTTCCCTGATTCAAATCTTTATTGGGAGAGTCACGGAGGAAAGTATGGTTAGCTCCATTTGATCACTGAGAAAACATGCACAGAAAAGATAGGAAACATGTGTGAGGTTTCGCAGCTAAGATGGGCAAGGGGGTTGGAACTCAGGTTGTCTGTTTCCACACCCCAGCTCCATCTGTCTGTGACAGCGCAGAGGTCAGTCTTACTTTTAAAGATTGGGGATGCGTCGCCTCTGCTCTCTCCACCCTCTATTCCTTTTCCCTTCACTCTGGTGTACCTGTCTGGCAGGTAAGACAGCACTTGTGGAGAAACAGGAGGGAAGGAGGTGTCAATTCCAGGTATCATCCCACTCACTGGAGCCTGGACACACCCCTCATTATCTTTCCCCTCCCTGCACCCACTATCATCTCCCTCTCCTTTGTTTAATTATCTGTTCATCATCGTCTTCATCCTCATTTCTTTTCTTTTTTTTTCTGAGATGGAGTCTCACTCTGTCGCCCAGGCTGGAATGCAGTGGCGCGATCTTGGCTCACTGCAACCGTCCTCTCTTGGGTTCAAGCCAGTCTGCCTCAGCTTCCTGAGTAGCTGGGATTACAGGCACCTGCCACCATGCCTAGCTAATTTTTGTGATTTTTTGTTTGTTTGTTTTTGAGATGGAGTCTCGCTCTGTCGCCCAGGCTGGAGTGCAGTGGCGTGATCTCGGCTCACTGCAAGCTCCGCCTCCCGGGTTCACGCCATTCTCCTGCCTCAGCCTCACAAGTAGCTGGGACTACAGGCACCTGCCACCACGCCCGGCTAATTTTTTGTATTTTTAGTAGAGACAGGGTTTCACCGTTTTAGCCGGGTTGGTCTCAATCTCCTGACCTCGTGATCCACCCACCTCAGCCTCCCAAAGTGCTAGGATTACAGGCGTGAGCCACCGTGCCCCACCTAGTGCAAGTTTCTAGTTGGCTTCCAAACTGATTCCACATCTGTGTCCCACTCCTCAGCCTCTAAACACCTGCTTCTTTTCTGTGAAAACTAGACACATTAACAGTTATACTACAACAGGAAGCCCAGAGAATAGAAGGGCACGTAGTTCAGGGTGCTGCCTTCCAGGGGTTCAGTTTAGTGAGAGAAACAGGAATGCCATATACACACCTAAATATACTCCAATGTATAAATTGCAGCCTGGGCAACATAGCGAGAAACTGTCTCCAAAAAAAAAAGAAAGAAAAAAGAAAAAAACAGGCGCAGTGGCTCACGCCTGTAATCCCAGCTACGCAGGAGGCTGAGGCAGGAGAATCCCTTAAAACCGAGAGGCGGAGGTTGCAGTGAGCCGAGATCGCGCTATTGCACTCCAGGCCGGGCAACTGAACAAGACTCCATCTCAAAAAAAAAAAAAAAAAAAGAAAAAAGAAAAAAAGATGAGGGTGGGATTGTATTCCTGCAGACACCAAGGACCCTCCCTAATTAGCTCTGTGTGACTTGGGGTTGGGGCAGACAGTAGATCCAGAGGAGGAATCTTGGAGCCAAATCTTCCAATGTCTGAGTCGTTACTATCATTCAGATCTCAGTTCAAATATCCCTTTCTCAGAGAAGCCTTTCTTGACACCCATTTTAGAGCAGCACACCTCCACTCTCTAACACACTGCCTCCAGGGCACATATCGTTGCCTCCAGGGCACATATCATTCTGAGCTTTTTTACTATTATCTATCTATCTGTCATCTATTTATCTATTTATTTATTTTTGAGACAGGGTCTCACTCTGTCACCCAGGCTGGAGTGAGTGGCAGGATCACAGCTCACTGCAGCCTCAAAATCCTGGGCTCAAATGATTTTCCTGCCTCAGCCTGAGAGTAGCTGGGACTACAGGTGCATGCCACTATGCCTGGCTAATTTTTAAATTTTTTTTGTAGAGATGGGTCTCACTATGTTGCCAAGGCTGATCTCGAACTCCTGACCTCAAGTGATGCTCCTGCCTTGGCCTCCCATCGTGTTGGGATCAGAGGCGTGAGCCACCTCACCTGGCCTGGATTATTTATTCTACTCGCCAATTGTCTGTCTTCCCCAGTGGACTGCTCTGTCTTGTTCAGCCCTATAAGGTATCCCCAGTGCCTTATTAGGCCCTCAATTTTTGTTTTGTTTTGTTTTGGGGGTGGCTGGATGAAGGAATGGATGGAGACCCTTCCTCCATCCTCAGGACGCCTCTTTTTAGGAACAAGGTGACCTGTTCTTTTGAGCTTGACCAGAGGGCAGAGGTAGAACAAGGAAAGCCTACGACGGGAAGAAAGATTGGAGTGGATTGAGAAGAAGAAGGATGAACAGCTGGATTAGAGAAATTGAGGCAGGCTGCGGAGACTCAAGGAGGTTTCCAAGGGCGAAGGGCCACGGGCAGAAGACGAGTGGAGCTGCACTGAGCAGGTCCTGGCAGGGAGGACTGGGGCTGGAATAGGTGGGCCTGCGGGTGGGGCGGGGCCGACGGGGGGGGTTGATGGTCCTGTGATGGGGCGGGGCGGGAGGGAGGCGGGTCCTACAGCGGGAGGCGGGGCCTGTGATGGTCCGGGGAGGGAGGCGGGGCTTATGATGGGCCGGGGAGGGAGGCGGGGCCTGTGATGGGGGCGGGCCCTACGGCGGGCGGGGCGGGGTTCGGGTGCGAGGCCGGTCCTGCAGGCGGCAGCCAGAGCTGCGCGCCGCGGCGGCGGAAGATGGCTGCGGCCGAGGTGGCGGACACTCAGCTGATGCTTGGAGTCGGGCTGATCGGTGAGGACGTAGGCGCCCTGCCTGGAAGCCCGCACCCTGGTTCTGCCTCTGCTCCACCTCGGCCCGGGGCAGCCCGGGCTCCCGCGGCCCCCGGCGCCGACCGCATGAGGAGGGCGCGGCCCCCTCCCTGTTGGGCCTGGACTGGGGACTGCGGAGCCCGGCCTCCTTGGTGCAGGGGACCCGGCCCGCCGCCCTCGCCCGCCCGCCCGCGGCCGCCTGTGGGGCCTGCCCGGCCCGAGGGAGCCCGGGGACCTCCAAGATTCCGGGGTGGAGCTCCCCCTGCACGCCCCGGGTTGCCCGGCGGAGCCGGGACGTCGAGCGCTCCCAGGCTGGGCAGCTGCGAGGGGCGCTGCGCGGGCGGGGCCGGGCCGGGCGGGAGCAGCCGGCTGGCGGCGCGGCGCGGCGCGGCGGGGAGGAGGCAGGGTCCGGTTCCCCCGAGCCGGGGGCGGGCGGCTGCCTCGGAGCCACGGGTGACTGCCCGCCCGGGCGGCCCCCATCGTGGGACCGGGCAGCTGGAGACTGCTGGGCCGGGTGCTGCGCGTTGTACACACATTGTCTCCTTTTAGCTCTCACCAAGGACCGAGGGGCCGTGGGAAACGTCTGACGCCCACTTCACGGAGGAGCAAATGGAGGCCCAGGCCGTCATTGTGCACGGACACACCATAGGCCGTACAGAGCCGGGAGTGGGACCCTCGCAGTGTATCCCAGAGCCCCCAACCCCCACCAGTGGAGAGCTCCTGCATCATGTGATCGAGCTTGTGCATAAATAAAGCAGGAGTTTCTACACAATCCTGTGTGGTGGAATCTCGGTTAGCTCTGAGGAATGTAATTATCTTCCATAATTAAAAAATATCACACGGGGATCTTTGGGCAGCCTCGTGCAGTATTTAGGGGATGGAACCCGTTGGTTCCCTTCGAAAAAGTTTTATTTTCCCGAGATTTTTGCACACCCCTAAACTCTTTCTATTCCCCAAGTGCGCAATAACATTGCTTAGGCTTTAGCAAAACTGAAGAAATATGCTGATTATTTTTCAGTGCCTCAAAGCAGTGCGTTTATGTGGGAATCGCTTACTGTTTTTATTTCTTTGTCTTTCTTCTTTTTTTTTTTTTTAGACGGGGTCTCCCTCTTATCCAGGCTGGAGTGCAGTAGCGCAATCATCGCTCTCTGCAGCCTCCACCTCCCAGGCCCAAACCATCCTCCCGCCTCGGCCTCCGAGTAGCTGGGACCTCAGGCGTGCACCACCACCCGATTAATTTTTGTATTTTTTGTGGAGATGGGATACCGACATGTTGTCCAGGTGGATTACTGTATTTATTTCTAATGTGATTTTCAAACTGCTTCAAAACAAAACCTAAGTAACTTAGTTTCTCCAGAAGGTACTTTTGAACTAAGGCTAAGTTAAACTGTCTTTATCTACTAATAGCAAATAAAAAGATGACATATGATCATATTTTGAACTCAGCAGTTTTTTAATTATTCACACTAACGTGCATTTAAAAGGGGTTTGCAGCCAGCCTGGGCAATGTGGTAAAACCCTCGTGTCTCTACAAAAAATACAAAAATTAGCCGGGTGTGGTGTGCCTGTAGGTGGGAGGATTGCTTGGTCCCAGGAGGCAGAGGTTGCAGTGAACTGAGATCATGCCACTGTACTCCAGCATGGGTGACAGAGTGAGACCCCCCCCAACCCCGTCTCAAAAAAAGAAATTGAAAAAAGAGGCCAGGCGTGGTGGCTCATGCCTGTAATCCTAGCACTTTGGGAGGCTGAGGCAGGTGGATCAATTGAGGCTGGGAGTTGATCAGCCTGGCCAATATAGCGAGACCCTGTCTTCACTAAAAAGGCAAAAAATTAACTGGGCGTGGTGGTGCACACCTGTAATCTCAGCTACTTAGGAGGCTGAGGCAGGAGAATCACTTGAACCCGGGAGGTGGAAGTTGCAGTGAGCTGAGATCAGAGGTGGAGGTTGCAGTGAGCTGAGATTGCGCCACCGCACTGCAGCCCAAGTGACAGAGTTAGACCCTGTCTCAGAGAGAGAAAAAAAAACAGAATGTGAGTGTCTTTTTTAGTATAATGATTTCTTTTCCTTTCGGCAGATACCCAGTAATGGGATTACTGGGTGGAATGGTAATTCTGTTTTCAATAACAATTTTTTATTTGTAGTCTTTAGAGACAGGGTCTCTCTCTGTTGACTAGGCTGGAATGCAGTGGTGCATAGCTCACGACAACCTCTGAATCTTGGGCTAACTTGATCCTCCCACCTTAGCTTCCTGAGTAGCTGGGACCATAGGCACACACCACCATGTCCAGCTAATTAAAATTTTTTTTTTGTAGAGATGCGGTCTCACTATGTGGCCCAGGTTGGTCTGGAACTTCTGGCCTCAGGCGATCCTCCTGGGTTCCCAAAGTGTTAGGATTATAGGCATGAGCCATTATGCTTGGCCTAAACAATTTTAAATACAAAATTCACACAGTTGGTATGCAACATGGTTTGAAATATTTCACTATTTTCTTCATCTCTGGTTTTGTTTTCGACAAACCTTTTCTATGTATTTATTAAAAATTATTCGGCTGGGCACGGTGGCTCACGCCTATAATCCCAGCACTTTGGGGGGCCGAGGCAGGCAGATCATCTGAGGTGGGGAGTTCGAGACCAGCCTGACCAATGTGGAGAAACCAAAACCCCATCTTTACTAAAAATACAAAATTAGCCAGGAGTGGTGGTGCATGCCTGTAACCCCAGCCACTCGGGAGGCTGAAGCAGGAGAATAGCTTGAATCTGGGAGATGGAGGTTGTGGTGAGCTGAGATCACTGCATTGCACTCCAGCCTGGGCAATAAGAGCAAAACTCCATTTAAAGAATTATTCCGCCCAGCACTTTGGGAGGCCGAGGCGGGCAGATCACCTGAGGTCAGGAGTTCAAGACCAGCCTGGCTAACATGGCGAAACCCTGTCTCTACTAAAACTACAAAAATTAGCTGGGCATGGTGGTGGGCACCTGTAATCCCAGCTACTTGGGAGGCCAAGGCAGAAGAATCGTTTGAACCTGGGAGCCAAGATAGCACCAGTACACTCTAGCCTGGGTGACGGTGAGACTCCGCCTCAAAAAAAAAAAAAAGAATTATTCCAACTAGTTAAAAACTTAATGTAATTTTAGTTGATAAGCATTTGTGTGGGAGGAGATAGGGAGAAACTCTAACATCTTTCTTTGTCTTTTTTTTTTTTTTTGAGACCAAGTTTTGCTCTGTTGCCCAGGCTAGAGTGCAGTGGCGTGATCTTGGCTGACTGCAACCTCTGCCTCCCGGGTTCAAGCAATTCTCTTGCCTTAGCCTCCTGAGTAGCTGGGATTACAGGCATGCCCCACCACACCCGGATAATTTTTGTATTATTAGTAGAGATGGGGTTTCTCCAGGTTGGTCAGGCTGGTCTCGAAGTCCCGACCTCAGGTAATCCACTCGCCTTGGCCTCCCAAAGTGATGGGATTACAAGCATGAGCCATCGTGCCCGGCCAAAACTCTACCATATCTCTAAGGCTGAATTTTCATTCATGGTTTGTTATAAAAACTTTTTACTCAGGTGGCCTGTAATTCAGGATCATGACAGCTAGATAATTTGAGCAGTAGAGATAGGTGGGAATTTGGGGTGTCAGGTATTGTGAGTTGCTTTGTAAGATGGGATGTTAAAACTGATTCCACTAAGTGTTTCTGAGTAACCAATCAATTCACTTCCTTGCTGCTGTTTGACATTCTCACAGTGACCATCTTTCCACCGTAGAAAAGGACACAAATGGAGAAGTTCTGTGGGTGTGGTGTTATCCTTCCACGACAGCCACATTAAGGAACCTGCTGCTGAGAAAATGCTGCCTTACAGATGAAAACAAACTTCTCCATCCCTTTGTCTTTGGTCAGTACAGAAGAACATGGTTTTATATCACAACAATTGAAGTTCCAGATTCTTCCATTTTGAAAAAGGTATGATTGCGTGAAGGTAAAAAAAAAACCCCAAAATAGGCTGGGCGCGGTGGCTCATGCCTGTAATCCCAGCACTTTGGGAGGCTGAGGTCGGCAGATCACAAGGTCAAGAGATTCAGACCATCCTGGCCAGCAAGGTGAAACCCCATCTCTACTAAAAACACAAAAATTAGCTGGGCGTGGTGGCGCACGCCTGTAGTCCCAGCTACTCAGGAGGCTGAGGCAGGAGAATCGCTTGAACCTGGGAGGCGGAGGTTGCGGTGAGCCAAGATTGTGCCACTGCACTCCAGCCTGGCGACAGAGCGAGACTCCGTCTCAAAAAAAAAAAAAAAAAGAAAAGAAAATATTAAATATTATTTTCATTGGGAATACTCTGTTTCACACTTCACTCTCATTCATTCTATAAATATTTATTGTTGTCTATTATATGACAGACCCTGTAGTTGATACAGTGGTGAGCAGTACAGCAATATGTGGTCTTTTCCCCTTTTTTTTTGTTTTTGTTTTTTTGAGATGGAGTTTTTCTGTTGGTCAGGCTGGAGTGCAATGGCGCAATCTCGGCTCACTGCAACCTCCGCCTCCCGGGTTCAAGCGATTCACCTGCTTCAGCCTCCCGAGTAGCTGGGATTGCAGGCACCCACCATCACGCCTGGCTAATTTTTTGTATTTTTAGTAGAGACAGGTTTTACCATGTTTGCCAGGCTGGTCGTGAATTCCTGACCTCAGGTGATGCACCCGGCCAGGATAAATTAAGAATTTAGAAAGGCAGGCCGAGCGTGTTGGCTCACGCCAGTAATCCCAGCATTTTGGGAGGCTGAGGCAGGCGCATCACCTGAGGTTGTGAGTTCAAGACCAGCCTGACCAACATGGAGAAACCGCATCTCTACTAAAAATACAAAAAATTAGCCGGGCGTGGTGGCGCATGCCTGTAATCCCAGCTACTCGGGAGGCTGCGGCAGGAGAATCTCTTGAACCCGGGAGGCAGAGGTTGTGGTGAGCTGTGATTGCGCCATTGCACTCTAGCCTAGGCAACAAGAGCGAAACTCCGTCTCAAAAAAAAAAAAAAAAGAATTTAGAAAGGATATTTAAGGCAGCTTGTGTATTAAGTAGACTTTTCTTGGTGTGTTGTTTGATATGAACAGTATCAGTGTGACATGTGGAAGACTAGGATGTAATCGTGGACTTTCCTAATCCCAAGCAACCAGCAGGTTTTTTCAAAGAATAGAATATTGGAACAATACTTTATCTGAGCCTCTGGCATGTACCCAAACAGAGATTTTTTCCCGTTTTAGGGCTAATTTATAGCCAATAGTGCGACTATGTGAAGCATGACTAGAATACCAGCTTAAATTTTAAAAATTACATTTAAAATAGCAGGAAGGTAACAATTTAGAAACTGTAGAAGGTTTAAGACAAAACAGATTCATAGTTACAAAATATAAATTTGCAAGAAGATACTTTTTTTTTTTTTTTACGGGAGTTTTGCTCTTGTTGCCCGGGCTGGATTGCAGTAGCATGATCTCGGCTCACTGCAACCTCCATCTCCCAGATTCAAGCGATTCTCCTGCCTCAGCGTCCTGAGTAGCTGGGATTACAGGCATTCGCCACCACGTCCAGCTAATTTTCTTTTTTTTTTTTTAACTTCAATTTTTAATTTTTATTTTTTGAGTCAGAGTCTCATTTTGTCACCCAGGCTGGAGTGCAATGGTGCAATCATGTCTTACTGCAGCCTTAATCTCCTGGGCCCAAGTGATCCTCCCTCCTCAGCTCCCTGAGTAGCTGGGAGCACATGTGTGCACTACCATGCCCAGCTAGTTTTTAAATTTTTTGTAGAGATGAGGTCTCACTCTGTTGCCCAGGCTGGTCTTGAACTCCTGAGTTCAAGCGATCCTCCTGTCTTTTCTCCTAAAGTTCTGGGATTAACAGGCGCGAGCCACCGCACCTGGCCAAAAAGATAGGTTTCAATATGTAATGAAATCTTTGGTTTATTGCTCAATAAGTTCTTTTTGTTTTTGTTTTTTTTTTGAGATGGAGTCTTGCTCTGTCACCCAGGTTGGAGTGCAGTGGTGTGATCTCGGCTCACTGCAACCTCTGCCTCCCAGGATCAAGCGATTCTTGTGCCTCAGCCTCCCAAGTAGCTGGGACTACAGGCATGCACCACCACCTACTCTTCATTTTAAATGTATCTCTTCAAAGTTTTGTATTTATGAAATTCTGAATTTTGTCTCATTAGTGGAAATATTAGGTATATGTTTATCAGAAATTTATAATATAGAGGCATATAAGTAAATGAAGGTTTTTTTCTTTTTTTGAGACAAAGTCTCACTCTGTCGCCCAGCCTGGAGTGCAGGGACAAAATCTCGGCTCACTGCAACCTCTGCCTCCTGGGTTCAAGCAATTCCCTGCCTCAGCCTCCCGAGTAGCTGGGATTATAGGCACCTGCCACCATTCCTGGCTAATTTTTGTAGTTTTAGTTGAGACAGGGTTTCACCATCTTGGCCAGGCTGGTCTTGAACTCCTGACCTTGTGATCCACCTGCCTCGGCCTCCCAAAGTGCTGGGATTACAGATGTGAGCCATCATGCCCAGCCAAAACTTCTTATAATAGTACTTTTTAGCTTATGGCACCCTGCAGAGAGTTAGTTCAGGAGCTGTATGGTTGTTACTGAGATGTATTTTGTTGTTTTTCATCCTTTTATAACGAAGAACAATTGCTATTCGACAGAGCTGTAGTGTGACTATGATTAAGAATAATCTATTAATTTCAAAATAGTTAGAATAATTTGAATGTTTTCAGCATAAAGAAAAGATAAATAGTCTGGGTGCGGTGGCTGATGCCTGTAATCCCAGCACTTTGGGAGCTGAGGTGGGTGGATCATTTGAGGCCAGGAGTTCGAGACCAGCCTGGCCAACAGAGTGAAACACTGTCTCTACTGAAAATACAAAAAATTAGCTGGGCATGGTGGTGTGCCTATAATCCCAGCTACTTGGGAGCTTGGGAGGCTGAGGCATGAGAATTGCTTGAACCCGGGAGGCAGAGGTTACAGTGAGCTGAGATTACACCACTGCACTCCAGCCTGGGCGACAGAGCAAATGTCCCAAAAAAAAAAAAAAAAAAAACTGGAAAAATATATACATCTATTATGTATCAATAAAAATAAGTAAAATAAGGGTTTGGTGGTAGTGCCTGTAATCCCAGCTACTTAAGAGGCTGAGGCTGGAGGATCTCTTGAGCCCAGGAGTTCAAGTCCAGCCTAGGCAACATAGTGAGACCCCAACTCAAAAAAAAAAATAGGTAAAATAAAATAGTAAAAAAGTGTGGAGGAGAAAAGATAAGCAGTTGCTAAATTGGTGAGTCTGATTTAGCACTTCTTTCTTGTACTTTGATGAGATTAGGGGACATTAAGTAGAAATGTACTTTTTTTATATTTGAGTGAAGTATTTTTGATTTCTGAAAATTTTTTCTCTAAATATTGCATTCTTATGTAGGAAATTCAATATATATGTATATGTAATACATATGCACATGCAGAAGTATAAAGAAGCAAGTGAGGACTTGTTAAATTTTGGTCTTTTTCTTTTAATACTGTTGTGTCTTATACAAAAGGTTTGTTAGAATATAGTAATAAAAATTCTGCTAAAGTGTATTTAAAAAGTGTATTTTTTTGTTGTTTCTTTTGAACAGGTGACTCATTTTTCTATTGTCCTGACCGCCAAAGATTTTAACCCAGAGAAGTATGCTGCCTTCACTAGGATATTGTGTAGGTCTGTATAAAAATTGTATTAAATGCTAATATACAAAATGAAGACCTTAGTATAGTTACATAGCAGATTTCTACACTGAGAAAGCAAAGTTCAGCCTTGTGTCTCCCCAGCATAATCTTTAGTAGCCCTTCACAGACTGTAAAGACGGCCTTTCTCTTTTGCTCTGTTGATACTTCTCTTATTTGGGTAAATGATCTAGGGGAAGAGAAGGAGCAGTTTTATAGCTATTGTAGCTCCTGGGTGTTTTGAATCACTTCCTACTTTTGATCTGTTACTTCTGTTCACTTCCAGTCTAGAATTCCCTTAGTAGGTTGGATAAGTTAAGGGCCTTATGACATGGTAAACTGGTTCGTATGTGTCAAGGTCTGTGTGTACAGTCATTTTGGGGAAAGAATTATGCCGAAGCACAATAACACATTTCTTAGCTGGAATGCTGAGAAGCTAGGGAATTCTGATTAACTGGTTAGTCACGATTCAGCTAGACTCTTTTAGTTTCATCTCCATTGTTGAAAAATTTATCTAAAATATACCAGTCTATTTTCTTTTCTTTTTCTTTTTCTTTTTCTTTTTTTTTTTTTTTTTGAGACAGGGTCTCACTCTGTTGCTCAGACTGGAGTGCAGCGGCTTCATCATGGCTCACTGCAGTCTTGACCTCCCAGGACTCAGGTGATCCTCCCACCTCAGCCTCCCATGTAGCAAGGACTGCAGGTGCGCACTTCCATGCCTAGCCAATTTTTTATATTTTTTGTAGAGACAGGGTTTCACCATGTTGCCCAGGCTGGTTTCAAACTCCTGAGCTCAAGTGATCTGCTCATGTTGGCCTCCCAAAGTGCTGGGATTATAGGCGTGATGAAACTCTTTTTTTATGTGTTAAAGATATTAGCTCTTTCTTAATGATGAAGGCTTTTGCAGAGTTTTATTTATTATGTTTTTTTTTTTGAGACAGAGTCTCCCTTTGTTGCCCAAGCTGGAGTGCAGTGGGGCGATCTTGGCTCACTGCAACCTCTGCCTCCTGGGTTCAAGCGATTCTCTTGCCTCAGCCTCCCGAGTAACTGAGATTACAGGTGGGTGCCACCACGCCCAGCTAATTTTTTGTATTTTTAGTAGAGAGGGGGTTTTGTCATGTTGGCCAGGCTGGTCTTGAACTCCTGACCTCAAGTGATCCGCCCGCCTTGGCCTCCCAAAGTGCTGGGATTATAGGCGTGAGCCACCGCACCCTGCCTTGCAGGGTTTTAGTCGTGATTTTTTTTTTTTTTTTCTGGTTGTTGTCTTTTTTTTAGCGACACGGTCTTGCTCTTTTGCCTAGCTTGGAGTGCAGTGGCATGATCATAGCTCACTGTAACCTTGAACTCCTGGGCTGAAGCAGTCCTCTCACCTCAGCCTCCCAAGTAGTTAGGACTACAGGTGTGTGCCACTGCTCCTGGCTAATTAAAAAATATATATATATTTTGTAGAAAGGTGGTCTTACTATGTTGCCCAGGCTGGTCTTGAACTCCTGGGGTCAAGTGATCCTCTGCCTTGGCTTTTCAAAGCGCTGAGATTACAAACGTGAGCCACTGCACCTAGCCCTTTAAAAAAAAAAATGTTGTTACTAGATAGAATTATAATTCTAGGTGTCATGTTACCGTCAGGCTTTTCCCTAATACAGAGATTTTTGGGGGCACTGAGGGTGAAGGGAATTGTTTTTGTTTTATAAGCCTAATAAATGGTAGGCTTTTGGCTATTTTTGTGCGTGAATGTATATACACACACCAAAAGAAGCAAAAAAAAAAAAAGAGAAAAACTCTATCATAAGACTATCTTCTCATTACCTAAGGGTTTCAGTTAGATTATATCTTGGCTAAATGAGATTTCACCATTTTTGCAACCAGCCAGAATAAAAAAGCTTCCTACTCTCATAAGAACCAGGTGAATGTCTCACTGTGGATAAACAGTTGTCTGCTAATGTGGCACTTACACAAAGGGAGATTATTATTGCCAGAAAAGACGCTATCCAGAAGCCATAAACTAAAAACACTACAGAGGTATTTTTGAACAAACATTGGACTCCCATTTCATTTGGTTGAGTCAGGGTTATGTTGCTCAACTGAATTCACTGGGAAATATTCTGGAGTCCAAAAGGCAAGGTTGCTTCAGACCCCACTTCCTGCCCAGAAGGAGGCCCAGAGGGTTTCTCAGCTTGTGCAGTGCGTGGCATTGTAGTATCCTGGATTTCTTCTCCCGTCACAGTGCAAGAGAAGTGAGGACTCGGAGCTACTGCCAGCCGCCTCCTCTGCTTCCTGCCCCTTCATGCAGCACTATGCTCACTCTTGCATGTATGCACATCCAAGTATTTGCACACACACACACACACACACACACAGGTCTGTGTGTACATGCACACACTCATAGGCAAAGACTTCTTTTCTTCATGACAGTTTAACATGGAGTTGCCTCCCTCCATTTCTGGTGAGGAGCAGGCAGGCGTGCCTTCCACACACAGCTTGCTGCTCACAGTGGCAGCAGAAGCCCGCAGGAGGGAACCTCATTCCCTATGTGGCTGCAGGTTCACTGCTGTGGTCCTCTTCAGCCTCTAGTCGCTTGCTGCTAGTGGCCCTGCTAGAGAACCGGGGTTTCATGCACACTTGCAGTCAGCTGTACAGGCCTCGATGTGTGGCAGCCTATGGATGTCTATCTGAACAAGGTGCTTGGGGTCGCACTGTGGGCTTTTCCTGTGGAGTGGTTTTGGGGGGATTTCCCCCTCTGTTTTATCTCTCCTGGCCCAGGGTTGTCATGTAGGAAGTCATCTTATCCTACCAACCTTATGTTTCTCTTCTCTATTACTGTGTATTGTTTCTATTTTATAATTTTTTTTTTTTTGAGATAGAGTTTCACTCTGTCACCCAGGCTGGAATGCAGTGGCGCCACCTCGGCTCACTACCACCTCCAACTCATGGGTTTAAGTGATTCTTGTGCTGCAGCCTCCCAAGTAGTGGGAATTACAGGTGCACACCACCACACCTGGCTAATTTTTATATTTTTAGTAGAGACGGGGTTTCACCATGTTCACCAGGCTTGTCTGGAACTCCTGGCCTAAAGTGAGCCTCTTGCCTCGGCCTCCTAGAGTGTAGAGATTATAAGCATGAGCCACAGTGCTTGGCCTCTATTTTAGAAAGCTAATGGCATTTTGGTTTTTTGTTGTTGGTAGTAATAAAGCACATTTAGAAACACAGGAGAATATGCAGTGAAAACTGAGCTGCCGCCTCCTCCTGTTCCCAGACTCCAGTTCTACCTCCTGATCCCCACCCCACACAACTCCCGTGACCTCCTTCTTTATATCC
Organism: Homo sapiens; assembly: GCF_000001405.40. NCBI lineage: Eukaryota > Metazoa > Chordata > Mammalia > Primates > Hominidae > Homo > Homo sapiens. Next base: position 119,115,249 of record NC_000010.11, read on the forward strand.
TATCAGAGAAGTTTTTCTCCCTGTGTGAGCCTGTGTGTGAGTTCCTGGGTTTGAATGTATTTTACATGTGTGAAAGCTCACCACATTCATTGTTCTCTACTTTTTTTCCGTCAAGTTGTGAATTGAATTGGTAATTTTTTTTTTTTTTTTTTTTTTTGAGACGGAGTCTCGCTCTGTCGCCCAGGCTGGAGTGCAGTGGCGGGATCTCGGCTCACTGCAAGCTCCGCCTCCCGGGTTCACGCCATTCTCCTGCCTCAGCCTCCCAAGTAGCTGGGACGACAGGCGCCCGCCACTACGCCCGGCTAATTTTTTTTGTATTTTTAGTAGAGACGGGGTTTCACCGTTTTAGCCGGGATGGTCTCGATCTCCTGACCTCGTGATCCGCCCGCCTCGGCCTCCCAAAGTGCTGGAATTGGTAATTTTTAAAAAAACACTGATGATTGACAAAAGTTGGCAAGCAGTTAAAACACTTGCTTTTTTCATTTAGTCTATGATAAATATAATTTTCAAGTGATCTTTTTTTTTTTTTTTTTGAGACGGAATCTCGCTCTGTTGCCCAGGCTGGAGTGCAGTGGTGTGATCTTGACTCACTGCAACCTCCTCTTCCTGGGTTCAAGCAATTCTTCTGCCTCAGCCTCCCAAGTAGCTGGGATTACAGGTGTGAGCCACCAGGCCCAGCTAATTTTTATATTTTTAGTAGAGACAGCGTTTCACCGTGTTGCCCGGGCTGGTCTCTAACTCCTGGCCTCAAGTGATCCGCCCACCTTGGCCTCCCAAAGTGCCGTGATTACAGGCATGAGTCACTGTGCCCGGCCCTCAAGTGATCTGTCTTAAATATGTTTTATTTTCTTCCCGATTTTCTATCCCACCAGCTCCTGAAAGGCCCAAATAGACCCAGTCATGTTTCTCAAGCAAAATTTAATTTTAGTTGCTCACAGGAAGAGATTTCAAGGGGAAGAGACGGATTCCACATGTGAGCTATAAATGCAGCCAGTTTCCTGTCAGCATTTTCTAGAAGCTTTAACTTGACGATGAATGTCTAATGTGCATTTATCACCAGAAACCTAAAGGAGTTTTGATTTCTTAATTATCTAAATATAGCTACCTCTGGGAACTCATTTAATAATAAGTATGGGTTCTACAACTAATTACTGGTTTCTCTGTGAACAGTGCGTAAAACTCCTTTCTCGTCAAAGGAAATCTCAGTGATAAAACAGAGTTGTATGACTGAGAACCCCAGTTGTGAATGTAAGACACAGGATAAGTGCACAACATTCTTGAGAATCCTGGGACCTCAGGAAGTTCGTACTTCATTCTCCTGCCTTAGTACAACAAGGGGCTCCCAGATGTAAGGAGATGGCTGAGTCCAAAGAATTGTTGAAGGTCTCTCAAGCTTTTTCTTTTCTTTCTTTCTTTCTTTTTTTTTTTTTTTTTTTTTGAGACAGAATCTTGCTCTGTTGACCAGGCTGGAATGCAGTGGTGCAATCTCGGCTCATTGTAACCTCTGCCTCCCTGGTTCAAGCGACAATCCTGCCTCAGCCTCCTGAGTAGCTGGGATTACAGGCATGTACTGCCACACCTGGCTAATTTTTTTTTTTTTTTGGTATTTTTAGTAGAGGTGAGGTTTTGCCATGTTGGCCAGGCTGGTCTCCAACTTCTGACCTCAGGTGATTCGCCTGCTTTGCCCTCCCAAAGTGCTAGGATTACAGGCATGAGCCACTGCGCCCGGCTGCTTTTTCTTTGAAATATATTTTTAATTTAGAGAGAAATGATGCTACTTGAAAGTAATACTACTTTCTACATGAAAAGATTCAAGCATTCAGGCCAAGCGCAGTAACTCAGCAGTAAGTGCAGTAAGTGCAGCTGTAATCCCAGCACTTTAGGAGGCTGAGGTGGGCGGATTACCTGAGGTCAGGAGTTTGAGACCAGCCTGGCCAACATGGTGAGACCCCGACTCTACTAAAATTACAAAACTTAGCAGGGTGTGGTGGTGCACACCTGTAATCCCAGGTACTCGGGAGGCTGAGGCAGGAAAAACACTTGAACCCAGGAGGTGGAGGTTTCAGTGAGCCAAGATTGCACCGTTGCACTCCAGCCCGGGCGACAGAGTGAGACTCTGTCTCAAAAAAAACAGAAGAGTGAAGCATTCAGAAGGGCAGTAGCAAGGTGGCCTCGGATTCTTGAGAAGGCACCCATACCAGCCTGGGTGCACATCTGTACATGATTTGTGCCAAATGAAATCACAGTTGCTTTGTTGTCCTTTCTTACAGAATGTACCTGAAACATGGGAGCCCAGTTAAAATGATGGAGAGTTATATTGCAGTTCTCACAAAGGGGATATGCCAGAGTGAAGAAAACGGCTCTTTCCTTAGTAAGGATTTTGATGCCCGAAAGGCCTACCTGGCTGGCTCCATCAAAGGTAAGAAGGGAAAAAACAGGCCAGGGACGGTGGCTCACGCCTGTAATCCCAACACTTTGGGAGGCCAAGGCGGGTGGATCACGAGGTCAGGAGATCGAGACCATCCTGGTTAACATGGTGAAACCTCGTCTCCACTAAAAATACAAAAAATTAGCCGGGCGTGGTGGCACCCGCCTGTGATCCCAGCTACTCGGGAGGCTGAGGCAGGAGAATCAGTTGAACCTGGAAGGCGGAGGTTGCAGTGAGCCGAGATTGTGCCACTGCACTCCGGCCTGGGCAACAGACGAGACTCCGTCTCAAAAAAAAAACAAAAAACAAAAAAAAGAAGGTAAAAACAAAACCCTTCCAACAACAAAATCCCCAAGCCAAAAACAGTCTCATTAGATCCTATTGTGCCTAATAGAATAATTACATAATTAGATTATCTAATTAGAATTATCTAGTTATTAGATAATTCTAATCCTTCCATACGTTATTTTCATTTACATATTTTTCATATCATTTGTACACAAGAGGGTGCCTTTAACCCCCGTATTTCCTTATTGAGTTAGAATTCTCTCAGAGGAAAACAGGTTTTTGTGGTGTTTGTTTCCATATTATTCTATTGGCTATTTTAGAAATATTTTCTCGCTGGTGGGCTGAATTTTGTGCCTCGAGGTCTTCATGGATTACATTTCTTTTCTTAGATCTTAGCAGTTATCTCTGTCATCTGAAGAGCCCAAGGCCTTGACCACAAACTCCTAATTTAAGTTCCAGCTGGAAAATCCAAAATGCAGACAGCTCAGGCCTAAGCCACAGACTTCAGGGTCCCTGAGCAGGAGGCGAGGGGAACTCTGAAGGCGAGGCTGCCCTCTGTCATGTCCTCCCATGGTGCCCATCTGTCTTTCCTTTTGATCCCGCTGTTCTTTGAATTTTCTCAGCATCCCTGTTGAGGTGGTAGGTGTTTGTCAGGCTAACTTAAGGACTTAAGTAATTATACTGGGGGACATGGGGGAGTTAATAGACTTTTTTTTTTCCTTTTGAGACAGGGTCTTGCTTTGTTACTGAGGCTGAAGTGCAGTGGTACAATTACGGCTCACTGTAGCCTTAACTTCCTGGGCTCAAGCAATCCTTCCACCTCAGCCTCCCGAGTAGCTGGGACTACAGGTGCACACCACCATGCCCAGCTAATTTTTTTTTTTTTTTTTTTTTTTGAGTCAAGAGTCTCACTGTGTCACCCAGGCTGGAGTGCAGTGGCACAATCTCAGCTCACTGCAACCTTTGCCTCCCAGGTTCAAGTGATTCTCGTGCCTCAGCCTCCCAAGTAGCTGGGACTACAGGCACCTGCCACCACACCCAGCTAATTTTTTTTTTTTTTTTCTTTGAGATGGAGTTTTGCTCCAACAAGTGTTGCCTAGGCTGGGTGGCGCGATCTTGGCTCACCGCATCCTCCGCCTCCTGGGTTCAAGTGCCTCAGCCTCCCAAGTAGCTGGGATTACAGGCATGTGCCACCACGCCTGCCTAATTGTGTATTTTTAGTACAGATGGGGTTTCTCCATGTTGGTCAGGCTGGTCTCGAACTCCTGACCTCAGGTGATCCGTCTGCCTCGGCCTCCCAAAGTGCTAGGATTCCAGGCATGAGCTTCCGCGCCCGGCCGCTAATTTTTGTATTTTTAGTAGAGATGGGGTTTCACCATTTTGGCCAGGCTGGTCTCGAACTCCTGACCTCAGGTTATCCACCCGCCTCGGCCTCCCAAAGTGCTGGAATTACAGGTGTGAACCACTGTGCCCAGCCTAATTTTGTATTTTTGGTAGAGATGGGGTTGCACCATGGTGGCCAGGCTGGTGTCAAACTCCTGACCTCAGATGACCTGCCTGCTTAGGCCTCCCAAAGCGCTGGGATTACAGTGTGAGACACTGTGCCCAGCCCCAGCTAATTTTTAAACATTTTTTAGAGACAGTCTCCCTGTGTTGCCCAGGCTGGTCTCAAACTCCTGGGCTCAAGTGATCCTCCCACCTTGGCCTCCCAAAGTGTTGGTATTACAGACATGAGTCACCCTGCACCTGGCAGACATTTTTTTTTTTTTTTTTAAATCAGGAAGTTTTAATGATACAGAAAGATGCTGGTTCCCTTCACATCAGTTGTTTCAGTTTTTTGTGAGTCTAGCTTCCTCTATGCATCCCATCATAGAGTCCCTTGCGGGGCAGAGCACACGTCCTGGGAAGCTGACATAGGATAGATCTACTCTTCCACCAAATAAAGTGTTTGTATGCTTTACAACATTTGCCTAAATTCTCTGTATTAAAAATAATTTTGTACGTCAGGTGCTGTGACTCACACCTGTAATCCCAACACTTTGGGAGGCTGAGGTGGGTGGATCACTTGAGGTCAGGAGTTCGAGATTAGCCTGGCCAACATGGTGAAACCCCGTCTCTACTAAAAATACAAATATTAGCCAGGTGTGGTGGTGTGTGCCTGTAATCCCAGCTACTCGGGAAGCTGAAGCAGGAGAATCGCTTGAGCCCAGGAGGCAGAGGTTGCGGTGAGCAACTATCTTGCCACTGCATTCCAGCCTGGGTGACAGAGTGAGACTCGGTCTCAAAAAAAAAAGAAAAAAGAAAAAAAGAAAAAAAAATCTTTATTTCTTTGCATGATGTGTAATGCAGTAACATTACAATTTCTCTTTTTTGAAGACATTGTATCTCAGTTTGGAATGGAAACTGTTATCTTACACACAGCACTGATGCTAAAGAAAAGAATTGTGGTGTATCACCCCAAGATAGAAGCGGTCCAGGAGTTCACCAGGTATCACCTCTAATTATAAAAAAGTGTTAACTTTGTTGGCAGACAGTTCGCAGCACTAGATGTTACTGTGTGCTCTGCTGTG